>NC_000005.10:56984807-57609807 GCF_000001405.40 Homo sapiens
TTCTTCAATTGCCTGTCATATAATGACAAATGTTGGCAAATCCTTCCTCAGGCTCACTTACAATCTATGAAATTGAAAGATGGCTGTGATTTTGGTCAAGGCCAATGGAACCAGGCAACCCTACACTAGTTATAAGAATAAAATGTCAGGCTGGGCGTGGTGGCTCACGCCTGTAATCCCAGCACTTTGGGAGGCCAAGGCGGGCGGATCACAAGGTCAAGAGATTGAGACCATCCTGGCCAACATGGTGAAACCCTGTCTCTGCTAAAAATACAAAAATAAGCTGGGCATGGTGGCGCATGCCTGTAGTCCCAGCTACTTGGCAAGCTGAGTCAGGAGAATCGCTTGAACCTGGGAGGTGGAGGTTGCAATCAGCCGAGATCACACCATTGCACTCCAGCCTGGTGACAGACTGAGAGTCCATCTCAAAAAAAAAAAAAAAAAAAAAAAAAAGAATAAAATGTCAAATTAGCAATTCCACTTCAACAAATTTATCTTAAGAGAATAAAGATGGGAGCAAAGATTAATATACAGAAAAATTCACAGAAGTATTTATTTTGTGGGAAAAAAATTGAGAAAAATCTTAATATTCAATAACTGCATTAGACAGATGGTGGTACCTCCCTTTTAAATGATAATACAGGTGAAAAAAAAATGTTTACATTGAAAGTTAAATAAGGGCCAGGCACAGTGGCTCTGTTTGCAATCCCAGTAGTTTGGAAGGCTGAGGTGGGAGGATCGCTTGAAGCCAGGAGTTTGAGATTAGCCTGGGTAAAACAGCAAAACCACATCTCTACAAAAAATAAAAATAAAAAAATTAGTCAGGCATGATGGCGTGTACCTGTAGTCCTAGCTACTCAGAAGGCTGAGGCAGGAGGATCACTTGAGTCCAGGAGTTCAAGGATGACTCCACTGCACTCCAGCCCGGGCAACAGAGGAAGACCCTATCTAAAAATAAATAAATAAATACATGTTAAGTAATGGAAAAAGTTCTAAAATACCAAAAGCAGATGAGCTAATTTTAATGGGGAAAATGTATCTAGATATGCATAGTCCAAAAGAATATATCATATAATTATGGCTTACTTTAATTTTTTTCCTTGTTTTTAATTTTTCTAGAATAAATATGTAAAGACTTACTTGGATAACTTTATTTTTAAAAGCATATTTTATTTTTTAAAAATTAAAATGTCAGAGACCAAAAATACTACTTGCCCAATGTCTGCAGTGGATATTGGTAGTTCCTCCTTCTTACTTGAAAAGTCAGGACAAGCTAACTGATGAAATAGAAAAACCCTACATCTCAGTGACTAATCCCAATTAGAGGTTGGTTTTCACAAATGCAAGGGTCTATTTTAGCTGTTCCTAGTCAGGCATTCTCTTGGGCAGCTCTTCTCTGAGCAGTGACCCAGGATCCAAGCCTCTTACAATCTAGTGGCTTCGCTGAATCTAGTGCATTAAGTCAGCAGGTGAGGGAAGAGGATTTAGAGGATTGCATTGGAGGTTTCCTCAGACAAGCCTGGAAATAACTCACAATACTTCTGCCTGATTCCATTGGCTGAAACTCAGTCCTATGACCATATCTAACTGACAGGAAGACTGATAAATATTTAGTTATGTGTCTACGAGGAAAAAGGAAATAACATGGTAAACAACTAGCCAACTGTAGTCATACTAGTGTAACCACACTTCCACATGGTGACTCTACTTAGTTCAGGAGAGTAGGGGTAAGCATCCTTCTGAGATCGAGAAAATGAGGAAATGAAACTTAATCTAACTGAAACCAATGCAAATACATGGAATTTATCTAATCCCCACCTACTGGAGCAGTGAACAGGAGAGAATTAAATGGACATTGCAAAAGAAGGCATTCCCAACCATGCCCTATATTGCAGGACTCACTTTTCTCAATCATCGACTCATGATGACCTTGCCAGAATGGAATAGCTTCATGCTATCCATGACTGCCCCCAACAGACTGGGTGAATGCACATGGCTGACAGCACCCAGGCTGAACTGGGGTGACTCAGATCTCATCTTCAGAAACATGATTATATCAACAGGTCAAAGCTGTGGGACAATCAAACATTCATGTAGTCAAATATATTAACCTGAAATCTAATAGTGTGAGGCACCCTGACTGAAGAAACAGTGCATTAACAGAAAGAGATGGCCTTCAGAGAGTTTAGTAAAAAAAAAAAAAAAAAAAAAAAGCTAAGAGTAAGAATGTATCAGTCTATTCATCACCAGTCAGGGAGAGACATTAAATCATAATTTTAGCTAATATTCATTGAACTTGATGGCTCTCAGGCTTCTAAACATGTCACATGCATTGTATCACTTAATTTCATAACAACTTAATGAAATAGGTTGTATGCAAATAGATGAGGTTCATCTTGACAGATGAGGAAACTGACGGTCAGGGAGTGTAACTGAACCGCTCAAGTTTTAGTTTGTAAGTGGCAGAGTCAGAAGAGAATGGACAGTGTCGGATACCAGAACCTAAGAGTATGTGGACTCATTGCAACATGTGCAACATGAAAATTGTGATCACCTGAGAAGTGGCTGGGTAGAGTGATTCATCAGGTTCTACCCTGGCCTGGGTAAAATATTTTCCTTATCTTAAACTTGACTGGTATCCTCTGGGGGAGCTTATAAAAAATACAGTTCCCAAGCTCCATCCCAGGCCCTAGTAAATGAAAATCTGAGTGAGGCCCAAGGGTCCCTCTTCGTAACAAGCCCCTGTGGTGATATTGATCTGCAGTGATGTTTGGGAATTAATACTCCAGACATTTCTTCCATTAGCTCTGGTAACACACACACTTGGAAGACTCTACTCAAAAAATTTAGTCGTGTTGACAATGGAATGGAGTCCCCTAGATGATGTACATAAAATTCCACTCAGAGGAAAATGTGCGCTCTTTTGTGAATGAATAGATTAGCTTTTAGTTTTGTATAGTAGTCTTTTGGAAACTTGATCAGCATAAGTAGATCCTCCCAAATGTGTTCCTCTCATTTTGTGGTTTGGGTAGGGTGACCAATCCTCCTTGTTTGCCCAGGGTTTTCCTAGTTTTTCCACTAGAAGTTCCACATTCTAAGAGATTCCTCTGATCATACTGAGATGGTTGGTAGGGTTATCAACTCATCCCAGCTTGTCTGAAACTGTTCTATGTTTTAAAACTGAAGTTCCCATATCCTGGCAATCCTCTGAGACCCAGGCAAACTGGGTCAGTTCATCATCCTAATTGGTCACCAGTCACTGCCTCCCTATGAGACTCTTATCTATGTAATCTGCTGGCCTCAGAAAAATTCTCTATTTTATCTTTTACTAAAATATATTGTCCCAAGACTCAGTGATGTCCAGAGTTTTTGGGAAGTAAGAATTGTGTTTCTAATGAGGCCTTGTAAATATTAAAACATACAGCTTACAGGCCATTGTGGAAATTTATTTAGAGAAAAGAAATTGTGAGGATTTTCTCAAATATGGAATGCTCTGAAATTTCCTTTCATCCTTTCCTAAATAGGGCTGAAAAAGTAAACCAGAGGTGTGTTACTATGTAGTTCCGAATATTGATAGGAAGGGATCCAAAGGCCACACCTTTGCAAATGTGATCATAGAAATTCCAGGGTCCCTGGAGCCTGCAAAAAAGACTTTGGCATCACCAAGCAATCCCAGTCGAAGAAGGTCCCCATGCCTCCCTCTTTGGCCTGATACCTCCCTGACTTGCAGCTCAGTCTTTATTCCCCATCTCTCAGACTGATTACATTTCAAGCGAGTGACTCAAGTGAGTTTGCCTAATAGATTTCCATTTTGTTTCTGAGACCTTTTCTTCATGCAAGAATTGGTTAGTGTTGGGTCAGTCGTTTATATATTAACACGTCCGAATATTCATAAACAGGGGCTGCTTTAGTGTTCTCAAACTTTGCTTCATGAATAATTCATATGTTTGACAGCAACTATGTTACTCAACTTATTTAAAGACTACAATCAATATAGCATGCTGCTCCAAAACATAGCAACCAGTCCTTTAACTGTAGTGTGCTTTAAAATTTTTTTCCCAGTTATTTCACCATCACATTGAACCACAAATATATGGTAATTACTAATAATTCTACCTCCATTTTGCATGTCACCACAATCAACATATTGATTGCTTTTTGATTATAATAAATGGTTGGTTAAATTGAGGGTTTGCGATTAAGAATGTTAAACTCCGATATTTATTTAATTCAGCTGCACCAATTTAGGCTCTGCATGGTAATTTCATAAAAAGCTATTGAGAATCAGAGTAGTTATTTGAATCAAGGCCTATAAAGAGAGCCCAGTTTCCCCAGGAGAATCTGGCATTTAAGTAAATTACACCAACCAGGGGTTTGGTTTTGCCTCTTGGAGCATACAAAAAACTCCAGCATTATGCTCATTTTGAAATGTAAATAGAGTGGAGAAAAACTTAGGAAATTCTTCTGTTAACTTTCTATTTTAGGATTTAAAGAAATAAGTCTCAGAGAAAGACTAAATAAAGCCTATTTACATGGAACTTTGCCCTACATATAAGCAAGGGTCTAAACTGGCTGGGTAAAGACACAAATGGGAATTATGGGGGTGAAGGAGGCAGAAGAGTCACTTTGGTAAATAATTTGAGAGATTATCTAGATTTTGGCTTACAGCCGGGAAACCCATTTCCAAGGAATGAGAAATCTACCATATTTAAAGTCCCTCGGGAGGAGACAATCTTGTTTTTTGTGTAAACCCAGTTTTGTGATAAACAAAGATTAGACCAAACTAGAATGATCGCTGTTAGGAAATCCTCACTAACATCACCCAGGCAGCTCTTTCATCTCATTTCCTCTTATTCTCTCTGAATGGCCATCTCTCAACACCTTTCTCCTTTATTCATTTAAGAAATAGAGTGTACATTCCACTCCATTAACCAGGGACATGATGAAGTTATACAGAAGCACCTTTTGTATTTTCTTGACTAAGTCATAAATGTTTCATGTGGTAACGTTTCTGAAATCATGATGCATGATAAACATACTGTTTCCCTTCTCACCCCCTGAAAGTTGTTCTGAGTTGGGTGACCTCACAATTCACATCATCTTAGAATGGTGAAACTATGATACTGTCATTGCTCAAGGGGTCGTTACACTAGAATTCTTTTAGACATATAATCTACCTGAGCTTGGACTTCTGACAGAAACCCAAGGCCCTCCTATTCATGAAGGCATTGTGGGGATACTTCTTCCAGAAACCCTGCTATGAGTGCATCCTGGTTTACTTCCTGTCAACATTGAACACCAGTCAAGATGAAACTGCTTTGCCATCTCTTCTCTCCCAGACTCTCTTCTCTACTATGTTGTCCTTCCTTTCTCCTGCCGCAACCCACTGCCTTTCCTTTTTCTCCCAAATCTGCCCATGGTGCTCCCGTGAAACCCTGTTTCCCAGATACTAACTCTGCTGAATTTTCAACATCACAAAATATTTCCTGCATCTCCTCACCTAAAGAGAAACCCGGACATTCTGAAGGAAATTGCTTGTTCTGCAGCCCTCTGACCACTTGGTTCTTGCTCTCCTGTACTCCATGTGTCCTCCTCAAGTAAGAGATTAGCTTGAAAGAATCTTCCCTCAACAATTCTTCCCCGCTTGACTACATCCTTTTTTTCCTTTAAGACCCATACCATAATCTGGCTTTGCTGCCCTTCTTTCCTCCTTCCTCTCACTTGTGGACCTCCTCATTATGGCTCATCATTCCCTGTAAACCCTGACTCCTTGTCCACCATCTCCGTCATTCCCCAGATCTATTATCATTGATAGTTTCTTCGGTGTCTGTATGAAAGACCCATCCAGCACTTCTGCACCTTATTTCTTTACCTATTCAACTCCAAATGCCATCACATTCACCTACTCCAGTTGCCATACCTGAGACCTCACCACCACCTGAAATGATTCCACCTCTAAAATCTTCAAACATTCTGCTAACGATCAAAATCTCCTATCCTTCTATTTCCCTTACTCTAAAATTTCCATTGTCTGTTCTTGACTTTCTTTTTTCTTCATCCTCTCTGTTTCCTTTTCTATCGAATCTAGACCTCATAGCCCATTACTTCTACCACTTTCTCTCCAGTTTCCTTCACTGCCTTCCCCTATGGTCCTTGCATCACACCTGCCCAGCAACACTCCAAGCTTGAAGAACCGATCCACCTGCCTTCTGTGCCCCATACATAGTCTAATGGGAAAAAAAAAAACCTATGCAAACACATGTAGTCAGGCCACTCTGAACTCATGGACTCCAACCAGGTCTTCAGTGGCTGCCTGACAATCCTTCTGTTGTCTGGGTAGCTCACTTCTCACTCTCTACAGAAATTATTTTAACTTCTCTCTCCTTTTTTTTTACCTATATCCCACCACTGCTCACTGTCCTCTCACTTGAGACTTAACCTCAAGGAAAATAGAAGCCATCATATGGAAACTCGCTTAACTTTCTGGAACCCAATGCACAAGTTTACTTGTGTCTGTAGCTCTTCTTCCTTCTTTTCCGCATTGCCAAGATGAGAAAGGAGTCCTGCCTCTTAGTCTATTCTTTCTATCTCATAGTGATCTCATCTGGTTCCACCATCTCTCAACATTGCTCTTCACTCTTGCCCTTATACTACCTCCTTCCTGGAGACATTTAAAAAGGCCCTAGCATCTCCCATCTTATGAAAAGAAATGTATAGAATTCATTAAAGAAAAACTCTCAAATCCAAATCCACCCTATCTTATTTTCTCCCTTTCTTAGACAAGACCCTGCAAAGGCATGTCTGCCCTCAGTATCTCCACTTCCTCATCTACACTGTATTCCTTGCCTACTTCAATCTGTGTTTCTAATTCCACTGAAGACACTGTCACTGAGACCTCCAGCCCATACTGTTAAATCTTTTGAGTCCTTATTTGACCACTGTGACTATATGAACCATATCAGCCTCTTTGAAGTTCTTTTTTTTTGAGATGGAGTCTCACTCTGTCACCCAGGCTGGAGTGCAGGGGGCCAATCTAGGCTCACTGCAACCTCCGCCTCCTGGGTTCAAGTGATTCTCCTGCCTCAGCCTCCTGAGTAGCTGGGACTATAGGCACACACCACCACGCCTGGCTAATTTTTTTTTTTTTGGTATTTTTAATAGAGATGGGGTTTCATCATGTTGACCTGGCTGGTCTAGAACTCCTGACCTTGGGTGATCCGCCCACCTCAGCCTCCCAAAGTGCTAGGATTACAGGCATGAGCCACCGCGCCCGGCCTGAAGCTCCCTTTCCAGGACTTCTGTGAGGTCATGTTCTCTTGCGTTCCATCCTACTTCTTTGGCTGCTTCATCTCCATTTTTTCTAGGAACCTCTTCTGCTGCCTATCTTGGGAATGTAGGTGATCCTCAGGGTTCTGTCTGGCCTTCTCTTCTCTACTGAATGATCTCTACCATGTCTATGCCTTCAATTATCAGCCACATTGTGTCAGTTCTGGCTTCCCAAGAAGCATCCATCAAGACGCACAAGAGATTTATTGGGGAAAGCACCCATGAAGGATAAAGGTGAGGGAGCAGGAGTAGGTTGGGAAAACATTCAGATCATGATGTTATTCTGACAGAGGTGAAAGAAGAGGGGGAACAAAGGAGGTCTGGGTAAAAAGCGTCTCAGATTTCCAGGTAGTTCTAAGAAAGTTCCAGTCAGGCCCATCTGGAATCCTGGAGCCCAAGTTGCCTGTTAAGTCGTCCTGTGCCAGCCAGGAAGTGTTGTCTTGGTGTTAACGTGGTGCTGGATCCAAAGGGAGACTGGCTGTGTTTCTCAAGGCAGGTTCTTTTGAAGGTGTGAGCAGTACACTTTCATGGCTACCACACATATCAAAAAATTTTAACCTTGACAGGGCAACAGAATCCCAATGGAGCTCTTTAAAAACCTACGTTTCTAGATCCTGCCACCTGAAAACTTTGAGATTCAGTTGGTTTGGGATGAAATCAGACCTCTTCATTTGCAAAAGGAAAAAAAAGCCCCAGAGGCAATTCTGATTCCTGACCAAGTGTGGTAACAATGATCTTCATGCTGATAACTGAAATTGTTCTATTCAGTCTAGGTCTCCATCCTGAGGTCCAGACCCATATAACAAACTGCCCACTGGCATTTCCATTTGAATGTCCCGGAATTAAAGTAAATGCAGTCTGTTCCAAGCTTGTGTCTCCTCCTGCACTCTGTTTCAGTGAACGTCAATTTCACCTTTCTGTGTAGAAACCAAAAACCACGGTGTTGTAACTGACTCTTTTTTCCCCCGCTTATTCCTCATGGCCAGTTCATCACTAAGTCCTGTTGGTTGATTCTGCCTTCTTGATATTTTCTGAATCTCTCCCCTTAACCCAGTGCCACTATGTTAGTTCAAGTTATTCTTGCCTCCATTTTTTCTCCTTTAGTTCGTTCTTCACACCATAGCCAGACTTCCAAACCACAAGTCCAATAATATCCCTACATTAGCTCCTCATGGTTCTCAAGATAAAAGTCCAAAATTCTTTATATATTACACAAGGCTTTACACATTTGGAACCCTGTTTATCTGCCCTGTCTCATCTCTTGCCATCATCCTACCTCCTGCGGAGCTACTGGCAATTCTGGAAGATCTCCAGGCCTTTGCACCAGCTGTATCCTCTCTCTGGAATATATTGCTCCACTTCCTTTCCTTGCTAATTCCCAGTCTCTCAAGGATCCAACTGAATGAGTTTCCTTTGCAAGCCTTTCTTGAGGTCAATGTCTCTTTTCACCTCCACCAAGACTGGGTTAGATGCTCTGGCACTACCATAGCGTCCTATCATTGCAGGTTTCACCATGATTAATGTGATCCTTGAAGCCATGGATATGCCTTCTTCACTGTAATATCCCCAGCACTTGTGTAAATACTTGTATATAAATGAATGAACCAATAAGTGAGTGAGTGAGTGATGTTTTGGCCTCTGTACCAGGCATTGGAGCTCTAAGCTGTGTATCAGGAGGGCTATGAGCTGCAGAACGAACACAGGCTTTGAATCCCTGCAGGGCCACTTTCCGGATAATGTTGGGCAAGTACTTAACCTCTTTGGCCTTCAGTTTTTTCATCTGTAAACTGAAAAATATCCTTCTGGGTTGTTGTAATGATTAAAGGAATCATTATTTAAAAGATAGTGCCTGCCATATGAAAGGTACACTCTAAAATTTTAGTTTCTCGACTCTCTTCACTTTGGTATTATCTCAGTTTAACTCTTCATCTAATGGAATCCAATAAGCCTTCTTCATTCTTTCCCCCTTAGAGCCGTTTCCTTCCTGTACATTACACCATCTTCCCACAACTCATCTACATAGCCACCCTCTTCTTTTCTTTGATGTCTTCCAAGAGCCGATTCCTGTACCTCATTGCTGAAGCAGACACCACTAATGGTTTTTGCAGAAACTGTGGCGTCAGACACTGCATCAGATGCATAAGTTACTGCACATCCATGTGAGCAAAGGATAGGGCTTGAATTCCCAGGTGGGAAATGATAAATATAATTGCTGAAGTGGATACCATTAATGGTTTTTGCAGAAATTGTGCTGTCAAATCCTTAATCACATGGATACTTCAACTCCCAATAGCAACCAGGATAATAAATTCTGGTGTACCAGAAGTTCTTAGACAGATCTTCTGCATTAAAACAGAATCTCATGTAAGTATTTGATGAGGACAAAGCAAAAGCTAGATAACAAATCCTTCTCACACAAATGTTCTTAAGAAACTGACTTAGGACCCCAGTCCTACATAGCTTAATTAACCAACTATTTAAATCTAGTATTTGCTGAGTGCCTTCTATGTACCAGACACTCTGAATGGTCTATGGATGAGTACAGTTTGGAACAGAAAGCAATTTAACACAGCAACTAATAGCATGGGCTCTAGATTCTGTCTGTCCAAACCCAAATCCAGATCGCACCATTAATTACTTGGGTGACCTTGATCATTAACTGTTCAGTACTTCATTTTTCTTGTCTGTAAATTGGAAACAACAATAGTACCTTTCTGATAAAGTTGTAAGGAATAAGTGAATTAACACACATTAGATGTCACTGAGAACAGCCCCTGCCACTGTATACACTTAAAAATGTTAAGTACTACTATTGCGAGACACAGAGTCAGGGCATCCAGCCCAGGCTTGGGAACCAAGAAGGGCTCCCTGGAGGAAACAATGTCAACACTGAGACTGAAAAGATGAATATAGGTGAAAGAAAGAGTGTTTTTGACAGAAGGAAGCACATGCGCAAACCCCACAGTACAGTGACTATGATCCAAGGTGAAAAACAGTTAGGTTGAGAGTGACTGAGTTACTGCGTGTGTGTGTGTGTGTGAGAGTAAATGAGTGTGTGTGTGTGTGTCTGTGTGTGTTGGAAGTAGGAGGGCCACAGAGAGATGAAAAGTGTCTCCATTTGCCCCTGTAGTTATACTCTCCTCCACCATGCTCTTTGCAAGCCTAAGCTGGCTTGAATGCACTACTTCAGTGGTTCCTTTGTCTACTGGCTTCCAGTTGTATTTGGCCAGTGAGAAGGCCTGAAAGGCCATGAGAGGGAAGGAGGGGAGTGAGAGTGGGATATGACTCCCCTAGTTCCCTTCCTGCAGGGTAGTAGCCTTCCTCACCCAACAGTCTTCCCCAGGCATGGTGATGAAAGCATCCCAGCCCAGGAAATTCCTGGGGAAGGAAGAGCCCTGACATTCTTTGGATCTCTGGATCTTTCTACCACCTACTGGATGTTTCAATCCCTATCCCAAGTGTCAGCCCTGAGGAATAAAGAAGAGAAAGGTCTCTATTTTTCTTTTCATAGACCCCTTTTCCCCTTAAAATCTGCTAAGACCAAAAAGTATGAAGTTCAACTTTTCACTTTCTCAGTTATGTGCTCCTTGTTGATGGTTTGCTAGAGCAGAGGGCTTTATGGCCTAACCATGTGATGGGAGTGTCGTCCACTCTGTACTATGATGTAAACATCTATGTTCTGAATGCCTCATGAGTGGCCTGGCAATGGTATCTATGGGATGACTTCACCCCAGGGATTACTTAGAACAAATACTTTGGTTTAACATGCTCATGCTATTTTACCTGTGATGTGAAGACTAGCAATAATATATATAGTGTGTACTACCCAATGTATATAGTGTTTACTCCTGGCATGTAGTAAGCAGTTACCATATGGTACCTGTTATTATTTTACAAACCAAAGATGGTGCAGTGATGTGAATATTATTCCTTCTTAGGCAATGATTGTGAAGGGCTCTCTCTACTGCCCCCACACTGCAGAGCCTACTTGCAGAGACTTTCTTTTTTATTTCATGTTTGCATTTTATAGTTTTTAACCCTGCAGCTGGTATTCTTCCATGTTGAGCTGCAGTGTAATAGAAAAAGTTGTCTCTGTTATCACCTGCCAGGCTAATCTGTCAGTTGTTCTGGTTCCCAGCACTCCACCACTCTGCCCTTGGGAAGTGCGTCTCTCTGAGAAGAAATGAGTCAGCCGCTATAGGTGTCCCTGATTCCAGCCCCAGCAAAGTTCTCACCTGTGTAACTTCCTCAGGACCACTAGCAAAATAAAAATTGCCGGATATGAGGGCTACTGACAATACCAATCTTAGCCTCTAGGGGCACTCAGTTCTCTCTAGTTTCACCGGAGCTGAAGTGGTCTGGTAGAGATTATAAAAAATGGCCTCTTGGCCGGGTCCGGTGGTGCACGCCTGTAATCCCAGCACTTTGGGAGGCCGAGGCAGGCGGATCACGAGGTTAGGAGTTCGAGACCAGTCTGACCAATATGGTGAAACCCTGTCTCTACTAAAAATACAAATAAAAATACAAAATTAGCCGGGCGTAGTGGTGCAGGCCTGTAATCCCAGCTACTCAGGAGGTTGAGGCAGGAGAATCACTTGAACCTCGGAGGCAGAGGTTTCAGGGAGCCAAGATCATGCCATTGCACTCCAGCCTGGGCTACAGAGCGAGACTCCATCTCAAAAAAAAAAAAAAAAAAAAAAAGGCTCTCTTTTGGCCAGGTGCTGGGGCTCACACCTGTAATCCCAGAAGTTTGGGAGGCCGAGGCAGGTGGATCACCTAAGGTCAGGAGTTCGAGACCAGCCTGGCCAACATGGTGAAACCCCGTCTCTACTAAAAATACAAAAATTAGCCGGGTATGGTGGCATGCACCTGTAATCCCAGCTACTCAGTAGGTGAGGCAGGAGAATCGCTGGAAGCCGGGAGGCAGAGGCTGCAATGAGCCGAGATCATGCCACTGCACTCCAGCCTGGGTGACAGAGCAAGACTCCGTCTCAAAAAAAAAAAGGCTCTTTTACACAAAATAAGCTATTGATACTAGTGTAACTAGAGGACCTCCAGACTGGTTTGTTTGCACAACTTACAGGGTTCATAGGAACCATGTCCTTCTCTTCGATGCTGTTTCACTGGATGGTAGGCCAAAGTACAAGAACTCTGAGCTTAGGACAGTTTGGGGGTGTCACTATGTAAGATAAGATGGTTTTCTAAATCTTTTCCAGAATCCTATAATCCTTTCTCTCTATAGGCTCCCAGCCCATCTGTCTGGCACTGAGAAGCACCATACACCTAGTGTATGGCAGCCCTGGTCTCTTTCTGGAGCAGGAGTGTATTCTAGCTGGTCTTGAGACTTTTCACTTTCATCTCCTGTATAGAATGAGGCCTTCTAGACACTGGAAATCCTGCCTTAGTTCGTGAGCTAGTTATTTTAATTCTGTTATTTTTACTTGACCTAAATCATTAGTTGATTGTTAGAGATGGTTCTAGTTCTAATTCAACTCAGCATCTTTCTTCTTTTTTTTTTTTTTTTTTTTTTTGAGATGGAGTCTTGCTCTGTCACCGAGGCTGGAGGGCAGTGGCACCATATTGGCTCACTGCAACCTCCGCCTCCCAGGTTCAAGCGATTCTCCCACCTCAGCCTCCTGAGTAGCTGGAATTACAGGCATGCACCACCACACCCAGCCAATTTTTGTATTTTTAGTAGAGATGGGGTTTCACCATGTAGGCCAGGCTGGTCTCGAACTCTTGACCTCAAGTGATCCACCCACCTTAGCCTCCCAAAGTGCTGGGATTACAGGCATGAACCACTGTGCCCGGACAGCATCTTTCAAAGTATGGTCTGGGGACCAAAGACATTAGAACCACTTGGGATATTTATTAAAAACAACCATGTCCCTCACCCCAATACACACATGTACACACACACACACACACACACACACACACACTTACCTAGATGTTAGATACAAATTTTTAGCAAATCAAATTCAACAACATATTGAAAGAATAGTACACCAAGACCAAATGGGAGTTATTCCAGGTATGCAAGGTAGGTTCAACATTTGAAAATCAAACCATGTAATTCATCATATCAACATGCTAAAAAATAAAAAGTATATGATTATATCATTGATAAAGAATGAAAGTTTTTTAAGAGATGGGGTCTTGCTATGTTGCCCGGGCTGGTCTTGAATTCCTGGCCTCAAGCAATTCTTCTACCTCAGCCACCTAAAATGTTGAGATTATAGGCGTGAGCCACTGCACCCAGCCAAGTAAAAAAATTGATAAAATTCAACATCCATTCATAAAAAGTCTCTTTTATCCATTGATAAAAACTCTCAATGTACTAGGAACAAAGAGGAACTTCCTCAACTTCACAAAGAGCTCCTACAAAAAACCTACAACTAACATTACACTAAGTGATGAAAGACTGAGTGCTTTCCCCCTACAACTGGGAACAAGGCAAAGATGTCTGCTCTCATCACTCTCATTCAATGTAGTACTGGAAGTTCCAGTCAGTGTGGTAAGGCCAGAAAAGGAAATAAAAGGTAACCATATTATAAAGAAATAAAACCGTTTCTATTTGCATGATTATCTACATAGAAAATACACAAAAAAAATTTTAAGACCACTTAGAATTGACAAGTGAGTTTATCAAAGTCTCAGGCTACAAGAAAAACATACACACATTAATACCAGCAAAAAAAAAAAAAAAAACAAAACACACACACACAACACCCACATGGACACTGAAAGAAAAAATACAATATCATTTAGAATTATTCAAAAACCCATGACATTCTTAGGTATAAATCTAACAAAACATGTACAGGATTTGTATGCTGAAAACTATGAAGTGCTGATGGAAGAATTTAAAGAAGATTTAGATGAATGGAGAGGTATACCCATGTTCATGAATTGAAAAACTCAACATAGTAAATATGTCAATTCTGCTGAAATTGATATACAGGTTTAATGCAATTCTATTCAACATCCCAGCAAGATTTTTGTAAATATAGATTATTCTAAAATGTATATAAAGAAGCAAAGCAACTAGAACAGTTAAAAGTTTTTTTAAAAAAGAAGAGTATATGAGAGAAATCAGTCTACTCAATTTCAAGGCTTATTATACAGCAATAGTAATCAAGACTGTGTTGTATTAGTGAAAGAATAGACATATCAATCAATGGAACAGAATAGAGAACTCAGAAACAGACCCACACAAGTATGTCCAACCAATTTTGACAAAGGTGCAAGAGCAATTCAGTGGAGGAAAGATAGTTGTTCAACAAATGGTGTTGGAGCAATTGACATCCATAGACCAAAAAAAAAAAAAAAAAAAAAAATTAACCTCAAACCTCACACCTTATGTAAAAATTAACTCAAAATGCATCATAGACTTATACATACTATATATATAGAATTATAAAACTTTTTTTTTTTGAGACAGAGTCTCGCTCTGTTGCCCAGGCTGGAGTGCAGTGACACAATCTTGGCCACTGTAGCTTCCACCTCCTGGGTTCAAGAGATTCTTTTGCCTCAGCCTCCTAAGCAGCTGGGCGCCCACCACCACTCCAGGTTAATTTTTTCTATTTTTAGCAGAAACGGAGTTTTGTCATGTGGCCGGGCTTGTCTTGAACTGCTGACCTCAGGTGATTCAGCCACCTTGGCCTCCCAAAATGCTGGGGTTACAGGTGTGAGCCCAGACAGAATTGTAAAACTTTTTTTTTTTAAGGAGAAAATCTGCAGGATCTAAGGCTAGGTAAAGAGTTCTTGGGCTTGCCAACCAAAAGCATAACCCATTAAAAAAAAAAGTGGGGGTAAATTGAACCTTATTGAAATTTAAAATTTTTGCTCCAGGAAAGATTTAGTTAAGAGGATAAAAAGATATAAACTACAGGCTAGGAGGCAAGATTTGCTAACCTAACAAACAACTAGTATTTAGAATATATAAAGAACATTCAAAATTTAACAGTAAAAAATAAACAATACAATTAGAAAATTAGCAAAAGACATATAGAGACATTTTACTGAGGAAGATATACAGATGGCAAATGAGCACATGAAAAGATGTTCAACAATTAGTAAAGTTCAAATTAAAACCATAAGATATCACTACATAATATCAGTATGACTAAAATTCAAAAGACTGACAATACCAAATGCTGTCAAAGACATGGAGAAACCCAATGGCTTATACATTACCAATGGGAAGGTAAACTGGTACAACCACTCTGGAAAGTAGTTTGGAAGTTTCTTCCAAAACTAAACGTGCACCTACTATACTACCTAGCAATTTCACTCCTAGGTTTTTATCTTGGAGAAATGACAAATTATGTTCACCGAAAATCTATACACAAATGTTTGTAGTAGCTTTATTCATAATAGTCCCAAACTAATAACAACCCAGATGTCCTTCAAAGGGTGAATGGTTAAACAAACTATGGTACATTCAGACCATATGACAGACACAACCAGGCAACAAAATGGGACAAACTGCTGATATGCATAACTTGAATGAATCTCCAGAGAATTATGCTGGGTGAAAAAAAAATCCAAAATGGTTACAGAATGTAACCATTTATACAACATGATTGAAATGACAAATTAGAGAAAAAAAACTGCCATAGCCAGGAGCTAAGGACTGGGGTATGGGGTTAGGGAAGTAAGTATGGCTGCTGTAGGGGCCAAGAGAAACTTCCCCTTCACCCTCTGAAGTTTTACTGAAAATTCAACTCACAAAAGGCAGATTAATGGGAGAAAAGGCATACAAATATTATTAATGTATATAAACAGAGAGAACCACAGAGTGATTATCCACCCCCATCAGTGAGGTTCAGAAGTTTATATCCACCCTGGCAAAACAGGTTATGGGAATGGGGAGAAGAAGAATTCTGTTGAAGGAATTACTAGGGAGAATGAATGGATCAGGGAATACGGATCAACTTGTACATTATCCTGTGAAAGGGTCTGTTCAGGTGTGATTACATTTTTGGTCTTACAGAGAGGGAAAGAAAAAACAATTGTTCCGTTTGGTGGATCTAGATCTTAGGCAGATAAAGGAACTTTGTCCTGTGCGTTGAGAGGGAAAGTTGGGGGATGAGGGGAAGGCCAGTGAGATCTCGAGGCTTCTTCACTGCACCATGTCAAAGCATCATATGTTGGGGTATCAGTTTCTGTGCCCCAACACTACAAAAGACTACATGAGAGATGTTTGTGGTGATGGAAATGTTCTGTTCTGTACCTTGATTGTGCCAATGTCGATATCCTGGTTGTGATATTGTACTATAGTTTTGCAAGATGTTACCATTAAGGGGAAATAAGTAAAAGGAATATGAGATCTCTCTGCATTGCTCCTTAAAGCTGCATGTAAATCTATAATTACTTCTAAATAAAATGTTTAAATACATAATGAAAAATGAAAATGTTAATTAGTATTCAACAATTATTCAATATTGTCATTGTTTACCAATATTGAATGTCAGTTAGTTTGGATTTATTAGGTTGGTGAAAAATGAAAATGTTAATTAGTATTCAACAATTGTTCAATAGTGTCATCATTTACCAATATTGAACATAAGTTAGTTTGGATTTATTAGGTCAGTGCAAAAATTTAGCGTTTGCTGTTAAAAGTAATGGCAAAAACCACAACTACTTTTCACCAACCTAATACTTGCTATGTCCCTATTAAGCTCACTTTGCTAATTTTAAAAAATGACCAAGCTCCCTGACTCCAACATACTCAACACACACATGTACACACAGACTTAGATTTTAGATAATCCTAGTCTGCAGGTCTGGTATGTATCTGGAAATCTATATTTCTAGCAATCATCCCAGATAGTTCTGAAGCACATTCAACACTTCTTTAGGTGAAATTTGGCATCTTTCCCCATCATTCTAAATTAACATGCCAACGCTATCTGTAAGTGACCATGTGGTGTCAATGGCAGGATGGAGCAGCAGCCCTTGAACTTTGCTATTGAAGCATCTTCCAAGGAAGTCTGGCTCCTCCTGTTTCATAGGACGTGCTTCCTTTTGGAGCAGAGCACAGCCTCCTACTCCCTGTGTGTCAAACACCTTCAGCTTTCCTCACCTCTCTGGGCTATGGCAGGTGACTCCTTTAGTTCACGTGGAGGAAAAAAACATGACATTCAGTCTTTGGGTCAAAATGAGGACTTTTTGAAAAGGACAAATGAGCTAACTTTAAACTAAAACTCATACCTCTACATTTCCTGATCCTGCAAATGTGAAAGAATGAGAAGAGGCCGCGTGCTGTGTCTCACGCCTGTAATCCTAGCACGCCCTAATCCTAACTTTGAGAGGCCAAGGAGGGAGGATCGCTTGAGCCCAGAAGTTCAAGACCAGCCTGGGGTAATATAGTGAGACCCTTGTCTCTATAATTACTTTTTTAAAAGGAAAAGAATTAGAAGAAATCCCCGGTCAAAACAATCAAAACAAAGGCTTTGGACCCTATGTGCTCACACATTCCTGTCTTGGGGTGAAGGTTTACAGCCAGGCTAAGAGTTACCGCTTTCTTCGAATATCTATTTAAGCCAAACGGGGATTTTTAAAAGACACACAGGTTACCTCTGATACCAAACAGGAAGAATGAAAACCTTTAGTGGACAGCTGCTGGCTTCCCAAATTGTCTTAGCAGGCTCATAGTGCCAGCTTTGCTGAAATCTGAGGAATTGAATTCAAGAGAGAAAGCTGAGGGCTATAAGAATCAGGAATTTAGAAAACCAAAGCATTCCAAGGAAAGAGGAATTTTGATTGACTAAGCAAATATTCTACACCAAATAAATCTATGTCAAAGTAGGAAAAAAAGACCAGCCGTGGTGGCTTATACCTGTAATCTATCTCAACACTTTGGAGGCAGAGGCAGGAAGATCACTTGAGCCCAGGAGTTTGAGATCAGCCTGGGCAACAGAGTGAGACTCTGTCTCTACAAACAAACAAACAAACAAAAATTAGCTGGGGGTGGTGGTATGCCTGTAGTCCCAGCTACTCGGGAGGCTGAGATAGGAGGCCCAGGAGGTCAAGGCTGCAATGAGTCAATTGATCACACCACTGCACTTCCAGCCTGGTGACAGAGCCAGATCCTGTCTCAAAAAAAAAAAAAAAAAAAAAAAAAGAGAGAGAGAAAACCAGGAGGGAAACAATGCAATGAGGGAGGGATGCTGAGTGACTAAGACTAATCTCATGTTTACCTCCTGGGACTTGAAGACCTTTCCAGCGTATTTCACAGCCAGGGAAAGATTCGCTGTCAAGCAATTAGGTTTTCTCCCAGAAGACAAAGGAATAATCTGTAAGTTTTCTTCTGTCTGATGGAGGCAGGTAGAGGGGAATAAGCAGGCACTGAACATTACTGAAAATTCCATTTGGTTTTTATACTGGCTAGAGGACTTGGCTACAAACAACAGAAAAAGAATTAGGGTAATTATGCAGAATAGGAATTTATCATCAGGTGGAATTGGAGACTATTGTTCTAAGTGAAGTAACTCAGGAATGGAAAACCAAACATTGTATGTTCTCACTCATATGTGAGAGCTAAGCTATGAGGAAGCAAAGGTATAAGAATGATACAATGGACTTTGTGGACTAGGGGAAAGGGTGGGGGGTGGCAAGGGATAAAAGACTACACATTGGGTACAATGTACACTGCTCAGGCAATGGGTGCACCACAATCTCGGAAGTCACCACTAAAGAACTTATTCATGGCCGGGCACAGTGGCTCAAGCCTGTAATCCCAGAACTTTGGGAGGCTGAGGCCGGTGGATCACTTGAGGTCAGGAGTTCGAGACCAGCCTGGCCAATGTGGTGAAACCCCGTCCCTACTAAAAAAACAAAAATTAGTTGGGTGTGGTGGCACATGTCTGTGATTCCAGCTACTCAGGGGGTTGAGGCAGGAGAATCGCTTGAACCTGGGAGGTGAGGTTGCAGTGAGCTGAGATCATGCCACTGCACTCCAGCCTGGGCAACAGAGCAAGACTCCATCTCAAAAAAAAAAAAAAAAAAAAGAACCTATTCATGTAACCAAACCACCTGTTCCCCCAAAACCTATATAAATAAAAATTTAAAAAAAAATTGTAAAGGAATTTATCGTCAGGAAAGCTGAAGAACCTAGCTCAGATAGGGAATGTGAAGCAAGGGAGGTTGAGCAGCTGAGCTGACTGCCAAGGTCATGCTGGCCTGACGGGGGGCCATTGCTGCCACCACCACCACCATAGCTGTGAACAGAACATTGCCAAGGCCTCTGCTGGTCCTGGGCCCTGGTGGGCACCACTGCTCTCACCATCACTAGGGGAGCTGCCTCCTCTAGGAACAGGGTGAATCAGGATGAAGAATCAGGATCCCCGGGAGACTGAATAATGAATAAGAACCCCCAGGAGTATAGCCTATACGTTTGTATTTTAAAATAAATTCCCTAAGATGATTTTAAAGATCCCTCTGATTTGGGAAACAATGACTTAAATGCAGAGTATTCATCTTGTGATTGTGCTGCTCAAAGCCTTCCTGTTGGTTTCTTGTTCAAAATTATTTGATGACATATAATTACTTATGGGAAACTAAGTTCAGGTTTCTTAGATTGGCATTTAATGCCCTCCATGACCTGGCTCTAGCCCATGTTTCCAGGCGTATGTCCTCCTTTCTCCTCTGTGTACCCAATGCCCCAGTCGCACTGAACCTCCCTGGTCTTTCTGGGGCAGTGTTCCTCATTCACACTCCCATCTTTACCTGCTGGCGTACTCTTTATTTTCAGGCCACCCCCACCAACAGCTTTCCTTAACTACCTCTCAGCTTTCTCTGAACTCTCTGTAACACTTCACCTCTCTTTTGGAATGTCGGATTATGACTCATGACATAGGCTTTTTGCATATATGTTATTTACAGTAATAGGTGATAAGAACCTTTGCACCCCTAGGGTATATAGAATAGCACCTGACTCATAGTAGATATTCCATTAAATGTATAAACAAATGCCATCTTGCGAAATTTTGCAGTCAGATTTGTAAGGTACGTTAGCCTTCTTGAATGTTCCCATTGGGAGCAGCTTAATTTTTACAGCAGTTTTTCTTATTTTATTTTAAGTCATGAACAAGGAGACTTGCTGTTACCATAGGTTTTATATGGGTATCCTTGAACAGTAGTGTGCTTTTCAAAATTATAGACCATGATTCTTTAAAAGGAATGGATGACTACACTAACTCCCCTCAATTACAAATATTACCTATCCTATTACTGTATTGAGTACCAATAAAACTATGGCTTCCAGAGTCAGCTCACACCCTTGCCTTCAAAAGTTAAAGTTAATAGTATCTATTAACTTAGAGCAAACACTATTTTTTTTTTGAGACAGATTTTCACTCTTGTTGCCCAGGCTGGAATGCAATGACATGATCTCAGCTCACCGCAACCTCCACCTCCCAGGTTCAAGTGATGCCCCTGCCTCAGCCTCCCTAGTAGCTGGGATTACAGGCATGCACCACCATGCCTAGCTAATTTTTGTGTTTTTAGTAGAGGCAGAGTTTCTCCTAGTTGGTTAGGCTGGTCTCGAACTCCCGACCTCAGGTGATCCACCCACCTAGGACTCCCAAAGTGTTGGAATTACAGATGTGAGCCACCGCGCCTGGCCTGGTACCCATTTTTAAGAGGCTAACTACAGAGAAAAGGTTTTCTTTTTACCACTCCACAGGTAAAAGCTTGAAGGTCAAAAGTGACATGTTGACACAGTGGTGTGTGGTTAGAAGAAAGGAGGACTAAATTTTTAATTTTTTTTTTTTTTTGAGATGGAGTTTCGCTCTTGTTGCCCAGGCTGCAGTGCAATGGCACAATCTTGGCTCAGTGCAACCTCCACCTCCTGGGTTCAAGCGATTCTCCTGCCTCAGCCTCCCAAGTAGCTGGGATTACAGGCATGCACCACCACGCCTGGCTAATTTTTTGTATTTAGTAAAGACAGGGTTTCACCATGTTGGTCAGGCTGGTCTCAAACTCCTGATCTCAGGTGATCCACCCACCTCGGCCTCCCAAAGTGCTAGGATTACAAGTGTGAGCCACCACTCCCGGCCATAATTTTTGAATTTCTTTTCTGTGGTCACCTTGTATCAGAGAGTTACTACTGTAAAATTACAGTGGTGTTTGTTTTCATTTCCCTCTGTCACTTGGATGTTTCCTCTACTTTTGTATGAAAGTTACAAAACCAGGCCAGGTGTGGTGGCTCATGCCTGTGAGCCTCCCACTTTGGGAGGCCGAAGTGGGCAGATTACCTGAGGTCAGGAGTTTGAGACTAGCCTGGCCAACATGGTAAAACCGTGTCTCTACTGAAAATACAAAAATTAGCTGGGCATGGTGGCTCACTCTTGTAATCCCAACTATCTGGGAGGCTGAGGTGGGAGGATCACTTGAACCTGGGAGGTGGGGGTTGCAGTGAGCCGAGATCCCATCACTGCACCCTAGCCTGGGCAACACAGTGAGACTCCATCTCAAAATGAAAATAAATAAATAATTAAAAAAGAAGTTATAAAACCTAGCCAAACCAAAACGGAAAGAGTAAAAGAAAACAAAGCAAAAAGCCAAAAAAGTAATTCTTTGCTTTCTCATGGCAGCCATGACACTCTAGTCAGAGCTGCATGAATGAAGAGGTTAAATAACTGTGTGGTGGGGCTTCCTTTGTGAAACTGTGGGGCAGTCAGTGAGTTTGGAGGGTCTGTACAGAATTTAATCCAGATGCAGGAACAGATTGTGTAAGAAGGTTCAGTGTAGGATTGGTTCTTGACTCTTAATTTATTCAACAAATATTTACTATGTGCCTGCTACTGCAGGCCTTGGGATGAGTAAGACAGACATGGTTTATTTCCTCATGAAATTTATTGTTAAATGAAGGAGATGGACAATTAACAAATGATTGTGCCAATGATTGTTTTGCTGTGGTGACAATAATTGCTATGAAGTCAATGTATACAGTGTGATCTGAAATTGTGTAACAGAGGTCCCCACCCCAACTCATTTCTTGGCCTCCAGACCTGTAGTATTTACTGCTACTGTTAGTTGTCAATTTGTGTAGCTCTTCCCTTTACTCATCATGTCAGCCTTGTCTGTTCCAGCCCATCCTCTTCTCTAGAGCTCTGGCAAATGATTAGAGCTGTGGGTCACTTTCATGCATCCAGAATTTGGAAAAATCTATAGTCCTTTTCTGCATAGCATCTTATCCTGGACATAGCTCATTAGAAGAATCATAGTCATGGATAACCTCAGAGAAGATTCTATTGATTCCTATCATTCCAAAAGTGACTCTGCATTGTCCACACAATGTAGTGTGAGAAATCTCCATTAAGTGACAGTCATCCATGGCCCATTTCCTCAAACAGCCCTTTCTGTTCCTCTCAGTGGCACCGGAAGTGCCATCGCTGAGATGGTATCTCAAGTGAAACCCTAGTAGTCATATTTACATTCTGCTGCACCCTTAGGGGTGGGGAGCATTATCACTGTGCAGACATATATGACAGGTCAGTATCTACTATCTTGATGAGGTAATACAGCACTCACAAACTGAGAAAGGTCTTGATTTGTACATCTTTTTTTTTTTTTAACAATTTTATTTTAGGTCATGAATGGGGAGACCTGCTGTGAACATGGGCTTTAGGATCGTGGACATCAATTGGTGGAGAGGCAGAACTGGGAGCGAGGGAGTCAACAAGAGTTGTGCTCTATCTATTCATTCATAACGTTTCAACGTTTGCTCACCATTTCTAGGTACCTTGTCTGGGTTCCATGCTAAAGAGGACTCAAGAGGAGAGTGATACAGGCAATAGGTTGAATTGAGCTGATATAAAAGGATCACCTTCAAACAATAATATTGCTGGGGAAAACAAAATAATTTTAATACATGGCCAGGCTTGAAAGCAAACAAGAGAAATCCCCAGATGCCAGAGGCACAAAACGGGAGTTGAAGCCAAATCTCTCAAAACAATATCAATATAGGGCCCAGAGGCTGAAGACCGGAGTATTAGTTTTCTCATATGGATGGGAGGTGAGGCTTGGGGCCTCCAAAAAAAGCCAGGGCGGCCGGGCACTGTGGCTCACGCCTGTCATCTCAGCATTTTGGGAGGCCAAGGCGGGCAGATCACGAGGTCAAGAGATGGAGACCATCATGGTCAACATGGTGAAACCCCGTCTCTACTAAAAATACAAAAATTAGCCAGGTGTGGTGGTGTGCGCCTGTAGTCCCAGCTACTTAGGAGGCTGAGGCAGGGGAATTGCTTGAACCCGGGAGGCGGAGCTTGCAGTGAGCCGAGATTGTGCCATTGCACTCCAGCCTGGCGACAGAGCGAGACTCTGTCTCAAAAATAAATAAATAAATAAATAAATAAATAAATAAATAAATAATAAAAAAGCCAGGACTCGCAGGGCTGCTCCACCCACAATAATGAACCACTATCTAGAGAAGTGTCAGCGAAGCTACTTATCTACCAGGGGAAAATGGCATCCATCAGAAATCAGAACCCCAAATCTGTGCCATAAGATTTTGGGACCAGGCACAGCAGCTCATGCCTGTAATCCCAGAACTTTGGAAGGCTGAGGTGGGTGAATTGCTTGAGCCCAGGAGTTCGAGACCAGCCTGGGCAACATGGTGAAACCTCCTCTGTACAAAAAATAGAGAAGTTAGCTGGGCATGGTGGCACATGCCTGTAGTCCCAGCGGCTTGCGAAGCTGAGGTGGGAGGATCACCTGAGCCTGGGAAGTCAAGGCTGCAGTGAGCTGTGATTGTGCCACTGCACTCCAGCCTGAACCTCAGAGTGAGAAACTGTCTCAAAAAAAAAAAAAAAAAAAGATTTTGGGGCTACAAATTTATACTTCCCTATGGAAGAAGAAATGCTAAAAGATTAACCTAGAAACTCTCCCAGAAGCAGTGACTCTTAGGGCTCCAGAAAAAGCATCACAAACCTATCTTGTAGACGTGTCTCCCATGTGGAGGGTCCCCTAGGCCATTCCCAGGTTCAACAATTAACAGGAGGACTCACAAGACCGGAAAATAGTTCTGCCAGCTGTGACTTATTACAGGGAAAGGATACAAAACATAAGGAAAGATGCATGGGTGAAGTTCCAGAGGTACCAGATACAAGTTTCCAAGAGTACCCTGCCAATGGAGTCACACAAGACACACTTAATTCTCCCAGCAAGAGTCTGTGACAATATGTGTGAAATGTTGTCTAGTTGTGAAGATTGTTAGAGACTCTGTGCCTAGGGTTTTTATTTGGGGGTTGGTCATGAAGGTACTAGGTATCCTCTGCCTAACTCATGACAAAATCCAAGAATCCCAGAAGGAAAGAATGTCTTCAGCATAAACTACATTGTTTTTTGCTTTACTTATTTATTTTTTTTGGTAACAGCTTTATTGAGATATGATTCATATACCATACAACTCACCCATTTAAATTGTACAATTCAATGGTTTTTAGTATATTCACAGTGTTTTCCAATAATCACAATCAATGAACATTTCCATCACTCCAGAAAGAAACCCTGCGTGCATCAGAGTCAATCCCTATTCCCCTTCCCTCAGCCTCTAGAAATCACTACTCTCCTTTCTGACTCTGTGGATTTGCCCACTCTGTTCATTTCACACAAATGGAATCATATGATATGTGACCTCCAAAATAAAAATAACTAAGGAAAAGCCTAGCCAACATAGTGAGACCCTGTCTCTACAAAAAACTTAAAAAGTAGTCTGGGTGCAGTGGCTCACACCTGTAATCCTAATACTTTGGAAGGCTGAGGCGGGCGGATCACTTGAGGTCAGGAGTTGGAGACCAGACTGGCCAACATGGCGAAACCGCGTCTGTACTAAAAATATAAAAATCAGTAGGACATGGTATCATGTGTCTGTAGTCCCAGCTACTCAGGAGGCTGAAGTGGGAGGATCAGTTGATCCTGGGGGGCGGAGTTTGCAGTAAGCTGAGATTGTGCCACTGCACTCCAGTCTGAGCTGGACAGAATGAAACTTTGTCTCAAAAAAAAAAATTAGTTGGGCATGGTTCCATGCCCCTCTGGTCCTAGCTACTTCGGAGGCTGACATGGGAAGATCACTTGAGCCCAGGAGTTCAAGGGTACAGTGAACTACGATCATGACATTGCACTGTAGCCTGGGTGACAAAACAGACCCAGGCCCTATCTCTTTAAAAAAAAAAAAAAATTAAGGAAGAAAAAAAATCCACATTGTTTTTACAAACAATTTAAGCATCATTCTTATCAGTTCTGAGAATAGTGGGAGCCCTCCTGAAATCTAAGTTCCCAAACTCCAGCCAAGGGCCCTACCTTGCAAGCAGACATTTCTAAGGACAGCAGTCTCAGGCCTGCTATGTTAACTCTCTTCTGCACATTTCCACAACAAGGGCATGAGAGATTGCCAGGGAGCACAGCTCAGTGACGGTCATGTCAGAGTTACAAACTGACAAACCTCATCTTTAAGGAGGTAGAGCACAACTCCTCACTCCTTAAGTGTGGGTTGTGTATAGTGATACAGTCCCTCTTGCTAAGAGACGAGCTTTATAGTGAAGAATCCTCACAAACACTGTCTCAGCCAGGCCATCACAGATATGGAGGATGTCAGTGATAAGTCGTGTCAATAGCATGTACCCTTGACACAATGTGATGAGAACGGCGCTTCCTCCCAAAACACGTAACTCCAGTCTATTCATAAGAAAAATATCAGACAAATGCCAGTGGAGGGACAGTCTATGAAACTACTGATCAATCATCCTCAAAACTGCCAAGAACATCAGAAATGAGGAAGGAGGCCAGTTGTAGTGGCTTACACCTATAAGCCCAGCATTTTAGGAGGCCAAGGCGGGAGGATCACTTGGAGGTCAGGAGTTTGAGATGAGACTGGGCAACATAGTGAGACCCCATCTTTACAAAAAAATAAATTAAAAATAAGGAAGGTTTGAGAAAATGTAACAGCCAAAAGAAGCCTAAGAAGACATGACAACTAAATGTGATGTGGGATCCTGGATGGGACCCTGGAGCAGAAAAAGGAAATTAGGCAAAAACTAAGAAAATCTGAATAAGGTATGGACTTTAGTTAATTATAATGGATCAATATTGGCTCCTCAATTGTGACAAATATACCATCCTAATGGAAGAGGTTCATAATCAGGGAAACCGAGTGTGAAGTACAGGGGAATTCTGTGCTATCTCTGTAATTTTTCTGTAAATCTAAACTTTTTCAAAAAATAAAGCTTATTATATTTATATATTATACTTTTATATTATAATATTTTATATTACATTATAAATATTTGTAATACTTTTGTATTATATTACAAATCTCATGAGGAAATGGGCCTCCATGAAGTAGGATCAGTAGTTTAAACAAATGTGAGTTTTTTAATATCCCGAAGAACTAGTGATAATACAATTAGAGTGAATGTTTTTCTCTTTTTCTCTTTCTGGCTACTATCAGTTTGTGGCGTTTCAACAGCCTCCTGTTTTGGAAGAATCACTGATTCTGTGGTAGATATTGTTCACTGATATGCTGGAGGCCATGGACATCAGACGATCCCCAGAGGAGACAAGGAGGAGCTATCTTTTCTTCTTGCCATACTTGGGAGAGTGGGAGAGCCAGGCTGCCTGCTGTGTGCAGGTACCTCCTTGTAGCCCAAAGGCTTCATTGGGAGCCACTGGGCATCTCTGGGCAGTGTGTTACAAACATCCACTCTTCCCCTCTGTCCTGCTGATTCTTGCCAGTGACTGGTTCAGGAACCCATGTTCCAGATTCATATCAATCAGCCCATGGCAGCCCCCAGGTGAATGTTGAGGGGTAGGTACTTAACCAAAAATGCGCACCATCAGAGTGGAGAGAAGGACTCATACTCCTGGTTAGCAGCCATCTTGCATCCATAAGGGTATCCATCCTAAGAATAAAGTTGACATTTATAAAGTGAAGGTAGGATCAAAAGGACCTCAGAAAAATGGAACCGAAGCCCTGATTGTATTTTCACCTGAACTCTGCCCCACAGGGAGGGGTTTTCTTTTGAATTAGATTTTCCATTATTTTCAAAGTCATCCATAGGCATATGTTTTCTCCTTCTGAAGAAAGTCATGGAAGCAGGGAGGACAGTCTGGCAGTGGCAACAGAGGTGACAAATGCCCAGTGAGGTGGTCCCAGCTGCACATCTCCATGTCACCTAGTCTCTTGGGTCCTGGACATTTCTTCTCTAGTTATACACCCTTTCCACCAATTCTACTAGGTATATTCATCTTTCTAGCAAATTCCTTCCTGCTTAAGTTATCCAAAATTGATTTCTGTTGCTTACAACCAAGATTCTTGGCCTATATAAGAACAATCTGAAAGAGACTTTGAAATAATACATGGCCTCTGTAACCTCAAGATTTTAGCACTTGATGGGGGAAACAGACACACAGGGATCTCACTGTGCATCCTATGAAAAGTGCTATAATAGATGCACCTGCGAAAGACTCTTGGGAACCCTATGGAGGGAGACTTTTCCCTCTTAGAGTGAGCATGGGCAGTCAGGACAGGCTTCACAAGGAAGTAACATGAACTGAGTCCTTAAAAGGTCATAAAATGTCATTAGACAAAGAGATGAGGAAAGGGAAAAGCATAAACAAATGTATGCTAGGAGGGAGCTGAGGCTGAGGATAAAGTAATTTAAGGTGTGAGCACGATTAGATACAAAGTTACAGAGAAAATATGGAGACTGTCTGAGGAAGGATTTGGGAAATGAAGCTGGATAAGTAGGTGGAACTAAGTTCTACAAAACCTTAAGTTCACATTCCAAAGGTTTTGAAAATTACTCTTGCTTGAAATTCGTCAGAGTAGGGATAAGCCATACTGGAACTTCAGCTGCACGAGCTGATGGGAGAAGAGGAGGTCATTGGGATAAGAAATGGATTGGGGCTAGAGAGCAATAATCCACACCTACGGCTAGTCATTGAAAACAGGACAAAAGTAGTAAATTCTTCTAGGTTTAAAGAAGCTTTATTCAGACAAAGAAAATAAAAACAAAACAAAAACATATGAGAAAAACAGAAAACAAATATAAAGATGATCAATTTAAATCTAACTATATCTATGATCACACCTGTAAATGTTTATACATCCTAATTAAAAGACAGAGATGGTAAAATATCAATATTGGCTCATTAATTGTGCTATGGCCTGAATTATGTCCCCTTCAAAATCATATGTTGAAGCCCTAACACTCAATGTGACTGTATCTGGAGATAAGGTTTTTAGGTTAAGGTAGGGTCTTAAGGTTAAATAAAGTCATAGGGTGGTTTCTCATCTGTTAAGACTGTGGCCTTATAAGAAGAGAAAGAAAAACCTCTCTCTTTCTCTCTCTACACACACACACACACACACACACACGAAAGGCGACATGAGGACACAGTGAAAAAGGTGGCCAGCCACCTGCAAACCAGGAAAAGAGCCCTCACCAAAAAGTAAATAATCCAGAAAGAATTGTGAGAAATAAATTTTTGTTGTTTAAGCCACTCAGTCTCTGGTATTTTTTATGGCAGCCCAAGGAGACTAAGACAAAATGTAACGAATGGACTACACTAATGCTAATGCAAGATGTTAATGAGAGGGAAAACTAGGGTGGGGGTAGTGAGGGAGAATCCTTTGTACTTTCCACTTAACTTTTTCTGTAAACTTAAAACTGCTCAAAAAAAAAATAAAGTCTATTAATTTTTAAGGCAGAAATTGTCTAACTGGTTATAAAAGCAAGATTCACTGTAGAGGTGCCTACAAGAAACACATGTTGAATACAAAGACACAAAAAGGTTAAAAGTAAAAGGATAAAAAAAGATATACCAAGTGAACACTAAATAAAACAAAGCTGGGGAGGCTACATTAATAGCAGACAAAAAAGATTTCAGAGCAAAGAATACCACCAGGGATAAAGAAAATAAATTCATCATGATAAAGGGTTAATCTATCAGGAAGATACAACAATCTTAAATGTTTATGCACTTAATAACAGAACTTCAAATAAATATGAAGCAAAAACTGACAGAACTGCAAGAAATAGTAGATAAATTAGCAATTACAGTCAGAGATTTCAAATACCCTGTCTCAATAATTAATACAGCAAGTAAAGAGAAAGTCAATAAGAATATAGAAGATTTGAACAATGCTATCAACCAACATGATCTAATTTATTTTTATAGAACACACCACCCAAAAACAGTAGAACACATAATTTTTTCAAATGTAAATAAGATATTTACCAATATACAGCATGTTCTGGGCTTCTGGGCCATAAAACAAGTCTTGGTAAATTTTAAAGGATTCATGTCATAAAAAGTATATTCTCTGATTACAGTGGAATTAATTAAAAATCAATAACTGAAAGATCTTTGGGGAACTGTCACATGGTTGGAAACTAAATAATACACATACACAACTAGTGGGGCAAAAAAAATGAAAATGGCAATTAGAAAGTATTTTCAACTTAGTACAAATGAAAACATAACATATCAAATTGTATGGGATGCCTTTGTGGTAGACTGAAAAGGAGCCCCCAGATATGTCCACATTCTAATCCCCAGAATCTGTGGATGTTGCTCTACATGGCAGAAGGGATTTTACAGATGTGATAAGTTAAGAATCATGAGGTGGGGAGAGTATCCTGAATTATTGGGGTGGGCCAATAGTCCTTATAGGAGGAACCCAGGAGAAGTCAGAGTTAGAGAAGAGGGCAATGTCATTGTTATGGGTGGGACTTTGTTCTTAGAGCTCCCAAGATGGTGGCAGGCCACTCCCAAGATGGCAGCAAGCCTTTTGTTCTCTGACCTGGGGTTCTTGGCCTCACGGATTCCAAGGAATGGAACCTTGTGCCATGCAGTGAGTGTTATAGCTCCATTAGAAGTCGTGGGTCATGGAAGAGAACTGTGGAACCCAGCAACTAGTGTTCATTCAGCTCAATTAAGATGAACCCTGGGCCCTTAGCCATGCAGGAACAATGGTGAGCCTCTAGCCTGATCAGGAGTGGCAACGGGTGCCTCGCTGGATCAGAAGCACAGCAGACACCCTGCTGGATCTGGAGGGGTTGATGTCAGCAGTGGGTCTGTGATGGCGGAAAACAGCAGTGGTGGACAGTGAGCGAAAGCTCAGCTCAAGCCGTAACAAACACGGACCAGAACAGTGTGCAGTTGCAAGATTTAATAGAGTGAAAACAGAGCTCCCATACAATGGGAGGGGACCCAAAGGGGGTTGCCACTTCCAGCTCAAATGCCTGGGGTTTATATCCCAACTATTGTCCCTCTCCCTGTGCTCGCAGGCAATAGATGATTTGATTATTTCTTTACCTCCTGTTTTTAGCCTAATTAGTATTTTAGTGAGCTCTCTTTACTACCTGATTGGTCGGGTGTGAGGTGAGTTACAGGCCCCGTGTTTAAAGGTGGGTGTATTCACCTTCCCCAGCTAGGCTTAGGAATTCTTAGTTGGCTTAGGAAATCCAGCTAGTCCTGCCTCTCATCATGACAGAAGCACAGATTGGAGTGATGCACTTTGCAACAGGTATGCTTTAGCCCAGCAAATCTGATTTTGGACTACTAACTTCCGAAACTAAGAGTTGTGTTGTTTTAAGCCATTAAATTTGTGGTAATTTGTTACAGAGAACATAAGAAACTAGTACAGCCCTTAAAAGTGTACGTAGGAGGAAATTTATGACACTAAATGCCTCAGCTTTAGCCTATGAAAGTAGGAAGAAAAAATACTCAAAGTAAATCCAAAGTAAGCAGAAAAAAGGAAATAGTAAAGGTCAGAGCAGAAATCAATGAAGTAGAAAACAGAAAACAATAGAGAAAAATCAATGAAATTAAAAATTGGTTCTCTGAGAAGATCCATAGAATTGATAAACCAAATTGATTAGGAAAAAAATATGTAACAAATGACCAATATCAGGAATGAGAGAAATGACATCACTACAGTTTCTACAGATACTAAAAGAACAATAAGGAAATATTACATATGACTTTGGGCCAATAAATTGAACAACTTAGATGATAAAATGAACAAACCCCCAAAACTACCAATGCTTACTCAGGAAGAAATAGATAATTTACATAGCCCTGTTTCTATTAAAAAAATTAAATTTGTAGTGAAATACCCTCCCCCAAGAAACCTCCAGGGCCATATGTCTTTACAAAATTCTATCAAACATTTAAGGAAGAAATAATACCAATTCTATACAAACTCTGCTAGAAAATGGAAGAGAATGGAATACTCTCTAACTCATTCTATTAGACCAGCATGACCTTGATACCAAAAACAGGCAGTTATTATAAGAAAACTGTCACACGTGTCCATGTGAAGAGAGTCCACCAACAGGCTTTGTGTGAGCAACAAGGCTGTTTATTTCACCTGGGTGCAGGCGGGCTGAGTCTGAAAAAGGAGTCAGCAAAGGGTGGTGGGATTATCATTAGTTCTTATAGGTTTGGGATTGGCATACAAAGTACATTCTCAAGGGCAGGGAGAATATTACAAAGTACCTTCTTAAGGGTGGGGGAGAATATTACAAAGTACCTGCTTAAGGGCAGGGTAGAATATTACAAAGTACCTTCTTAAGGGCAGGAGAGACTATATCGTATCAGTTAGGGTGGGGCAGGAACAAATCACAATGGTGGAATGTCATCAGTTAAGGCTATTTTCACTTCTTTTTTGGATCTTCAGTTGCTTCAGGCCATCTGGATATATACGTGCTGGTCACTGGGGATATGATGGCTTAGCTTGCGCTCAGAGGCCTGACATTCCTGTCGTCTTATATTAATAAGAAAAACAAAACGAAATAGTGGTGAAGTGTTGGGGAAGCAAAAATTTTTGGGGGTGGTATGGAGAGATAATGGGCAATGTTTCTCAGGGCTGCTTTGAGTGGGATTAGGGGCAGTATGGGAACCTAGAGTGGGAGAGATTAAACTGAAGAAAGATTTTGGGGTAAGGGGTGATATTGTGGGGTTGTTAGAAGGAGCATTTGTCATATAGAAACTAAATGGAAGACACAAGTTCTGAATAAGAGAAGGAGAAAAACAGGTATTAAAGGACTAAGAATTGGGAGGACCCAGGACATCCAATTACAGAGTGCCCAAGGGGGTTCAGCATAATTATTTGCTTGGTTGGCGAGTTTTTGGGCTCTATCCTTGAGTTTTTTTATGTTGTCATATACCGGGCCAGGTTGATTTAGGTAAAAAACAAAACAAAACAAAAAAAACTCTTCATTTAAAAATATACAGAGTCCTCCTTTTTCAGCAGTGAGTAAATTGAGGCCTCGGCGATTTTGGAGGAAAGAGAAATGCAAAGCCAGCAATTGTTTGTTAAAGAAGGATTAGAAATGGCTAAGAGAGAGTGAGTGAGATTGATAGTGTGGTGGAGATAGCTGGGGAGAGGTAGAGGGTGGCACAAGAACAGGAATGAGAATAAGAGTGAGTATAAAAGTAAAGAATAGGACCTCATCAGGGTGGAAGTATTGGAGCGTGCCCTGTCAGCAGAGATCATCCATCCACTCCTCCACTCCAAGAGGGAGTCAAGAGTGGCAGATTGGGGATAGTACCAGGAGATATCTGCTACGATGGTTTGGAGGAAAAGTGTAAACCGGCAGTGTAAACAAGGGCAGGGCATTTATGAGTAGTTGAGAATGGTGAATAGGAGTATGACTAGACAGAAGATAGAAGGGATGACAAGTTTTTGGGGTACAGTCCAAGTAGTGGGTGGGGGTGACTGTGTAAAGCCCTGTTGTAAAGAGTAGAATAAGGAAGATGAGACTTAATAAAAATGAAAGGATGTATTAGGCTTATAAGGGTTACTATTATCCTTTAGGAATGCGGGTGAGTTTAAGGAAAGTAAGGGTGAGTACTTGCGACTTCCAGGAGGAAGAGGAGAGATCAGGCTGGCTGTTCAACAGACACAGCTTTATTCTGGCGTGATGAACCTAATGGTGGGTGGGTTCCTGCAGACAAACAGCCACTGGGGTACTATAGATGACTAAGTGGGGTCCAATCCACCGAGGTTGTAGAGTTTGAGGGGTCAGATTCTTAACAAGAACTGATTGTCCAGCTAGGGTGTCTTCATATGACTGGGAATCTGGAGTAGGCAAGAGAAGATTAGCAGCCTAGGGAATTTCCTGTCTAGCCTGCTGGAGGACTTGAAGATAGTCGCTCAGAGGGCTGGAGTCTGGGACGTGGTTGGGGCCGAGCAAGAAAGTGCGTCCATATAAAAGTTCAAATGGACTATACCCTGTAGCATCTCAAGGACAGGCTCTAATTCTGAGAAGGGCGAGAGGTAAAAGTACTGTCCAGTCCTGGCCATGAGGAACAGAAGTTGGAACGCCAGCTGCTTCTTTAGCTATCTTATCAGCATAAGCATTGCCTTGAGCAATGGGATCTGATGCCTTTTGATGGTCCTTGCAGTGAATGACTCCAGCTTCCCTTGGAAGTAAAGTGGCCTTGAGAAGAGTTTTCATTAAGGAGGCATTAATGATGGAGGACTCTTGTGTAGTGAGGAAATTTCTTTCAGTCCATGTAACAGCATGGTGGTGCAGGATATGGAAGGCATATTTAGAGTCAGTATAAATATTGATGCGTAGTCCCTTTGCAAGAGTGAGGGCCCAAGTTAAGGCAATGAGTTTGGCTTGCTGAGAGGTAGTGGAGGGGGGCAGAGCAGTAGCCTCAATGATAGATGTGGAAGATACTATAGCATAGCCTGCCTTTGCTGGTGAGTGGCAATTAGGCCTGGTGGAACTGCCATCAATAAACCAAGTGTGATCAGGATGAGGAACAGGAAAGAAGGAAATATGGATAAATGGAGTGAATGCCAGGTGGATCAGAGAGATACAGTCATGGGGGTCAGATGTGATATCCGGGATAATGTGGGAGGCCGGACTGAAGTCCAGGCCAGGAACAATGGTAACTGTGGGAGACTCAACAAAGAGTGAGTATAGCTGAAGGAGCCAGGGAGCAGAAAGTATATGTGTCAGGTGTGAGGAAGAAAATAGATTTTTGAAGTTATGAGAACTGTAGAGAGTGAGTTGAGCATAGTTTGTGATTTTGAGGGCCTCTAAAAGTATTAAAGTAGTGGCAGCTGCCACACATAGACATGAGGGCTAGGCTAAAAGAGTAAGGTCAAGTTGTTTGGACAGAAAGGCTACAGGGCATGGTCCTGGCTGTTGTGTAAGAATTCCGACCACACAACCCTGCACTTCGGCTGTGTGTAATGAAAAAAGTTGGGATGAGTTAGGGAGAGCTAGTGTGGGAGCAGCTTTTAGGGCTGTTTATTAAGGAATGGAAAGGGGAGTGGGGAAAGGATTTAGGATTTACAGGGTCAGCTAGGTTTATCTAGAACAGAATAATGGATTGTGGAGGGAGGTATTGAGGATAGGAGAGTATATGGGTTTGGCACCACGGGGTGGATAGGCAAGACAATTTGGTTGATAAGGCACAGATCCTGAACTAACCTGTAAGACTTGTCCAGTTTTTGGACAGGTAAGATAGGGGAGTTTGTAGGCTTTAGAAGCCCATGCTGTAACAGGTGAGTGATAACAGGCTTTAATCCTCTTAAAGCCTGTTGTGGGATGGGATACTGGCATTGCGTGGGGTAAGGGTGATTAGGTTTCAATGGGATGATAAGGGGTTCATGATTGGTCGCCAAGGAAGGAGTAGAGGAATCCCATGCTTGTGGATTAAGGTAGGGAGATAAAAGAGGAGGACTCAAAGGAGGCTTTGAACTGGGGAAAAGGGCAGCGATGAGGTGTGGCTGTAGCCCAGGAATAGTCAGGGAAGCAGATAATTCAGTTAAAATGTCTTGATCTAATAAGGGAGCTAGGCAGGTGGGGATAACTAAAAAGGAGTGCATAAAAGAATGTTGTCCAAGTTGGCACCAGAGTTGGGGAGTTTTAAGGGGTCTAGAAGCCTGGCCGTCAATACCCCCAACAGTTATGGAGGCAAGGGAAATAGGCCCTTGAAAAGAAGGTAATGTGGAGTGGGTAGCCTCTGCATTGATTTAAAAGGGGACAAACTTACTCTCCACTGTAAGAGTTACCCAAAGCATCTGTTATGGTCCAGGTGGCTTCTGAGGTGATTGGGCAGCATCAGTCTTCAGCTGCTAAGCCAAGAAGACCTGGGAAGGAGTCAGTCAGAGATCCTTAGACCAAAGTTCCAGGGACTCTGGGAGCGGCTGCCGGGTGAGTTGGACAGTCCAATTTCCAGTGGGGTCCTGCAGAGATGGGACATGGCTTAGGAGGAATCCCGGGCTGTGGGCATTCCTTGGCCCAGTGGCCAGATTTCCAGCACTTGAAGCAAGATCCTGCAGGAGGAGGTCCTGTAGGAATGCCTGACTGCTGTAGCTTAGGCGTTTTGAAGTCCTTGTGTGCTGGAGATGTGGCTGAGGTTTCTCTCACAGTGGAGGCAAGGAATTGCAACTCAGAAATACACAGCTACTTGGCTGCCTCTACTCTATTATTGTACACCTTGAAGGCAAGGTTAATTAAGTTGTGTTGTGGGGTTTGAGGGCTGGAATCTAATTTTTGGAGCTTTTTTTAATGTCGGGAGTGGATTGGGTAATAAAATGTATGTTGAGAATAAGACAGCCTTCTGGCCCTTCTGGGTCTAGGGCGGTAAAGCATCTAAGGGTTGTTGCCAAATGGGCCATGAACTAGGTTGAGTTTTCATATTTGATGAAAAAGAGCCTAAATGCTAACTGATTTGGGAGAGGTCAGATAAAGAAAAAGGAGCATTAACCTTGACTATGCCTTCAGCTCCAGCTACCTCTCTAAGGGGAAATTGTTGGGCAGGTGGAGGAGGGCTAGTCGCAGAACGAAACTGTAAGCCAGACCGAGTGTGAGGAGGGGAGGTAATAGAAGGGTTATAGGGTGGGGGAACGGAGGCTGAAGAAGAGTTGGGATCTGGCTCAGCCTGGCGAGGAGCAGCCTGGGGAGGAGGGGAGGGGTCAGATGGATCTGTAGAAAATGAGGATTCAAAGGACTCAGAGCTTGGGGTGGAGACTGAGGGAATAGACAGGAGAGAAAGATTTGGGATGAGTCTCACTGGGAGCAGAGACTAGGGAGGGACCAATGTGTAAAAGAATGCCCAGACATCAGGCATCTCAGACCATTTGCCCATTTTTTGACAAGAGTTATCTAGATCTTGTAGGATAGACAAATCGAAAGTGCCATTCTCTGGCTACTTGGAACTACTGTTGAGTTTGTATTGGGGCCAAGCGGTATTGCAGAAGAAAATAAGATGCTTAGGTTTTAGGTCAGGTGTGAGTTGAAGAGGTAAGTTTTTAAGAACACAGGCTAAGGGAGAAGAAGAAGGAATGGAGGGTGGAAGGTTGCCCATAGTGAAGGAGGCAAGCCCAGAGAAAAGAGAGGGTAGAGACATGGAAGGGAAGGTGGTGAGCAGCCCTGGGCTGCAATGTGGATGAGCAGCCAAAGAAGGCATCCCCGCAATTGACTTGCCACCAAGGGAATGTGGGTGAATGACCAAGGCAGGCGTCCCCGTGGTGATCAGACACCAATGGAGTGTGGGTGAATAATCAGGCAGGCATTCCCACAGTGATTAAACACCAAGGGAAGACTGTCTTCCCAAGTCTGTGACCGGTGCCGGAGTTTTGGGCCGGAGACAATGTGTCTCCTTGTCTCTACTAGAGAGGAAAAAGAACTGGAATCGGAAGGACAGGGAGATTGAAGGGTAGCAAGAGAGGAAGACTGAAGGGTAGCGAGAGAGGAAGATTGAAGGGTAGCAAGAAAGGCTGGAGAAGAGTGAAAAGACTGCTTACCTCATTTGAAATTGGTGAGATGTTCCTTGGGCTGGTTGGTCTGAGGACCCGAGGTCATAGGTGGTTCTCCTCATGGAGTGAGGGTGAGGACAGGGGACCAGTCTCCAGAAGGAGTCCTCCTGTCCAAGGTCTTTGGCACCAAATGTCTCGCACGTCCATGTGAAGAGACCACCAATGGGCTTTGTGTGAGTAACAAGGCTGTTTATTTCACCTGGGTGCAGGTGGGCTGAGTCAGAAAAAGGAGTCAGCAAAGGGTGGTGGGATTATCATTAGTTCTTATAGGTTTGGGATAGGCATACAAAGCGCATTCTCAAGGGCGGGGGAGAATATTACAAAGTACCTTCTTAAGGTGGGGGTAGAATATATCGTATCAGTTAGGGTGGGGCAGAAACAAATCACAATGTTGGAATGTCATCAGTTAAGGCTATTTTCACTTCTTTTGTGGATCTTCAGTTGCTTCAGGCCGTCTGGATGTATACATGCAGGTCACAGGAGATGTGATGGCTTAGCTTGGGCTCAGAGGCCTGACAAAAACTACAGACCAATATCTGTCATGAACATGGATACAAAAATTCAAAAACAAATTTTAAGTAAATTGTACCCACCAATATATAAAAATAATACTACCGTATGATTTCATGGGGTTTATCCAAAAAGTACAAGATTAGGTCAGTACAGTGGCTCACACCTGTAATCTCAGAACTTTGGGAGGCTGAGGCGGGCAGATCATTTGAGGTCAGGAGTTTGAGACCAGCCTGGCCAACATGATGAAACCCCATCTCTACTAAAAATACAAAAATTAGTTATGTGTGGTGGTGGGCACCTGTAGTCTCAGGTACTAAGGAGGCTGAGACAGGAGAATTGCTTGAATCTGGGAGGTGGAGGTTGCAGTGAGCTGAGATCATGCCACTGAACTCCAGCCTGGGCAACAGAGAGAGACTTCTTTGCCTCAAAAAAAAAAAAAAAAAAAAAAAGCAAGATTAGATTAACATTTAAATATCAATCAACATAATTTAACATACAAATTGTTTTAGTTAAAACATAAAATGATACCCTATATGATCATTTCAATGGATGAAAAAAAGCATTCACATCTCAAAAAAATAACAAAGAATGCAAGATTAGATCAACATTTAAATAGCAATCAACATAATTTAGCATACAATTTGTTGGCTTTTAGTTAAAAAATAAAACAATATCTCATATGATCATTTCAATAGATGAAAAAAAAGCGTTTGACAAAATCCATGATCAATTCTTGATTAAAAAAAGAGAAGAATTCTCAGCAAACTGGGAATAAAAGGGAACTTCCTCCATCTGATAATGTACATCTAAAAAAAAAAAACCTATGGCTAACATTATATTGAGTGGTGAAATACTAAATGTTCACCCCTATAAGTTCAGGAATAAGACAAAGCTGTGTTTCTTTGTCACTTCTATTCAACATTATACCAGAAGGTCTGGTATACGCACCAGTGCAATGAGGCTATAAATAAATAAGTAAATAAATAAATAACAGCATCCAAATTAGAAAAAAAGAAGTAAAACTGTATTTACAGAAGGTACCATTATTTATATATTAATATTAATAGAAAAATTGATAGAATATATTAAAAAGCTACTAGAACTAATAAATGAATTTAGCAATATTACAGAACTCAAGGTCAAGATATTGAAAAATCTACTGTTTCTATATACTAGCAATAAACACTTGGAAATTGAAATAAAAATAGCACTTAAAATAGCAGAAAAATATGAAATACTTAAGGATAAAGCTAACAAAAGTTGTCCATATACACTGAAAACTGCAAAACGTTGCTGTGAGAAATTAAGGAAGACTTTAATAAATGGAAGAGGTAAGGTGTTCATGAAAGACTCAGTATTGCTAAGATATCAATTCTCTCCTAAATGATCTATAGTTTCAACACAATCCCAATCAAAAGTCCAGCAGGCTTTTTTTTTTTTTTTTTTTTGGTAGAAATTGACAAACTGATTCTAAAATCCATATGGCAATGCTAAGGACCTAGAACAGCCAAAATGTCTTTGAAAAAGAAAAATAAAATTGGAGAACTAATACTACCTCATCTCAAGACTTCTTATAAAGCTGCAGTAATCAAGACAGCATATTATAATGACAAATAGATCAATGAAACAGACTAGAGTCCAGAAAGAGACCTACACATATATGAACAACTGACTTTGACAAAGGTGCAAAAACAATCCAGTGGGGGAAAAGACAGCCTTTTCCACATTGATGCTGGAGCATTAGATATTTATATACACAAAAATGAATTTTGATTCGTATCTTATACTATAAGAAAAATTAACTCAAAATGGATTACAGACCGGATTGTAAAACCAAAAACTATCTATAAGAAAATAGGAGAAAAATCATCATGATTTAAGGTGAGGCAAAAACATCTCAGATATAAAACCAACAAAATTAAAAATCTATAAGTTTGACTTAATCAAAATTTAAAACTTCTGCTTTTTGAAAGATACTGATAAAAAATGAAAAGAAAATTCACAGACTAGGAGAAAAAAATTGTGATTTATATTCCTGATAAAAATTTTGTGTCCAGAATGTATAAAGAATACTCAGAAAAATAAAGAATACTCAAATTCAATAATCAGAATTGAAAGCAGGGACAGAAAGAGTTATTTGCACACCCATGTTCACAGCAGCATTATTCACAACAGCCAAAGTGCCCGTCCGTGGATGAATGGATAAACAAAATGTGGTATAAATGTATGGACAACATGCTATGGATTATTATTCCAGCTTTAAAAAGGAAGGAAATTCTGAAATATGCTACAATGTAAACAAACCCTGAGAACATTACGCTAAGTGAAATAATCCAGTCACAGGAAGAGTAATACTGTATGATTTCACTTATATGAAGTACGTTTTTAAAAAATTATTATTATTTTTAAGAATAACAGATAAGAATAACAGACAGATGGAGTCTCTCTCTGTCACCCAAGCTGGAGTGCAGTGGTGTCATCATAGCTCACTGCAGCCTCAAACTCCTGGACTCCAGGGATCCTCCCTCCTCAGCCTCCTGAGTAGCTGGGATTACAGGCATGAGCCTTCATGCCCGGTGTATTAGTCCGTTCTCACACTGTGACAAAAATGCTACCTGAGACTGGGTAATTTATAAACAAAGGAGGTTTAATTGACTCACAGTTCTGCATGGTTGGAAAAGCCTCAGGAAACTTACAATCATGGCAGGGGAAGCAGGCACGTCTTACATAGTGGCAGGCAAGACAGAGTGTGTGAGAGAACAGGAAAAACTACCATTGATAAATCCATCAGATCTCATGAGAATTCACTCACTATCATGAGAACTACATGAGGAAAACTGCCCCCATGATCCAATCACTTTCCACAAAGTCACTCCCGAAATACCTGGGGATTAAAATTCAAGATGAGATTTGGGTGGGGACACAAAGCCTAACCGTATCCCCTGGCTATATGAGATACTTAGGAGTAGTCAAATTCATAGAGATAGAAATTTGAATAGTGGCTGCCAAGGCCTGAAGGGAAGGAGAGAGGAAAGAGGAGTTATTGTATAATAGGCACAGAATTTCCATTTTACAATGAGGGGTTCTGGAGACAGTAGCATGGTATGAAATTGTGATGATGGTAGCATGGTGTGAAAGTACTTAATGCCACAGAGCTGCACATATAAAGATGGCTAAGACAGTAAATTTTAAGTTATGTGTATTTTACTGCAATTTTTAAAAACTCAATAATAAGAAAACAACCCAATTTTATAAATTGAGCAAAACATTTGAATAGATACTTCCCCAAAGAAGATATACAGATGGAAAATAAGCATATAAAAAGATATTCAAAATCATTAGTCACTAGGGAAACACAAGTGAAAACAACAAGAGATCACCACAAACCTATTAGGATGGCAAAAATTTAAAAAAGACTGACCACACTAAGTTCTGGTAAGGATATGGAAGAATTGGGACTTTCATACAGTGCTGGTGAGAATATGAAATAGTACAACCACTTCAGAAAATAGTTTGGCAGCTTCTAAAAAAGTGAAATATACACTTACTGCATATAATCTATACCTTCCACGCTGGCTGGATTTGGATTTCAGATTTTTGGATTAGGGGTGCTAATCTTTCTCTCTCCCAAGAGAAATGAAAGCATATACTCACACAGAAATTTGTACAAAAATGTTTACAACATTTTGAGGCACTGCAATGTCACTTCCTTTGTAGTGCCTCAAAACCGGAAATAGCCCAATGTCCATCAACAAGTGACTGGATAAACAAATAGAGGTATATCTACATGGTAGACTACTACCCAGCTCATTTTTATTACTACGCTTTTATTTAAAAAAAGGAACATGAATGAATCTCAAAATAATTATGCTGAGTTAAAGAAGCCAGACAAAACAATAGAACATACTACATGATTCCATTTATATAAAATTCTAGAAAATGTGAACCGTCTATAATGACAGAAAGCAGATCAGTGACTGCCTGCGTATGGGGGAAGAAGTAGAAGGGGAGGAAGGCATTACAAGGGAGCACGAGGAAACTTTTAGGGGAATGGGATGTTTTCATTACCTTGGTTGTGTTGATGGTTTCATGGATATATATACATAAGTCCAAATTTATCGAATTACACACTTTAAATATGTGCAGCTTATTGTAGGTCAATTTTATTTCAGTAAAGACAGCCTTATGAACTCAGACTTGATCTGCCTTGGCGGATTCCATCTGTTGGTGGAGATTGAGAATCATAACAATTTGGAATTTTTACTTTGGGAAACAACCAAGGAAGACAACCTGGGAACAAATGTTGCTGAGCAACGTGGAGAGTTTTGAAGAGATTGAAAATGGTTCGTTTGCTCTGCATTTAATCAGCGTGGAAGGCCTCAGCGTCACAAGATATTGGAGCTAGAAGGGATCTCAGCAAGATGAAATGAAGTCCAGTTTATTTTACAGATCAGGAACTGAATCCAATAGAGATAAAGGGACTCGCCTTAGGTCACACAGCTTACAAAGCTAAAAATAAAATGTGGTTCTCTGAGGCTTAATCCTATGCTGGTTTTCTTTCTATACAGTATCTAATAGTTATAATAAACCTCAGTCTATGGAAATATAGAATGATACCCAACAGATGCTGAGTTCCCTCATGGCTATGTGGGTGGCCTTGAAGCATTGTCAGTGCTATAGCAACACTGTCTTCCTGGCCACCCTCAGGGTCTAGGCAACCTGGAACCAACACAGGATTTGAACTCCTTACAGCCACGACCAGTTCTGCTGTAACGCTGGTCTTAAAAACACAAAGTTATTGCACACGTGATTGATATACAGGTTGAGCATCCCTAATCCAAAAATCTGAAATCCAAAATGCTACAAAATCTGAAAGTTTTTGAATGCCAACATGATGTCACAAGAGGAAAATTTCACATCTGACCTCATGGGATGGCTCACAGTCAAAACACAAGTGCACAACATACAGTTTATTCAGCATTGCCAAGGGAAAAATAAAATTACCTTTAGGCTATGTGTATAAGGTGTATATGAAACATAAATGAATTTCGTGTTTAGACTTGGGCCCTGTCCCCCAAGATAGCTCATTATGTATATGCAGACATTACAAAATCCAAAAAAAAATCCAAAAGCAAAAATATGTCTGGTCCCAAGCATTTCAGATAAGGGATACTCAATCTGTCTTAGGAAACAATATGAGCATAATGCAAATTTGGTTTGGTGACGTGAGATCTTATGAATGAGAAACACTAGGTGAAAGCAGAAAACTGCTCTCAGCTGAACTGAGCTGCTTGATAATACGCAAAATGCACACACAGCACACACCTCAAACATCTATTAGCTACTTCAGTTCACTATGTGTGTTATGATTCCCACCCATCCACTTATGGTGTTACAACACTTCCATCCTAATTTTTGCCATCCTGATAGGTTTGTGGTGATCTCTTATTATTCAGGTAACTGAGTTCAGGTAACTTCCTTCCCACACTCCCCAACAAGTCACAAGCTGCAACCTTTCCCATGCCCACTTCCACAAATTTCAGATCTTGTTTAAAGCAAGGTGCCTTATTTGTTGTATTCTTTGTGAATTTCTTAACCATTTAACTGTGTAAAACTGTTCTACTGTCTTTATTAGGCTCCAATGCCTTTTTAGAAATCTGTCACTGAAGAAAATTTTGAGTGTTGACACCCTAAGCCCATTTTTTTCCTATTGTGCATTGCATACTGACTTTTTTGAGGGCATATGTTTATTATAGCAGAACTATATTGGGAGTGTGAAGTAGATCCTTAAAAGACTGATCTTGGGTCCAGTACTATGTGCGTGCACACACACACACACACACACCCCTTGTTTAGCTACTACTAGGCAGATTTCCTGTCATATACATTTGTTCAGGGCTGATAAGAGAAGTAAGTACCCTCTTCAGAGTCAGCCAACACAATGATTCTTAGTGGCAGGATATGGGTCCCTGGCTCCTCCTGACCAGTGACTGATGTAGGATAGAATAGAAACCATTAGCACTAGTCAACCAGTGGAGACAGCATTAAATCAGTTCACATATGATGGATTGCGCTTAGCAATGACCCATCCTCTTAGTATGTCAGGTGCTGGAAACAGTGTAGGTCAAAATATGTTTCTTCATGGTCGGCATCAGAATAACGTAGGGAACCAAATAGAATAAAGATTCCTGAGCCCCAAACTACTTTTTACCTAAAACAGCTGGCTCTTACTCTGTTTTATTTATCATTATTGTTCAATTACAATGGCTTTTGTCCAATTTTAGACAATTATTGTTGACTATTTGTCATGGTGCCACGTGTTGACCTATTGTGAGGAATTGGGGATTGACAGAAAGGAAAGTGCCAGAGAGGGGCCTGGCATATTAGAGAGTGTTGTACTATAGCTGGTTCATTAGGTTCATATCCCATCTGTCTGTCAACATTTTTTTTTTAGAACTTTGAATTAAATTCTCTGGTGCATTCTGAAACAAAGATAGGACATCTGTAGTTTCCTAATGAATAATTTCTCCCTTCTATAATCTAGCCCTGATTAACTGGCACTAAGTTCTTTATTTGTGTACAAGATGGCTTGGGAACAAAACAGCAGTTAAAAATTACAGTGATATTATGAGTGCATTTAAATAATATAATTATTTTTCTGGAGAAGATAACCATTATTATAATGTACCATACAGTAATGCCTTGTAATCAGCAACTGTTAATGTGATGTTTTACATCTTTTGCCTTGAAAAGTGAGTACTGTATTTTATTATCATTCAAGTCACAGGCAAAATAATCAAAGAGCTTAACTCCCTTCTTAATAGTTCCAAATATGTATCGTAAAATAACTCTAGTGCTTAGTATGCTGGGAGGAAAAAAACAAGTTGTAACTTCTGGTATGTACAATAGGACATTGTAATAAAGATATATTTTTGAAATAAGCAATGAAGAAAATGGATATGAAAGCAGCAGAATTAAAATGGATTTGCTTTGTCTCTTTAGAAATTATTGAAACAAGAACTACCAAGACGGAATTTATTACCCATGTTTTGTAAAATAGCACCACTTATCAGAGAATCGATGTGAGAATTAGCTAAGTGCTGGAAACCATTCCCAGGAGTCATGCTGACAATTCATCTTGCTCATCCTCTTTCTAAACAAAGCTTCACTTTTCTTCCTTAAGAATTCCCTTGGTCTGGCCGGCACCGTGGCTCACGCCTGTAAGCTCAGGATTTCGGGGGTCCAAGGCGAGAAGATAACTTGAGGTCAGAAGTTGAGACCAGCCTGACCAACATGGTGAAACCTCGTCTCTACCAAAAATACACAAATTAGCCAGAGGTGGTGGGACACGCTTGTAGTCCTAGCTACTTGGGAGGCTGAGGCAGGAGAATTGCTTGAACTCTGGAGGCAGAGGTTGCGGTGAGCTGAGATCGTGCCACCGCACTCCAGCCTGGGCGACAGAGCGAGACTCCGTCTCAAAAAAAAAAAAAAAAAAAAAAAAAAAAAAAAAAAAAAAAAAAAAAGAAAAGTGTTAAACCTGGTGAAGTATTTAGGGGTAAAATATCATAGTATTTATAACTTACTTCCAAAGGGGAATAAATAAGTAAGATCATTTTCAGAGAGAGAAAAAGCAAATATGGTAAAACATTAACCACTGTTGAATCTAAGAAGGAGATATATGGATGTTCACTGAACTATTCTTTCAACTTTTCCGAATGTTTGGAAATTTTTATAATAAAAATTGGAGAGAAAGGAATGCACAGTGTAGCCATTTAAGGTCCATGAAAATATTTCCATTCACTCCAGAAACCCCTGAAAGCATATCCTAGCCTGTGAGCGTGATTTAGCATGTAATTCTAGGTTTATGGCTCCGGATGCCACGCCTCTAAAATTATGGCTGAAGAAGAAGGAAGTGAAACTCGAAACTGCCGTACCCACCATAATTCTTCTGATACTGAGTATGTTCCCCTCCAGAGGTATGACTTGTACACTGAATGTTAACAGTAGTTTTCTACCTTTAGGACTGTTGTCTTAAGATTATTTATCTTTCTATGGCTGACTAGAAACTGAATTGCTACAGTGTGGAGATCAAAATGAGGAGCTTCCACAGATAATGATTTTCACGTAGTCTTCACACTGATGAGATTTGTGAAACAGGAAAAGTTTTCTAAATAGACTTGAGTCCACAGGTAAAATTTTATTTATCAAAATAAATGACAGTGTGGGTTTATTCATGGAGTGAAATCACAGAATTAGGATTTTCTCCTGGAAGAGTCATAGGTGTTTCTGGGTTATACATGTTTATATTTGCTACTTATGTATGTTTCTATTTCAGGAGGTTGAAGCAACAGATTCATCTCAGATCTTTTCCTCTCTCCTTGTCATCATCTTTCTTCTCCAGGGCCCATTACTTCCATCTCAGTATTTCATACTTGCAGTGTGGCTCTGAGCAAAGGACCACATCTTGTCTGCAGAGTGACGAGAGGAGCTAAAGCATCTCACAGCCTTCCTGGTTCTGATATCTGCTCAGCCTAATTTTCCATCTTTCTTTCTCTCCCTTTCTTCCTTCCTTCCTTCCTTCCTTCCTTCCTTCCTTTCTTTCTTTCTTTCTTTCTTTCTTTCTTTCTTTCTTTCTTTCTTTCTTTCTTTCTTTCTTTCTTTTCTCCTTCTCTTTCTTTCTTTCTTTCTCTTTCTTTCTTTCTTTCTTTCTCTCTCTCTCCCTTCCTTCCTTCCTTTCTTTCCTCTTTCTTTCTTTCCCTCCCTCCCTCCCTCTCTCTTTTTCTTTCTTTCTTTCTCTTCTCTTTTTTTTTTTTTTGACAGAGTCTCTGTCTTGTCACCGAGGGTGGAGTGCAGCGGCACGATCTGGGCTCACTGCAACCTCTGCCTCCCAGGTTCCAGTGATTCTCAAGCCTCAGCCTCCTGAGTAGATGGGATTACATGCATGCATCACCATGCCCAGCTATTTTTTTGTGTGTTTTTAGAAGAGACGGGGTTTCATCATGTTGGCCAGGCTGGTCTTGAACTCCTGACCTCAAGTGATCTGCCTGCCTTGGCCTCCCAAAGTGCTGAGATTACAGGCGTGAGCCACTGCGCCCAGTCCCTCATTTTCATTCGCCAGCAAATTGTCTTGTTTACTCTTCTGACCTCCTGGGAACCCACCAGCCCCAGGATCTCTCTAATCAATAAATTAAATGCCTCCTCTTCTGAAACAGGAGCAATGATATTATCTCCGTTCTCTCTCACTCTCTCTCTTTCTCCTTTTCTACTAGCTTCCATTTCTGTAAGTCCAACAGATATCTACCTTCTGATTCCTAATATCAGCCATTAGGCTAGCTGACCTATTAACCTTTTCACAGTTGGCTTGCCTCTGCACCTGCTGTATCCATCATAGTTTTACATTTCCTGGAAACCAAAAGACTCTTAAAACATGTTTAGTAAATACTGTTTCCATTCTCCTAATGATGCACATTCATGGCAAGTGACAAGTCTAATGTGCTCAGCTGGACCTAGTCATAATCTCTCTGAACCCCTTAGGTACAGCCCCGTGACTTCCCAGTTGCCAAATATTTTCATCTCCCTTACCATGAGCATCTGGTTTCAGATGCATGGTTAAAGATATGACCAGACAGACAGAGAAGCACCTCAGCAGAGCTTCCTAAAACACCTTCAGGATGGCAGGCATTGTGTATGCTCAATCTGCTGCTGCTATTATTAGAGTCACTTCATACTGACTAAGCTGTTATTGAGGAAGAAGTGGATTAAGACTTATGGAGTCTGAGTGGTAAATGCATGATGCAGGGCTTTTAGGGCAAGATCGGTGGCATGCAGTTTTATTCAGCACCACACCTCAAATGCTCAGCAGGGCAACCTGTGTTAAGGGCACTCTCTAAGCAGCAACCAGGCAGTTCAAATGTTTGAATGACTCATCCTAATTGACCTTCTACTGCAGTCCAACCAGCCTCAGGGATGGGCAGTCTGGCAGCATGGTGCCACAAGATAGGAAGCATGGAGCAAAGGAGGGGAAGCAAGGCAGCTGACAAATGTCCACAGACTGGGCAGATGAGTCACATTGTCCCCCTGTGCCTCTGCTTCCCCATGAAGTTCAGGGACAAGAACACCTGCCTCCTATTTGTCTTCTGAGGTTGTTTTGAGGACTGGAGATAATGTTGGCCAACTGCTTAGAACTCTGAAAATTGCTAGAGCAGAAATACAAATGGAATGTCAAATCACAGTGGACATTTTGAACCCTAGCCTCTCCAATAGATAGAGGTGTGCCATTTAAGTCTTTAATTAATGCAATGTCATTACATGACAACCTAACTAGTAATTAGAGAGCCGTTAGATACAAAAAACTCAACTAAATTGTGATGTGGCTGCTTCTCAAGTAGAGTCCTTATAGATGGGGGCAGAGAAAGAAAGAGCCCTTGAGAGGTGCATGCTGGACACTGTAATTTTTTGTAAATGGTATCTGTTCAGAGTGGGTATGGAAGAAGAGCCCAGACCAGGTGCGGTGGCTCACGCCTGTAATCCCAGCACTTTGGGAGGCTGAGGTGGGTGGGTCATTTGAGGTCCAGAGTTCAAGACCAGCCTGGCCAAACCTGTCTCTACTAAAAATACAAAAATTAGCCAGGTGTGGTGGCGTGCACCTGTAGTCTCAGCTACTCAGGAGGCTGAGGCAGGAGAATCACTTGAACCCAGGAGGCAGAGGTTGCAGTGAGCTGAGATCTTAAAAAAAAAATAAAAAGAGGAAAGAAGATCCCACCACATTCCAACAGAGACAGCTGATGACAATCTACTTGATACTTGAGTTGGATCCAGAGTGGGGTGTGTACCTGCTGGCCATTTGCCATGGATCTGACTCATGGACCTGACCTGTGCCCAAGTGAACAGGGAGCAGCACTGTGGGCAAAAAGCACACCCAAGTGAAGTCCCTAGATAGAGGTGGCTTCTCCAGAGAGAGAATAAATAATGAATAAGAAAATTAGATATCTGGGCTTCATTTATTCCTACAGGAAACAGAAAAGAAAAATTGAGAAAAATTTACATCCTTAGAAGACTGCAAAGTAACTCACCTCTCTGAAGCAGAATCAGAAAACCATAGAACAGGTTGAGGTGGAAAGGCAATGGAATGAAAGGAAAAGGGAGATGAACTCGGATAGCAGAGTTAAAATTCATAATAGAGATAATGAGGAACAGAATTGGCAATGTGATGTCACCTTTCTCAAGGCAGTTTAGAACATGTTGCTGGGCATGGTGACACGTGCTTGTAGTCCTAGATACTTGGGAGACTCAGCTGGGAGGATTGCTTGAGCCTAGAAGTTCAAGACCAGCCTGGGCAACAAAAAAGAACATGTATTAATGTACTTAAATACATATGTGGCCTTTTACCCAACAAGTCATTTCTAAAAATTTAATAAGAGGAAATAGCAGTACAAATTTGCAATGATATAATATATGGAATGTTAATCAGGGCTTTTACAGTAGAAAAATCAAACAGAAAAGAACCTGAGTGTCCACCAATAGAGAAGTAGTTAAATAAATTATGGTATTAAAAGATCATAATATTAATATGAAAATAATATGAAGCAACTATTAAACTAATTTATTTAGCACAGAAAGATATTTATTTAGCACATGCTATGTTATTAAAGAGATATAATGCAGGAAACAAAATAATACATAGAGTAAGATAGTGTTGTTTTTTTTTTTTAAAGTCTATGTGTGTATGAAGCATAGAAAAAGAAGTCCAGGCTGGGTGCGATGGCTCATGCCTGTAATCTCAGCACTTTGAGAAGCTGAGGTGGGAGGATCTCTTCAGCTCAGGAGTTCAAGACCAGTTTGGGCAACATAAGAAAACTTTGTCTGTACGAAAAATAAAAAATTAGCTGGGTGTGGTGGCACGCACTGTAGTGCTAGCTACTCAGGAGGCTAAGGTGGGAGAATTGCCTAAGCCCAGAAGGTTCAGGGTACAGTGAACCATGATTGCACACTGCACTCCAGCCTAGGCAACAAAGCAAGACCCTGTCTGAAAAAGAAGGAAAAGAAAGCAAAGCAAAACAAGAAAGCAAGGAAGGAAGAAAGAAAGGAAGAAAGGAAGAAAGGAAGGAAGTCTGGAAAGACTGCATTGTTCACTTTTGCTGCATAACAGACCACCCTAAAACTCAATGGCTTAAAAAATAACAACCATTTCTTTCATTCATCATTTTGCAGGGCAGCAATTTGGGCTGTGTTCAGCTGGGCCGTTCTTCTAGTCTTAGGCTCATTCATGCATCTGTGGCCTGCAGCCGGTTGCCTGAAAACTGGTCCCACCAGTCTCTGCTCTACCTGGCCTCTCATTCCCCAGAAAACAAGGCTGGCTTTGTTCATAGAGTGTCCCCCAAGGTTCTGAGAGCAAGAGTGAATCCTGAGCTGATACCTGGTGTGCTACTTCTGCCACATTCTGTTGGCCAAAGTAAGTCACAAAGCTAGCTCCGATTCAAGAGGAGAGCAAATAGACTCTTCATATCTTGTATCTCTTGATATAAGGAACTGCCAGGTCACACGGCAAAGAGGTGTGAATTCAGGAGAGGAAATAATTGTGGCCATTTTTGCATATAATCTGACACAAAGATACTATATTCTAAAATGTTAGCAGTGCATATTTGAGATATGAAATTACAGGTGATTTTTATTTTATTATTTAAATGTTTCTGTGCTAGCAAAATTTTTATAATAAGCATGTATTACTTTTATTGCCAAAATCAAGTTATTTCTATCTTAAAATTTTATTAAGAGGTTTTTTTTGGGGGGTGGGGGGATTGTTTGTTTGTTTGTTTGAGCCAGAGTCTGGCCCTTTTGCCCGGGCTGGAGTACAGTGGCACAATCTTAGCTCACTGCAACATTCACCTCCCAAGTTCAAGTGATTCTCCTGTCTCAGTCTCCTGAGTAGCCAGGACTACAGGTGCATGCCACCACACCCAGCTAATTTTTGTAGTTTTAGTAGAGATGGGGGTTTCCCCATGTTGGCCAGGCTGGTCTTGAACTCCTACCTCAGGTGGTCTGCCCGCCTCGGCCTCCCACAGTGCTGGGATTACAGGCATAAGCCACTGCACCCAGCCTAAGAGTTTTTAATGGCATTGCAAAATTATCACAATATACTCTTAAGTTTAAAAGCATGATAAAAAAAATCATGAAGTATATACATAATATATCCTAAAACATTAAAATATACAGAGAAAGGTCTAGAAAGAATTATAAAAATGTTAACAATGGTACTGTTTGGATGTAGGGTTATGAGTATTTTTATATTTTAATAAACTTTCTAAATTTTCTGCAATTAAAAGGAATTAATAATTAGAAAAAAGCAAAAAAGCAAAAAATAAAGTTTTTTAAAAGGGACATTTAAAGAAGGCTGGGCATTAATGTTCAGAAGACATCCTGGAAACAAAAATAATATGCCACACACCGAGAATGATTAACTCATTTCTCTGCACCTACAGCCTAATGATAGGAAGATATTTTTTGCTGAAAAACAATGATGAGCTTGTTTGTCTACTTATACAGAAGTATTCAGAAAATGTCACTAATGTGGATTTGAAGAAAATTACAGTGTAAATCCACATTCTCCAACACAATAGAAACTCGCTATTTTATAGTTGTTGGCACTGCCCAGTTAATAATATAGCTTCTGCTATATTGGTTTATTACATCCGTTTCTAACTGATTGGTACTCCAGGCGCAGGAGTGATTGATTGACACCATTAACCTCTAACAGAGTGATCTCAGAGAAAGGCAGACTAGGGTAGGGCAAGAAAGACATCTAGGGCACAAAATTTAAGGAGGCACTCCTTTTTAAGGCCAACTCTATACTTGCATGACCCTGGGAGTGAATGTTCCCTTAAATTTTGCTTCCTAGGTATCTCTCTCTCCTCACTCTGATCCCAACCATGTCTTAGAGAACTGGTCTTACCTTTCTTAACCAGAACAGAAGTACTCTCCAATTGTGTTTTTCATGCTACGGTACTGACAGTGTCTTAGCTGAGGCTCCCAAAAAAAAGAGCCTGAAGCAGAGGCCTTATGCATGGGTACCTTACCAGGAAATGCAATTCCAAAGAGCAGGAGTAAAGCTCCAGGGCAGAGAAGCAGAGAAGGAGAAAGGACCAATACCAAGATGATGTATCAAGCTGACCACCAATAAACACAACTGATTTCCCAAGCCATAAGATTGTACCCCTGCGAAACCACATACACACCATCTCAGCATCATCTTGGGGAAGGAAAGGAAACAAAGGAAGAATTTATCCATTGACTCCCATCTTTCATTGGTCAAAATTTCTCCCTCAGGAGCATCAACTCCCCCACACTGCCAGGTCACACTTGAGCAGTATCACTCTCAGATCCAGACAAGAAGGACCGCTGCCCGGGGCTTCATGCTTCGGTTGTAGATCACAAACCCTGCCTCTCATCAGTATACATACAGAGAAAAATCAAAGAGCATGTCTCACTTGGAATCCTGCCATCAGCACTGGCATGGCACAACCTCTAACCCTAAACACCTGCTCCTATGAGTAACACTCTTCTGGTCCCAGGGGAATACATCTTCTCATGGCTCTTCCATCCTCCAAACAAAAGCCAGCTGTGTCAAAATACCAAGAAGATTTGTAGAGTGTTCCACCACTGACATTGGAGGCCAGTGCCTTTTAGGAGTTCAGGACAGATTTGAGCAGCAGATCTGCTTAGGTAACAAAAAAGACTGATTTGTTAGTTTGTCAAATCCTTCTCAGAGAGCATGAAAGCAACAAATTTTCCATAGTGAAGCATGTCCCAATAGCACCAAGCATTCTTATTTTTTTGGTGTGTTCCAATTAATGGTTCTGGAGTAACTGACGAATTAATGCTGTATTCACAATTGCATATGGTGGCAGAGGCACATTTTGTAACACCGAATAAATCGTTTTACTCTTAAATGTGTATTATCCCTCAGATCTGAATCCACCTATATTTTTTTTTGTGAGGCGTTACTGAAGCTCTGCAAACTACATTTTTACTTTCTGCCAATAGGGCATGCTAGAGGGAGACTGCAAGGCCAGAGAAGGGAGGGGCTGGCTCCTCCCCCTGTTTACTGGATGTTCCTGTTGGCAACAGCCCCACAATAGCCCTTCAACATGGCTGGAACTGCCACTGCTTGTCCAGTGTCCAGCTATTTTGCGCAGTCCCAGAACCAGCCTCATGACACCCCTTTGGAGACATCAGCACTACCCAGGCAACGCCTCCTGTTCAAAATCCGTGCCCCAGTTCTGCAGGGTTCTGAGCTTCTAGTTTCTTCTTTCTGCAGATGATGGCTTCTGCAGATACTATGTGCATGTACCTTCATGTCACCTTTTCATTTTTTTAGTCCTCTGATACCTGTTCAACCAATCCCTTAATTTTTGCTGTGAAAACAACTAGTGTGGCTTCTGTTTTCCTAACTGCCCCGATCAACACTGTGGATCTAAATGTGGGAAGCAAGCAACATGACAATTCTTTACAGTGCAACTACGTGGACAGAGTGCACTGGGATTGTGAATGGCTTTATTTTCCAAACTTATTTCATATAAGAGCTAATTAAACTGTTAACGAATTGAATAAACTTCCATTTTATTAAGATACTTTAAGTTTGCATTTTTTATATTAATGCATTATGATTTGAATTGATTTGGTCTTCTAGTTTTAATAAATGGTCTTGAATATTTTAGAAGAAAAAATACCTTATTTTAAAAACATATTATTTTAGAGTTCGCCACAGAGAGAGAGAGAGACAGAAAGAGATTTATTTCAAGAAATGGGCTCAGGCGATTGTGGGGGCTGGCAAGTCTGAAATCTGTAGGTCAGGCCAGCAAGGCTGGAAGCTCTTGGGCAGGATTGATGCTGCAGTCTTGAGGCAGAATTTCTTCTTGATGGAAACCTCAGTTTTTGCTCTTTAAAGGTCTTTCAGCAGGTTGGATGAGGCCTACTAACATTATCAAGGGTCGTCTCTTTTACTTAAAAGTCAACTGATTGTAGACATTAACCACATCTACACAATACCTTCACAATAACACCTAGATTAGTGTTCACTTGAATAACTGGCTAGTATAGCCTAGCCAAGATGATACATAAAATTAACCATCTCACATATATAAAATAATTTTTTATTTTTGAAAATTCACTTTATATTTTTGTAAATATATTCAAAGTTTATGTACTTGAAAGCTGTTATATTTTATTTAGAAATAATACAAAAGTAGAGCTCAGAAAAAAAACAAACGGCTTACCCACACCAAAATGTTGGCCTGCTGGTTAACCTCTTCTGCCTCAACACTACCTCCTGCCTCCACAGACCCATCCCTAACATTTACAGGGCCTGAGGCAAGCGTACACCTGAAGCTTACTCACATTTTCTTTTTAATCAATAATTGTAACCTCCATTTGGTACAAAATTTGCAGTTGCAGAAATTTTATCTATTTGTTCAAGTTGTGTGGTTGTGTGTTTGATGAGAATAATTTTCTTGCTCATTTTCATTGTTTTTGATGAGTAATTAAATCTTTGTTAAACTTAGAATTTGTAATGTAATGTCTTGTTTGCTAATTTTATGATGATCATACTCAACTGAAGGCTGGTTATTTTCATTGTTTTCAGGTTTTGAAATTTAAGTAGATCGCAATCTCTTTGAGGATTTCCCATTTTGGAAAATCTTGAATACTTTTGCTCAGCATGCTCTAATTTGGCAATGTCCCTTAAACATGTGGTGAACAGAGTATAAAAACATTTATGGCCCTTGGTATATTCTGTCAAATTGCTTTATAAAAACTCATAATCACTTATGTGAATACTTTCATTTATTAAGTTTTTTGGCAGATTTGGTCAACCAAATTGATGGTAGGCCAAAAATGATACCTCGTTTTTGTTTCAATTATTGGTGAGATGGGCAAAACAGTTTCTCAATGTGTACTGAAACCAATAATTTGTATCACAAGGCATATGAGTATTTATAATTCCTGGCCAAGTAATTCTACCTGTCAATTTATTCTAAGGAAATAATCTGTACTAAGTATAAAAATTTTTTTTCTAGAGTTAATGATGTTGGAAAAGTGAAACCAATGTTCAATTCTTGGGAACTTATTGTTTAATTATAATAAATTTATTTATCAACTTTATGCAGTCCCTAAAAATTACCACTATATTAAGGCTATACACCATCATGGGGTGGCAGGGTGGAGGAAACGGGCAGGGAGACTCATAAGGGAAAAACAAGAAACACAAAAAACTCAAGATACTAATTAACTGGACATTTTAAGTACAGTGAAATTTTAAAGGGTGCATTAAAAAGGCTAGAAGGAAATTCATCAGAATATTACTGGTAGTTATATTTAGGGTCACAGGATTACAAGCATTTTCTTCTTCAATTGCCGTACAAAATTTTCTATAAAAGGGTTCTATAACGTTTTCATTGGAAATAAAAGTTTTTTTTTTTTTAAAGACTCCTTATACCCCACCAAAACTTTTTTTTTTTTTTCTGAGATGGAGTTTTGCTCTTATTGTCCAGGCTTCATGATCTCGGCTCACTGCAACCTTTGCCTCTGAGGTTCAAGTGACTCTCCTGCCTCAGCCTCCCAAGTAACTGGGATTACAGGCACCCACCACCACACCTGGCTAATTTTGTATTTTTAGTAGAGATGGGGGTTTCATTATGTTGGCCAGGCTGGTCTCGAACTCCTGACCTCAAGTGATCCACCCTCCTCGGCCTCCCAAAGTGCTGGAATTACAGGCGTGAGCCAACACACCCGACCCCACCCAAACTTTGAACTCATAAAAAATCTGTATTATATAGAGCTAAATGAAATATTCAACTTTCATCACTTTCTTAGGATAACTTTGTTTCACAGAATTATTTACTGTGAAGGTAGAGACCATGGGACGAGGACTCCATCAGATTTTCTTTCACGACCTCCAAACGTCTTTGTGTACTGGGTGGTCCGTTCCTGCTGTCTTAGAGAAATATCCTGCCCATTTTCCAAAAGTAAGTCTCCCATTTCTCCTTAGTTTAACTTTCGGCTTTCTCACAAAACTTTGCACCATTAATTCTGGCCTCTCTTGTGCATTTGCCTCAATTTTCACTGGATCCTTCCCTAAAGGGTAATGATGTTGAGCCTCTTCTTGTGTGCTTACTGGCCATTTGTATTTCTTCTTTAGAATCCTTTGCCCATTTTTTAATTGGGTTGTCTTCTAATTTTTTAGTTGTAAGAGTTTTTAATAATTCTGGATATAAGTCCCACACTTGCCACAGCACTGTCAGCTGATCCTACAGGAAGCTCTAGAGCTGGAATAGCCCTTCAGAGTTGTTCTGTATTGAGGCAAGAGGGGTTGTGCTTCTCTAGTCATTGGAGGTAGGCTCTACCAGGGATGAGGGGAAGTAACCATGGCAATTCAGCTCTCTTCTGCCAGGACATTCCCCAGAAAGGGATGGAGCTGTAAGCAGTCGTCAATCAACACCTCCCTCCTTCAGCTGGGGAAATGAGTGCCTCCGTCCTGAACGGGAAATCTGGGCTGGATGGTGCATACCAAAGCAACTGCTACAGCTCGACTGTTCCAACGTCAGTGCTCTGACACCAAGTGGGTGTCCTACAATTCAATTCAGTTCTGATACTAACCACCAGGAGTTGGCACAAAGTCCTTCACAAGACTGCCCCCACTTCAGACATCAGCTGAAGTCTTGGGGCCACCCCCACTTCTGACTAGCTGGCTATAACCTTGGGGGTTCTCATGACCCCCTCAGGTTCAATAACTTACGAGGATAACTCATAGAATTCCTTAAAACATTATACTGATGAGGCCGGGCGCGGTGGCTCACGCCTGTAATCCCAGCACTTTGGGAGGCCGAGACGGGCAGATCACGAAATCGAGACCATCCTGGCTAACACGGTGAAACCCCGTCTCTACTAAAAAAAATTAGCCGGGCGTGATTAGCGGGCGCCTGTAGTCCCAGCTACTCGGGAGGCTGAGGCAGGAGAATGGCGTGAACCCGGGAGGTGGAGCTTGCAGTGAGCCGAGATCACGCCACTGCACTCCAGACTGGGTGACAGAGCGAGACTCTTGTCTCAAAAAAAAAAAAAAAGAAAAGAAAGAAAACAAAACAAAAAAAATTATACTGATGATTACAGTTTTACTGTAAAGCATACAACTCAGGAAAGCCAAATGAAAGAGACACACAGGGCAAGGTCTGGGGATGGTGGGGAGGACACAGCTTTGATGCCCTCTCCTCGTGGAATCTGGGCATGTCCTCCCTCCAGGACATCAGTGTTGCCAACCAGGAAGCTCCTCTGAGCATCAGAGTCCAGGGTTCTTTATTGAGGTTTCATTACACAGGCATGATGGATTAAATCACTGGCCATGTAATTGAACTCACTGTCCAGCCTTCCTCCCCTCCTTGGAGGCTGGGTGGCTGAAATTTCCAGTTCCCTAATCACAGGCTTGGTTTCTCTGATGACCAGCCCCCATCCTGAGGCCATCAGGGCCCCTCTCCCTCTATCACTTGGATAATTCCAAAGATTTTTTAAATCCCTGTGTCAGGAGCAAGGGACAAAACTCAGATATTTTTTATTATGCCACAGCTCATTGGCATATTAATAATTCTGGGATAGTCTGTAGGTTAAAAAAAAGATTTAACTTTGCTTAACCAGTTCTTCCTCAATTTATTTGACCATGGAGCCTCATTTTATAGACCCTACTTTTTCCTCCCACACAATACCTGTTAGTACCCTTTGAAAACACTCTTTGGGGAACAGTACTCAAATCCTTATTCCTCTGTGCTCTGAGGCTGCACTCCTAAGTCCCTGATGGCAGGATAGGCTACATCATGTGTAGGGCCTAGTACAAAACCAAAGTGTGGGGTTCCCTGTTCAAAAGCTACTAAGAATTTTAAGGCAGGCCAGGCATGGTGGCTTATGCTTGTAATCCCAGCACTTTGGGAGGCTAACGCAGGAGGATTGCTTTAGGCCAGGAGTTCAAAACACCAGCATAAGTGACATAGGGAGACCCCATCTCTTCCAAAAAAAAAAAAAAAAAATCAAGGCAGGAGCAGTAGAGCATTAGCCACTCATGGTTCCTCTGTGCACAGATCGTGTGCCCGTGAAGCCAGCCCGACCTGATGGACTCTCTCCTACTGTGTTTTCTATCTCAAGAATGACATCATCATCTATAGTGTCTCTGACTATCACTCTTGACTTTTCTTCTCTCTCTCTCCTAACAGCCAGTAAATCACCAGGTCCTGAATTCTCCCACTTAAATACCTCTCAAACTTGTCCACACCTCTTTATCTCCCCTGCCAGCCTTCCTAATGCAGGCTGACATCACCCTCACCTAGATTGCTTCAGCTTCCCCCACTCACTACTGCCAGCTCCCTCCTCCACTAAGCCTGCCAGGATATCTTTCTCAGGAAGCAAATCTCATCATGATTCCTGCCTCTCCTCCCTATCTGTCCCACCACGCTTGCAACAACACCTCAATGGTACTCCTTGCTTTGGGGATAAAGTGTAAACTCTTTAACATGGCTCATAGGATGCTTACTGCTGACTCTTCAAGTCTCACCTCTCACCATGACTGTTTTCCTCCTGGGGCCATTTTTTTCTCCTCTGTCCTCCATGTATCATAAGGTAGAGCCTCAGGTGTAGAGTCAGACATCATTAAAAAAAAAAAGGTCTCACAGGAGAATGGGACCAGCTGTACAGCAGGGACTCGCTGGCTGTGGCACATGGCCTGAGGACCCACAGCTGCTCTCCTGGTGGGCATAAGGTGGGGACAAGGGCAGCACAGTGCAGTGGCTGAAAGCAGGGCTCAAGAACCAGGCTGCCAAGACACTTAACACTTTTCCACCTCAGTTTCCTCATCTGTAAAAATGGGAATAATAAACATATCTACCTTAAATTATGGATGAAATGTGGACATTCCCTGGCAAGCAACCAGCCCCATGTAAGCATTCTGGCACAGCTCAAATTCATGCCTGCTTCTTTCCATTCCTGTCAGCCAACTACTTTTCCACTAGTGTTTCTCATGCTCATGTCCTCCACTCATGGTTTCTTCCTCAGGCCTGGACTCCCCCATAGCGTCTGCATGTTGCTTTCCCTCTGTATGAGCGTTGCTTCTACTCCAGTGTGTCAGCAACACAGCTCTCTCTTGAAACTTTCTGAACTCCTCAACAGAAAGAATCTGATTTGTCCAGAAAATCACTGCAGCGCCCGCGGGGCCAACTTACTGCAATCAGCTGAAGCAGGCACATGTGGATAACAGCACGACTGAAAACCACCACCTGGGATTGCTTCCACCTGTGGGGTTCAGGCGAAAAACCTCTCAGAGGGCTTGGCTGGGTGGAGCTGGCATTCTGGGTCAGAACCCATTCAGCATTCCCATGGGCTTGAAGCTCTGTGCTATCTCCACCTTATATCAGTGCCTTCCCTACCGTTCCAATTCTTCCCTTTATTATTTATTTATTTACTTATTTATTATTATTATTTTTGAGACAGTATCTCACTCTGTTGCCCAGACCTGAGCACAGTGGTGCCATCTCAGCTCACTGCAACCTCTGCCACCTTTCAGGTTCAAGTGATCTTCCCACCTCAGCATCCCCAGTAGCTGGAATCACAGGCACCCACAACCACGCCTGGCTAATTTTTGTGTTTTTAGTAGAGACAGGGTTTCACCATGTTGACCAGGCTGGTCTCGAACTCCTGGCCTCAAGTGATCCACCCGCCTCAGCCTCCCAAAGTGCTGGAATTACAGGCCTGAGCCACTGCACTTGGCCTTTATCTTCTTTTTTAAAATTTTGGTTTTGGCAGGACACGGTGGCTCACGCCTATAATCCCTGCACTTTGGGAGGCTGAGGTGGGTGGATCACCTGAGGTCAGGAGTTCAAGACCAGCCTGGCCAACATGATAAAACTCCATCTCTACTTAAAGTACAAAAAATTGGCTGAGCATGGTGGCACGTGCCTATAATCCCACCTACTCAGGAGGCTGAGGCAAGAGAGAATCACTTGAACCCAAGAAGTGGAGGTTGCAGTGAGCTGAGATCACGCCACTGCACTCCAGCCTGGGCAACAAGAGCAAAACTCTGTCTCAAAAGAAGAAAATTTTGTTTTCATATATTTTGTATAGAAAAAGCATGCATTACCTTCTTTTTTAAAATACTTCTAATCAGTCTACATTAACTTCTGTGAAAATACTGCCTGCATTTTGGGGTAAAAAAATTCTAAAAACAATTTCAGTAATATAAGAAATATCCAACTTAAATAACAAAGAACTACATCCAAATTACTGCTGCACTAGTTATTTCCACGTTTTCCATGTTTTTAAAATAACCATCTTACTTGGTACTATACACTCAAAGAGTAATTGTGAAAAGTCAGACAATTCAATGTGCCTCTAAAATCTCATTGAAAATGTATTGGCACTGGCTCAATTATAGGTGCACTTGCAGTAACAGAATGTGAATAAACTTCTTTTATACCATGTGAGAAAGTAAAACTTATGATTTATTAAAATATATATACACTAAATTTTAAACTATCCAGATATGCTGTATGGAACAGAAAGTAGAAATGATTTTATATAATAAGACGTGTGTCCTTGTCAGTTCATACATTCATTTCACATCTGAATACTGAAAGACAATTAAAAAGCACATTTAGTATTGCACCCTTTCATGTTTGTTTCTTTCCCACACTTTTCTCTCCAAAATCTTATTATGAATAATCTCAAAAATGTAGAAAAGTTGAAAGGATCATCCAGTGGTCACCCATACACTCACAGTTGATTTATCCATCCTCCTGTTGATGGATACCTGCACCATTTCCAGTTTGCGGGGTACTATGAATAAAACTGCTATGAACATTCTAGTAAAAGTCTCTTTGTAGATATATTATTTTATTTTGTGCTTTGAATGAATAGAAGTTTTTTATTTTAATGAAGCCCAATGTATCAACTTTTCCTTTTTATGGTTAATTCATCTGTATCCTAGTTATAAATTTTTTGCCTACCCCAATTCCATGAATATATTTTCTATATTTTTTTAGAAGCATTATAGTTTTGTCATTCACATTTATATCTATGATTTAATCATAAGTTCATTTTTGAGCATATTACAAGGGTCTTCCATGTAACTATTCGATTTTTTCATTTATTGAAAAAAAATTACCCTTTTCCCACTGAATTGCATTGGTGACTTTATCGTAAGCAAGTAACCATGTGTGCATGGATCTATTTCTGGACTCTATTTCATTAAGTCGTCTGTCTTTATGCCAGTACCACAATTCCTTTATGACTCTTTTAGGCTAAGTTTCAGATTAATTCTTAAAAAAAAAAAAAAAGATAAGATCTTGCTATGTTGCCCATACTGGGCTCAAGCAATCTTCCTTCCTCAGCCTCCCTAGTAGCTGAGGCTACAGGTGCATGTCACTGTGCCCAGTTTAGATTTCACGTTTAAGTTTGATGTCTCATGGGTTAGTCCTCCAAGTCAGTTCTCCTTCAAGATTGCTTGACTATTATAATTTTTTTTCTTTTTTCATATACATCTTAAAATCAGCTTGTCAAATTCCATGGTTAAAAACCTGCCGAGGCCGGGCACGGTGGCTTACGCCTGTAATCCCAGCATTTTGGGAGGCCGAGGCAAGCAGATCACCTGAATTCAGGAGTTTGAGACCAGCCTGGCCAACATGGTGAAATCCTGTCTCTACTAAAAATACAAAATTAGCCCAGCATAGTGGTGTACGCTTGTAGTCTCAGCTACTTGGGAGGCTGAGACAGGAGAATCATTTGAACTTGGGAGGCAGGGGTTGCAGTGAGCCGAGATTGCGTCATTGCACACCAGCCTGGGTGACAAGAGTGACACTCCATCTCCAAAACAAAACAAAACGAAAAAACCTGCTGAGATTATTGTTTTAATAGAATTGTATGAAATCGATGGATCAATTTAGGGAGAATGACATTTTGAATTGAGTCTCCCAATCCTCGAAATGGTGTATCTCTCTATTTAGTTAGGCCATCTTTAATTTTTCTTGGCAATGTTTTGTAGTTTTCATTATAGAAGTTTGCATATCTTTGATTAACTTCATTCCTGAGTATTAATTAGTTTTCCAACTAATCTTGTATCCAGCCATCTTTGCTAAATTCAACTTGTTTTTTCTAGAAATGTATGTGTTGCTGTGGTTGGATTTTATAAGTATATAAGCATATCTTCTGCCAATAAAGACAATTTTACTTCTTCCTTTCCAGTTGTACGTTTTTCTATTTTGTTTTTCTTTGTCCTTTTTTTCTTTTCTTTTTGTTTGCATAGGCTAGGAACTCCAGTACAACGTTGAAAAGAAGTGATAACCATAGATAGTCTTGTTTTGTTCCAATTTAAGCGGGAAAAATTCAATATTTTGCCATTAAATGATATTAGTTATTATTATGGTTGTGTTTTGTATGTGCACTGATGGTGTTCAGGACACACAACCCCAAAATGTGGAAGACCCTGGCATTTGAGAAAACAACAGAAGCAGGAAGGACTTTCTTACCTTCCCCTCACCTCTTCTCCCCTGAAGTAGGTCGTAAACCTCAGCAGTTCTGGGTCCTGTAAAGTAGGGCCTATGACTCTCGCTCCAGACGTGCCTGCTCTATACCTGGAGTAAAGGAATGCCCTTCTCTCTGAAGACACAGGGACACAGAGATTAATCTGAACAAACAGACCTTGCAGAGCTCCCCCTAGCTTATTACCATTGGATGGTAATAACCCCCCTTTGTCCAATCGTACTTTTGCGTGACTGTCCTCTCTTCATCAAACTTAAGCATAAAAATACACAGGTTTCCCCATTTCACTTCTGAAGGCTCCCATGCTTTTCTCTTGTTGATCTGTCTTCTGTTATAGATGCCTCATCCGTGAAACTAGTGATGGAGAAGAAAGGATTTCACTCTTTCTCCCCTGCAGTACCTTACCAAAATCAGCTAAATTCCCTTCCCAGCTTTAGAATGACACAAGCTTTTCTTATCTTCTTTCTGACTTTCTATCTCTTCTCTCACGCTGAAAATACTGATTCCTGATAATGTTATCATAGTTTTTGTTTTATGCTATAATATGCATAAAACAGTTTCAGAAATATAATGTAATAATAATAAAATAAAAAAGAAAAAAGTTTCAAAATTATAATATCAATATCAATAATGAAGTTACTACTAAAGTGGAAGATTTCTTTGTCCTTTTTTACACTTACATTTCGCTAAGGATGTATGGTCAGAGTTCTATGTTCTAAAGAGAGCTGAAATAATTCTTTTCTCTTTATAGTTGAATTACCAATCTGATACATAGTTAGATTGAGTTGTTTTTATCTTTTTTCAATTTTACAGTTTTATTTATTTTCTCAGGTAAACTATCATATCACTTAGAAATAAAGACAGTTTTGCCTCTTACTTTCCATCTTTTAACCTTCTAGTTGTCTTCCACTGTGTGATTGTATAGGCTACAATCTCCTAGGCAGTTAATTTGTTGTGGAGCTGGTGATCATTCTTGCCTGAGCAACAATGTGTACAGAATTCCCCAGTAAGTAAGGTCCTGCGTTGGCAGTGACAATGTATATTTTTATTTTTAAAAACTGTTCCCTTGGCCCAGCATGGTGGCTCACACCTGTAATCCCAGCACTTTGGAAGGCTGAGGCAGGAGGATCACTTGGGGCCAGGAGTTTGAGACCAGCCTGGCCAACATGATGAAACCCCATCTCTACTAAAAAAATGCAAAAATTAACTGGGCGTGGTGGTGCACACCCGGAATCCCAGCTAGTGGGAGGCTGATGTGCGAGAATCACTTGAACCTGGGAGGCGGAGGTTGCAGTGAGCCAAGATTGTGCCACTGCAGTCCACCCTGGGCAACAGAGCAAGACTTCATCTCAAGAACAACAACAACAACAACAACAAATAAACACATTTTAAAAACCTGCTCCCTCCTTTAGACTTCTATAAGTACAACCCTAAATCTGACCTTCCTTTTTTTTCTTTTTGGAGACAGTTTCACTCTTGTTGTAACTGGGATTACAGGTGGGAGCCACCGTGCCTGGCCCCTAAACTTCCTTACAGTTTTCTCTACCTCAGCCTTCTCCTTTCCACTCTGTCTACCCTACAGGGTTGATTCGTTGTTCAAATTATTTCTGTGATTACTCCACTTGGCTGTATATTCTGTAAAATGCAAACACATTCGTTTGGCATGTGAGGACTTCTACATGAGAAATAAGTGTTACAAGTACAGTACAAGACATGAGTGGCCTGAGATTGGGTTTTGGAGGGGGCATAGGCAGGATGCAAAAACAGATATGAAGGAAATCAGAGTCATATATATGTCTGCATAGCAAGAAACAGCAAATCCCCAGTGGGGTGAGCTGCAGAATAATAACCCAGAGTAAGACTGCAGCCAGAGAACAAAGGAAACGCTAGGAAATTCAACCTTTGTCTCAGGGCAAAAGACCTCTTTGAAGACCTGAGGTCCCTTCTTATTCATATTAATGAAGCAAATTTTTCTAGCTCCAAACTACCTTTCCAAACTTATTTCATACTATTGCCCTTGACAAACTCAGTTGGACTTAATTACTTTCTGTGCCATTTCTGCACTCGGATTTCCAATTATATCGATTTTGCCTCTGGCACTTTAAATTGGTCCTTTGCAGCTGTACACCAAATATCTGCTGGCCACGAACACGAAGCCCCCTACAAGGCTCATGCACAGCACAAGAGATTTGACTGTGTTCTAGACTCTAGTTGTTCCTTCTGCTCAATGCGCATCTCCTGATCACTACTCCCAGAAACAATCTCTAGCTTCTCTGAATTTATATACGGCTTTATCTGTACTTCTTTCCAGTATTGATTCCTAACTTCTACTTTAGCTATTAAAATACAGTCTTATTTATCCTCTAAATAAACTGGAAGCTTCCTTAAGTAACTCAGGTTGATCCATCTTCAGATTCCGATAACTTCTAGAATAATGACCTGAGCCATGGTAATAAATAATCATGAGTGACTGTGGTCTAATCATTACAGAAAACAATGGGCTTCAATAATCTTTTGCTGTGCTTTTATTAATACAAGCATTTGCCAGGGGAGGTGGCTCACACCTGTAATCCCAGCACTTTGGGAGGCTGAGGCAGGTGGATTGCTTGAGGCTAGGAGTTCAAGACAAGCCTGGGCAATGTGGCAAAACCCTGTCTCTACAAAAAATACAAAAATTAGCCAGGCTGTGGTGGCAGGCACCTGTAGTGCCAGCTATTCTGGAACCTGAGGCACAAGAATCTCTTGAACCCAGGAGGCAGAGGTTGCAATGAGCTGAGATCATACCACTGCACTCCAGCCTGGGCAACAGAGCAAGACTCTGTCTCAAACAAACAAAAAACTAATAATTTGACTTCTTCTTTAGTGGCAAACTATTAGGTAACATAAGTTTAAAATCAACAAAACCCTTTACTATTTTTTAAAGACTTTTTTTTCTTCTCTAGGTCTCCCTCAACTTGTATTTATGAGGCTAATCTTTACAATTTAAATATAAACTTATAAACCCATGCCACATTTTATCTTTTGAGAGTCTATCATGTAGTCTGCGGAGATCTTGATTCCATCACCCAACCTGTAATCTGTTCTTTCAACTTTGAGTCATATTCCTATTTGCTAACCATTTTTTTAGATCTTCATCAAGGTAACTAATAAAGATATGAACAATTCATGAATCCTGCATAAAGCTATTTTAAAAAATCCTCTAAGCAAATATGGGTTGTGTAAACAGAGATGTTTGGCCACTGTTGTTAAATTAGCTAGAAATCAAGTACAGATAGTTGTTTTATTTCCCATATGACATTTCCTGGACTCATCCACAAAGATATCCTAATTGTCTTTGTTGGGTGTCTCACTAAACCAAGAAATAACTTTCTATAACATTCCTCTCTTCTATCAGTCTTTCTTAAATTTGGAAAATAAGGTCAGTTTGACATGCTTTGTCCGTGGTGAACCCAAGCTGGTGCCTACTGCCAAATAAAAGGATTCTAATTTGTTTACCAATGTCTAACACTCACAGGATTTGCCACGCTTGCTTGGCTCCCCCAACGTTGAAGGGAGGGTGTTACTCTTTTTTTTTTTTTTTTTTTTTTGAGATGGAGTCTCACTCTGCCACCCATGCTGGAGTACAGTGGTGTAATCTTGGCTCACTGCAACCTCCACCACCCAGGTTCAAGCGATTCTTCTGCCTCAGCCTCCCCAGTAGCTGGGACTACATGCGCATGCCACCACGCCTGGTTAATTTTTGTGTTTTTAGTAGAGATGGAGTTTCACCGTATTGGTCAGGCTGGTCTCAAACTCCTGACCTCGTGATCTGCCCGCCTCGCCCTCCCAAAGTGCTGGGATTACAGGCATGAGCCACCGCGCCCGGCCTGGGGTGTTACTCTTATAGAAATAAAAGAACTTGTTGACTCACTCACAGGAGAGAGGCTACTCCTCTTTACTGCTAATCATAGCCTATGCACGTAAACATAAACAGCATGCATGTAAAGTAAATCAAACTGGCATGACTCAGCCCCTTAGACTGCCCATAGGTGAGAAACACAGGAAGAGAGCCTCACCCGTGTTGTTTCCCAGGACAAGGCGGTCCACAGAGTTCTGCAGCACCAGACCAGCCTTTTAGAAACCCGCGGATACCCTCCCAGTTAACTGTTCCTTTCCCTTTCGAATCACCAGATCTTACTCAGAAAATTTCCACTATTAGTTGTACAACATGCATTCCTAAAGATGTTCCCAAATATATAGGTTTTTCTGGCATGGTTTTTGCCATGCTACTGTTAGGCATGCTATTTTTTTCTCTGCCAGAAATTATTTTGGTGGATGGTATCTAATACATATGTATATTTGAGGCTTGATTTCCCGCTTGACCTAAATCTGTTAGTTTTTTAAAAAGGTAATTTTCTGCGGGGCAGGATGACTCACACTTATAATCTCAGCACTTTGACAGCCCCAGAGGATGGGGGGTTTAGCTTAGTGGGTATTGGTTGCCCGCAGGGAGGGCAGGGGAGTATCGCTTGAGCCTAGGAGTTTAAGGCCAGCTTGGGCAACATAGCAAGACTCTATCTCTACAAAAAAAATTACAAAAATTAGCCAGGCATAGTAGTGCATGCCTGTAGTCCCAGTTACTCAGGAGGCTGAAATGAGGGGATTCACTTGAGCCCAGGAGTTTGAGCCTGCATTGAGCTATGTTCGTGCCACTATACTCCAGCCCGGGCAACAAAACGAGATCCTGTCTCTAAAAATAATAATAATAAAAAGAGAATTTTAAAGTTTCAATTTGAATATACACATTAGCTATTCAAGTTAAAAGGTAGTTTTTGGAAACATATTTTAATAAATTTGAGTCTTTATTTTTTGGCTCTCACCTCTCCTTTTTTTTAAATAAAAGTAATAACAATTATTTATTATTAATAGTTATGATAACTTGAATATGACTATTTGGGGATGCTTTACAAATATCTCAGCATACATAAGCTCAGGCATCATTACAGTCCGGCAAATTCACCACTGTGCCCACTTTACAGATGAGAGCCACAGACTCATGGAGGATGAGAACAGAGCAGTGACCAGGGCTGAGGCTTAAGCCAAGCGTTGGGATCACAAGTCTTTTTTGAAAATGTCACAATGATCCTGTCTTGCTGACATTGTTTGAGATCGTTTCTCAGAGTCTCCTTCTTTTTTGAGTGGTCTCCTGACTTTTCCTGGTCTTGCTAAAAGGATGTTTGGTGGATAAGAAGGAGGATATGTCCTCCCCCAGTGTGGCTCTCCATAGAGTCTCCTTCATCTTGTGGTCACACTCGGTGTCCCTGAGCTCCTCCTCATGGTGGGGGACCAGCTCCGCATGCTGAGCATGAGCACAGCTGCTTGTGTGTGTGGACTACACAACTGTTCCATGATTGTCTAGAAATTCCAATGTTTCCAGGTTCAGTGTAGTAAAAAAAAAACATGCTTCAGTAGATGCTTTTTATCCTTACAGCACCATCAGCTCTCCTTCTAAGCAGAATTTATAATTCTGCTAATTCATTTGTGCATATTAAAGGAATCTTTTTATTCAGGGCACCACTGTAAATTCCAACACATTCTTACAGACTCTAGATAGATGACTTCCTGCTGACAAGGAAAAAGAAAAAAAAGAAATTCTAGACTGAATTGGGTCTGTCCTCGTTACATGCTCTTGCTCTAAGGAAATATAATGTGAAATAGCTCTATTTAATCACAACATTTTTGCATGAAAAGGGCTAGAAGAAAAATAAAGTTTGTAAGTAAAGTTGTGTTTATCATAGGAAGATTTCCAATATAAAATGGCATTCAGCTAACAAATCCTGACATATTCTTTTTAAATTTCCAATTGAAATACTTAAGAAGAAAAAAAGATAAAAATCAAAATTAAAGTGAAAACTGACAACCTACGGGCAGAAGCAGGGAGCATACTCCACTAAGAATGAGACAGATGAAACCATTTAGAAAATTTTAATCCATTGCTCTATCTTCCTATGCCACTGGAGAAAAAGGATAAACGTTACGCAAGAAAGCAGGTGGAAAGATCTTCACCTTGCTCTGATTTAAATATAAGATTATAGGCTGGGTGCAGTGGCTCACACCTGTAATCCCATCATTTTGGGAGGCCGAGGCGGGTGGATCACCTGAGGTCGGGAGTTTGAGACCAGCCTGGCCAACATGGTGAAACCCCGACTCTACTAAAAATACAAGAATTAGCCTGGCATGGTGGTGTGCGCCTGTAGTCCCAGCTACTTGGGAGGCTGAGGCAGGAGAATCGCTTGAAGCCAGGAGGCGGAGGTTGCAGTGAGCCAAGATTGCACCACTGTACTCCAACCTGGGTGACAGAGTGAGACTCCATCTCAAAAAAAAAGAAGAAAAAGAAAAATAAGACCGCAGCAATGAAGACCCTGGACAGCCAAACCTCCCCTTATGGGAGGCATGTTTTGAGGGAGCTGGCGTGTTCTCTCCCAATCTTCCATTCTCTTTCTAAAAACATTTAAATACTATGACAAAAACAAGGCAGGAACTGGGGTAATATTGGAGGTGTTATAGATCCCTAACTTAACACTATAGAGACCAAAAGACAGAAAGAGCTGTGAAAGTCGTGGAATCTGCCAATTGTATGTTTCACACATCCCAGCAATCAGAAGGTGACAGAGGCAGTGGGAGCAGGAGAGGCTATCATCTAAGGCCTGGAAAGTTTCACCCAGTGAAAACCTGCAAGAGGCTGGGAATCAGGCTAGGAGCTGCACATGAGCCTGCTATCTAGTTACAGATCTGAGAAGGAATCACCCAAACAGAAACCCAAGATGCAATGGTGTGCTGGTAAACTGATTTCCACAAAAAACAGGGAAGGAGGGCTATTTTGGTTGTAGTATTTGCCAATTTCCATGTGTAAATACTACCACCATGGTGGACCTCAGCTATCAACATCGCTGAACCACAAGTTGGGAAGAGATGCACACAACCCTGAGTTGGCATCAGCTGGATCCACCATGTTCCCTAGAAAATACTAAACGTGCATGAATTTACCTTCATTCTAGAATGAGTAAAGAGAGGCCTGTGAGAAACATGCCTCAAGAATGAGGAATGAGAGTGATAACAATACTTAGTAGGACTGAGTACTTACTATTCTAAGCACTTTATATTTTACATGCAGCATCTCATTTAATCCTCAAGGCAACTCAGTGAAGTAGGTCATAATATAATAACCTTAAGACAACAATCTGAAGCTTAGGAAGATAAAGTAACTTGCCCTCTCCATGCAGATATTAAATGTTAGATCTGGTCTTAGGACAGCTAAACTCCAAAAGCCATACCTTTAAATGCTATGCTAAGCATAAAATAAACCTGCAATAAATGTACTGACTTCTTGACTCATAATACTGCAATAAACCAATTGTCTTATAAACTGTTGTCATTTTAAGTTTCTTCTCCTTTGAGTTAATGAGAGATTTATGTTTAGGACCTTTCAATTGCTTTTTCCTAGTTTAGAAGGAAAGAGGCCTCAGAGGTGTGTGTGTGTGTGTGTGTGTGTGTGTGTGTGTGTTTTAGAGAATATTCAGAAAATGCGGGATCAGGGTCCTTGGATTCTTCTCCAGGTTTCCAGAATACAACGGCTACAGACTGGAGGCTGGGACAGATACTCACAAATAAAAGCAGCCTGTCATCTATTAATCTGCTGGTATTCTTCTAAATTTGTGCCAGAGAGTCTCTTTGGTATTTGTCATGAGTCTGAGTGTTTAAACACCCACAAGGATAAGTCAGATAAGTCATCAACACCCTAACTTCATGATGGCTTCATATACAATGACCTTTATTCCATATCGATGCCTCCTCCCATGGGCACACCTGGGGACCTTTGCACAGCTATGTGCTCCACCTCTGATATATTGAATTCCAGTAAATTGCTCTCTGATCACAAGCTTCTAGCTCTTCTACATCTCACTCCTCCACTTGGCCTTTGATCTACCCAAGGCCCCACCCCTCCACCCCCTACCCAGGAACTGCCCTGTGTTTCTCTCTAACTTTCATACCCTTTTTGTCTTCCCTACTTTCTTCATTCATACCAGATCCCTGGATGCATCAGTTTAATCATGGTCTCATCAGGGACCTCCCATCTTTGCCCCTCCTTTGCCTCCCATCGTACCCTAGCCTTTACCCATCCAACTTCAGGGCCCGCTCTCAAGCTGCTTTAGGGTAATAAGGTTCTCCAGCCTCAACTTATTCTTCCTCATAACCCAAAGTCCTTCAATGAATGCTTTGTTGGATTTTTCTTCAATTCCTCATGGCAGTTGTTCCAAACTTCCACCCTTAACTCCCCTACTCTACAGACCCCTCCTTAAGCCCAGAAGAGGACACTGACTCTACTTCGCAGGTGCATTCAGAAGGAAGTGCTCCACACACTTAGGATGTCTGGAACCACAAAACCCTCAGTCCACAGGCCTTTTTAGCTAGAAAACTTCAGTATCTACTTCTTGAAGTCTCCACATTTCCTCTGAATTGTCTAAAAGCCTTAGAGGTTTTCACAGCCAAAAGGGGGTTAGTCTTCCTTCCACCCCCAGGTAGAGATGGCTCTGGAGTCTGACTGGGACCCAGTGTCATGACTTCTGGCTAGCACACATATTGTTGACATTTACATCATCTAACAACATGTTGGAACATCATCAACTGTGGCCAACTCCTTTGATGATCCTGCAGGGACTATCTCAAGTCTTCAGGGGAGAACAATCTCCCTTACATAGCATTAGTCTTTCCCAAGCCTACCCCACTCATGGACTCTCAAAATTACAGACCTAGAGCAGTGGACATTTTTAAAACATTTAAGCCCCAAATCTCTTTAAGTCAGCCTTGAATAAAACTGTACTTGTACCAGAAGTGCCATATGTTTCAGTAACAAGAACCTTGGCCAGGTGAGATGTTGACACAGGCATTTTAAGGTTACAGAATACTAAACTGGCCATTGCAGCTCATTATAGAGATAAGGACCAATCAGATATCTTGAACACATTAAAAATGTAAACGTTAGCTAGGTTGGGGTGAAGTTCTTTTCTCCACAGATTTATGTTTCTTGTCATCATGAAATTGATTCTGACTAGTGTGCTTTTTTTTTTTTTTTTTTTTTTTTTTTTGAGACAGAGTCTCACTCTGTTGCCCAGGCTGGAGTGCAGTGGCATGATCTTGGCTCACTGCAACCTCTGCCTCTCAGGTTCAAGCAATTCTTCTGCCTCAGCCTCCCTAGTAGCTGGGACTACAGGTGCGCACCACCACACCCAGCTAATTTTTGTATTTTTAGTAGAGATGGGGTTTCACCATATTGACCAGGCTGGTCTGTAACTCCTGACCTTGTGATCCTCCTGCCTCGTCCTCCCAAAGTGCTGGGATTACAGGCGTGAGCCACCGCGCCCGGCCGTAGTGTGCATTTAAGAAGTTTCCCAGCTGCATCTTGATTTTTAACTACTATGGTTTATTGTTATACAACCTTTAATTTTGAGACAAAGGTGCCTGTTTTACTGTTTGTTTTGAGAAATTTTATTTCTTCATTGTTACAAAAAGTTCAATCTGAATTTCCTCATCTACATTATAACCAATCTTTATTGTAATCCAAACTCAACAAGTGTAAAGCAATTGTCAGATTCTCTTGGAATTGGGAAAAATACATCTGTTTTCTTCCTTTCATAAGCTGCAGTTGTAAAATATGTGGTGATTATACCTAATTCCTTTTTCAGTATTTATCGTGAAAAAACATTAACCTACACAAAAATAGAGAAACATCATCCCAAAACCATCCCCCACTACCCGGTCTGTGGAAAAATTGTCTTCCATAAAATCAGTCCCTGGTGCCAAAAAGGTTGGAGACTGCTGCTTTAGTCTATAAATGGGTAAATTATATGAAAAAACTATCTGATGTGCAACAATCTTTCATTCCTGGGCTTAAATGTTAAGATTTTCACATGTGTGCTTATAATTATATTAACCTTCTTAGGCTGACCAACTGTCCTTGTTGGCCCAGAACCATCCATCCTAGTTTTAAAACAGAGGTCTGGGCCGGGCCTGATGGCTCACATCTGTAATCCCAGCACTTTGGGAGGCTGAGGCAGGTGGATCACTTGAGGTCAAGAGTTTGAGACCAGCCTGACCAACATGGCGAAACCCTGTCTCTACTAAAAATACAAAAGATTAGCCTGGCATGGTGGTGCAGGCCCGTAATCCCAGCTACTTGGGAGGCTGAGGCAGGAGAATCGCTTGAACCTGGGAGGTGGAAGTTGCGGTGAGCCGAGATCACGCCATTGCACTCCACCCTGGGAAACAAGCGTGAAACTCCATCTCAAACAAACAAACAAAAAGAAGGCCCCACATCCCAGAAAACCCTCAGTCAAGCCAGGGTAGTTACTCACCTACCTATGGTTATTTTTTCTTATACTGTTTCTGTTAGGCAGAATAATCATTCCCTAAAGATGTCCACGATGTAATCCCTGGAACCTGTGAATATGTTATGTTACATGGAAGGGGGAATTACATTTGCAGACGAAATTATGTTTACTAATTAGCTGACTTTAAAATAGAAAGATATTTTTGGATTATCTGGATGGGCCCAGTGTAAGCACAAGCGCTTCAATGTGGAAGAAGGAGATGGAAGAGTCAGGGTCAGAATAGCCCATGTGAGAAAAATTCTGCCAGCCATTGCTGGCTTTGAAGAGGAAAGGAGGCTAGGAGCCAAGGAATGCAGGAAGCTTCTAGAAGCTGGAAAAGGCAAGAAAATGGATTGTCCCCTAGAGCCTTCAGAAAGAACACAGCCCTGCCAATGCCTTGATTTGAACCCAGTGAAACTCATTTCAGATTTCTGACCTCCAGAACTATAAGATAATAGATTTGTGTATTTAAGCCACTAAGTATGTGGTAATCTGCTATAGCAACAAAAGGCAACTAACTGATACACTGGGCTTACTCAGTTTAGGCATTAATGTTATATTTATCTCACAAAATAAGTCAAATAGCTTCCCACCCACCTAATATCATACTTTAAAAAATTACTTTTCTGAGTCAGCTTGATAAGAGAATAATTTATTTCTTAATAAATGTGACAGTATTATAGAAATCACAAGAATTGTCTGGGCCTAGTGCTTTTATGGAAGGTGGTGAAATGAAAGATATTTTTGAGTATATTTCAATCTTACTCTTAGGTACTGGTTTACTAAAGTTTATGTTTCTTTCCATCTGGTTTATCTAACTTTCTTCTAAATTGTTAGCAGATTATGCCAGTACCATTTATTATATAAAAGGTCCTTTTCCCACTTAAATGTAATCTAACATTAGGTTGGTACAGAAACAACTGGCAAAAACCACAGTTCCTTTTGCATCAACCTAGTAATACCCTATGTACATTTAGATAATTTCTACACTCTTTATACATATTTCTCTATTTCTTTACTGTTTTGATTACAGATACTTTACAATAAGTTTTACTCTCTGATAGGACAAATTCTCCTCCATAGTCTTTTATTCAAATATTTCCTAATTATTCTGGCATATATCACTCTATACAAAATTTTAAATAATTTTTTTGAGGCAGGGTCTCTGTCTGTCACCCAGGCTGGAGTGCAGCGGCAGAAACATGACTCACTGCAGCCTTGACCTCCTGGGCTCAAACAATCCTTCTGCCTCAGTGTCCCCAAGTAGCTGAGACTACAAGTGTGTGCCACCATGACTGGCTTTATTTATTTATTTATTTATTTATTTATTTATTTATTTATTTATTTTGAGACGGAGTCTCACTCTGTCGCCCAGGCTGGAGTGCAGTGGCGCGATCTCGGCTCGCTGCAAGCTCCACCTCCCAGGTGCATGCCATTCTCCTGCCTCAGTCTCCTGAGTAGCTGAGACTACAGGCACCAGCCACCACGCCCGGCTAATTTTTTGTATTTTTAGTAGAGACGGGGTTTCACCATGTTGTTCAGGCTAGTCTCGAACTCCTGACCTCAGGTGATCTGCCCGCCCTGGCCTCCCAAAGTGCTGGGATTACAGGCGTGAGCCACTGCGCCCGGCCTAACTTTTTTTTTTGAATAGAGATAGCATTTCACCATATTGCTCAGGCTGGTCTTGAACTGCTGGGCTCAAGCAATCCTTCCACCTTGGCCTCCTAAAGTGCTGAAGTTACATGAGCCCCTACACCTGACCAAATATTTTTAATTAATATAATTTTGCTTAGCTTCATTAAAAAAACAAGATTCTAATTAGAAGTCCATTAAATTTATATGTTAATTAAAGAAGGATTGGCATTTTTATAATATCGACCCTCACAGCCATTATTAAGCTGTATCTGACACTCCATTTTTATGCCTTTAAATAAAGTTTTAGTCTTTTAAAATTGTCCCTATTTAATTTGTTCCCTTGTATTTTATTTTTGTCTCTATTGTGAATGTTTTTCTTCATCTTTAATTTTCAAATGATTATTCCTAGTGTAAAGGTAATAATAGATTTTTATATACCTCATTTGTATTTAACTACATTACTCAGCAGCCTCTAGTTAGTTTTAATAGTTTTTAAATTGAGTTATATTTTCTGGATGCATAATCATATTATCTTCAAATTCTGTGTCTTCTTTTTGAACATTTTTATTTTAATATTATTTATTTTATGCCTTACTCCCTCAGCTAAAACCTCCAAAACAATGCTGAATAATAATTGTGCTGGCAAGTATCTCCAGCCTGTTTCTGATATTTCTGATATTTGTTTAATTTTGTTGTTGTTGAGTATTTTTCATAGGTGGTGTGATATATTTCATATTGTGTCACATCATGATGTTCTTAATTTCTGGTTGTTCCACTTATAGTGATATTGAGATTGATGGATGAATTCAGGTATTGTTATACCTGATCAACTCATTATAAAATTCCCCTCCCGGCTGGACACGGTGGCTCACACCTGTAATCCCAGCATGTTAGAAGGACGAGGTGGGTGGATCATCAGAGGTCAGGAGATCGAAACCAACCTGGCCAACAGAGTGAAACTCCGTCTCTATTAAAAATACAAAAAAATCATGGTGGTGCGTGTCTGTAGTCCCAGCTACTCAGGAGGCTGAGGCAGGAGAATCATTTGAACCCGGGAGGCAGAGTTTGCAGTGAGATGAGATTGTGCCACTGCACTCCAGCCTGGGTGACAGAGTGAGACTCCATCTCTAAATAAATAAATAAACAAATTTCCCTTCCAGCCTTTCACCTAATGGCTTTAGCAGCCATTCGTGAGCATTCCTTATAGCCCATGTTTCACCAGAGTTTGCAAAATGGTGACTTTATGTTTTATTTTTATTTTTTAGAAACAGGGTCTTGCTCCGTCACCTAGGCTGGAGTGCAGTGGTGCCATTATAGCTCACTGCAGCCACAAACTCCTGGGCTCAAGCAATTCTCCTGCCACAGCCTTACAAGTAGCTGGGACCACAGGTGCATGTGACCACAACTGGCTAATTTTTTTAAAACTTCCTGTAAAGATGGAGTCTCACTATGTTGCCCAGTCTGGTCTCAAACTCCCAGCCTCAAGCGATCCTCCTGCTTCTGCCTCCCAAAGTACTGGGGTTAAGGTGTGGGCCACCATGCCCTGCCTCAAAATGACCTTTCTAAACTACCCATTGCGGCCGGACATGGTGTCTCATGCCTGTAATCTCAGCACTTTGGGAGGCCGAGGCGTGTGAATCACTTGAGGTCAGGAGTTGGAGACCAGCTTGGCCAACATGGAGAAACCCCATCTCTACTAAAAATACAAAAATTAGCCGTGCCTGGTGGCACATGCCGGTAATCCCAGCTACTTGGGAGGTTGAGGCATGAGCATGGCTTGAATCTGGGAGGTGGAGGTTGCAGTGAGCTGAGATCATGCCACCGTACTCCAGCCTGGGCGACACAGCAAGACTCTCTCTCTCTCAAAAAAAGAAAGTACTCATTTGATGTCACTTTTTTCCTTAAAAGAGTAAGACATGTCATAGGATACATGAGTATCTACAAATCTGCTCAAACTCCTTAATATGATTGTACTAGTTTCTAAGGGCTGCCATAACAAATTACCACAGAGACAACATAGTAGAAATTTATTCTTTCACAGTTCTGGAGGCTAGAGGTCTGAAATCAAGGTGTTCGGCGGAGCCATCCTCCCTCCAAAGGCTCCGGGGAAGACTCCTTCCTTACTGCTTCCTAGTTTCTCATGGCTCCCTGAAATCCTTGGCATTCTTTAGCTTGTAGCTGCATTGCTGTAGTCTCTGATTTAGTCTTAACATGGCCTTCTCTGTGTCTCTTTGAGGCTTTTTTTCTTTTTTCTTTTTTTCTGAGACATAGTCTCACTCTGTCTCCCAGGCTGGAGTGCAGTGGTGCGATCTTGACTCACTGCAACTTGCGACTCCCAGGTTCAAGTGATTCTTCTGCCTCAGCCTCCAGAGTAGCTGGGATTACAGGTGCTTGCCACCATGCCTGGCTAATTTTTGTATTTTTAGTAGAGACAGGGTTTCACCATGTTGGCCAGGCTGGTCTCAAACTCCTGACCTCAAGTGATCCACCCGCCTCAGCCTCCTGAAGTGCTGGGATTACAGGCATGAACATCGCACCAGGCCAGAGTCTTTTCTTATAAAATCAGGGATCACTGGATTTAGGACCCACCTTAAGATGACTTTTTATCTTGAGATTCTCAATTAATTACATCTGCAAAGACTATTTCCAAATAAGGTCGCATTCTGAGATTCCAGGGGGATGTGAATTTTGGAGGGACAATATTCAACCCATTACAATTGCCTACAGGTCTTTTATGATGTGGTACCAACTCACTTCTCCAGCCTCACCTCTTACCACTCTCCACCTCTCATTCCAAGCTAGTTGTATTAAGCCACTTGCAGTTCAGGGACCATAAGGTGCTCTTTCTCATTTCTAGATCTTTGCTTTTTCTGCCCACCTCTGTTTGAAATGTCTTTGCCATCTCCTTTTGCCTGGTTCTTACTATTTTGCAGATTCAGCTGCTCAAGGAAATTTTCCCAAATCCCACCCAGCATTGCTGTATTCCTTCCCCCTCCCATCTCTCTCTTGCATCCTAGGTTTAGCTCTATTACAGCATGTATCTCACTATTTAATAATTTTAGTTGATGTCCTGCTTCTTTCCTAAGTCTCTTTCTCCAACTCCTTGCCATCCAAATAATCAATAAGGGACAAATCATTTTTTGTCTTATTTTGATTTACTTTTGTATTCTTAGTGCTTAACATGGTTCCTAACAGGCAGTCTACAAATGATTATAGAATACGCGAACAAATGAATGTCTCTGAAATGTAGTTCACATGTGGTAAGAATTTCGAGGCGTTAAAATTGATAGGCAGCAGCATCTGTGGTGGTTTTTTTATTCATATTTGTCCTTTATAGAGAAGAATAACTTTGAAGAAATTGAGGGAAGTATTCCATGACTGTTGAATATTATATTAGACAGTATTAAATAACCTCATTTAGTTTTGGTGTTGCATGTGTTGAAAACTCACTTTGATCTGACCATAGCTCTATTCATTTTTATTATCCTTAGATCAAATAATGTAAGATTCTCAATACAGCCATAAATTTGAATGATGGAATTACCATATGAATGGATTTGAATTTCATATTAACTTTAAAGAAAATGATGTGGGTTTTTTTTTTTGAAGAGAGAAAAGCCTCTATTGAAATCAGAAAATGTATATAGCTACAAGTGAAAGAACTAGAAATAAGAAAAGGGAAAAATTAAGGTAGATAGTGTTGATTATCTTCAGATAACTTGCCATTCTCATCACCAATAGAATTTAAATTATACACCTTGAATAAAATGAGGACAGAAAGCTGTTGTTAGAAAGACCACATTTCTTTTAGTGAATCATTTTTGGAATAAAAGGCTTCCAAGATTCCTGAATGTTTTCCTTTTTGGTTGACACAACATCAAGGACTATGGAAGTATGTAGCATGCTGGCTGGGTTGACTGGAAGAAAAGGACCTGCAAGCTAGTGGGTTGAAGCACATCAACAAGAAGGACATCAACTGTGGGGACAGTCCTGGAGGTTCTTGGCCTCTGGAGCAGCTCTGTGGCCCAGTCAGTAGAACGGATAAATAAATGGTAGTGTGCAGCAATCAAGATGGATAAGCTTTCAGCTACATGGAGCAATAAGGATAAATCTTAGGCTGTTGCACAACAGAAATAGGACACAAAAGAACATGGACAGTATGGCTGCATCTACATAAAATTCAAAAGCAAGCAAAACTAAGCTATATTATTTAAGGGATGCATACATAGAGAGTATGTATCCATAGCCTGGGTGCGGTGGCTCACTCTTGTAATCCCAGCAACTTGGGGGGCTGAGGCGGGTGGATCACCTGAGGTTAGGAGTTCAAGACTAGCCTGGTCAACACGGTGAAACCCTGTCTCTACTAAAAATACAAAAATTAGCCAGGTGTGGTGGTGCGTGCCTGTTATTCTAGCTACTTGGGAGGCGGAAGCATGAGAATCCCTTGAACCTGGGAAGTGGAGATTGCAGTGAACAGTGATTGCACCGTTGTGCTCCAGCCTGGGAGACAGTGAGACTCAAAAAAAAAAAAAAAAGTATGTATCTATACTTTTTTAGATAGCTAGAGTGAAAAAGTAGTGATTACTTTAAAATCAGGAGAGAAGTTAGCTCTGGGAGAGATGAGAGGGGATGTCATGGGGAAGAGTTACAAAGCTGGTAGATACTTCAGGGGTGTTACCATTGTCTTATTTCTTGCTTTGGAGGACGATTACACTACTGTTTGTTTTTTCTTTTCCTAGTTGAATGGTTATACTTGTATTTGCTTTACAATTATGGGGTGTACATTTGTATTTCACATCACACAATATACATTTGTGTTTCTGTAATACTTCACAGTTGTTTAAATAGCTAAGCAAACTAAATACCATTGCTGTATGCAGGGTGGCCAAGAGGTGAAGGGATCGATTTTGGCAGTCTTGGAGTCTCTAGCTCCTGGCACAGTATCTAGTCCCAGGCAGCAGATCTATAAATGTTGGCTGAACTAAATTGGCCCAGGCAATATGGCATGATTCAAAGGAAGAAACATCATGCAGAGCCCACAGTCTGCATCTAAAATTCTCATATTCACTCCATGTCAGACAAGACGCTGTTGGGGTTCTGTGGTTCTGATGATCTTACTATGCATCATTAATTTCTACTGAGAAAAAATAATTACTATTCCCTTTGGGGACACAAAGTGTTTTTAATTGGTTTGTTTATTTAACTTAGTATTGACTTTTAATTTCTTTTTTTCATAAAAATTGTATATATTTAAGGTATACAACATGAGGTTTTGATATACATATATATAGTGAGTGGTTATTACAGTCAAGCAAATTACATATCTGGTGGGAGGTGGTTGGATCATGAGGGTGGATTCTCATGAATGGATTAGCACCATCCCCTCGGTGCCATTGTCATGATAGTGAGTGAGTTCTCAAGAGATCTGGTCATTTAAAAGTGTGCTGCCCTCGCTCTCTCTTGCTCCTGCTCCCACCATGTGAGATGTTTTGCTCCGCATTTGTCTTCTGCCATGATTGGAAGCTTCCTGAGGCCTCCCCAGAAACAGAAACCGCTATGCTTCCTGTACATCCTGCAGAGCTGTGAGCCAATTAAACCCCTTTTCTTTATAAATTACCCAGTTTATAGCAGAGCAAGAACAAACTAATACAGTATCCATCTCCTCATGTAGTTACCTTCTGTGTGTGTGTATAGTTATCTTCTGTTACTTTCTGTGTGTGTGCGGTAAGAGCACCTGAAACCTACTTCTAGCAAATTCCCAATATAGTGTTACTAACTATACAGAATGATTATGATACAACATTATTAACTGTACTCATCATGCTGTTTATTAGATCTCTAGACTGATTCATCCTAACTGCAACCTTGTACCCTTTGACCAACATCTCCCCATTCCCTTCTACTTTGTTTCTATGTATTCAACTTTTTTAGAGTTCACATATAAGTGAGATCATACAGTATTTTTCTTTCTGTGTCTGGCTTATTTCACTTTGCATAGTGTCCTCTAGGTTCACCCATGTTGTCAAAAATGGCAGGATCTAGCCCGGCGCAATGGCTCACTCCCGTAATCCCAGCACTTTGGGAGGCCAAGGCCGGTGGATCACCTGAGGTTGGGAGTTCAAGACCAGCTTGGCCAACATGGTGAAACCCCATCTCTACTAAAAATACAAAAATTACCCAGGCGTGGTGGCACACACCTGTAGTCCCAGCTACTGGGGAGGCTGAGACAGGAGAATCACTTGAACCCAGGAGGTGGAGGCTCTCATGAGCTGAGATCGTGCCACTGCACTCCAGCCTGGGCAACAGAGCAAGACTCCATCTCAAAAAACAAACAAAAAAAAGACAGGATCTACTCCTCTTTTAAGGCTGAATAATATGCCATTGTGTATATGTACCACAATTTCTTTTTCCATTCATCTGTCAATGGACACTTAGGTTGATTCCTCATCTTGGCTATCATGATTAATGTTGCAATGAATATGAGAGCACAGATACCTCCTTAAGGTACTAATTTTGTTTCCTTCGGGTACACTTGGAAGACGAATTGCTGGATCACACGGTAGTACTATTTTTAATTTTTTTGAGGAACTTCTGCACTGTTTTCTATAATGGCCATACCAGTTTAAATATCCACCAACAGTGTACAAGGGTTTCCCTTCCTTCCTCCCTCCTCCTCCTTTTCTTTCCTTCTTTCCTTCTTTTTCCTTCTTTCTTTTCTTTTTCTTTGTTTTCTTTGCTTTTCTTTCTTTCTTTCTTTCTTTCTTCCTTCCTTCCTTCCTTCCTTCCTTCCTTCCTTCCTTCCTTCCTTCCTTTCTTTCTTTCTTTCTTTCTTTCTTTCTTTCTTTCTTTCTTTCTTTCTTTCTTTCTTTCTTTCTTTCTTTCTTTCTTAGGTATGGCTCTCTCATCCAGGTTAGAGTGCAGCGGCACAATCACAGCTCACTGCATCCTCAATCTCCCAGCCTCAACAATCCTCCCACCTCAGCCTCCTGCAGAGCTGGAACTACAGGCACACACCACCACACCCAGCTACTTTTAAATTATTATTTGTTGCAGAAACAAGGTCTCACTATGTTGCCCAGACTGGTCTCAAGTTCCAGTGATCCTCCTGCCTTGGCCTCCCAAAGTGCTGAGATTACAGGGTGAGCCACCGTGCCCAGCCAAGGGTTCCTTGTTCTTCACACCCTCACCAACAACTATTTTTTTTTTTGTCTCTTTGATAATAGCTATTTTTTTTTTAGACCGAGTTTCACTCTTGTTGCCCAGGCTGGAGCACAATGGCATGATCTTGGCTCACTGCAACGTCTGCCTCTGAGGTTCAAGTGATTCTCCTGCCTCAGCCTCCCTAGTAGCTGGGATTACAGGCACCTGCCACCACACCCGGCTAATTTTTGTATTTTTAGTAGAGACGGGGTTTCTCCATGTTGGTCAGGCTGATCTCAAACTCCCAACCTCAGGTGATCTGCCCAGCTCAGCCTCCCAAAGTGCTGGGATTACAGGTGTGAGCCACCGCACCTGGCCTGATAATAGTTATTCTAACAGGTATGAGGTGATAGCTTATTGTGGTTTTGATTTGCATTTTCCTGATGATAGTTGACGTTGAGCACCTCTTCATATACTTGTTGGTCATTTGTATGTCTTCTTTGGAAAAATGTCTATTCATTTCTTTTGCCCATTTTTCAATCAGGTTATTTGATTTTTTGTGGTTAAGTTGTAGGAGTTCTGTATGTATTTTGGTGATTAACACCTTATCCAAAATATTTTTAGTTTGCAAATTTTTTTTCCAGTCCATAGGTTACTTTTTCATTTTGTTGGTTGTTTTCTTTGCTGTGCAGAGACTTTTTAGTTTGATGTAATTCCACTTGTTTATTTTTACTTTTGTTACCAGAGCTCTTGGTGTTAAAGTAGTCCCTCTTTATCTGTTGTTTCTCTTTTCATTCAGTTACCCATGGTCCACCGGGGTCCAACCATATTAAATGGAAAATTCCAGAGATGCGCAATTCATAAGTTTTAAATTGTATACTATTCTGAGTAGCATAATGAAATCTCATGTTGTCCCACCCAGGCCATAAATCATCCCTTTGTCCAACCGATTCACACTGTCTGTGTGACCCACCCAAAAGTCATTTCGTAGCCTTCTCAGTTATTAGATCTACTGTGGTATCAGAATGCTTGTGTTCAAGTCACCCTTATTTTACTTAAAAATGGACCAAAGCACAAGAGGAGTGATGTTGCCAATTCAGATATGCCAAAGAGCAAAAATAAAGTATTTCCTTAAGTGAAAAGGTGAAAGTTCTCAACCTAATAAGGAAAGCAAAAAAAAAAAAAAAAAAAAAAAAAAAATTGTATGCTGAGGTTGCTAAGATCTATAGTTGGAACAAACAGCAGCTTGGCGGGAATCACATCTCAAACTCCAAAAGTTACATCCAATGTGTGATAAGTGCTTAACTAAGATAGAAAAGGCATTAAATTTATCCGTGAAATACATAAACAGAAATGTGTTCCTGTTTATGGCAATTGGGTTTGGTACTATCCATGGTTTCAGGCATCCACTGGTGAAAGGAGTTAGCTAGCTTACTTTAGGAAGATAGTAAGGGAAGGGCCCCCAGAGACTCTCCAACCTGCCCCACAAGTGTTTATACCAGATGTTTTATGCAGATAAGGGAAGCTGCACAAGGGGCTTGCCTAAACATGTCCACAGTGGAAAATTCCATTCCTTAACAAACATACAGTAAGGGGAAATACATCAATATGGAGTGGCTCAGATTAAAACCCCCCATGCACACTGGAAGGACAAGGTGGAGCCACCAGGAATTCATGCCTTATACAAATAGGGAACCCAGCCCCATGAGCTTGGATAAAAAAAGCTCTTGTATTCAACTGTGAAGGGGGGCAACTAGAAACCTGCTTTCAGGACCCTGTTCTTTACTGAGAATTTTCCTTTTGGTTAATAAATTCTACTCCACTCACTCTTCAATGTCCGCATGCCCAATTTTTCCTGGTCATGAGAAAAGAACCTGGGTTTAGCTGAGCTAAGGAGCAGAAAAATCCTACATTACTAGGAGTCTTGGAACATCTTCCACAGATGAGTGGGGACTACTTTATATCCAAGAAATCATTGCCAGTGACAGTGTCAAGGAGCTTTTCCTCTGTGTTTTCTTCTAGGAGTTTTACAGCTTCAGTATTGACCTTTAATTTCAAACCTCATAGAAAATTTTCTAGATCGAGATAGAATAATGGACTTGAATCTCCAGCAGAGCCAAACACTGAAAGTTTGGGAATATAGACACATAGTATATGTATGCTACAGATTTTTCCTGTTTCTCCCAAAAGAGATCAACCAAAGAAAACTCTATCTGTAGATTTATTTTCTTCTAATTGAGAAATTACTACTAATGTATTCTGTGGCATGCAACTATATTAAAATTTTTATTATTCACTTTAGATAATAACTATATCTTTCTCATAGTCAACAACCAATATGATTTTTACCTGCTTTAATTCTATGTTAATAACCAATTCTCTGAAAATTATAGCCTCAGATGCAATTACAAAAATGTTGAGACAGGCTGGGCGCGGTGGCTCACGCCATAATCCCAGCACTTTGGGAGGCTGAGGCAGGTGGATCACGAGGTCAGGAGATCAAGACCATCCTGGGTAACATGGTGAAACCCCGTCTCTACTAAAAATACAAAAAATTAGCCTGGCATGGTGGCAGGCGCCTGTAGTCCCAGCTACTCGGGAGGCTGAGGCAGGAGAATGGCATGAACCCGGGAGGCAGAGCTTGCTGTGAGCCAAGATAGCACCACTGCACTCCGGTCTGGGCGAAAGGGTGAGACTCCGTCTCAAAAAAAAAATTGTTGAGACATTATACTAGTTTTCAATGCTTTTAAACATGGAACTAATTGACGAAAATCTTTTAATTTACATATACACTATAATGTAGTTTTTTTAATAGCTCAATTTTATTCATTTATTGTACATGATAGCTATAACAGCCTTAACATAAATTGAAATAAAAGAAAATTTCACCCGTAATTCTAATATCACCATAAATCAAACTGTTCTCAGTTTTAATTATACTGTAGACAAAATTCGATTTTCTACTTTTTAAATTAATGTTATTTTAGCCTGTGCTCTTTTATAAACTAGAAAAAAGTTTCATGTTTTTCATTTTCCTGTTTAGTTCAAGTTAACTGTGTTATAAATAAATTTTTGGTGCCACCAAAGAAATAGCACTCAAAGATAAATTTAATTTTCTCAGCAAGGCAATTTTTACTTCTATAGAAGGGTGCGACTTGAGGATGGAGCAACGGTGAGAGCACACGTGAACAAGGGAGGGGAAGGGGTTCTTATTCCTGATGCAGGTAGCCCCTGCTGCTGTGTCATTTCCCCATTGGCTAGGGTTGGACTGCACAGTCTAGGCTAATCCCAACTGGCTATTTTAAAGAGAGCAGGGGTATAAGCCAGAGTGGTGGGGTGAGCAGTTTGGAGGGAAAGACGGTTACAGAACAGGTAACTAAAGGTGACTTAAATCATAGCAGGTGACCAGGGGTGACTCAGGTCAAAGCAGGTGACCAGGATGAGTCAGGACAGAGCAGGTGACCCGGGGAACAGATGTGAACTGCTGATTAAAACTGGTGGAAAAGGTTGTTTACTGAAACTATGAGGAAGTTAAACTTTAAAATGGAGGACAAAGAACTGAACATAGTGACATACTGCTTCTTTGAAGAGAAATTTAGAACTCACAGTATCTAACACCTGAAGGATTCCCAACAAATGCTAAAAACTATGCATTCTCTTTTACCCCAGTGTAAAAATTGTTCTAAGTGCATTCACCTGTATGAAAAAATATGAAATAAAACATATCAAATATAAACTAAAATGAATAAGTGACTATATTTATCTCATGTAAACTCTAGAAACAATATGTATATTCTAAGTTGTAGAGTGCTCTCATAATGTATCCTTGTATCTTCTATTCAATTATTGAATATAAATAACATTTATTTAACATTATAGAAGGCACTAGGATTTGAACCCTGGCAATCTAACTCCAGAGCTTATCTTCTTAATGTCTCAGGTACCTGAGTGTCTGTCACCTGTTTTTAGGAACTGGGTTCTTAGAGGGGGTCTGTAGGATCATGATCTGCTTTAATCAGATAGCTCTGTAGACAAGGAGGAAGGGTCAGAACTTTGGGGAGTGTGAGTATGGGTCAAGCCTAAGAAACCAAGGTGACCAAGATGACTAAAAAGCTTCCGTATTGAATCCTGGACAATGCAATCCTTTCTTTATAAGGTGTCCTAAACTAGTTTTCCTACAGAGTGAGAAGAACAAATGTGAGTGTGAAGCCACCCAATCAGAAAGTCTTTGGAGAGAGCAATGGATTAATGCATCTGGATTAATGCATCAGAGTAAGGAGTGAAGGAACCGTCCTTGAATACAAGCTCTGATTGATCAGTGAAGACAAAATCAGCCCCTCCACAATAAAAGACAGCAAATGGTGGCATTGAGAGAATGAGAGTTGAAGTCTCAATCAAATGGTGAATCATTGTTTTCCACTTATTGTGTTTTATTTTTTCTAGAGACAAGGCCTCACTATGTTGCCCAGGCTGATCTCAAACTCCTGGCCTCAAGTGATCTTCCCACCTCAGCCTCCCAAGGTGCTGAGATTACAGGTGTGAGCCACTGTACCTGACCTAGACAAAGGAGTTTCTATATCATTTTAACAAAGGATGATAAATTGTAGAGAAGTGACTAGATAAAGGAAAGGAAGTTTTGGCTTCTAGGGGTGGAAAATTGTGGAAAAGTGACTAGGCAATATATGGGGGAAACTAATGAAAGATAAGAGTTATTTGAGTAAGGTTTGTTTCTGCAAACTTATCTCAGTGTTAGTTCTCTGTTTGATGATAAAGGTTTTTCTCTTCATCCTGGTACAGGAATGCTGGGGGAGATTTATGCCAGCTTCGCAAAAGAAAATGTATGCCCTGCTTTTAGGCAGATGGAGGAAGGGCAGAGTCTCTTCCTGCATCTGTTATTTCTCAATTGCTTTCAGCTCAAAATAATACCTATGCTAAAGTGGCATATTTGGGGGTGATATATTCTGGACCCCTTCATCTACAAAATAGATGGTATCCCAGACTACATTGTAGGGTTATTTTCAGGGTTAAATGAGTTAATGTATGTAAAATACTTGGAATAGTGCCTACCAAGTGTTAGCTATTATTATTTCTTCTCAAATATTGTCACTAATTGTTGGTCATTCTTCATTATTGTCATAATCCCTCCCCAGAGGTTTACCTTGTGATAATGAAATATCTGCAGCCTCTTGCACATTATCAGAGGTTGCTCTTAACCCCCAGCTTTGGGTTGTGCTGACCAGTGGATCAAGGTCTTTAGCTGGTCAGTCAAATCCAATTTCATTTTGTCTCCTCCTTTCTCTCTAGCTTTGTGGTTTTCCAAAGTTTTCATCTTGTTGAGTAGTTTGTTATCTTCATAGATAACCCACCTCCCATCCCCAGACATTTATCTTTATGTTTGATTTCTTTGGTACTTAGAACCATACTTTCTCCAGTCTTTTCTTTTAAGATGGAGTCTCGCTCTGTCACCCAGGCTGGAGTGCAGTGGTGTGATCTCAGCTCACTGCAACCTCCGCCTCCCAGGTTCAAGCGATTCTCCTGCCTCAGCCTCCTGAGTAGCTGGGATTACAGGCGTGAGCCACCATGCCTGGCTAATTTTGGTATTTTTAGTAGAGATGGGGTTTCACCATGTTGGTCAGGCTGGTCTTCAACTCCTGACCTTGTGATCCACCTGCCTTGGCCTCCCAAAGTTCTGGGATTTCAGGTGTGAGCCACCATGCCCAGCCACCACCAGTCTTTTTATATTTGTTACCTGTCTTGTTTTTCCTAACTTCTTTTTGACACCGTCTTAGGCATTATAATAGTATTTTCTAAAGGCTCCTCAAGTGTAGCCAGGGTTGACAACCTGTGAAAGAAACTGACTCTTACACATGCATAAATTGGAATGCGGATTCAAGTGTTTCATGAAAATAATTATCTCTGATGAAAATAGAAGAATCATTAAGAACCATTAAGCTCTGACATTGGTCGTTGATGAAAGCAATCAACTTTCTTCCCCAGAAAATACTTAAAGAGAATTAGATTTACAACTATTTAGGAATCTAAGTAGTAAAGATACAGTTAGAGAGTCTAAAGCTAGGAGGAAGGTCTAAATGGTCAGTGGTCTTTGATGAAGCTAACATATTTTTTAACTTTTCGCTGAGATATAACATTGATGTAACATTGATGCAGCTTGATGTATTTGTTTGCTTTTGAGATAGGTGTTTCACTATGTCGTTCAGGCTGGCTCAAGCTCCTGGGCTCAAGCAATTCTTTCACCTCAGCCTCCCAAGTAGCTGGGACTACAGTCATGCACCACCACGTCCAGTCTAATTTTAAAGACTGATGTCAGTCTGGATGAGAAATATCTGCATCCAATGTAATGTTTCTGTATGCATTCCTCACCTGCTTATTCCTATCAAGAAATAAAGGAACATTTTCTCTGGACTTTATTTCTCTTAGGCTTGACCTGACCTGGGATGGAAAGAATGGGAGGAATTTAGGGAATCTCTGTCAGAGTACAGGGAAGAGAAAGAGGGAGGAAAGGAGGGGTCACTGAGGGTAGGAGTGCCTAGGTCTTCCTCAATAGCAGAAGTGGAGCCAGAAGGACACACAAGTTGAGGGAGGTGCTTGCTGGGTGGGATCATATAGAATTTTCCTTGAGAGGCTTCCATCAGCACACTCATATCTCAGAAGGAAGAGCTGTCTGCCTTATCTTGCAAAAAACTTTGGTCATGAATGTAAGTAACTAGAAAATATACTTTCAAGTTATGTTATGTTAAAACAATGAATAGGTCTCTGAGAAGGAAATATAATAATTGGTGCGGGCCGGATGCAGTGGCTCACACCTGTAATCCCAGCACTTTGGGAGGCCGAGGTGGGCAGATCACCTGAGGTCAGGAGTTCAAGAACAACCTGACTAACATGGTGAAACCCTGTCTCTACTAAAAATACAAAAAATTAGCCGGGTGTGGTGGCACACGCCTGTAATCCCAGATACTCAGGAGGCTGAGGCAAGAGAATTGCTTGAACCTGGGAGTCGGAGGTTGCAGTGAGTCAAGATTGCACCACTGTACCCCAGCCTGGGCAATAGAGCAAGATTCCATCTCAAAAATAAATAAATAAATAAATAAATAGTGTGTGAGAGACATGGCGAAGAGAGGAGGGAGAGAGAGGCAAGGAGAGAGAGAGAAAAGAAGGAGGAGGAGGAGAAGCAGGAGAAGGAGAAGGAGGAGAAGCAGGAGAAGGAGGAGGAGAGGCAGGAGAAGGAGGAGGAGGAGAAGCAGGAGAAGGAGGAGGAGGAGAAGCAGGAGAAGGAGGAGAAGGAGAAGCAGGAGAAGGAGGAGGAGGACGAGGAGGAGGAGGAATCCTTTAGGAACTCTACCAGAAAAAAATACTAATGAAATGAAAGACCAAATTCAGTGTCATCTATACTACAACATGTTGGAGCATAAAATACATCATTATCAGTCCCTAGATATTTTTACACAATGAATAACTCATCTAAGGCCATGCATATTAAATAGAAAAGGCTTAAGTTGAAGCACTGAAGTAATTTAGAATGAACATAAACAGCTTCTGATACTAGGTGCACTGAGTGTGACGTGTTTTGGGAACACAGCGATCTTTGTTTTTGACAAGTACTACATCTGAGATGACATCTGAATAATTAATATGTTTAGCCCAGATGATATATTTTCAAAAGTAATGTGCTACTCTGGATACAGATTTTCAAATTACAATCAGCACTTCTTGTTGCCACCTCCCATTATGTGTCTTTCATCACCTGTTTAGCCAGCTGTGCTGCTATGTAGGCAAAATCAAACATTAAACAGATGTTCCTTGAACTGAAAGTAGGAGGTGTTTTCAAACATGGCTAGCTACATTGATTAGGGATGAAATATATCAACTGGAAAGCAGATTAATTTACCTATTAAGAATAACAGATTGTGGGCCGGGTGCAGTGGCTCACACCTGTAATCCCAACACTTTGGGAGACTGAGGCAGGCGGATCACCTGAGGTCAGGAGTTCAAGACCAGCGTGGCCAACATGGTGAAACCTCGTCTCTACTAAAAATACAAAAATTAGCCGTGCATGGTGGCAGGCGCCTGTAATCCTACCTACTTGGGAGGCTGAGGCACGAGAATCACTTGAACCAGGGAGTCCGAGGTTGCAGTGAGTTGAGACCGCACCATTGCGCTCCAGCCTGGACAAGAGCAAAACTCCATCTCAAAAAAAAAAAAAAAAAAAGAATAACAGATTGTGGAATCAAAGTCATCCCCTGCTATCCATGTGATCTTGGGCTAAGTTAACTTAAACTTTTTAAGCCTCACTCTTCTCATCTATAAAATGATAAATTATCTGAATTAATGACATCTACTAGGATGGTTATCTGTAATCTCAACACTTTGGGAGGCCGAGGCAGGTGGACCACCTGAAGTCCAGAGTTTGAGATGAGCCTGGCCAACATGGTGAAACCTCATCTCTACTAAAAATACACAAATTAGTCATGCGTGGTTGCAGGCGCCTGTAATCCCAGCTACTCTGGAGGCGGAGGCAGGAGAATTGCTTGAACCAGGGAGGCTGAGGTTGCAGTGAGTCGAGATCGCGCCATTGCGCTCCAGCCTGGGCAAGAGCAAAACTCCATCTCAAAAAAAAAAAAAAAAAAAGAATAACAGATTGTGGAATCAAAGTCACCCCCTGCTAGCTATGTGATCTTGGGCTAAGTTAACTTAAACTTTTCAAACTTCACTCTTCTCATCTACAAAATGAAAAATTATCTGATTAATGGCATCGTCTAGGATGGTCATGATGATTAAATGAGATTGTCCATATACCCTTAAGAGTATATCTGGCACAGAGTAAATGGTCAATCTATTTTAGCTATTTATTATTTCACTTTTATCAAATTGCATACTTAAGAGCTTTGGAAAGTAAAGAAATGGTTTAAAGTAAGGAGGTTGGTTTGGTGCACTGGTTTTCAAACTATGTTCTCACAAAGAGCTGCTTCCAAGGCTGTGGCTTGGTGGCAAAAAAGAGGCTGTATGTGGAGCTTTAAAACCCTCACTTCATTTTAAAGCACAGCAGTTCATTTTGTATGCTCTATATATTGAGGTTCTGTGTGAGTCTTGCCACAGGCCGGCGGTCAGAGCCTGGGACCGTGCCAATCATGCCCCCTCCACACTCCCTGCACCACTGGCCTTGCCGCTGTCTCAGTACACCTCCCACCTGGACTTCAAGAGAGCATTGGACAGAGCTCCCGAAACCAACAATGAGGATGACAAACCGAGGAGGGTGTGCCCATGCCCAAGAACTACCTGTGGCTACCATTGTCTATATAAAATTCTAATTTTAAAAAAAGTATTACATAAGCTGAGCATGGTGTCTCACGCCTCTAACCCCAGCAATTTTGGGGGCTGAGGCAAAGGATTGTTTGAGGCCAGGAGTTTGAGAACAGCCTGGGACAACATAGCAAGACATCCTTTCTATAAAAAAATAAAAAACCTGGCCAAGAAAGATGGCTCACGCCTATAATCCCAGCACTTTGGGAGGCCAAGGCAGGTGGATTACTGGAGGTCAGGAGTTCAAAACCAGCCTGGCCAACATGGTGAAACCCTGTCTCTACTAAAAATACAAAATGTACAGGTGGTGCGCACCTGTACCCCAGCTACTTGGGAGGCTGAGGCATGAGAGACTCACTTGAACCTGGGAGGCGGAGGTTGTAGTGAGCCAAGATGGTACCACTGAACTCCAGCCTGTGTGACAGAGCAATATTTTGTCTCAAAAAAAAAAAAATGAGCTGCCTATGGTAACACACCTGCAGTCTCATCACTGAGGAGATCAAGGCAGGAGGCTCACTCAAGCCCAGGAGGTCAAGGCAGCAGACAGCCGAGATTGTGCCACTGCACATCAACCTGGATGATAGAGTGAGACCCTGCCTAAAAACAAACAAACAAGCAAAAAGTATTACTATTATTAAAATAATTGACAACGAGTAGAGCATCTGATTACAAATGTGTACACTACATGATAAAACTCTTTAAAAGCTAGGGATAATAGAAAACTTACATAATATGATAAATAGCACCTACAAAAGATCTGCAGTAACCATATACTTAACAGTGAAATGTTGAGATTTCCCTTGAATAATAAAAGGATATCTGCTTTTCATTCAATATGGTACTAGCCGTGCAATAAAGCAAAAAATCGAAAATTGATTAAAGATTGGAAATAAAACAATGAAAGTGTCATTAACTTCACGTAATATGCTTTTAAACCTAAAAATCCAAAATAAGCTATGGATAAATCATTAGATTTAATGAGTTATTTAAACTTGATGGATTGCAAAGTCAATTTTAGTTGTTTATACCAGCAACAAATAGAAAATAAGCATTTAAAAAGACACCATTTTGATAATTTCAAAAACATCAAATATATGGTAATGAATCCAATAAGTATATATTATTGAAATAAATTAAAGACAACCTAAATAAATAGGGGGATATAACATGTTCTTTGTTTGGAAGACTCAATGTTAAAAGGATGTCAATTTTTGGCTTGGCATGGTTGCTCATGCCTGTAATCCCAGCACTTTAGGAGGCCAAGTAGGGTGGATCACTTGAGGCCAAGAGTTCGAGACCAGCCTGGCCAACATGGCAAAACCTGTCTCTACTAAAAATGCAAAAAATTAGCTGGGTGTGGTGGCCCACACCCATAATCCCAGCTACTCGGGAGGCTGAGGCACGATAATCACTTGAGCCCAGGAGGCAGAGGTTGCAGTGAGTCGAGATCATGCCACTGCACTCCAGCCAGGAATCTGTCTCAAAAAAAAAAAAAAAAAAAAAAAGCTGTACAATTTTTCAATTTTACTGATTTCAGCTTTAATTCTTATTATTTCCTTTCTTTTGTTTACTTTTGGATTTAATTTACTCTATTTTTCTAGTTTCCTAAGGTGAAAACTTAGGTTATTGATTTTAGGTCTCTCTTCTTGCCTAATACAGACATTCAATGCTATACATTTCCCTCTAAGCACTGCTTTCGCTGCATCTTACCAATTTTGATAAGTGGTATTTTCATTTTCATTCAGTTCAAAATACTTTTTCATTTAGTCTTTGACCCATTTATTATTTAGAAGTCTGTTGTTTAATCTCCACAGATTTTGGGATTTCTCCAGTTACCTTTCTGTTGTTGATTTCTCATTTAAGTCTACTGTGACCTGAAATCAGAAATTGTGTGATTTGTATTCTTTTAAATGTGTTAAGGTGTATTTTATGGCCCAGAATGTGGTCTTAGTGAATGTTCTATGAGAGCTTGAAAAGAGTGTGTATTCTGCTGTTACTGGATGAAGTTGTCTATAGATGTTAATTTTATCCAGTTTCTTGGTAGTGTTTTTTGGGAGTTGTTTGTTTGGTTTCTTTTTTTGCTTTTTTGTGTTTTGTTTTGTTTTGTTTTGTTTTTGAGACAGAGTTTCTCTCTGTCTCCCAGGCTGGAGTGCAGTGGCCAGTGGCGTGATCTCGGCTTACTGCAACCACCGCCTCCCAGGTTCTCCTGTCTCAGCCTCCCAAGTAGCGAGGATTACAGGCGCACGCCACCAGCTAATTTTTGTCTTTTTAGTAGGGACAGGGTTTCACCATGTTGGCCAGGCTCGTCACGAACTCCTGACCTCAAGTGATCCGCCCACCTTGGCCTCCCAAAGTGCTGGGAATACAGGCGTGAGCCACCGTGCCCAGCCTTGGTAGTGTTTTTGAGTTCAATTATGTCCATAATGATTTTCTGCCTACTGGATCTGTCCATTTCTGATAGAGGAGTGTTGAAATCTCCACTGATGGTGGGATTCATTGCTTTCTCCTTGCAATTCTGTTTATCTCACATATATTGACACTCTGTTGTTAGATGCTACATGTTAAGAATTGTTGTCTTCTTTGAGAATTGACTGCTTTATTATTATGTGATGTCCCTCTTTATTCTTGATAACTCTCCTTGTTTGAAGTCTGTTTTGTCTGAAGTTAGTATACAGTGAACAACATAGGGGTTGAACAAATAGGGGTTAAGAACTCTGACCCCTTGCATAGTTGAAAATCCATATAAAACTTATATTTTATTTATTTTACGTTTTGTTTTTATTTTATTTTTTAGAAACAGAGTCTTGTTATATTACCCAGGCTGGTCTCCTGGCCTCAAGCGCTTCTCCCACCTCAGGCCCCGAGTTGCTGGGTTTATAGGTATACTCCACTGTGCCTGGCAAACTGTGTGTAACTTTTGACTCCCCAAAAACTTAACTACTAATCGTCTGCTATTGACCAGAAGCCTTACTGATAACATAGTTGATTAACACATCTTTGGTGTTATATGTATTACATACTGTTTTATTACAATAAAGTAAGCTAGAGAAAAAAATGTTATTAAGAAAATCATAACTCATCACTAAAGAACTTATTCATGTAACCAAATACCACCTGTTCGCCAAAAACCTATTGATATAATAAATAAATAAATAAAAAAGGGAAAAAAAGAAAACATAAGTAAGAGAAAATATATTTACTATTCATTAAGTGGAGTGGATCATCATAAAGTTCTTCATCTTCATCGTCTTCATGGCAAGCAGGCTGAGGAGAAGGAGGAAGAGGAGGGGTTGGTCTTGCTGTCTTGTGGGTGGCCGAGGCAGAAGAAAATCTGTGTCTAAGTGGACCCCACCATTCAAGCCCATGTTTTTTAGGGGTTAGCTGTAGTTATTCCTGCTTTCTTTTGATTACTGGTTAGCACAGTATATTTTTCTACATAAATTTGCTTTTTTTTTTTTTGACAGAGTCTCGCTCTGTCCCCCAGGCTGAGGTGCAGTGGCACGATCTCGGCTCACTGTGACCTCCGCCTCCGAGGTTCAAGCGAGTCTCCTGCCTCAGCCTCCTGAGTAGCTGGGGTCACAAGCACCCGCCACCACGTCCGGCTAATTTTTGTATTTTTAGTTGAGACAGGGTTTCACCATGTTGGCTAGGCTGGTCTCGAATTCCTGACCTCAGGTGATCCACCTGCCTCGGCCTCCTAAAGTGCTGGGATTACAGGCGTGAGCCATCGCACCCGGTCTACTTTTTGTTTTTAAGAGACAAGGTCTTGCTATGTTGTCCAGGCTGGACTCAAACTCCTGGGCTCAAATGACCCTCCTGCCAGCCTCCCAAGCAGCTGGGACTATAGGCATGAGTCACCAAACCCAGCTCATCCATTTATTTGTAATCTATGTGCATCTTTATATTTAAAGTGGATTTCTTTTGTTGTTGTTCTGATTTAATTGGAATTAAAGTGGGTTTCTTATAGGCTATATATAGTTGGGTCTTGTTTTTTGATCCATTCTGACAATCTCTGTCTTTTAATGGGTGCATTCTGATCATTGATGTTCAAAGTGATTGTTGATATAGTTGGATTAATATCTACCATACATATTACTATTTTTTATTTGTAGCCCTTGTTCTTTGTTCCTATTTTTGTCTTAAGTCTTTTACTGTGTTTTGTGGGTTTAATTGAGCATTTCATATGATTCCATGTTCTCTCTTAGAATATCAATTATACTTCTTTTTTTAAAACTTTTTAGTCATTGCCCTAGACTTTGCAAAATACATTTACAACTAATCCAGTCCACTTTCAATAACACTATACCACTTCACTGATAGTATGAATACTTTATAATAACAAAATAATACTAGGCCGGGCGCAGTGGCTCATGTCTGTAATCCCAGCACTTTAGGAGGCCAAGGTGGGCAGATCACAAGGTCAGGAGTTCAAGGCCAGCCTGGCCAACATGATGAAACCCCGTCTCTACTAAAAAATACAAAAATTAGCTGGGCATGGTGGCGTGCACCTGTAATCCCAGCTACTTGGGAGGCTGAGGCAGGAGAATTGCTTGAACCTGGGAGGTGGAGGTTGCAGTGAGCTGAGATTGTGCCACCACACACCAGCCTGGGGGACAGAGCAAGGCTCTGTCTCAAATAATATAATAATACTAATAATTTCTCCCTCCTGTTCCTTGTACCATTGCTGCCATTAATTTACATATAAGCATACAGAAATATAGATGCATATATAACTGAATACATTATTGTTATGTTTTTAACAAACTGATATCTGTTAGGTCAAGTAAGAAAAAGTTTTTATCTTCACTCACTCCTTAAATGTTCTTCCTTTCTTTATACAGATCCAAGTATCTGACCTACATTATTTTCCTTCTCTCTAAAGAACTTACTTTAATATTTTTTGCAAGGCAAGTTTACTGATAACAAATTCCCTCAATTTCTGTTTGTCTGAGAAAGTCTTTATTTATCCTTCATTTTGGAAAAATAATTTTTCAGGGTACATAATTCTAGGATGAAAGCCTTTTTTTCACTCAACACTTTATTTCACTCCATTCTCTTCTTGCTTGCATGATTTCTGAGGAAAAATTGGATGTTATTCTTATCTTTGCTCCTCTGTAGCTAAGGTGCTTTTTCCTGTGGCTTCTTCCAGGACTTTTTCTTTATCTTTGATTTTCTTTCTTTTTTTATTCTTCTTTTTTTTCCTTTTTTTTAGGGACGAGGTCTCACTATGCTGCCCTGGCTGATCTTGAACTCCCTAGCTAAGGCGATCCTCCTGCCTTGGCTTTCTAAAGTGCTAGGATTACAGGTGTGAGCCACCATGCCTGGCTTGATTTTCTGTAATTTAAAAATTATATGCTTAGGTGTAGTTTTGTGGAATTTGGTTTTGTTTTTGGCATTTATCCTCCTGCATGTTCTCGGAGCTTCCTGGATCTGTGGTTTGGTGTCTAACATCACTTTGGGAAAATTCTCAGTCATTATTGTTTCAAATATGTCTTCTTATCCCTTCTCTTTTTCTTCTTCTTTTGGTGTTCCCATTATGCGTATTTACATTTTTTGTAGTTGTCGCCATGTTCTTGGATATTCTGTTCTTTTTTTTTTCTTTCTTCAGTCTGTATGCTGTTTGCTTTTCAGTTTTGGAGGTTTCTATTGGAATATCCCCAAACTCAGAGATTCTCTACTCTTTCTTAGGATTTCCATCTCTGCTTGCATTGCCCACCTGGTTTGGGTTTTTGTTGTTGTTGTTGTTTGTCTGTTTTTTGAAATGGAATCTCACTCTGTCTCACAGGCTGGAGTGCAGTGGCACCATCTCAGCTCACCGCAACCTCTGCCTCCTGGGTTCAAGCAATTTTCCTGCCTCAGCCTCTGAGTAGCTGGGATTACAGGTGCATGCCACCATGCCCAGCCAATTTTTTGTATTTTTAGTAGAGACAGGGTTTCACCATGTTGGCCAGGCTGGTCTCAAACACCTGACCTCAGGTGATCCACCCTCCTGAGTCTCCCTACAGGCGTGAGCCACCGTGCCCAGCCAACCACCTGGTTTTGCATGTTATGTACTTTATCCATTAGAGTCCTTTGCATATTCATCATAGTTGTTTTATTTTTTTTAACTGTCCAAAGTATTTGATAATTGTTTATTTATCAAAGGAAACTATTTCTTAGCCCACATATTCATATTTCATAGTTCAGGAACACAGGTCAATGACAAACTTCTAGGTAATACAACACAAATAAATTCTTTATATTCTGAAATCACTTTGCACTTTCCTCATCTCCACAAAATTTTTCATGGGATTACAATTTTTTTAGAAATCTATAGATGCTTTCTTTCTGGGTTCAGCCACAGCAAAGTTATAAAGAGCTACAACAAATACTCCAACAATATGAAATCACAGACACTTGGTCAGAAGGCCAAGCAACTGAGGTTCTGTCAAAGCTCTGGAAGCCCTGGTAGTTACTGTTCTTAATTGGTATGTCAGTCTCAACACCAATGCCCTTCCTGGCTGATGGAGAAAGGGATGGCCCATAGTTGTTTTAAATTCCTGGTCTGATAATTTTAATATCCCTGTCATGTCTGGCTCTGATCCTTGCTCTGTCTCTTCAATTTGTGTTTTTGCCTTTTAGTATGCCTTGTAATTTTACATTGATAGCCAGAAATGGTGTACTGAGTAAAAGGAACTCCTGTAAATAGGCCTTTAGTGATGTGGTAGGAAGGTGCGGAGAGCAGGGGAAGCATTCTCTATAGTGGGCTGGAATTAGGTATTTCCCTTTTCCTCAGCTAGTTAGGCTCTGATAATGCCCCAGCAGGTTAGGATCTGGTTAACTAGTTTCTACTTATTAAGAAGAACAGGGTGCTCTGGCATATTTCAAAATGCCTCCTTATCCCCTCCTCCTGCCAGAAGCATGAGAAGATTTTTCTCTGATACTTCCTGTGAGAAGCTGGTCAAGCTCCTGGAGGTAAAACTCGCAAAAGTTGGGGGAATGGGTTATGAGTAGGTCCCCCTAGGTTTTTTAAACTGTCAGACTTGTCTGTACTGAGCCTTTAGCAATCTGTCAATTTCAGTTCAAGTTTTCCTATCCTGGCTGGCAGTGATTTCCATTCATGAGTCTCTGCTGTGGTAAATTATGACTCCTACTGGTTCCTGGCAGTAATTTCCATTCATGAGTCTCTGCTCTGGTAAATCATGATTCCCTGGGATACCCTGTCTGTCTCTACAATCTTGGGGGAAGCAGTTTTCCCAGTGTTCCCAACTCTCTTGTAGATCCAAGAAGTGTTGCTGATTTTTCAGTCCATTCAGCTTTTCAATTGTTAGGATGAAGTGGCAACTTCTAGGCTCATTACATATGAAACTGAAACCTGGAAGTCCTCATTAAAAAAAAATCTCCGCTGGGCGTGGTGGTTCACACCTGTAATCCCAATACTTTGGGAGGCCAAGGCGAGCAGATCACGAGGTCAGGAGATCGATACCATCCTGGCTAACACGGTGAAACCCTGTCTGTACTAAAAATACAAAAAATTAGCCAGGTACAGTGACACACACCTGTAGTCCCAGCTAGTCTAGGAGGCCGAGGCAGGAGAATTGCATGAACCTGGGAGGCGGGAGGCGGAGGTTGCGGTGAGCCGATATTGTGCCATGGCACTCCAGCCTGGGTGACAGAGCGAGACTCAGTCTCAAAAAAAAAACAAAACAACAACAAAAAAATACTCTATAAATCTGAATGAAAAAATATGGATTATTTCTTCCATTATTCAATAGACACATCTTTTTAAAAAAAAATGGGCAGGAGGCTTAAAGTGTCCCTTTATTTCACAAAAAAATAATATTCAAATGGCTAATGACATAAAAATACGCTCAAACTCATTAATAAACAGAGAAATCCAAATTAAAGCCTTAACAAGACAGTACTACACATTTCAATATAGCTTAAATTGAAATAATTAACAATACCAAGTGTTGATGAGGATGTGGAGCAAGGAAAGCTTGCATCCACTGCTGCAGGGAGTGTAAGTTGGTGTAAGTTTGGAAACTGGCTGGGCATGGTGGCTCACCCCAGTAATTTCAGCACTTTGGGAGGCTGAGGCGGGAGGATTGCTTGAGCTCAGGTGTTCCAGAGCAGCCTGGGCAGTATAGTGAGACCCTGTCTCTACAAAAAAGAAAAAATGTTTTTTAATTAACCAGGCACAGTGGTGGGTGCCTGTGGTCCCAGCTACTCGGGAGGCTGGGGTAGAAGGATCACTTGAGTCCAGGAGTTCGAGGCTGCAGTGAGCCATGATCGAGCCACTGCACTACTGCTTGAGAGACAGAGTGAGACTATGTCTCTTAAAAAAAAAAAAAGGAAACTATTTGATATTCCCTACTAAAGCTAAATATGTGAATATGCACATATCCTATGATACAGTAATTCCAGTCTTAGATATATATCTAACAGACCAACAGAAATGTATCAAAATGTTTATTGCAATACATTTGTTATATCCAAAAACTAAGAATAGCAAAAATGCCCATCAACAATGGAATACATAAGTAAGTTGTAGTATATACATATAGTGGAACACTATACAGAAAGAAATAGCTATGTGGAGCAACATGTATGAATCTGAGAAGCACAACGATGAACAAGAGAAGCCACATGCTAACGATATACTACATGATTCCACTTACATAAAGTTTGAACAAGCATAGCTAAACTCTGGTGTTAAAGCCAAGAGATTGCCTTTGGGGTAAGGGAGGATGCAATGATTGGGATTGGGCATGAGAGGGGTTTCTGGTGTGTTAGCAATATTTACTTTGTTGCCTTGAAAGGTGATCAAGGAATGTATTTTGTGATAATCCAGTAAACTTCACTTTTATGGTTTGTATATTTTTTTGTTCCTTGTTTATATTTTAATTTTTAAGGTTCAAAATAAAAAATGAAATAGCTTGGTCGTGAAAAGCAGTAGAGAGCTAGGAGTACTGGACAGACTTAATATGTTTAAATGTGGCCAGAGGCACCTGCCTTGAGCAGTGGAAAACACCTCAGTCTCAGGCTGATGATACAGGAGAGAAACAACAATGGGCGGACCAAGCTCATCACTTATTTTCAGGAACACATTGTTTTCATATTTGCCCTTCCAGGTCCTGTACGAAAAACTGCTTCCACTAAACTAAATGATCAATTCATTTACATTAACATGTGATATGGTTTGGCTCTGTGTGCCCACCCAAATCTCATGTCGAATTGTAATCCTCACATGTCAGGGGAGGTGGGAGGTGGGAGGTGATTGCCTCATGGGGGCGGATTTCCCCCATGCCGTTCTCGTGGTAGTGAGTGAGTTCTCATGAGATCTGATTGTTTAGAAGTGTGGCACTCCCCCTCTCTCTCTCTTCTGCCACCAAGTGAAGAAGGTTCTTGCGTCCCCTTCACTTTCCTCCATGATTGTAAGTTTCCTGAGGCCTCCCAGTCATGCTTCTTGTTAAGCCTGTGGAACCATGAGTCAATTAAACCTCTTTTCTTCATGAATTACCCAGTCTCAGGTAGTTCTTTATAGCAGTGTGAGAACGAACTAATACAACATGTAAATCCTGTAATTCTAGGGTTGTATGTGCTATTAGAGATCATATATTCCAATTACTCATCCAAGTGCATAAAAAGACAGACAATAGCTTAACTAGTAACATCCCCAGGCTTAGATTGGACTGTAGACTAAATCTTCCACTATAGAAGTTAGGTGTCAGATTGCTAGGCTGGGGAGGAAATTTCAGTCCCCTGAAATCCTTTGTCTAGGTTTGGGCTGTGCTTGAATTGTTTCACTTTGAAGGAGATATTTTGCTTGGAGCTTTGAATCATGTAAAGGTGAAAGATACTAAATCCTCAGAAGTTGTTCCAATTATCTTTTGCTGAACCATCCCAAGTTCAGTGGCATAAAACAGCAACCAGGATATTATGCTCACAGATCCTGTTGGTCAACAATCTTGAAAGGGCACAGCTTGAGCAATTGTCTCTGTTCCATGAGGTCTGGGGCCTCAGCTAGGAAGACTCCAAAGCTAGTGTGGCAGGGGCAGAGGAGATAATGTGACTCAACACCTAGGTAGGATAATTGACTGTCTTGGTTTGCCCAGGACAGGAGGGAGTCAAGATAGTCCATCTAGACTGGGGACTGCAGTCATCTGAAGACTCACTTATTAGATGTCCGGTCATTAATGTTGACTGTTGGCTGAGCACCTAATTGGAGTTATTGACAGGAATACCTTCACATGGACACTCCATGTGGCATCTTGGGCATCCTCACAGCATGTTGGCCAGGTTCCAAAAGTAAGTGCCCCAAGGGAACCAGGCAGACTTCATCACCACTTTCTGTGGTCTATTCTCAGAAGTCACATAGTGTCACCCAGTCACATTGAAGGGAAGGGATCATAGATACCACCTCTCTATAACAGAAGAGTCAAAGGCACAGCACGTCATAAGAAGAGCATGTGGGCTTGGAGATATTGTTGTGGCCATCTTTTGAAAATACAATCTGCCACAGTTGTATACAGAGCCCACTGAGACACTTCGGGGACTTGAGCATACATAGGTGGTGGGCATGGGGGAGAGGGAGCAAAAGAAATTCATTCTCTCAAATTCTTCTCACTATATTCCACATGTAATAAGTCAGTTTCTATCCCGTGGGTTTAATTTTTTTTTTTTTCAGACGGAGTCTCGCTCTGTCACCCAGGCTGGAGTGCAGTGCCACAATCTTGGCTCACTGTAGCCTCTGCCTCCGGGGTTCAAGTGATTCTCCTGCCTCAATCTCCTGAGTAGCTGGAATTATAGGCACCTGCAACCACACCCAGCTAATTTTTTGTCATTTTTAGTAGAGATGGGGTTTCACCATGTTGACCAGGCTAGTCTCGAACTCCCGACCTCAAGTGATCCACCTGCCTCGACCTCCCAAAGTGCTGGGATTACAGACGTGAGCCACCGTGCTCAGCCCTGTGGGTTTAAATTTTTAACTATGGGCTAGAATTCAACAAAATAATGGGCAAAAATGGGGGCAACGTGGCTAGCAAGGTCACATATTCAAATTTCAGGTATGTTTTATACCTTTGGGTGACATTATATGAGCATCAAGTGGCATCTGATGTTGTAAGACTATCAGCTTAGGAGTCAGAGATTCTGTCTCTGCCTCCTCTGCTAGCACCTCCATTGATTCATCTTGTGACATTTGTCAACTCACTTTGCATCTCAGGTGCCTCATTTTTTGAAATGAGAATGATAGCAGAACTTGAACTATCCACTTCACAGCCGTAGGAATCAAATAAGTATGAAAAACTGCCGCAGAAACATAAGGCATCACAGTATTACAGGCGTACCTCATTTTATTGCACTTTGTGGATTTTCTTTTGCAATGCTTTCATTATAGATACTGTATTTTTTACAAATTGAAGGTTTGTGGCAATCCTGGATTGACCAAGTCCACTGGCACCATTTTTAACAGCACGTGCTCACTTGGTGTCACTGCATCCACATTTTGGTAATTCTCACAAGATTTCCAACTTTTTTATTATTATTGTACCTGTTATGGTGATCTGTGATCAGTGATCTTTGATGTTACCATTGTAACTGTTTTGGGCTGCTATGAACCACGCTCATATGAGACAGTGAACTTGATAAATGTTGTGTATCCTCTGACTGCTCCTCTGACTTGGCTGTTCCTCTTGTCTCTTTCCCTCTCCTCAGCCTCCCTATTCTCTGAGACACAATATTAAAATTAGGCCAATTAGTAACCCCACCATGGCCTCCATGTGTTCAAGTGAAAGGAGGAATAACACATCTCTCACATTAAAACAAAAACTAGAAATGATTAAGCTTCGTGAAGAAGGCACATCTAAACCCAAGGCAGGGCTGGGTGTGGTGGCTCACACCTGTAATACCAGCACCTTGGGAGGCCAAGGCAGGTGGATCAACTGAGGTCAGGAGTTCGAGACCAGCCTGGCTAACATGGTAAAACCCCGTCTCTACTAATAATACAAAAATTAGCCAGGTGTAGTAGCACATGCCTGTAATCCCAGCTACTCAGGAGGCTGAGGCACAAGAATTGCTTGAACCCAGGAGGTGGAGGTTGCAGTGAGCTGAGATCACACCATTGCACTCCAGCCTGGGTGACAGAGTGAAACTGTGTTTGTTTTTGTTTTTAAAAAAGAAAAAGAAAAAACAAAAAACCCAAGGTAGGCCAAAAGCTAGGCCTCTCCAACAAACATATGAAAAAAAGCTCATCATCACTGGTCATTAGACAAATGCAGATCAAAACCACAATGATATACCATCTCACACCAGTTAGAATGGCAATCATTAAAAAGTCAGGAAACAACAGGTGCTGGAGAGGATGTGGAGAAATAGGAACTCTTTTACACTGTTTATGGGAGTGTAAATTAGTTCAACCATTGTGGAAGACAGTGTGGTGATTCCTCAAGGATCTAGAACCAGAAATACCATTTGACCCAGCAATCACATTACTGGGTATATACCCAAAGGATTATAGATCATTCTACTATAAAGACACATGCAAATGTATGTTTATTGAAGCACTATTCACAAGAGCAAAGACTTGCAACCAACCCAAATGCCCATCAATGATAGACTGGGTAAAGAAAATGTGGCACGTAAACACCATGGAATACTATGCAGCCATAAAAAAGGATGAGTTCATGTCCTTTGCAGGGACATGGATGAAGCTGGAAACCATCATTCTCAGCAAACTAACACAGGAACAGAAAACCAAACACCACATCTTCTCACTCATAAGTGGAAATTGAACAATGAGAACACATGGACACAGGGAGGGGAACATCACACACAGGGGCCTGTTGGGGGTGAGGGGGCTAGGGGAGGAACAGGATTAGGAGAAATACCTAATGTAGATGATGGGTTAATGGGTGCAGCAAACCACCATGGCACGTGTATACCTATGTAACAAACCTGCACACTCTGCACATGTATCCCAGAACTTAAAGTATAATTTAAAAAAAAAAATTTTAATAATAAAATATACAAACTTGGAATATATAAAAAAAAAGCCAGGCCTCTTGTGCCAAACAGCCAAGTTGTGAATGCAAAGGAAAAGTCCTTTTTTTTTTTTTTTTGAAAAGGTCTTGAAAAAAATTAAAAGTGCTACTCCAGTGAACAAATGAGTGATAAGAAAGCAAAACAGATACATTGCTGATTTGGAGAAAGTTTTAATAGATTAAACATCAAACCAGCCACAACATTCCTGTAAACCAAACCTAATCCAGAACAAGGCCCTAACTCTTCAATTCTATGAAGGCTGAGAGAAGTGAAGAAGCTGCAGAAGAAAAGTTTGATGCTAGCAAAGGTTTAAGGAAAGAAGCCATCTTTATAACATCAAAGGCAAAGTGAAGCAACAAGAGCTGATGTAGAAGCTGCAAGTTATTCTGAAGATCTAGCTAAGACCATTGATGAAGTTGGCTATTATAAGCAGCACATTTTCAATGTAGATGAAACAGCCTTCTATTGGAAGAAGATGCCATCTAGGACTTTCATAGCTAGGCAGGAGAAGTCAATGCCTGGCTTCAAAGTTTCAAAGGACATGCTGACTTTCTTGTTAGGGGCTTATGCAGCTGATGACTTGAAGTTGAAGCTGGTGCACACTTACCATTCCAAAAATCCTGGGTTCCTTAAGAATTATGATAAATCTACTCTGCCTGTGCTCCATAAATGGAACAAAAGAGCCTGTATGATAGCACACCTGTTTACAGGATTGTTCATTGAATATTTTAAGCCCACTGTTGAGACCTATTGCTTAGAAAAAATGATTCATTTCAAAATATTACTGCTCATTGACAATGTACCTGGTCACCCAAGAGCTCTGATGGAGATCGTGAGAAACAAACTTACCTCTCCAAACCCAAAGAATGGACTCAGAGACACAGGGAATAGTGGGAGCAAGATTTTTAATGACATTCTTGCAAGATCGGGTGTCTGATGCGCAGACACACACAGCATGGTTACAACAAGCCATTTATCCCCTAGTATACAGATCCCTCACCTGGTTCCTCATAGGCTGAGTACTATGGGGTCACAATCTTTCCAGACGTCGCCTATTGGTTGTTAGGTAGGCGCTTTTAGGTGTCTTATTTAGGGTTATCTCACTGCATTTTGTTGCAGCCTACAATGCATTGCAATCACAGTCAGCTCAGGGGCTTTTCAAGTATTTGACTTATGACCTAGGTAGTCAGGCGAGCTGATAGGAATAGATAAAGTGAGCTATTTTGCAGTCTAGTAAACTTTTATTCTAGATTAAACTTCTTTGGTTCTGATGAGGGCAACTAAGTGGGGCCCCAACAAGTAGGTGCTGGCTATTAAAGCAGGGGCCTAGTATATTCTGTCTTTCTGTAGTTTGCGGACCCAAGCCTATTCAAGGCACTTTGTCTTGGAAATGGACCATCATATACATTATTTCCTTCACGATGTACAGGAGATTAATGTTGTTTTAATGCCTGCCAACACAGCATTCATTCTGTAACCCCTGGATCAGCAGTAATTTTGACTTTCAAGTCTTATTTCTTAAGAAGTACATTTCCAGGCCAGGCATGGTGACTCATACCTGTAATTCCAGCACTCTAGGAGGCTGAGGTGGGTGGATCACAAGGTCAGGAGTTCGAGACCAGCCTGGCCAATATGGTGAAACCCCTTCTCAACTAAAAATACAAAAATTAGCCGGGCGTGGTGGCACATGCCTGTAGTCCCAGCTACTCGGGAGGCTGAGGCAGGAGAATTGCTTGAACCTGGGAGGCAGAGGCAAGATTGTGCCACTGCAATCCAGCCTGGATGACAGAGCGAGACTCCATCTCAAAAAAAAAAAAAAAAAAAGTACATTTCCCAGCCTGAGCAACATGGTAAAACCCCATCTCAACCAAAAATACAAAAAATTACCTGAGTGTGGCATGCGCCTGTGGTCCCAGACACTCGGGAGGCTGAGGTAGGAGGACCACTTGAGCATGGGAGGTGGAGACTGCAGTGAGCTGAGATTGCACCACTGCACTCCAACTTTGGTGACAGAGTGAGACCCCATCTCGAAAAAATAAATAAAGTACATTTCATAATGCTATAGTTGCCACAGAGTGATGCTTCTGATGGATCTGGGCAAAGTAAATTGAAAATCTGCTGGAAAGGATTCACCACTCTAGATGCCATTAGGAACATTTTAGTCCTTCAGTGTAAATAAGGTTAAAAAAAAAGTAAAAATAAAAAAAGAATCTTCATTATTCAAGGGAAAAGTCAAAATATCAACATTAACAGGCATTCGGAAGGAGTTGATTCCAATCCTCATGGATAATTTTGAAAGGTTTAAAACTGCAGCAGAGGAAGTAACTGCAGATGTGCTGGAGATAGCAAGAGAATTAGAACTAGAAATTGATCCTGAAGATGTGACTGAATTACTGTAATCTCATGATAGAACTTGAACAGATGAGGAGTTGCTTCTTATGAATGAGCAAAAAAAATGTGGTTTCTTGAGATGAAATCCACTCCTGGTGATGATGCCATGAACATTGTTGAAACGACAACAAAAGATTTAGAATATTACATAAATGTAGTTGATAAAGCAGCAGCAGAGTTTCAAAGGACAAACTCCAATTTTGAAAGATTTACTGTGGGTAAAATGCTATCAAACAGCATTGTATGCTACAGAGAAATCTTTTACAAAAGAGTCAATCAACGTGGCAAACTTCATTGTTGTCTTATTTTAAGAAATTGCAGCTGGTTACAGTGGCTCACACTTGTAATCCCAGCACTTTTGAAGGCCAAGGAGGGAGGATCATTAGAGGCCAGCAGTTTGAGATTGTAATAAACTATGACTGCACTGCTGTATTCCAGCTTGGGCAACAGAGTGAGACTCTGTCTCAAAAAAAAAAAAAAAAAAATTACCACAGCTATTCCAACGTTCAGCAACCACCAACATTATCAGTCAACAACCATCAACACTGAGATAAGACCCTCCATGAGCAAAAAGATTATGACTTGTTGGAGGCTCAGATGATCATTTTTAAGTAACAACGTATTTTTAAATTAAAGTGTTTTTTTAACATAATGATTTACACATTTAATAGACTACAGTATAGTGCAAACATAACTTTTATATGCACTGGAAAACCAGAAAATTTGTGTTACTCACTTTATTGCAATATTGGCTTTATTGCAATGGTCTGGGACCAAACTCGCAATATCTCTGAGGTATGCCTGTATATGGATGTGTCAAGTTTAGCATCTGCTGTCATCAGGAAAGCTAAGTATAGAAGCAAAAGCAGGAATAGCCCTGGATGGGAGTGCAGTAAAAATGACTTCGGGTCCCTGTAAGACCTGTAATTAAGACCTTGAGCCAAACTAATTACTTATCCTTGACTTAATAAGTTAAAACATTTTTGACAAAACAAGGACAAACAATTAGATGAAAAAAACTGTGTGTAACTTATTAATACAACGATGCTATACATCAACTGAAGTCTAAGTATATTCCTTATTTTGGGGAAATAATATAGAAAAAGTACAGTTCCTATGATTTTTACAAGATCCATAGCTGAACAAACTTTTAAATTTATTCCTATTTTATCTATCTAAAGATCTATTCTGCTGAAACTCATGATGCAGAAAATGGAGCATATTGCAGAAAAGGCTATACTGGGAAATAATTCAGAATGGAAAGGTAATAATCACAAGCAGCTGTGGAAAGTGGTTGTAAATAATTAAATGAAAAAAAATGAGATCAGGCGCAGTGCCTCACACCTGTAATCCCAGCACTTTGGGAGGCCAAGGTGGGTGGATCACCTGAGGTCAGGAGTTTGAGACCAGCCTGGCCAACATGGTGAAACCCCATCTCTATTAAAAAAACGAAAATTAGCCAGGCATGGTGATAGGCATCTGTAATCCCAGCTACTCGGGAGGCTGAGGCAGGAAAATCACTTGAACCTAGGAGGCAGAGGTTGCAATGAGCTGAGATCGTGCCACTGCACTCCAGCCTGGGTGACAGAGCAGGACTCCATCTCAGAAAAAAAAAAAAAATGAGTAACACTAAAAAAGAAATTAAATATCTCAAATTAATAACGAGTCTAGTAAAGAAATCACAGATTGAAGGAATGATAGCAACCACCTAGATGGATAAGGAATTTTATTTCATTTCTGTTCCTAAGACAGTAAGTTTATGAACAGCTCACAGTGGTATAAAGAATAATTTAAGGCAGGGGGTGGTGGCTCACTCCTGTAATCCCAGCACTTTGGGAGGCCGAGGTTGGTGGATCACTTAAGTTCAGGAGTTCGAGGCCAGCCTGGCCAACATGGTGAAACCCCATCTCTACTAAAAATACAAAAATTACCCGGACATGGTGGTGTGCACCTGTAATCTCAGCTACTTGGGAGGCTGAGGCAGGAGAATCCCTGGAACCTGGGAGGCAGAGGTTGCAGTGATCCAAGATTGTGCTACTGCACTCCAGCCTGGGCAACAGAGCTAGACTCCGTCTCAAAAAACAAAAACAAAAACAAAAACAAAACTTAAAAGGCATTGTAGGTAAGTTAATCCTTGCTTTATTATCGTTAGGCTAGGAAAATTGCTTGCCCAAAAAGAGGTGCTTTGGGTCTCAGCTTCTAGTTAATCCTTTGAGGCGTTCTCACCTGGATTTTTGTCCCTGAGTTGTGACAATGTCTCCCAAAGTTTCAATGATCACCTTTACACAGATGTCTCTGTCTCTCTAACTTCACCATTCTAGGGGCCTCACATTCATGTCACTAATGGTCTACTGATTATAGTGTAATTAATTCTCCCATTTTGCCCAGAAATAGAGGGTTTCTGGGTGGACTTTCAGTGCCAAAGCTGGGAAAGGGCTATCTAAAAGTGCTGGGATTACAGGCATGAGCCAACATGCCCAGCGAGATCATGCCACTGCACTCCAGCCTGACGACAGAGTGAGACTTCGTCTCAAAAAAAAAAAAAAAAAAAAAAAAATTAGCCGGGTTGACTGTAATCCCAGCTACTCAGGAGGCTGAGGCAGGAGAATTGCTTGAACCCAGGAGGTGGAGGTTGCATTGAGCCAAGATTGCGCCATTGCACTCCAGCCTGGGCAACAAGAGCATAACTCTGCCTCAAAAAAAAAAAAAAAATTGTTCTCGGCCAGGCATAGTGGCTCACACCTGTAATCCCAGCAATTTGGGAGGCCGAGGTGGGTGGATCACCTGAGGTCAGGAGTTCAGGACCAGCCTGGCCAATATGGTGAAACCTCGTCTCTACTAAAAACACAAAAATTAGCTGTGCATTGTGACACATGCCTGTAATCCCACCTACTTGGGAGGCTGAGGCAGGAGAATCGCTTGAACCCGGGAGGCGGAGGTTGCGGTGAGCCAAGATCATGCTATTGCACTCTAGCCTGGGTGATAAGAGGAAGACTCCATCTCAAAAAAAAAAAAAGAAAAGAGAATGGTTCTCATTTTTTCACACATGAACTATTGCAAAGGCCTCCTGTTATAAAATGAAATGATATTTAAAATATTCACCCCTAGCATATGTCTCATTACTTGTATTTATGTATTTGTTCTTCTTTCTTTCTTTCTTTCTTTCTTTCTTCTTTCTTTTTCTTTCTTTCTTTCTTTTTTTAATGGAGACAGAGTCTCGCTCTATTGCCCAGGCTGGAGTGCAGTGGCACTATCTCGGCTCACTGTTACCTCTGCCTCCTGGGCTCAAGCGGTTCTCCCTCCTCAGCCTCCTGAGTAGCTGGGACTATAGGCATGTGCCACCATGCCCAGCTAGTTTTTTGTATTTTTTAGTAGAAATGGGGTTTTGCCATGTTGGCCAGGCTGGTCTCAAACTCCTGACCTCAAGTGATCTTCCCACCTCGGCCTCCCAGTGTGCTGGGGTTAGAAGTGAGCCACCGCACCTGGCCTTATGTTTCCTGATTAATAAAAATTAATATGTCTTAGTTTCAGTGAAAGGCTGAGTAAGTGTTCTAGAGTAAAGGAGACTAAAGGGACAAGATAGAATCTTGGTTCTGGCAGGATAGTGTTGCTACAAAGGATAACATTGAAATAATCAGTGAAAACTGAGTATGGACTGTGTATCAGGTGATAGTATTTTTTTCTCTTTTTTTAAAGTAGAGGCAGCACATGGAAGCTGACATCGTGAATTTTTGCCCCAGAACAACTGCAGGAATAAATCAGGTCCTCTCAGGAGAGGACCCACAGACCTCCTGAAGGAAGCAGATTGCTCCTGCAGGACCAGGGAGACACCTCAAATACTGTGAGTGCCAAAACTGTGGAAGTGGGAAAGGGAGATGGTCCACCCCGAACACACCCACTGGGGAAACTGAAGGCCTAGATTATGGGAGAAGATTTCGACCCTATCTGGAACTGAGTCAGTTTAGCGAGCTGAGTGAAATACAGGGGTAGAGGAAGCAGCAGGAAAACCCCTGGGAGCTCCCTGGGTCCCCTAGCAACCTGTTTCTGCCTGGTCTCACAGGGGTCCTCCAGGAGAGCGGCCAGAGGTGCTGGGCCAAGGCCACAGGGAGAAGGAAATCTCCAGCTGAACTCTGTAACAATTTGAACTGATAGAGAAGCCTCCTGGCCAGAACTCAGGGGAGGGTGTGAATCCAGTGTGCAGACTCCACAGGCTGGGGTAGAAGGAAAGGCATATTTGCTTTCACAGCTAGGAGGCGGGTAGCCTGGGGCAAGTTTTTAGCTCTGCTCTCCCACTGCCTGGAAACAGACTAGGTGCTGTTGTAGGGTTGCACAGTGGGAGTGAGACCAGCCCTTTGGATTGCGTGGGAGCTGGGTGAGGCCTGTGACTGCCAGCTTTCCCCAACCTCTCTGACAACGTGCATGACACAAAAGAGGCAGCCATAATCCTCCTAGGTACACAACTCCATTGACCTGGGAACCTCAGCCCCATCCCCTACAGCAGCCACAGCAAGACCCGCCCAAGGAGAGTCTGAGCTCAGACACGCCTAGCCCTGCCCCATCTGATGGTCCTTCCCTACCCACCCTGGTAACTGAAGACAAAGGGCATACATTCTTGGGAGTTCTAGGGCCCCACCCACTGCCTGTTCCTCTCCATACTACCACAGCTGATGCTCTCTGGAAAGCGCCACCTCCTGGCAGGAGGCAACCAGCATAAAAGTAGGGCATTAAACCATCAAAGCTAAGAACCCTCATAGAGTCCATTTCACCCCTCTGCCACCTCCACTAGAACAGGTGCTGATATCCACAGCTGAGAGACCCACAGACGGTTCACATCACTGAACTCTGTGCAGACAGCCTCCAGTACTGGCCCAGAGCCTGGTAGACTTGCTGGGTCGCTAGATCCAGAAGAGTTATAATAATCACTACAGCTCAGCTCTCAGGAAGCCACATACATAGGAAAAGGGGGAGAGTACTACATCAAGGGAACACCCCATGGGACAAAAGAATCTGAACAACAGCCTTCAGCCCTAGACCTTCCCTCTGACAGAAACTACCAAAATAAGAAGGAACCAGAAAACCAACTCTGGTAATATGACAAAACAAGGTTGTTTAACACCCCCCAAAAAAATCATACTAGCTCACCAGCAATGAACCCAAACCAAGAAGAAATCCAGATTTACCCAAAAAAGAATTCAGGTGGTTAGTTGTTAAGCTAATCAGGGAGGCAGCAGAGAAAGGTGAAGCCCAGTGTAAGCAAATCCAAAATATGATACAAGAAGTGAAGAGAGAAATATTCAAGGAAATAGATAGCATAAATAAAAAACAATCAAAACTTTTGGAAACAATGGACACACTTATAGAAATGCAAAATGCCCTGGAAAGTCTCAGCAATAGAATTGAACAAGTAGAAGAAAGAAATTCAGAGCTCAAAGACAAGGTCTTTGAATTAACCCAATCCAATAAAGACAAAGAAAAAAGAATAAGAAAATATAAACAAAGCCTCCAAGAAGTCTGGGATTATGTTAAATGACCAAATATAAGAATAATTGCTGTTCTTGAGAAAGGAGAGAAATTTAAAAGTTTGGAAAACATATTTGGGGGAATAATTGAGGAAAACTTACCCAACCTTGCTAGAGACCTAGACATCCAAATGCAAGAAGCACAAAAACACCTGGAAAATTCATCACAAAAAGATCATCGTCTAGACACATTGTCATCAGGTTATCTAAAGTTAAGATGAAGGAAAGAATCTTAACAGCTGAGAGACAAAAGCACCAGGTAACACATAAAGGAAAATCTATCAGATTAACAGCAGATTTCTCAGCAGAAAACCTACAAGCTAGAAGGGACTGAGGCCATATCTTCAGCCTCCTCAAACAAAACAATTATCAGCCAAGAATTTTGTATCCAGCAAAATTAAGCTTCATATATGAAGAAAAGATACAGTCTTTTTCAGACAAACAAATGCTGAGAGAATTTACCACTACCAACCCATCAGTACAAGAACTGTTAAAAGGAGCTCTAAATCTTGACACAAATCCTGGAAACACATCAAAACAGAACCTCTTTAGAACATAAATCACACAAGACCTATAAAACAAAAACACAATTAAAAAAAAAACATCAAGGTATACAGGCAACAAATAACATGATGAATGGAATGGTACCTCACATCTCAATACTAACATTGAATGTAAGTGGTCTAAATGCTCCACTTAAAAGATAAAGAATTGCAGAATGAATAAGAATTCACCAACCATCTTATATGGGTATGAGGACTCACACAAACTTAACGTAAAGGGGTGGAAAAAGATATTTCATGCAAATGGATACAAAAAGCACGCAGGAATAGCTATTCTTATATTAGACAAAACAAACTTTAAAGCAACAGCAGTTAAAAAAGACAAAGAGGGACATTATATAATGATAAAAGGCCTTGCCTAACAAGAAAATATCATAATCCTAAACATATATGCACCTAACACTGGAGCTCCCAAATTTATAAAACAATTACTAATAAATCTAAGAAAAGAGATAGACAGCAACATAATGTTAAATACAGTGAGTTCTAAGTTTCTCTTCAAAGAATCAGTATGTCAGTATGTTCAGTTCTTTGTTCTCCATTTTAAAGTTTAACTTCCTCATTCTCTTCTTCTCCTCGCCCCTAGTTTCAGTAAACAACCTTCCCACCAGTTCCAATCAGTAGTTCACATCTGTTCCCCTGGTCACCTGCTCCATCCTGAGTCAACCTTGGTCACCTGCTCTGACCTGAGTCACCTTTAGTCACCTGTTCCGTAACTGTCTTTACTGACGAAACTGCTCACCCCGCCACTCTGGCTCATACCCCTGCTCCTTTAAAATAGTCGGTCGGAATTAGCTTAGACTGTGTGGTTCAACACTCGCCAATAGGGGACTGACACAGCAGTAGGGACTACTTCCATCAAAGATAAGAACCCCTTCCCCTCCATTGTTCAGGTGTGCTCTCGCCATTGCTCCATCTGCAAGACACACCCCTCTATAGAAGTAAAATTGCCTTGCTGAGAAAATTTATGTTTGAGTGCTATTCCTTCTGCAGCAACAAAATTTATTTCTGACAATAATAATAGTGGGTAACCTCAATACTCCACTGACAGCACTAGATAGGTCATCAAGACAGAAAGTCAATAAAGAAACAATAGATTTAAAGATTTAAACTATACCCTAGAACAGATGGACTTAACAGATATATACAGAACATTCCATCCAACAACCACAGAATATACACTCTATTCAATAGCGCATGGAACTTTCTCCAAGATAGAACATATGATAGGCCACAAAACGAACCTCAATAAATTTTAAAAAACTGTAATTACATCAAACACTCTCTGAGACCACAGTGGAATAAAACTGGAAATCAACTCCAAAAGGAACCTCCAAAACCATGCAAATACATAGAAATTAAATACCCTGCTCCTGAATGATCATTGGGTCAGAAATGAAATAAAGATGAAAATTTAAAAATTATTCGAACTGAACAACAATAGTGACACAACCTATCAAAACCTCTGGGACACAGCAAAGGCAGTGCTAAGAGGAAAGTTCATAGCCCTAAATGCCTACATCAAAAAGTCTGAAAGAACACAAACAGACAATCTAAGGTCACACCTCAAAGACCTAGAGAAACAAGAACAAACCAAACCCAAACCCAGCAGAAGAAAGGAAATAACCAAAATCAGAGCAGAACTAAATGAAATTGAAACAACAACAAATACAAAAGATAAATAAAGCAAAAAGCTGGTTCTTTGAAAAGATAAATAAAATTGATAGACCATTAGCAAGATCAACCAAGAAAAAAGAGAGAAAATCCAAATAAGCTCAATAAGAAAAGAAACAGGAGATATTAAAATTGACATCACAGAAATACAAAAGATAATTCAAGGCTACTGTGAACATCTTTATGCACATAAATTAGAAAACCTAGAAGAGATGGATGAATTCTTGGAAAGATACAACCCTCCTAGCTTAAATCAGGAAGAATTAGATACCCTGAACAGACCAATAACAAGCAGCAAGGTTGAAATGGTAATTTAAAAATTACCAGCCCAGCGCAGTGGCTTGTGCCTGTAATCCCAGCACTTTGGGAGGCCAAGGCGGGCAGATCACCTGAGGTCAGGAGTTCGAGACCAGCTTGACCAACATGGAGAAAACTCATCTCTACTAAAAATACAAAATTAGCCAGGCATGGTGGTGCATGCCTGTAATCCCAGCTACTTGGGAGGCTGAGGCAGAAGAATCACTTGAACCCAGGAGGCAGAGGTTGTGGTGAGCTGAGATCGCACAATTGCACTCCAGCCAGGGCAACGAGCAAAACTCTGACTCAAAAAAAAAAAAAAGTTACCAACAGGCCAGCCATGATGGCTCATGTCTATAATCCCAGCATTTTGGGAGGCTGAGACAGGTGGATCACCCGAGGTCAGGAGTTCAAGACCATCCTAGCCAACATGGTGTCTCAACTAAAAATACAAAAATTAGCCAGGCATGGAGGCACGTGCTGAGGTGGGAGAATTGCTTGAACCCAGGAGGCAGAGGTTGCACTGAGCTGAGATAATGTCACCGCACTCCAGCCAGGGCAACAGAGAGAGACTCCCTCTCAAAAAAAAAAAAAGAAAAAAAAATTACCAACACGAAAAAGTCCGGGATCAGACGGATTTACAGCAGAATTCTATGAGACTTTCAAAGAAGAATTGGTACCAATCCTATTGACACTATTCCACAAGATTAAAACAAAAAAAAAGGGAACCCTCCCTGAATCATTCTATGAAGCCAGTATCACCCTAATACCAAAATCAGGAAAGGACATAACCAAAAAAGAAAACTACGGACCAATATCCCTGATGAACACAGATGGTAAAATCCTTAACAAAATACTAGCTAACTGAATCCAACAACATATCAAAAGGATAATTCACCATGATCAAGTGGGTTTTATACGAGGGATGCAGGGATGGTTTAACATATGCAAGTCAATAAATGTGATACACCACATAAACAGAATTAAAAGCCAAATTCACATGATCATCTCGAAGGATGCAGAAAAAGCATTTGACAAAATCCAGCATCCCTTCATGATTAAAACTTTCAGCAAAATCAGTATAAAAGGGACATACCTCAATATAATAAAAGCCATCTATGGCAAACCCACAGCCAACATAATACTGAATGGGGAAAAGTTGAAAGCATTCCCTCTGAGAACTGTAACAAGACAAGAATGCCCATTCTCACTATCCCTCTTCAGTATACTACTGGAAGTCCTAACCAGAGCAATCAGACAAGAGAAAGAAATAAAGGGCATCCAAATTGGTAAAGATGAAGTCAAACCATTACTGTTTACTGATGATATGATTGTTTACCTAGAAAACCCTAAAGACTCCTCCAGAAAGCTCCTAGAACTGATAAAAGAATTCAGCAGGCTGGGCGTGGTGGCTCACTCCTGTAATCCCAGCACTTTGGGAGGCCAAGGTGGGTGGATCACGAGATCAAGAGATGGAGACCATCCTGGCCAACGTGGCGAAAGCCCATCTCTACTAAAAATACAAAAATTACCCGGGCATGGTGGCACGTGCCTGTAATCCCAGCTACTCGGGAGGCCGAGGCAGGAGAATCGCTTGAACTCAGGAGGCAGAGGTTGCAGTCAGCCGATATCGTGCCACTGCACTCCAGCCTAGTGACAAAGCGAGCTTCCATCTCAAAAAAAAAAAAAAAAAAAAGAAGAAGAAGAAGAAGAAGAAGAATTCAGCAAAGTTTCTGGATACAAAATTAATGTACACAAATCAGTAGCTCTTCTATACACCAACAGCAACCAAGCTGAGACTCAAATCAAGAACTCAACCCCTTTTAAAATAGCTGCAAAAATAAAGTAAAATACTTCGGGATATACCTAATCAAGAAGGTGAAAGACCTCTACAAGGAAAACTACAAAACACTGCTGAAAGAAATCATAGATGACACAAACAAATGGAAACACATCCCATGCTCATGGATGGGTAGAATCAATATTGTGAAAATGACCATACTGCCAAAAGCAATCTACAAATTCAATGCAATTCCCATCAAAATACCATCATCATTCTTCACAGAATTAGAAAAAACAATTCTAAAAATCATATGGAACCAAAAAAAAGCCCACATAGCCAAAGCAAGACTAAGCAAAAAGAACAAATCTGGAAGCATCACATTGCCTAATTTCAAACTATACTATAAGGCCATAGTCACCAAAACAGCATGTTACTGGTATAAAAATAGGCACATAGATCGATGGAACAGAATAGAGAACCCAGAAATAAACCCGAATACTTACAGCCAACTGATCTTTGACAAAGCCAAAAAACATAAAGTGGGGAAAGGACACCCTTTTCAACAAATGGTGCTGGAATAATTGGCTAGCTACATGTAGGAGAATGAAACTGGATCCTCATCTCTCACCTTACACAAAAATCAACTCAAGATGGATTAAGGACTTAAATCTAAGACCTGAAACTATCGAAATTCTAGAACATAATGTTGGAAAAACCCTTCTAGACATTGTCTTAGGCAAGGATTTCATGACCAAGAACCCAAAAGCAAATAAAATAAAAGCAAAGATAAATTGCTGGGACTTAATTAAACTAAAGAGCTTTTGCATGGCAAAAGGAACAATCAGCAGAGTAAACAGACAACCTACAGAGTAGGAAAATATCTTTACAATCTATACATCTGACAAAGGACCAATATCTAGAATCTACAATGAACTCAAACAAATCAACAAGAAAAAAACAAACTATCTTGGCTGGGTGTAGTGGCTCACACCTGTAATCCCAGCACTTTGGGAGGCCAAGGCAGACGGATCACCTGAGGTCGGGAGTTTGAGACCAGCCTGACCAACATGGAGAAAACCCATCTCTACTAAAAATACAAAATTAGCCAGGCATGGTGGTGGGTGCCTGTAATCCCAGCTACTCGGGAGGCTGAGGCCGGAGAATCCCTTGAACCTGGGAGGCAGATGTTGCAGTGAGCCAAGATCACACCATTGCACTCCAGCCTGGGCAACAAGAGCTAAACTCCATCTCAAAAACAGCAACAACAACAATAACAAGCCATCAAAAAGTGGTCTAAGGACATGAATAGACAATTCTCAAAAGATATACAAGTGGCCAAAAAACATGAAAAAATGTATGATCAGGGAAATGCAAATCAAAACCACAATGCGATACCACCTTACTCTTGCAAGAATGGCCACAATCAAATGAATGAGACTCCGTCTCAAAAAAAAAAAAAAGAAAAAAAAGGAAAGAGAAGAAACTGTGATATATATATGATGGAATACTACTTGGCCACAAAAAGGAATGGATTAATGGCATTCACAGTGACCTGGATGAGACTGGAGACTATTATTCTAAGTGAAGTAACTCAGGAACTGAAAACAAAACGTCGTGTGTTTTCATAAGCAGGAGCTAAGCTATGAGGATACAAAGACCTAACAATGACACAATGGACTTTCGGGACTCAGAGGGCAAGGGTGGGAAGGCGGTGAAGGATAAAAGACTACAAATAGGGTGCAGTGTATACTGCTCAGGTGATGAGTGCACCAAAATCTCACAAATCACTAAAGATCTTACTCATGTAACCGAACACCACCTATTCCCCCAGTAAGCTATGGAAATAAAAAATTAAAAAATAAAATAAAATGAAGCAGTCTTGCTATTGGTGCCCAGGCTGGTCTCAAACTCTTGGGCTCAAGCATTCCTCCCACCTTGGCCTCTCAAAGTGTTGGAATTATAGGCATGAGCCACCACACCTGGCCCAGGCAATAGTATTTTATCAGCATTAAATTTATTGAGTTACATTATCACTCTGTAGTTATTATCCTAACGTCCTTGTTCTTAAGATTATTTGCTATAGAGATGATGGGCCATAATCTCAACCACTTACTTTCATGTTTTCACGAAGAAAAGTTGTTTTAAAAATAAGAATAAGAAAGAAGTAAAATGAAAAATGAAACAGGTATCTTAGATATGTGTAAGTATTTGGCAATTTTGGTGAAACATTAACTAATCACTGACTACTCAGTGCCCAAATGTCTGTTTCAGGCAGTGTGTTCAAAGGTCCCATTCAAGGCAAATGCAATGAAGATCTGAGGTCTAGTGTCAGGTCAACATGAGTTGTAAAGTCAAAAGCATTCCAGAAGCCCCTTTCTCCACTAAATGCAGAGTTTAAGGGGTTCTATGAGCCAAAGTTTTGTGGAAGAACAAAGGGATTTGCAAAGCAAGTGCTTATCAAAGTAAAGTTTAGAGGGACTCTAATAAAGACAAAAGCACTGGATGGTCCGTCCCAACCCTGCTTTCCACTTTTTACTGCAACCCAGCCCTCTAATTTCTAAATTTTTTGTATCTCTGACATTAAGAAATGAAGTCTTGAAAAGGTAAATCTATAATGCAGGGTCAACTGGCTTTATGTCTTTTTTCTTTTCTTTTTTTTTTGAGATACCATTGGGCTCTGTTACCTAGGCTGGTATACAGTGGTGTGATCACAGCTCACTGTAACCTTGACCTTCTGGGCCGAAGCAATCCTTCCACCTCAGCCTCCAGAGTAGCTGGGACTACAGGCACATGCCACTACTCTAGGCCAAGTTTTGTATTTTTTGTAGAAATAGAGTTTCACTGTATTTCCCAGGCTAATCTCAGACTCCTGGGCTCAAGCAATCAGCCGACCTCAGCCTGCCAAAGTGCTGGCATTACAGGTATGAGCCACCATGCCTGGTTACTGGCTTTACGTCTTAAAGACACCGTATCAGAGCTGACCTCACTGGCTCTGAGTCTTTGAACTGGTGATTGGAGACCAAGTAACAGGCAGGTATACGAGGTTGGTCTAGGGAAAAAACACCTGTTTTGTGAATTTCAGGTCTCTGACAGCTTCCTCTACAAAGAGTCACCTCCTGAGATGTGGGAAAGGAGTGACAATGTGTTGTACTGACACTGCATCTAAGTTTCAAAGCCAGTGTGGTATTTCTCCAAAGCCCAAATTCCTAGCCTAAATGTCCTGCTGCCACATCAATGCCCCATACAATCTGGCCCTGTACTTTTGTCCCTTATCCAACCTACATGCATACTATTCCTTCAAACGTAGCTTAATTTTTAGCTATATCTAAATTACCTACCCCTCACTTAACCCATAATGCTTCTTTATGCCTCCATATATTTGCTTATGTTTTGCTTCTACTCAGATCACCCTTACCCCCCAGGGCATGCAAGAAACATCATCTTGCGTCAAGTTTATCCCAAATTTCTTTTTATCTTTCAAACCTTTAATAAATTCTTTTTTTTTTTTTTTTTTTTGAGACAGAGTCTCGCTCTGTCGCCCAGGCTGGAGTGCAGTGGCGCAATCTCGGCTCACTGCAAGCTCCGCCTCCCAGGTTCACGCCATTCTCCTGCCTCAGCCTCCCGAGTAGCTGGGACTACAGGCGCCTGCCACCACGCCCGGCTAATTTTTTTGTATTTTTAGTAGAGATGGGGTTTCACCTTGTTAGCCAGGATGGTCTCGATCTCCTGACCTCGTGATCTGCCCGCCTCGGCCTCGCAAAGTGCTGGGATTACAGGCATGAGCCACCGCGCCCGGCGCAACTCTTTTTTTTCTAACTTCTCCAAGCAGAGGTTGTTCTCCCACATTAAGACCTTATACAGACTTTTATTATAATTTGTATTATTTTCCTTTTTATTTTTGATTAGTTTTCATGTCTGTCCTTTTGATTAGATGTAAACTCCTTCAAAGCCAAAACTGAGTCATAGCAATTGTTTTTTTTTTTCCTGTGGTCCACTATTTCAATTCCTTTCCTGTCAGCACAGGTTTCTCCTTATACAATACCAGCCCCGCAAAGTGTCTTCTCCTTTTCAATTTCAACACCCACACCCAACTTTTTCATGGAATTTGCTCCCTTCCTATTCAGGTGTGTACTCTTTTAATTACTGATCCCTAAACACTTGGAGCAACAAGAGGTCTAACTCCATCACCTTGCAGTAGAATGCTGACAGGTAGCCAGAGCATCAGTGGAGGTGCACTTCCTTTCTGGATCACTCAGCCTGATGTTTCTTTCCATTCACTGGCTATTGTATGACGTATCTGTGGTGCTTACAGCCCAGGTTGGTCTGGAACACATCCATTTCCCTACTTATGATGGTAGAATGGATAGTTTGGGTATGGAAGGAAGCCCCTCAGTTGGATGAGGCTGTGAAGAAACAAGGGCAGGGATGCAAATAGAAGTGGAGACTGGAGTGGAAGGCCATTGTGTTAATTAGCTTGATTGCTGAGAAGATACAAAAAAATGAGTGACTGGGAAGAGGCAAGAGCCACACCTGGCCCCATCTGTTGCATGTTACTTATTGCGTTAGCCTTGTTTCTCTCTCTCTCTCTCTCTCTCACACACACACACTCTCTCTCTCTCTCTCACACACACACACACACACACACACACACACAGTCACCTGAAAGGTGTTCCATGAGGTGTATTGTCCAGCCTGAGTTTTCCCCAGGAATAGGTAGGAGTGTGGAGCCCTATAGAATGGAAAATATGGATGTATGTCCTAGTTACAGTTGAAGGAGTGTCTGGGTGGGGGTGTAAACTATAAAGCAATTCTGTCATGGGAAGATGGATAACCAGTTTTCCTGGTAATAGGTAGAGTAAAAGAGTAATCTCAGTTGGTTATTAATTCTTGTACTATTCCAGATCTTTTGCATTCATTATCTACTCAAATCCTCAAAACAGTCCAATGAACTATGTATTATTCCAACTTCACAAATGTGGAAAGTAGCTCTTAGACCAAATTATTAACCGGTCTAACAGCAAATTAGTGACAGAGCCAACACTGAGTCAATATTGAAATTCAAATGTGTCTAATTCCAAAATCATCATGACATAACACCTACAAGATATCCAAAACACAGTTCATTCATTTAGCTAACAGATGTTTATTGTGCACCCACTGGAGGCAAGCACCCACTGGGAATATAATAATAAGGTAAAACAAAAACATGCTTCTCCTCGTGGAGCTTACAGCCTCATGGAAGAGATAAGCATCAATCAAATCATCAAGCAAGTAAGTGCAATATTGCAGCTGTGACTTGTACCATGAAGGAAAAGTACATAGTGCTATAAGAATGTATTAGTATGGGGCCAGGTACAGTGGCTTACACCTATAATCCCAGCACTTTAGGAGGCCAAGGTGGGAGGATCCCTTGAAGTCAGGAGTTTGAAAACAGCCTGGGTAATACAGTGAGACCCTGTCTCCAGTAATTCTAGCTACTTGGGATGCTGAGGTGGGAGAATCACTTGAGCCCAGGAGTGCAAGGCACAGTGAGATATGATTGCAACACTACACTCCAGCCTGGGGGAAGGAATAAGGACCTGTCTCTTAACAAAAAAAAAAGAAGAAGAAAGAAGAAGAAGGAGGAGGAGGAGGAGAAAAAGAATATACCTATCCAACATTTCCTCTTCTAAAAACTTCACTTCTGGCCAGGTATAGTGGCTCATACCTGTAATTCCAACACTTTGGGAGGCCAAGGTGGGAGGATTGCTTGAGCCCAGGAGTTCAATACCAGCCTGAGCAACATAGTGAGACCCCACCTCTAAAAAAAAAAGAAATTATAAGTTAGCCAGGTATGGTAGCATGCACCTGTGGTCCTAGCTACTCGGGAGGCTGAGGTGGGAGGATTGCTTGAGCCCGAGAGTTCGAGGTCACAGGAGCCAAGATTGCACCACTGCACTCCAGCCTGGGCAACAAAGCAAGACTCTGTCTCAAACACAAAACTTCAGTTTTCCTTTGGGAACCACCCCTTCCTCATTCTCTGACAATGCAGTTCAGGTAGAGCTAACATGGCCCCACTCACTAATCACAGCCTCTCCCCACTGACTTCATTGAAGGTCACATGACTTAGCCCTGGCTAATGAAAGTACTACTTCCCTAGGACCACAGTGATTGGTTCAAGAAAGTTTCATGTGACTCAAGCCAGGCCAATGAGAAAGATGCAGAGATTTTCCTGGCACCATTAAGAATGAGATATTCTTCTTCAATTGAGCAGCAAAGCTAATAGAATGCACTTGGAGCTGCTGGTGGCCGTGACACAAGGAGAGGATACCTGAGGATGAAGCTAACAGAGAAGAGGAGAGGCAAGAAATACAGATCCCCGCAGATATTAATTAAATACATGCACCCAGGTTCATATCAGCAACCGATAAACATTTTGGTTATATGAGCCAGTTAATTCGCCTCTTTCTGCTTAAGCCAGTTTGACTGATTGTTTGGTTGGTTGATTGAATTTTTTTTAATCACTTGCAGTTAAAAGAGAAAAGCATCCCAACTGAGAGATTTATTTTTTATTTATCTTTTTTTTTTTTTTTTGAGGTAGACTTTTGCTCTTGTTGCCCAGGCTGGAGTGCAGTGGCACAATCTGGGCTCACTGCAAGCTCTGCCTCCCTGATTCAAGCGATTCTCGTGCCTTAGCCTCCTGAGTAGCTGGAACTACAAGCACGTGCCACCATGCCTGGCTAATTTTGTATTTTTAGTAGAGATGGGGTTTTACCATGTTGGCCAGGCTGGTCTCGAACTGCTGACCTCAGGTGATCCACCAGCCTCGGTTTCCCAAAGTGCTGGGATTACAGGCATGAGCCACCATGCCCGGCCTGACTGAGAGATTTATCTGCACAGTCAGGGAAGTCTTCCATGAAGAACTAAGGTGATCTGAATTCTGAAAGATAAGTAGCAGTTAATTTGGCAAAGAGAGGAAGGAGGAGTGTTCCAGTCAAAGAGACTAGCAAGTGCTAGAGCTTTGTATGAGGAAGGAGCATGATGATTGAGAGGGATGGAGAGAAGGCCAGTGTGAGTGGACAGAGCTGATGTAGTACAAGATGAAAATGGAAAGACAGCTTCCTGTCTTTAGCATAGTAAACTGTGCTAAGGATTCTGATCTTTGGATTTAGAGCCAGAGGACACATTTAAGGGCTTTTAAGTATGATGGATAAGGTAGTGGTGATACTACCAGACTTGTATACAGGTTGTTTTTTCCTTTAATGAGACAGGGTCTCACAATGTTACTCAGGCTAGAGTGCAGTGGCTATCCAGAGGCATAATCACAGTGCACTCTAGCCTTGAACTCCTGACCTCAAAGATCCTCTGGTCTCAGCCTCCCTAGTAGCTGGGACTACAGGTGCACTCCACTATGCCCAGCATCTACATACAGGGTTGTTGTTCTTTTTAATTCGCAGGCTGTTATATGAATAGATTGAAGGTTATCAAGAGTGGATAAACGAGAGGAAGTATATAGCCCCATCTATGCCAAAAGATGCATCTTGAATCTAATCAAGATAATAAATCTAACTACCAGTTTATAGGAAATATGGGAGCCAGAGGAACATGTTAAACAATGCCACAAAGATACAATCAGCCAAATCCAGGATACAAGATATTAAATGGGATGAATGAACTGGTTTCTGCAAAAACTAACTGAGATTAAGAATTTTAGGCCAGGTGCGGCGGCCCATGCCTGTAATCCCAGCACTTTGGGAGGCTGAGGTGGGTGGATCACGAGGTCAGGAGTTTGAGACCAGCCTGGCCAACATGGTGAAATCCCATCTCCACTAAAAATACAAAAATTAGCTGGGTGTGGTGGTGGGCACCTGTAATCCCAGCTACTCAGGAGGCTGAGGCAGAAAAATTGCTTGAACCCGGGAGGCAGAGGTTGCAGGGAGCCAAGATCGTACCACTGCACTTCAGCCTGGGTGACAGAGCAAGACTCCATCTCAAAAAAAAAAAAAAAAAAAAAGAAGACGACGAAGAAGAAGAATTTTAGAGCAAGGCCCTCTAGCATGCACTTGTAGTCCCTTCTACTTGGGAAGCTGAGGCAGGAGGTTTGAGCCCAGAAGTTTGAGACCATCCTGCACAACATAGTAAGATCTATCCAGTTTGGTGGGTGGAGAATAAAAATAATTTTTTTGTAAGGGATGTGGTCTTGCTAGGTCATCTAGGCTAGTCTCAAATTCTTGGCTTCAAGTGATCCTCTAGCTTTGGCTTCCCAAAGTGCTGGGATTACAGAAATATGCCACTGCACCTAGCCAGAAGAAGAATGTTTAAAAAGGAAGTGATTGGATATTATTTGGATCCTGATGTAAACAAACTGCAAAAGATATTTTGACACAATCAGGCAAATGTGAACATCTGTTGGGTATAAGGTGATATTAAGAAATAATTGGAGGCCAGGCGTGGTGTCTCATACCTGTAATCCCAGCACTTTGGGAGGCCGAGGCGGGTGGATCACCTGAGATCAGGAGTTCGAGACCAGCCTGATTAACATGGAGGAACCCAGTCTCTACTAAAAATACAAAATTAGCCGGGAGTGGTGGCGCATGCCTGTAATCCCAGCTACTCGAGAGGCTGAGACAGGAGAATCACTTGAACCCAGGAGGCAGAGGTTGTGGTGAGCCGAGATCGCGCCATTGCATTCCAGCCTGGGCAACAGAGCAAGACTCTGTCAAAAAAAAAGAAAGAAAGAGAGAGAGAAGGAAGGAAGGAAGGAAGGAAGGAAGGAAGGAAGGAAGGAAGGAAGGAAGGAAAGAAAACGAAAGAAAGAAAGAAAAAGAAACAAACAAAGAAAGAAAGAAAGAAAAAGAATTGGGGCTGGGAGCGGTGGTTCATGCCTGGTGACAGAAACAGACTCCATCTCAAAAAAAAAAAAAAAAAAAGAAAAGAAAAGAAAAAGAAATAACGGGCTGGTGCAGTGTCTCATGCCTGTAATCCCAGCACTTTGGGAGGCTGAGACAGGTGGATCAGCTGAGGTCAGGAGTTCAAGACCAGCCTGGCCAACATGGCGAAACCCTGTCTCTACTAAAAGCACAAAAATTAGCTGGGCGCAGAGGTGGGCACCTATAATCCCAGCTACTCAGGAGGCTGAGACAGGAGAATTGCTTGAACCCAGGAGGTGGAGGTTGCAGTGAGCTGAGATTGTGTCACTGCACTCCAGCCTTGGTGACAGAACGAGGCTCCATCTCAAAAACAATAATAACAATTGAGATGAGGCAGACTAAAATGCTTAGCACAAAGACTCAGCGTTAATTCACTGGACAAATATTTTTTGACTAGCCACTATGTTTCAGGTACTGTGCCAGATGGTAGGAAAAACCTGGTTTCTAGTGTCCCTGGGAAGAAAAAATTAGCCGGGCATGGTGGCATGTGCCTGTAATCCCAGCTACTCGGGAGGCTGAGGCAGGAGAATCGCTTGAACCCAGGAGGTGGAGGTTGCAGTGAGCCACGATCGCACCACTGCACTCTAGCCTGGCGACAGAGGGAGATTCTGTCTCAAAGGAAAAAAAGAAAGAAAGAAAAAAAGAAAAGAAATATTTGGGCCGGGCGTGGTGACTCACGCCTGTAATCCCAGCACTTTGGGAGGCCGAGGCGGATGGATCACCTGAGGTTAGGAGTTTGAGACCAGCCTGGCCAGGTGAAACCCTGTCTCTACTAAAAGTACAAAAATTAGCTGGGCACAGTGGTGGACACCTGTAATCCCAGCTACTCAGGAGGCTGAGGCAGGAAAATTGCTTGAACCTGGGAGGCAGAGGTTGCAGTGAGCCGAGATTGCACCATTATACTCCAGCCTGGGTGACAGAACGAGACTCTGTCTCAAAAATAACAATAATAATAATAATAATTGTTCTCTTAGGTGTGGTAATGGCACTGGAATTTGTTTTTTTTTTTTTAAAAAAAAACACTGACTTTATATGTTAGTTACATACACACTGAAGAATTTACAGGTAAAATGACATGACATTTGAGATTTGGTTTAAAATAATTTAGAGAAAAGGAAAAAGAAAGGTAGAATAGCTGGCAAAATGTCAACAATTGGCTGGGTGCAGTGGTTCATGCCTGTAAACCTAGCACTTTAGGAGGCCAAGGTGGGAAGATTGCTTGAGCCCAACAGCTCAAGGCTGCAGTGAGCTGTGATCATGCCACTGCATTCCAGCCTTGGCAACAGAGCAAGACCCTGTCTGAAAAAAAAATAAAAAAGTTAGCAATTGGCTGGGTGTGGTGGCTCACGCCTGTAATACTAGCACTTTGGGAGGCCAAGGTGGGTGGATCACCTAAGGCCAGGAGTTCAGGACCAGCCTGACCAATATGGTGAAACCCCATCTCTACTAAAAATACAAAAATTAGCCAGGCATGGTGGTGTGTGCCTGTAGTTCCAGTTACTGGGGAGGCTGAGACAGGAGAATTGCTTGAACCTGGGAGGCAGAGGTTGCAGTGAGCCAAGATCATGCCACTGCACTCCAGCTGGGGCAACAGAGGAGACTCCATCTCAAAAAAAAAACAACTTTAACAATTATCAAAGCAGGGTAATTAGGTGTAGGGAGAAAGTTATTATATTATTGTGTTTCTACTTTGGTATGTGTATATTTGAATTTTTTCATTATAAAAAGAATTTTTAATAAATTATTAAAACATAAATAAAATTTGGGATTAATGCTAACTGAATTTTAATAACTGAAGGTAGAGCTGTGAAATCTACCCAAGATATTGAGGGAAAAAAAAGCAAGTTTCACCCCCACCGCCATCACCCACAACCGACAACAAAAAAGCAATAGAGAAGAATAAAACCATTTTAATGTTATGCCCTTCCGTCCGCCCTCTTCCCCCTCAAAAAAAGTGGATGCAGAAAAACAAATTGGAATGTTATCCGGTCATCTAGTCCAAGGACAGCTTGAGAGGGGGAAATGGCAGTGGAAATGGATTAAAAAGTGTATGTGTTTAGGGGCCAGGCGCGGTCGCTCATGCCTGTAATGCCAGCACTTTGGGAGGCTGAGGCAGGTTGATTACTTGAGTCCAGGAGTTTGAGATGACTCTGGGCAACATAGGGAGACCCTCATCTTTAAAATAATAATAATAAAATAAATAAACAAAAAGAAAAAGTGTATGGGTTTTTTCACAAATGTACTATTTAATGTTGTAGATGTAGGGATCCCACAGGGATGCTACAGTGATCCACTGCTGGTAGCAGCCTGGATTTTAGCTCTCCCAAGTGTAAAGATTTGAAGGGAGGGAGAATTAACTAAAACCCAGAGGGAAGAGTCATGTGGACTTGGCCTCCTGTAGAAGGGAAGTGGCTTTCAGTTGGGACACAGTCAGCTCCAGGCAACCTGACAGAGAGGGAGCCAGGGGAATCAATACCCTGGCCTCACGTTCCTCCCTCTGACCTCTGCAGAGATAATCAGTGGGTGAACCTCAGTGGAAGGCAGGGTGCAGCAGCCTTTGATACAGTCCTTACAGGCCTGCCTCCTGGGGCCTTGAGCAGGGCAGAGCAGGGTGGAGAGAGGACTGGGAGGGGCAAACACAAGCTATCCAGGACAGGCTTCACAGTTTTTGCATGACCTGTGTTATGAGGTTCCTTGTGATCTTAACACTGCCTACCCGTCTCAGTTCCTGTCTGCCTATTCCCCCTGTAAAGTGGAGGCATAGAGGATAATAGTGTCTAATCCATCACACGAGGATGAAATGAGTTAACCTGTATAAAGCATTCAACTTGATATGTCAAGTGTTTTACAACAGCTAGCACTCAAAAATATTATGAAGAAGACTTTCTGGACATAGTTTCCTCTTTTTGCTTTTTCCTACTTTATTTTCTTTTTTTAATTGATGCATAATACAAATACATAGTTTCAAAGTATATGTGATAATTTAATACGTTCATACAGTTTGTAAATATCAAAGCAGTGTACTTGGAATATCCGTTACCTTAAATATTTGTCTTTATGCTGGAACCATTTTATTTACTTATTTATTTGGAGACAGGGTCTTGCTCTGTCACTCAGGCTAGAATGCAGTGGTGCAGTCATAGTTCACTGTAACCTGGGCTCAAACAATCCTCCTGCCTCAGCCTCCTGAGTAGCTAGAACTACAGTCATGTGCCACCACATCCTGCCTAGGCTAGAACCATTTTACTTTTTCTCTCCTAGCTATTTTGAAATGTACAATAAATTATTGTAAAGTAGTCACCCTACTGACCCAACTTACTAGATCTTATATAGTTCCATCTTTCTGAACATTTTTTCTTTCCAGGGACACTAGAAACCAGGTTTTTCCTACCACCTGGCACAGTACCTGAAACATAGTGGGTAGTCTATAAATATTTGTCCAGCGAATTAATGCTGAGTCTTTGTGCAAAGCATTTTAGTCCGCCTCATCTCAATTGTTTCAGCAACCTTATAAGGTAAGTATCATTCTGTTTTAGAGATGAGGGTAGTAGAGGCTCAGCAGGACTCAATGACTTGTCCAGAGCAGACCCGGATTCAAAGTCAGGCTGATCTTACTCTAAAACTTGTGCTCTTTGCCCTGTGCCAGAGGCTGCAGGCAGTGAGGGCTTTCTGCAAAGGTGACCACTGGCCACCGAAGTGTCACCCTGACACTTCACTGTGACTCCCAAAGGGTGGGTCTCCATTCAACAGGAGCCAGATGACCATGTAGTCTGTATCTGACAATAGGCTCTTGGGGCGTAGACCTCTGAATCATCTTTGTGTCCCTATAAGATACCTTTTTACTGGGTGCTAACTAATGTCCATTGACTTAAATAATATAATAAAAGATAGACTATCTTCTTTTGCTCTTGTTAATGCTGCTTCCAATGCACTGTGGCCATTCCTGGCATTGAGGGTAGGGTTGGTTTGTGGGCACAAAGCCCAACCTTTAATTCCTAGTGTAGAGGATCAGGCCTAACATTTATTAAGCAATTGTATTGTCAGGCATTGTTCCAGATGCTTAACATGTAATATCACCATGACAAATCTATGGGGTAAGAATTATCATTAATCCTATTTTATGCTTGAGAAAACTGAAGTTCAGAATAGTTAAGTGAACTTTTTCAAGGACACACAGCTAGAAAGCAAGCAAGGATTTTGAATCCAAGCATCTGATCCAGGATCTGTGCTCTTGACTTTTCAATGGACCACACTTACCTTTCTTGTCCTCTCCCCTCTTCTTCTATATCTCTGCAGCCTCCCGTCCTGACCTGCAAAACTTCCCTGCTTGCTGGCAGCCTAAGGGGCCACCTTCCAGTTCTCTTGAATGTTACTGCTCACAGTCAAAAGCAAACAAAATGAAAGTGTCAGCCAGTATCTTGGTTGTCCACCTGCTTGATACAGATGTGCCTCACTGTCTTATTTTTATCAAGCACATTTAGGGATTCACTTCAGCTTTTTGTTTCTCCCTCATGGAAGATGTTTGGTCTGGATGCTTCTAGTAACAAACAGAAACCCAAACCTTCATGGCAAAGAGCTGCTGAAGAAAACTGAGGTGAGGGCCAGGTGCAGTGGCTCATGCCTGTAGTCCCAGCACTTTCGGGAGGCCAAGGTAGGCGGATCACGAGGTCAGTTCAAGACCAGCCTGGCCAACATGGTGAAACCCCATCTCTACTAAAGATACAACAAATTAGCCGGGCATGGTGGCGTACACCTTGTAATCCTAGCTACTCGGGAGGCTGAAGCAGGACAATCTCTTGAACCCGGGAGGCGGAGGTTGCAGTGAGCCAAGATCATGCCATTGTACTCCAGCCTGGGTGACAGGGCGAGACTCCGTCTCAAAAAAAAAATTAAAAAAAAGAAAGTAAATTGAGGTGAGAGAAAACAGCACAAAAGCGAGACCAGTCTTCAAATCTTTGCTGGCACAAAGTTAATTTATTGAAATAATGGCTAGCACACCAAATTATGTATGTATTTATTTATTTACTTACTTACTTACTTACTGAGACAGGGTCTTGCTATGTTGCCCATACTGGCCTCAACCTTCTGGGCTTAAGTGATCCTCCCACCTTAGCCTCCTGAATAGCTGGAACTATAGGCGTGTGCCAGCACGCCTGGCTCACCAGGTTATTTAATGTAGCTGAAATAGCAATAAACTTCTTTTTAAATTAATAACATTAATTTATGTTCTGTTACAATTAAGTAATTACTACCTATTTTCCCACCCTATGCAATCATTTTTTCTTCCCTTTGATTCCTTCATGGAATTTATATTACAAAATAAACATAATTAACATGGATTTGACACATACCTTCTGTTGTCTGTATGAACAGCCATAAATTTACAAGAAAATACTAATTAATTGATATGAAACCCTTTCTGGGTTGGGTTTCCCAGAAATGGGCTCTGACAGAAGTTAACATGCAAGGCCTTTATTAGGCAGTGCTCTTAGGATCAACACATGAGGAAGGAGGGGAGGAAGCAGGACTAGGAAGAAGTCTAGCTCCCATGCTGGCCCAGCAAAGACCTCAGGACCACAAAGGGTTGTCCTTCATGTTGATGGCTCTTCAGAATTGCTCAGAGTTGGGGATAGGAAGCCAAGCCTTTATACTCCCACAGGCCAGCCCTGAAAGGACAGGTGATCTTAGATCAACCAGACAATGTTCTTCAAGTCCAGGGGATCACCAAAGACAGCTGAGTGCTGTCTTCCTGCAGCATTCCTGGGAGGTAGGGGAATAAGTCTTTCATTCCTACTGGGGATCTAGGTGGTGCGTGACATAGTCCACCACAGAAACAAGTTAATTGTAACTCATTTTGTTTCCAAACTCTAAGAAAAGTTATACCACTGCATCTCCTAAGCCACAGCACGTTTCATCATTTCAGTCAAGGTATCAGTCATTTTCTCAGCCGATCTTGAATTATCCTGAGACTATGGCAGAAGCAAAGGTCATAGATGAGCCTCATCCCTAAGCTGAAAGGAAGCTGGCAGTGGGTGCTCCTGTCCACAGATCAGAACCCAAGGATACCAAGGGCCAGCTGAGGGTTTGGGTATCAATGGGGGTTTCAGGAACCAATCGCCCACAGATCCAAAGGGATGACTGTGTTTGCAACTAAGTGTCGTGCAAGGCTGCTGCACAAAGAGCAACAGAACAGGCAAGGCAAAGCGCGTCTGAAGAACAGAAGTGAAGAAGGTCCTATTTGCTAGGGTCCCCACAACAAAGTACCATAGACTGGGCCATTTAAACAACAGAATTCTTGAGGCCACGCCTGAGAACAAGATGTTGGCAGGATCTGTTTCTTCTGAGGCCTCTCTTCTCCCAGGGTCTTTCCATGGTCTTCTTTCTATATCTGTCTGTGTCCAGATCTCCTCTTCTTCTAAAGACACCAGTCATATTGGATTAGGGCCTACCCTCATGACCTCATTTTAACATAATTACCACTTTCAATTTCCTATCTATCTCCACATAGAGTCGCATTCTGAGGTACTGGGGTTTAGAACTTCAACACATGAATTGTGTTGAAGGGAATACAATTCAGCCCACAGAAGGGGCTTTGAATTGGGTTTCTTCAAAAGGTGATTCAATTTTGACAGGCAGAAATGAGAGTGCAGAAGGGCATTCCCAAGGAGGGAAGAGGAAGCAAGCCCTGAGAGGAATGCGAGGGTACAGATAGGAATAGATTACGTTCTGCCCCTGAGAGCTCTGTCATGAAAGAATGCAGAGTGACTAAGTCCAGTTGGGCTGTGGGTGGACAGTAGCGGAGAAGAAGGTGTAAGGTAGGACGCAGGCCTGATAATGGAGGTGTTAGACGCCTTTGTGTAACAGTCCATAAAGTCGCACCTAAAAGATATGTCACAATCTATGATTTCCTATAAATAAATTTAATTTCTTCTTCAAGTCCTATCCTCTTGCATTGATAGAAAATGAACCTCAGGCTGGGTGCAGTGGCTTATGCCTTGTAATCCCAGCACTTTGGGAGGCCAAGGCAGGCAGATCACCTGAGGCCAGGTGTTTGAGACCAGCCTGGCTAACATGGTGAAACCCTGTCTCTACTAAAAATACAAAAATTAGTAGCCAGGCTTTGGTGATGCATGCCTATAGTAGTCCCAGCTACTTGGGAGGCTGAGGCACAAGAATTGCTTGAACCCAGGAGGCAGAGGTTGCAGTGAGCCAAGATCATGCCATTGCACTCCAGCCTGGGCAACAGAAAAAAAAGTCTCCAAAAAAAAAGAACCTCAGTCATTGTTTAGGCCCCACTTAGGGATGTGCCATCAAAGGAAACTCACACAGAGTCAGAGGAGCAGGGATGGGGTAGGGTCCTCTGGTCATTGACCATCTCTGCACACAGGCTACAGTGGAGTCAGCCCTTGTTCCTGTCTGTATAGCTCCTTCCAGTCTCGTGGCGCTGTACAGTCATGTCACACTCAGGCTACCAAGGTTTTTTTTTTTTTTTTGTCTGTTTATTTGTTTTTGAGATGAGGTCTCACTCTATCATTCAGGCTGGAGTGCAGTGACGCAAAATCGGATCACTGCAACCTCTGCTTCCTGGGCTCATGGGAACCTCCTGCCTCAGCCTCCTGACTACAGGTGCATGCCACCATGTCCAGATAATTATTGCATTTTTTGTAGAGATGGAGTTTCACCATGCTGCTCAGGCCGGTCTTGAACTCTTGGACTCAAGCAATCTACCCGCTTTGTCCCCACAAAGTGCTAGGATTACAGACGTGAGCCACCGCGCCTGGCCTGAATTCAGTTTTAGATGATTCCAATTTTGTTGGCAGTAACGAGTCCCAGTACTCAGGGGCCAGTCCAGTATATGCCTTCTTGCCTCCATTAGGCTTTCCTCCATCAGGGTACGCACCATGTCAATATCATACAGTTTTTCTCAAAGACTGCCTGTTTTGAGGCTTGTTGGCCTTGGCATCTACAGTAAAAACCAGTCTGTTGTTTTCTCCACCTTCTTTGAGGTCAAGGGGAACTTAATGATGGCACTGTGGTTTCACTTGTTCCTCCTGAAAACACATTTTCTAGGGCCCTTTGGAGTCTCAGTGTGCTACACCCCTGGAGGGTGACTCATGGGCCTTCCTCAGGAGGCTGTGGCTGCCTTGTAGTGTGGCTTTCTTGGCCTACAAAGCCTTTGTTCTTGCCCTGATATTGTGATGGGCAGGAGGCTCCTCCTTTCCTTTGACATCATCTTTGTATAAAGGTCTTAACTCATTTAACTCACATTTATGATGCATGAAAGATCCTTGCCACGTTTATAAGAAATTTTCAGTGGGACTGGGTGCAGTCTGATGCTGTAATCCTAACACTTTGGGAGGCTGAGGAGGGAGGATTACATGAGGCCAGGAGTTTGAGACTGACATAGTGAGACCTTGTCTCTAAAAAAAAATTTTTTTTTAATTTGCTGGGTGTTGATGTGTCTCTGTAGTCCCAGCTACTCAGGAGGCTGAGGTGGGAGGATCCCTTGAGCCCAGGCGTTAGAGGCTGCAGTGAGCTATGATCATGCCACTGCACTCCTGCCTGGGCAACAGAGCAAGACCCTGTCTCAAAAACAAAACAAAAAGAAATATGCAGTGAGACAGAGAGATGCTACCTGAGGAAAGGACACACAAAATTGCAGAACTTTGCTGTATTCACCACAATCCAGAGTTGAGTCTTCAGGTCCAAAAACTCCACCTTTCTTCATTGTCCATGAAATGTACAAAAGTGTCCATGAAATGTACACTAGCCACAGAAAGGATCTGTACAGTGCAGATAGGCACGCCTGTCTTTCATAGATGATTGTATCTTTCTTTCATAGCTAGGTGTACTGTCTTTTTATAACTTGATAACAATAGATATTAAAACCAGTATCCAAGGTGTTAATTTACAATGAGAAATATAACTGCCAAATAGGCAGAGCATGGTGAATCACACCTGTAATCCCAGCACTTTGGGAGGCCAAGGCAGGCAGATTACCTGAGGTCAGGAGTTTGAGACCAGCCTGGCCAACATGGTGAAACCCTGTCTCTACTGAAAATACAGAAATTATCTGGGTGTGGTGGCGAGCACCTGTAGTCCCAGCTACTCAGGAGGCTGAGGCAGGAGAATCACTTGAACCCAGGAGAAGGAGGTTGCAGTGAGCCAAGATTGCACCACTGCACTCCAGCCTGGGCGACAGAATGAGACTCCATCTCAAAAAATAAAAAAATTTTAAAAAAGAAAGAAATATAACTGCCAAATGGAGAAGTCATTAATATTGTCTAGTCAGAGTATTCTGTATCTTGAAAAAATATGTACTTGGGTAAAATCAGAAGTTAACTAAATGTGGAATTAGAACAAATAAAATTAGATGGTTTTATTATTTTTTAATTTGTTTTTTATTAAATTAGGCAGCCCTCAGAACCAGGACAGGTTCAGAGAGCTCCCTCAATGGCTTTAATATCTATTGTCATCAAGTTATAAAAAGACAGTGCACCTAGCTATGAAAGAAAGATACACTCATCTATGAAAGACAGGCGTGCCTATCTGCACTGTACAGATCCTTTCTGCAGCTAGTGTACTGCTCAGATATGGAGTCATCATGGTACCAACTTGGTTTGTTTTCTTTTTCTTTTCTTCTTTTCTTTCTTTCTTTCTTTTTTTTTTTTTTTTTTTTTTTTTTTTGAGACTGGGTCTCTGTCACCGAGGCTGGAGTGCAACATCATGATCATGGCTCACTGCAACCTCAAACTCCCGGACTCAAGCCATCTTCCCACCTCAGCCTCCCAAGTCACTAGGACTACAGGCACACATTACTACGCCTGGCTAATTTTTTTAATTAAAAATTAAAATATTTCAAAAAAAATTTTAAAGAGCAATCAAGGTGGGAGCAATCAAGCTTCCCAAGGTGCTGGGATTACAGGTGTGAGCCACTGTGCCTGGCCCCTACTTTAGTATTTAGGGAAGCAAAGATGTCCGCATCCTAATCCCCAAAACCTACGAATATGTTAGGTTCTGTGTCTGGGGTGTTTTTTAACACCAAGCAATTCTCCAACATCAGCTGGATGTCAAACATTTCAATTAATTCAGACACAAACTACCTAGAGTTAGCTTGCTTCAGACTTAAGGGTTCAGTCCCACAAGACTGTCCCCACTTCAGACTGCACTTGCAAGTCTGATGCCATATGCATAGTTCTGGCTGATACAACTCAGGGGTTCCCATGACTCCTTCTTTAGGTCTATCTTAATAATTTGCTAGAATGGCTCACAGAACTCAGAAAAACTTTTCCTAATTTTACTGGTTTATTATAAAGCACACAACTCAGGAAGAGTCAGATGGAAGAGGTGCATAGGGCACGGTATTGGGCAGGGGTTGGTATGGGGCTTCCAAACCCTCTCCAGTAGTATGACCCTCCCAGTAAGTCAATGTGTTCATCAACTTGGAAGCTCTTTGAATCTTGTTGTTCAAGAGTTTATATAAAGCTCAATCCTCAATCCCCCTTTCCCTCCCAGAGGGTTGGTGAATAGAGCTGAAACTTCCAATCCTCTAAACACTTGTTTTTTCTGGTGACCAGCCCCCATCTAGGCCCCACATCAACTCACCTCATTAGCATAAACTCAGGTGTGATCAAAGGGAGCTCATATGGAAATTGCGCCACTGAACTCTCCAGCCTGGGTGACAGAGTGAGATCAAAAAAAAAAAAACAAAAAAACAGAAAGGGGACGGAGGCGCACAGTTACTGCTGCAGGGCTTTCACCCTGCCTGGACCAGGTGCCGTTTAAAAGCGCACCCTTGGCTGGGCGCAATGGCTCACGCCTGTAATCCCAATGCTTTGGGAGGCCAAGGCAGGCAGATCACCTGAGGTCAGGAGTTTGAGGCCAGCCTGGCCAACATGGCAAAACCCCGTTTCTACTAAAAATACGAAAATTAGCTGGGCATGGTGGCATGCACCTGTAATCCCAGCTACTTGGGAGGCTGAGACAGGAGAATCACTTGAGTCCAGGAGGCAGAGGTTGCAGTGAGCCAAGATCACACCACTGCACTCCAGCCTGGGTGAGAGAGCAAGACTCTGTCTCAAAAAAAAAAAAAAGTGCACCCTACACTCACCCTGCTTGTTGGGCTCACCAAGAAGTGCCTGGGCTCCATGCAGCAAAAAATACCATGTGTGTTTGTGATGGAGGTGAAAGAGGAGGCTTCTGCCAAAAGGGAGCAGCAGATTAGCCATACCTGTGGGCTCAACTAAATAGAAAACCCAACAAACAAGCCAAAAAAGATTTTAAATTTTTCTACATTCAAAAGAAAACACAAAAGGATTTTTTGGGAACCTTGAGGAGGACTTCAAACAGGCTCCAGAGTGCTGGATACCAGCAAAGGAAATAGAACAATTAAATGGGAATCCAGCGCCTGATGAAAATGGACACATTCTTGGTTGAGTACCAGGAGAAAAAAACAACAAACAGTACTGCTGGCATTCCTCTGTAGTTCATTATGAATTTGAAATTGCCCTGGTACTAAAGCATCATCCTGATGAACCTGGGCTTTTGGAAATTAGTGTAGTGCCACTAATTTTAGAACAAACACTGGAGCTTATAGGAACAAATATCAATGGAAACCCATGTGGGTTAGGAAGCAAGAAGCATCCATTACATCTTCTTATACCACATGGAGCATTCCAAATAAGAAATCTACTCACGGCCGGGCGCGGTGGTTCAAGCCTGTAATCCCAGCACTTTGGGAGGCCGAGGTGGGCGGATCATGAGGTCAGGAGATCGAGACCATCCTGGCTAACACGGTGAAACCTCGTCTCTACTAAAAATACAAAAATTAGCCGGGCATGGTGGCAGGTGCCTGTAGTCCCAGCTACTCGGTAGGCTGAGGCAGGAGAATGGCATGAACCCCGGAGGCGGAGCTTGCAGTGAGCCAAGATTGTGCCACTGCACTCCAGCCTGGGCAACAGAGCAAGACTCTGTCTCAAAAAAAAAAAACAAAAACAAAAGAAATCTACCCGTTTGGGGCCGGGCGTGGTGGCTCACACCTGTAATCCCAGCACTTTGGGAGGCTGAGGCGGGTGGATCACGAGGTCAGGAGTTCGAGACCAGACTGGCCAACATGGTGAAACACCTTCCCTACTAAAAATACAAAAATTACCCTGGCGTGGTGATGGGCACCTGTAGTCCCAGCTACTCGAGAGGCTGAGGCAGGAGAATCACTTGAACCTGGAAGGCAGAGGCTGTAGTGAGCTGAGATCGTGCCACTGCACTCTAGCCTGAGACAGTGAAACTCTATCTCAACAAAAAAAAAAAAAAAAAAAAAAAAAAAAAAGGAAAGAAAGAAAGAAAAGAAAGAAATCTACCTGTTTGGAAATACAATGGTCTCTTGTCCTGCTTTGAAGTTTGCAAAGAGGGTAAAATTGAAAGAATAGTACTGCATTGCAGTGATGGTTGTTAGATTAAGGTCCATCACCATCGTCTTGGTTAATGCTGGCCTATCCCAGATACTTACATTAACTCAAAACAAGTTATAGGTCAGGCATGGTGGCTCATGCCTATAATCCCAGCACATTGGGAGGCTGAGGTGGTCGGATCACTTCAGGTCAGGAGTTTGAGACCAGCCTGGCCAACATGGTGAAACCCTATCTCTACTAAACCAAAAATTAGCCAGACATAGTGGCAAGTGCCTATAATACCAGCCACTTAGGAGGCTGAGGCACAAGAATCCCTTTAACCCCGGCAGAGGTTGCAGTGAACCAAGATTGTGCTACTGCACTCTAGCCTGGGTGACAGAGTGAGACTCTGTCTCAAAAACAACAACAACAACAACAAAAATCAAGCTCCAGTTATTATCAACATGAACCTGAACAAATGTGATTCTGCCTTTGATATTAAGTGTTTGTTTAATCATTTTTCAAAAATAGATAGAAATAGGGTAGGCTGAAATATATAATATTTGATGTATAAAATGCAAATAAAATTAAGATTCGTTTTATTGTTGTTACATTCTAAAAAACAAAAAAACAAATGGGGCTCATAATGAATAACAAAAGAAACTCCTATCACTCAGGAAATGCCAGGTGTTTCAGGAGCTCCATGACAGAAACTATGGACAAATATATTCTATCACACTGTGAAAAGGGGGACTTAAATATAGCAGATAGTGTTAAGGTTGCTAATCAGCTGACTTTAAAAGAGAGGTTTTCCTGGATTATCTGGGGGGATCCAAAGTAATCACAGGATTCTTAAATGTGGAAGAAAGAAGTAGGAGTTTCACTGTCAGTGTCATAGTGATATGGTGATGCAAGAAAAACGTATAAAGAATGGGGCTGCAAGCCAAGGAATGCAGGCAGCCTATAGAAGCTAGAAAAGGCAAGGAAATGGATTCTCCCTGGATCCTCCAGAGGGAATGCTGCACTACCAAACACCTTGATTTCAGCTGAGTGAGTCTCATTTTGGACTTCTGACCTCCAGAAGTGTAACATGATAAATCATTGTTGTTTCTTTTTTTTTTTTTTTTTTGAGACAGAGTTTTTCTCTCACCCAGGCTATAGTGCAGTGGCGTGATCTCGGCTGACTGCAAGCTCCGCCTTCCAGGTTCACGCCATTCTCCGGCCTCAGCCTCCCGAGTAGCTGGGACTACAGGCGCCTGCCACCATGCCTGGCTAATTTTTTGTATTTTTAGTAAAGACGGGGTTTCACCACGTTAGCCAGGATAGTCTCGATCTCCTGACCTCATGATCCACCCACCTCAGCCTCCCAAAGTGCTGGGATTACAGGCATGAAGCCAACACGCCCGGCAAATCATCGTTGTTTCAAGCCACTAAATGTACAGTAATTTGTTACAGAAGCCACAAAAGCTCTTTGTGAATTTAACTTTTATACAGGTGATACAAACCATTTTGTGTATGTATTTTGTTTGTTTGTTCGTTTTAATTTTTGTAGCAATGGAGTCTCATTATATTGGCCAGGCTGGTCTTGAACTCCTAGCTTCAAGTGATCCTCCTGCCTTGGCCTCTCAAAGTGCTGGGATTACAGGCATGAGCCACCATGCCTGGCCATTATGTGTTCCTTTGTTTGTTTGTTTTTGAGACAGGGTCTTGCTCTGTTACCTAGGCTAGAGTGCAATAGTATGATCATGGCTCACTGCACCCTCCACCTCCCTGGGCTTCAGTGATCCTCCCACCTCAGCCTCCCAAGCAGCTGAGACTACAGGCACACACCACCATGTTCAGCTAAGTTTTTTTTCTTGTTGTTGTGGAGGAAGGATCTCACTATGAACTCCTAGGCTCAAGCAATTCTTCCACCTAGGCCTCACAAAGTGCTGGGATTACAAGCATGAGTTGCTGTGGCTGGCCTCATTCTGTATATGTGTATTAGTCCGTTTTCACGCTGCTAATAAAGACATAGCTGAGACTGGGCAATTTACAAAAAAGAAAGAGGTTTAATTGGACTTACAGTTCCACATGGCTGGGGAAGTCTCATAATCATGGCGGAAGGCAAGGAGGAAGAAGTCACGTCTTACATGGATGGCAGCAGGCAAAGAGAGCAGCAGGAAAACTGCCCCTTACAATAATCATCAGATCTGGTGAGACTTACTCACTATCACAAGAACAGTACGGGAAAGACCTGCCCCCATGATTCAATTACCTCTCCACCCTGTCCCTCCCACAACACATGGGAATTCAAGATGAGATTTGGGTGGGGACACAGCCCAACCATATCAATATGTTAAAGTTTTCTTCAGAAAAATATACAGCACAATTATGCAGCAATAGCATTAAGTGCCTAACACAATGCCTAAGTGCTCAAAAAAGATGCATTTTCCTTCCTGTATTTATTATTTCCACAAATACTAATTGCATGCCTACTACATTCCCAGCACCATTCAAGGCACTAGGGAGAGATCTCTTCCCTCATAGAGCTTGTGTTCTTTTTTTTCTTTTTTCTTTTTTTTTTTTGAGATGGGGTCTTGCTTGTCATCAGGCTAGAGTGCAGTGGAACGATCTCGGCTCACTGCAACTTCCGCCTCCCAGGTTCAAACAATTCTCCTGCCTCAGCCTCCTGAGTAGCTGGGACTACAGGCATGTGCCACCATGCCCAGTTAATTTTGGTATTTTTAGTAGAGACAAGGTTTCACCATGTTGGCCAGGATGGTCTCAATCTCTTGACCTCGTGATCCGCCTGCCTCAGCCTCCCGAAGTGCTGGGATTACAGGCGTAAGTGCATTCTTAGCACTTAGCAAGTAAGACAGAAATTATAATTTAATTTGGCCAGCATAGGTTGGATTTAAGACAAAAACTTTTTATTATGACAATTTCAAACATACAGAAAAGGAGGGAGAGTACAAAATGAACCACCATGTGCCCATCACCCAACTTCTATAATTATCAATATTTTACTGATCTTTGCCCAGGACTTTTTTTTTTTTTTTTGAGATGGAGTTTCACTCTTTTCGCCCAGGCTGGAGTGCAATGGCGTGATCTCAGCTCACTGCAACCTCTGCCCCCCAGGTTCAAACAATTCTCCTGCCTCAGCCTCCCGACTAGTAGCTGGGATTACAGGCAACTGGCTAATTTTTTTTTTTTTTTTTTTTTTTTTGAGACAGAGTCTCACTCTGTCATCAGGCTGGAGGGCAGTGGCGTGATCTTGACTCACTGCAACCTCCGCCTCCTGGTTCAAGCGATTCTCCTGCCTCAGCCTCCCAGGTAGCTGGGACTACAGGTGTGCACCACCATGCCCAGCTAATTTTTGTATTTTTAGTAGAGATAGGGTTTCATCCTGTTGGCCATCTCAATCTCTTGACCTCGCGATCTGCCTGCCTCAGCCTCCCAAAGTGCTGGGATTACAGGCGTGAGCCACTGCGCCTGGCCTAATTTTGTATTTTTAGTAGAGATGGGGTTTCTCCATGTTGGTTAGGCTGGTCTCAAACTCCCAACCTCAGGTGATCCGCCCACCTTGGCCTCCCAAAGTGCTGGGATCACAGGTGTGAGCCACTGCACCCGCTGTACAGGATATTTTAAATATTTATATTAGTTATCAATAATTAAGTGTAAGGAATTTTAAAGAAATTTCATATAAAAAAATTTCAGAGCATTTGACAGCACTGGACCCACATTTCCACACAGCAACAATTAGCTATACCTAAGAACCTTCTGACACTAGCTAGATGGGCTAATGCATATATCTGATTACCATGTTACTGACCTCCCTATTGTCTCTCCTGTACCAAAGTCTAGTGACAGACACTATTGTTAAATAAACTTTTTTTTTTTAGCCACCACACTTGGCTGTTTTTAATTTTTTTTGTTTTTGTTTTTGTAGAGAAGAGGTCTCACCATGTTTCCCAGGCTGGTCTCAAACTTCTGAGCTCAAGCCATCTTCCTGCCTCCACCTCCTAAAGTGCTAGGATTACAGGTGTGAGCCACTGCCCCAGCAGATATTACTGTTATTGTTTGTCTGTTGGTTTGAGACCGAGTCTCACTCTGTTGCCCAGGCTGGAGTTCAGTGGCACTGCAACCTCTGCTTCTAGGGCTCAAGCAATCTTCCCGCCTCACCTTCCCGAGTAGCTGGGACTACAGGCTCACATCACCACACCTGACTGATTTTTGTTATTTTTTGTAGAGACAAGATTTCACGGGTTGCCTGGGCTGTTCTCAAACTACGTCACTCAAGCAAGCCACCTGCCTCAGTCACCCAAAGTGCTGGAATTACAGGTGTGAGCCAGCCTATTATTGTTGTTGTTGTTATTGTTTTGAAACAGAGTCTCACTCTGTTACCCACGCTGGAGTGCAATGGTGCGATCTTGGCTCACTGCAACCTCCACCTCCCGGGTTCAAGCGATTCTCCTGCCTCAGCCTGCCGAGTAGCTGGGATCACAGGCACCAACCACCACGCCCAGCTAATTTTTGTATTTTTAGTAGAGATGGGGTTTCAACATGTTGGCCAGGCTGGCCTCAAACTCCTGACCTCAGGCGATCCACCCGCCTGGGCCTCCCAAAGTGCTGGGATTACAGGCGTGAGCCACCACGCCCAGCCTCATTCATTACATTTTGAATGTAACTAATTTCATTTCTCCTTAGCTTTAATTTGGGGAATACCTTGCTGTGATCCTCAAGCACATGTGATTTTCCCTTCACTAGTCTTATTTTATCAGTTCTTTTTATTTTAGTTTAGTTTTTAATCACATGCTTTCACTTTGATTTTCCTGTCCTTAAAGAAAGACAGACAGAAAATTTTCAAAGCCATACTCAAGTTTTACAATTTCAGTGATACCTACTTGGCTAAACTTATTACTTTTCTATATTTTAAAATTATACACACAGTTGCTTCTTCTGGATGCAAAGTTAAATGCCACAATGGGAAACAGAGGCCATGAGCTAATACAGCTGTGATGTGTTTGTGTGTTTTTTGTTTGTTTGTTTGTTTTTCAAGATGGAGTCTTGCTCTGTCACCAGGCTGGAGGCTAGTAGCTCGATCTCTGCTCACTGCAACCTCCACCTTCTGGGTTCAAGGGATTCCCCTGCCTTAGCCTCCCAAGTAGCTGAGACTACAGGTGTGCGCCAACATGCCCAGTTAATTTTTTTGTATTTTAGTAGAGATGGGGTTTCCCTGTGTTGGCCAGGATGGTCTCGATCTCCTGACCTTGTGATCTGCCTGCCTCAGCCTCCCGAAATGCTGAGATTACAGGTGTGAGCCACTGCTTGTGATGTGCTTTGATTGTCATTTTTCCTTTGAAAAAATATTTCTGTGGTATCTATTCTGTGCAAGGCACAGATAAATACAACCCACATAGCACCTAGACAAAGAGATAACGATTTTAAGCACAACAGGAGCCTAAGAAAAATAGAATAAAGCAACAAAATTAAAAGAGCATTGCTTTTAGATCTCATGAGAGACCACACAGTTGTTACTTTTAATTGTTATAACAAAGGCCTACAAATTTCTTTGGTTGCCAAAATCAGTCTTCAGAACTAAATTCCATTTCTGGGAGGACCTCAAGTGGTCCTGTTTTCCCTTGGAAAAAGCCCTAGGAAATGCTCAACATATCATCATATCACTTGCATTCAAGGTTGGATTCAAATGAAGGTCTTGGAGGCCCCAAGAATCTTACCTAGGTCAATTCTTCCTCAGGAAATTCCCCCTCAGGTCAATCCATAAAGTCATTATTAGTGTCCTGACTTAAAGCAGAAACCAATTCCTTGAACAAGGTGGGCACAGAAGGAAGAAAACTTCTGGGAGAGAGTGGCTTTAATTTCAACCAACCAAAGGAACAAAGATGCTTTGGAATGTTTTAGGCTGGCTAGTGATACTCCGCAGCAGAAAATAAACCAGCTGGGTGTAGTGGCTCATGCCTGTAGTTCCAATGCTTTGAGAGGCAGAGACAGGATGCCCTTTTGAGGCCAGGAGTTCCAGCCTGGGAAACATAGTGAGACCTTGTCTCTATAAAAAAAGAAGAAAATACAGAAAATAAACCAAAGCCTTGCCCATCATTCTACAAGGGACATATTTCTACACTGGAGATGCCTAAGTTGTCCTTTCCAGTTGAGGAGCTGTATATATTTAAAAAGTAGAACTATATCTGAGATTGAAATACTTCTTCAACCCCCATATACCTCCTTTTTTAGATTCTGTTGACCATTATTAAATCTCCAGATTTCTATATGTTCCTGAAGTTTAATTTGGGAACTTGACCCTCCGAGCAGTATGGAATTTAGAGGCCTGGAATTCTTCTCTACAAACTATTAAGTTCTGAGTGGGAAGCCGAATGACTCAGGTGTGAGTTGAGTTCCCTTTTCAGAGACAGAATGACATGAGATTGACAGCAGGCATTCTGAAGTCACACACACCTGGTTTCAAATCCCAGCTCAGTTACTGACTGGTCATATGACCTTGGGCATGTTACTTAACCAGTCTGAACCTTGGTTCCTCCTCTACAAACTTGGAACAAAAATGATTCCTAACTCACAGGATAATAAGTAGAATTTTCATTATCTATGGCTGTGTAACAAATTATTCCAAAACTTAGTCATTCGAACCAATAATTTCTTTATTTTTCCTTTTTTTTTTTTTTTTTTGAGAGCAATTCAAGGGAAGGGTAAATAGACCCCACCTCTTTTTTTTTTTTTTTTTTTCTTTGAGACGGAGTTTCACTCTTGTTGCCCAGGCTGGAGTGCAATGGCACGATCTCGGCTCACTGCAACCTCTGCCTCCCGGGTTCAAGCGATTCTCCTGCCTCAGCCTCCCAAGTAGCTGGAATTCCAAGCACCCACCACCATGCTCAGCTAATTTTTTTTTTCTTTTTGTATTTTTAGTAAAGACGGGGTTTCACTGTGTTGGACAGGCTGGTCTTGAACTCCGGCCTTCAGGTGATCCACCCACTTTGGCCTCCCAAAGTGCTGGGATTACAGGCATGAGCCACCGGGCCCGGTCTTTTTTTTTTTTTTTTGAGACGCAGTCTCACTCTGTTGCACAGGCTGGAGTGCAGTGGCACGATCTTGACTCACTGCAACCTCTGCCTCCAGAGTTCAAGCAATTCTCGTGCCTTAGCCTCCCGAGTAGCTGGGATTACAGGCGCGTGCCACCACGCACTGCTGATTTTTGTATTTTTAGTAGAGATGTGGTTTCGCCATGTTGGCCAGGCTGGTCTTGAACTTCTGACCTCAGGTGATCCACCCACCTTGGACTCCCAAAGTGCTGGGATTACACGCGTGAGCCACTGCGCCCAGCTGCTTCAATTTTTCATCTACAAAATAGCAGTAACAAGTATATCTACCTCACAGAATTATTATAAAGGTTAAATGAAATATTACATGTAGGCCGGGGGTGGTGGCTCACGCATGTAATCCTAACACTTTGGGAGGCCAAGGCGGGCAGATCCCTTGAGGCCAGGAGTTCAATACCAGCCTGGCCAACATGGCGAAACCCCGTCTCTTCTAAAAATATAAAAATTAGCCGGGCATGGTGGTGCACGTCTGTAATCCTAGCTACTCAGGAGGCTGAGGCAGGAGAATTGCTTGTACCCGCGAGGCATAAGTTGCAGTGAGCTGAGATCAAGCCACTGCACTCCAGCCTGGGTGACAGAGCAAGACTCCATCTGAAAAAAAAAAAATAAAATGAAATGTGACATGTAAAAAGCATAGAAAAGTTGATTTAAAAAAGAAATTTTTTGTAGCCCGGCGTGGTGGCTCAAGCCTGTAATCCCAGCACTTTGGGAGGCCAAGGCGGGTGGATCACCTGAGGTCGGGTGTTCGAGACCTGCCTGACCAACATGGAGGATACAAAAAAATACAAAAATCTCTACTAAAAATACAAAATTAGCCAGGCATGGTAGTGAATGGCTATAATCCCAGCTACTCCGGAGGCTGAGGCAGGAGAATAGCTTGAACCCAGGAGGTGGAGGTTGCGGTGAGCCGAGATTGCACCATCGCACTCCAGCCTGGGCAATAAGAGCAAAACTCTGTCTGAAAAAAAAAAAAAGAAAAAGAAATTTTTCAGCTGGGCGCAGTGGCTCACGCCTGTAATCCTAGCACTTTGGAAGGCTGAGGCATGTGGATTACCTGAGGTCAAGAGTTCGAGACCAGCCTGGCCAACATGGTGAAACCCCGTCTCTACTAAAAATACAAAAATTAGCCAGGTGTGGCGGCACACACCTGTAATCCCAGCTACTCAGGACACTGAAGCAGAAGAATTGCTTGAACCCAGGAGATGGAGGTTGCAGTGAGCCGAGATCATGCCACTGCACTCCAGCCTGGATGACAGAGGAGACTCTGTCTAAAAAAAAAAAAAAAAAAAAAAAGAAATTATTCTTCAGACTTACTGTGGTACATATATAAGGTATGGTTCTAGGTAATTTTCTCCAGGCTGTTAACTAGTTGTCTCAACATTCATAAAATAATCCTTTCTTTTATTTAGTAGTGTCTTTGTGTTATACATTAAATGATCATTTGTAATAAGGTTCTATTTCTGATGTTCCTATTTCAGTCCCATGAATCTATTTATTTCTTCTATTATTTAAATCATTGTTGCATCACAATGTCATTTACCATCTTGACAGCGACTGTCTCCTCTTTACTCTCGTTTTTAAAGCTATTCTTTGATACCTTAAACTGTTTAGTGAATTTTTTTTATTTTTTAAGACAAACTCTCACTCTGTCACCCAGACTGGAGTGCAGTGGTACAATCTTAACTCACCACAGCCTCAATCTCCCAGGCTCAAGTGATCCTCCTGCCTCAGGCTCCTGAGGAGCTAGGACTAAAGGCATGTGCTACTACACCTGGCTAATTTTTTAAAATTGTTTTTTTGTAGAGACAAGGTCTCACTATGTTGCCCAGGCTCGTCTCCACCTCCTGGGCTTTAAGTGATCCTCCCACCTCAGCTTCCCAAATTGCTAGTGTTATAGGTGTGAGCCACCGTGCCCAGCCTAGTGAACTTTTTGTTTTGTCTCACTCATAGCTGTGACCAGTGAACTTTATATCAGTTTCATCTACTTCTAAGAAAAATCTTATTGGCTTAGCATGCTGTTCAAAGTCCTAAAAAAATAAAAATAAAAATCATATTAGTATTTTGATTGGAATGATGTTTAGTTAAAACTTTATGTGAAAATATATTATTTTTCTTTTTTCTCCTTCCAGAACCCTTTAGCTCATGTCATCTTTAAATTTCCAGTAATACAATCCTTTTCTTTTTTACTTTTTTTTTTTTTTTGAGACGGAGTCTCACTCTGTCACCCACGCTGGAGTGCAGCAGCGTGATCTAGGCTCACTGCAACCTCTGCCTCCCGGGTTCAAGTGATTCTTGTGCCTCAGTCTCCCAAGTAGCTGGGACTACAGGTGTGCACCACCATGCCAGCTAATTTTTGTATTTTTTAGTAGAGACAGGGTTTGACCATGTTGGTCAGGCTGGTCTCAAACTCCTGGCCTCAAGTGATCCACCCACCTTGGCCTCCCAAAGTGCTAAGATTACAGGTGTGTGCCACTGTGCCTGGCCTCAGTAATACAATCTTTCCTTAAGTATATTCTGGGCTTTTTTTTGTTTGTTTGTGGTTTTTTTGTTTCTTTGTTTTTGTTTTGTTTTGTTTTTTAGTATGCCTGTCTTGGCACCTTAAGTATATTCTCAAGGTTTTTTTGTCCTTTTAGTGGCAATTATCTGTTTCTTTTATCATAATATTTTCAAGGTGGTTAGTGCTGGTGGATAAGCATACATTTTATCATTTATTTACTCTTTTTTCCTTTTATATTAAATGTCAGTTGTAGAGGGCCAGGTGCAGTGGCTCACGCCTGTAATCCCAAAACTTCGGGAGGCCGAGACTAGCAGATCACCTGAGGTCAGTAGTTCGAGACCAGCCTGGCCATCATGGTGAAAACCTCATCTCTACTAAAAAATACAAAAAATTAGCTGGATGTGATGACACACACCTGTAATCCCAGCTAGTTAGGAGGCTGAAGCAGGAGAATTGTTTGAACCCGGGAGGTGGAGGTTGCAGTAAGCCAAGATCAGGCCACTGCATTGCAGCCTGGGGGATAAGAGCACAACTCAGTCTCAAAAACAAACAAACAAAAAAGTCAGTTGTAGAGAATTCAGTTAATCATATCTCTCAATTCATTGCTTAATATAAAGTCAGCTACATAATGCCTACTACTGGGTTTGTTTGTTTGTTTTGTTTTTGAGGCAGAGTTTTGCTCTTGTTGCCCAGGCTAGAGTGCAGTGGTGCAATCTCAGTTCATGGCAACCTCCACCTCCGGGGTTTAAGCAATTCTCCTGCCTCAGCCTCCCAAGTAGCTGGGATTACAGGCGTGTGCCACCACACCTGGCTAATTTTGTGTTTTTAGTAGAGATGGGGTTTTACCATGTTGGTAAGGCTGATTTTGAACTCCTAACCTCAGGTGATCCGCCCACCTCAGCCTCCCAAAGTTTTGGGATTACAGGCGTGAGCCACCGTACCCAGCCTGGTTCATTTTTAAAATTTATTTTTGTTTCCTTCAATGTAGACACCAGTGAGAATTGCTGTGTTCTGCATAAAGAATGCCCCAATCCTGAATCCCATTTTTTTCTCCTCACACTGATGTTCTTTTGCTGTTGTTGTTGTTTGTTTGTTTTTAGAAAAGAAATGAAGTTTCGAGATGTTGCCCAGACTAGTCTTGAACTCCTAGGCACAAGTGATCCGCCTGCCTTGGCCTCCCAAAGTGCTGGGATTACAGGAGTGAGACACCATGCCCAGCCTCTAATGTGTGTGTGTTTTTTTCTTTTGTAGAGATGAGGTCTTGCTATGCTGCCCAGGCTGTTCTTGAACATCGGAGCTCAAGCAATCCTCCTGCCTCAGCCTCCCAAAGTGCTGGGATTACAGGCGTGAGCCACTGCACCCAGCCTAATGTGTTTTATATAGGTTATAAACACATTTCTATGTATTTTAATTTACATAAATGATATACGGTATTTTTTTTTGTTTGCTTTGTTTCGTCTTTTTTTTTTGAGAGAGAGAGTCTCTGTCACTCAGGCTGGACCTCCCAGGCTCAAGCAATCCTCTTGCCTCAACCTCTGGAATAGATGGAACCACCGGCGTGCACCACCACATCCAGCTAATTTTTTTTAGTTTTTCATAGAGATGGGGTCTCCCTAGGTTGCCCAGGTTTGTTTGTTCTATTTCTTACTTCTTTACTCTTCAGCATTATGTTTTTGTTTTTGAGACAGAGTCTTGCTCTGACACTCAGGCTAGAATGCAGTGGCATGATCACAGCTCATTGCAGCTTCAACCTCCTAGGTTCAAGGGACCGTCCCACCTCAGCCTCTCCAGTAGCTGGGACTACTGGAAAGAATATCCTTGTATGACTGTCCTTCAGGCCTGTGCAAGAATTTCCCTGGCATATGCACAATATATCCAGAGATAATTGAGTCAGAGGTATATACTAACTTTTTTCACCGAATTCTGTCAGAATGCTTTCTAGAATACCTGAATCAGTTTACCCTACTTTCCCATATACTTGCCAAACTGAGATGTAGCATTCTTTATCATTTTTGCCAATCTGATGAATGTCAAACGGTATAATATCTTTGCTTTAATTTTTGTTTGCTTTCTAGTGAGGCTGATTATGTCTTCATTATTTGTTAGCCCTTTGGACTTCTCTTGCTTCAGATTGCCTAGTCATATCTTTTTCCTATTTTTCTGTTGAGTTTCCAATATTTTCTTGCTGATTTGCTGGAGTTATTTATATTCTAGTTTTGATGCCCTGAAGGTTTTAGCCATTGCTATTATCTTTTCCAACTCAGTCACCTGTCTCATAAGTTTGTACTTCATTGAACACAAATCTTTAAATTATATGCAGTCACATTCAATTTTTTTTCTTTTTCTTTTTCTATTTATTTATTTATTTATTTGAGACAGAGTTTTACTCTTGTCACCCTGGCTGGGGTGCAGTGTACAATTTCAGCTCACTGCAACCTCCGCTTCCCAGGTTCAAGCAATTCTTCTGCCTCAGCCTCCTGAGTATATGGGGTTACAGGCATGCGCCACCATGCCTGGTTAATTTTGTATTTTTCGTAGAGACAGGTTTCACCATGTTGGTCAGACTGGTCTCGAACTCCTGACCTCAGGTGATCTGCCCGCCTCGAGTTCCCAAAGTGCTGGGATTACAGGCATGAGCCACCTCGCCCAGCCCCTCATTTTTTTTTTTTTAATCTCATGTTGGTATTTTGGATCTTGCTCAAGTTTTCCTCCTGATTCACAAACATTGTCCCCTGCATTTTCTATTAATATTATTTTAGTAGATAGTAGAATCCATTTTGAGTCCCCTTTACACACGATAAAAAGAGAGTTCAAGCTTGATTTTTCTCTGTAAAACTGTAAGCCAGGTTTATCATGCCACCTAAGAAACAATCCATCCTTTTGTTATTGTTTTGTGGTGCTACCTTTATCAAATATCAAGGCTCGCTCCTGTAATACCAACGCTTTGGGAGGCTGAGGCAGGAGGATCACTGGAGGTCAGGAGTTCAAGACCAGACTGGGCAAAATAGCAGGACGCCCGTCTCTAGAAACAAACAACCAACCAAACAACCAAAACAAATGTTTTAATTTAATCACACTTGTTTCTCTCAGGAATAAAACAATTATTAATCATATCATGCATGTCAGAATGTCTTCAGATCTGTATCAAGCCCCTAGAATGCTTGCCTACTTAAGTCCTTTACACATGGATTATTTATTTATTTATTTATTTATTTTCGAGACAGAGTTTCACTCTTGTCCCTCAGGCTGGAGTGCAATGGTGAGATCTTGGTTCACTGCAACCTCTGCCTCCCGGGTTCAAGCAATTCTCCTGCCTCAGCCTCGAGAGTAGCTAGGATTACAGGTGCACGCCACCACGCCCAGCTAATTTTTGTATTTTTAGTAGAGACGGGGTTTCACCATGTTGGCCAAGCTGGTCTTGAACTCCTGACCTCAGGTGATCTGCCGGCCTCAGCCTCCCAAAGTGCTGGGATTACAGGCGTCAGCCGCCACACCCGGCCCTTTTCACATGGATTTTTCAGGCTTGGGGGTTTCTTCCTTGCCCATTCTTCAGACCGTACGATACAAGTGCCCAGAATATGGGGGACCTTTATCAGGTACCCTAGTTATTGTATGGAGTTGGTTGACAAGCCTCATTTTGCAGGAACTTGTGTCTACTCTTCCATTCGCTAGATCTGAATTCTTAGTATGCCTCATTTTCCATGAACTGGATTATTTCAGGTTTTTGGTCTCCAGCCTAAAACTGCTGTTACTGCTGATACTTGCTCTCCAAATGTTAATCCCCTCCCTAGGAAGCTCCACATCCCTCCCAGTTTGTCTTCTCTCTGAGGTCCCTGTTAAATTTCTCTCACTCTATCTGCCTGTGCAAAAATGAGATAAAAATGAAATTTTCAACCATAATGTCCATCAAAGGAGGGTAGAGCCTGGTAAATAAAAGCCTTTTTGTTCTACTGAACATTTGGATGTGTTTGGATATGCAAAACGGGGGCCAGATCTTAGCCTGGAAGTAGACAGCAGTGAGAACTGCTGTGTTCTGTGTAAAGAATAAGAATTTGCATTTGGGGGCTGCAGTTCAGGAAGGAGAGGGTACTGAAATGATACAAGACCCAGGAGAGAAGAGAAACAATCTAGCCAGGGTGTTACTAAATACCTATATGAGTCAGAAGCCAATAGAAAAATTCCCTGGGGCCGGGTACGGTGGCTCACGCCTGTAATCCCAGTACTTTAGGAGGCCGAGGCGGGCGGATCACGAGGTCAGGAGATGGAGACCATCCTGGCTAACACGGTGAAACCCCATCTCTACTAAAAAATACAAAAAATTAGCCAGGCGAGGTGGCGGGTGCCTGTAGTCCCAGCTACTCGGGAGGCTGAGGCAGGAGAATGGCGTGAACCTGTGAGATTCCGCCACTGCACTCCAGCCTGGGTGACAGAGCGAGACTCCGTCTCGAAAAAAAAAAAAAAAAAAAAAGAAAAGAAAAGAAAAAGAAAAATTCCTTGGAAAAGAACTTTTAAGAAGTATCTAGTATTTGGCTGGGAGCGGTGGCTCATGCCTGTAATCCCAGAACTTTGGGAGGCCGAGGCAGGCAGATCACCTGAGATCAGGAGTTCAAGACCAGCCTGGCCAACATGGGGAAACCCTACAGACTAAAAATACAAAAATTAACTGGGCGTGGTGGTACGCGCCTGTAGTTGCAGCTACTCAGGAAGCTGAGGCAGGAGAATCGCTTGAAGTCGGGAGGCAGAAGTTGCAGTGAGCTGAGATCGCACCACCGCATTCCAGCCTGGGTGACAGGACAAGACTCTGTCTCAAAAAAAAAAGAAGTATCTAGTATTCAAGTGGAAGGGTTCATGTTGTTGAGCTGTGAATACCCATACCTCATTCATTTTCACTCCCAAAATTTTCATCAAAGTCTGATAAAAAACAAAAATGTACTGGGTGCAGTGGCTCACACCTGTTAAATCCCCAAACTTTGGGAGGCTGAGGTGGGAGGATCACTTGAGGCCAGGAGTTGAAGACCAGCTTGGGCAACATGATGAGACCTTGTCTCTAGAAAAAAAAATGTTAAAAAATTAGCTGAGCATGATGGCATGTGTCTGTGGTAGCAGCTACTTGGGAGGCTGAGGTGGGAGGATCAATTGAGCCTAAGAAGTTGAGGCTGCAGTGAGCCATGATCTTGCCACTGCACTCCAGCCTGGGCAACAGAGCAAGAACCTGTCTCAAAAAACAAAAGCAAAAATACCTCATGTTGGCTGGGCAAAGCGGCTCATGCCTGTAATCTCAGCACTTTGGGAGGCTGAGGTGGTTGGATCACATGAGGTCAGGAGTTTGAGACCAGCCTGATCAATATGGTGAAACCCCGTCTCTACTAAAAATACAAAAATTTGTGGTGATGTGCGCCTGTAGTCCCAGCTACTCAGTAGGCTGAGACAGGATAATTGCTTGAATCTGGGAGGCAGAGGTTGCAGTGAGCAGAGATTGTGCTATTTGCACTTCTAGCCTGAGCGACACAGCAAGACTCCGTCTAAAAAAAAAAAAACAAACTTCATGTTAACAGATAATAACATCTGTGGAGGTGGGTGTGGGGTGGGAGGTGAGCAGTGGAGTGAGTAGTGGTATTATAAGTATGTATCAATTGAAACAGGTAATGAAATTAACCAATGGATCCGCATGGTGCAGAATGGAACAGCTGTGTCAGAAATAAGGTGACAATCTATTAACTGACCCTGCTTAGTGGAAGCCAGAAGCAGAGAAAGTCAAGGAGAAGGAGGAGGAGGAAGAAAAATGAAGAGGTGAAAATAGCTAATACTTACAAGGCATGCCAGGATTTGTTCTAAATGCTTTGTTTATACATATAAAGGTGACCATGAGAACGTCATACCTTCCCCAACATCTACCTCCTCCCTCCCAGAGAGTCACAGAAATCTTAGGGAGGGCTTTGGACTTCTCATAGTGAGTAACTAGCATTCAAGCCAATCTTGTCTAGATCTCGTAGGTAGGAGACTTCAGATAACACCTGGGTAGCATTTAAGCTTTAGCTCTTACTTCCAAGAATGCTCCAAGGGAGGTTTAAGTCATAATACAATGTTACATCACAGCTTCCTTCTAGCTTCTAGTCCTGAAAGTGCCCTCAAACTCATCATTAGAGCATACCTTTATTGTATTTTCAAGTGTATCATAACTATTGTGTATATTTAAATAGGCAAAAGTTCCTTTTGTGGACCTTGATTATAAATACATACACACACTTTTTTTCTATTTCCTTTTTTTTTTTTTTTTTTTTGTGATGGAGTCTCACTCTGTCGCCCAGGCTGGAGTGCAGTGGCACGATCTCGGCTCACTGCAACTTCCGCCTCCGCGGTTCAAGCGATTCTCCTCCCGAGTAGCTGGGACTACAGGCGCGCCACCCGGCCCGGCTATTTTTGTTTTTTTAGTAGAGGCAAGGTTTCACCATATTGGCCAGGATGGTCTCGATCTGTTGACCTCGTGATCCGCCCGAGGCAGATCCCAAAAGTGCTGGGATTACAGGCTTGAGCCACTGTCCCGGCCCAGAACCCCTTTTAAAGTCACCCTTGAAGGGCTCCTCTGATTCTTTCCTCAATGGTTAAGGCAGCTCTTGGCTGCCCTCTTCTGGGATCAGGTCTCCAAGCCACCCATTCCTGTTGACCAGCAACCCTTTTAGGTCCCATCTTGCCTGTGAGCTAGGACTGGTGGGACCATCACAGCTGTACAGCTTGACTTTCTTCTTCTACTGCTGCTATAGGATCTGAGCAGTGCTATTTTACCTATAAATACAACCTATTGGGCTCAAGCTATCTTCCTGCCTCAGCCTCCCAAGTAGCTGGGACTATACGCATGTGCCAATGTACCCAGCTAATTTTTTTCTTTTCTTCTTCTTTTTTTTTTTTTTTTTTTTTTTTTTGTGTGTGTGTGTGTGTGTAGAGATGGGTTCCACTATGTTAACCCAGGCTGGTCTTGAACTCCTGGTCTCAAGCGATTCTCCCGCCTCAGCTTCCCAAAGTGCTGGGATTACAAGCATGAGCCACCCTGCCCAGCCAGCGTATATATTTTTGTCTTTTAAATGTTTTAGCTATTTTACCAACAAGGAAGATTTTCTTGGGGGAAAAAAAGAAATCCTGAGGCCTCTCAGATAATAAAACCTTAGGCAGATTCAATACAAACAGATAACATTATCTGGCACTGTCTATTAAATTATCTTATCTAAAAATGTCACATGTAGATTGTATGCCATAACCACTAATAAATACCTCGAAGTGTTTTTTAAAAAATAATAATTGCTCACATCATTCTGAGATGGCTAATTTTTATCTTTTATAATTTTTAAAAATATTTTTTTTTCTGGCCAGGTGCAGTGGCTCAGACCTGTAATCCCAGCACTTTGGAAGGCTGAGGCAGGAAGATTGCTTGAGTCTGGGAGTTCAAGACCAGCCTGAGCAACATAGCAAGACCCTGTCTCTATAAAAAATTAAAAAATAAAAAAAATTAGCCAGGTGTGGTGACACATGCCTGTAGTCCCAGCTACTTGAGAGGCTGAGGTGGGAGGATCACTTGAGTCTGGGAGGTCGAGACTGCAGTGAGGCCTGATCTTGCTACTGCACTCACCCTGGGTGACAGAGGGAGACCGTGTCTCAGAAAAAAAATCTGCATATCTATATATTATTATTACTTTTTTTTGTTTTTGAGACAGAGTCTTGCTCTGTTGCCCAGGCTGGAGTGCAGTGGCACGATCTCAGCTCACTGCAACCTCTGCCTCCTGGGTCAAGCAATTCTCATGCCTCAGTCTCCCATTAGCTGGGATTACAGCCATGCGCCACCACGCCTGGCTAGTTTTTGTATTTTTATTTATTTATTTTTGAGACGGAGTTTTGCTCTTGTCACCCAGGCTGGAGTGCAATGACGTGATCTCGGCTCACTGCAACCTCTGCCTCCGGGGTTCAAGCGATTCTCCTGCCTCAGCCTCCCTAGTAGCTGGGATTACAGTTGCCTGCCACCATGCTCAGCTAATTTTTTGTATTTTTAGTAGAGATGGAGTTTCACCACCATTTTGTCCAGGCTGGTCTTGAACTCCTGACCTCAGGTAATCCACCCGCCTCGGCTTCCCAAAGTGCTGGGATTACAGGCGTGAACCACCTCGCCTGGCCTGACTTCATTTTTGTACAAAGTGAGAGATATTGATCAGGTTTCATTCTTCTGCATATGATATCCAGTTTTCCCAGCACCATTTATTGAAGATTTTTCTGCAATGTATATTCTTGGCATGTTTGTCAAAAGTAAGTTCATTGTAGATGTATGGATTTATTTCTGTATTCTCTATTCTGTTCCACTGATCTATGTGTTTGTTTTTCTGCCAGTATTATGCTGTTTTGGTTACTACAGCTCTGTAGTATGATTTGACATCCAATAATGTGATTTTCCAGTTTTGTTCTTTTTGCTCAAGGTATATTTGGCTATTCTGGGGCTTATGTGGTTCCATATAAATTTTAGGGTTTTTTTTTTTCTATTTCTGTGAAGGATGTCACTGGTATTTTGATAGGAATTACATTGAATCTGTAGATTGCAACAATATTGATTCTTCCAATCCATGAACATAGAATATTGGAATAACAATATTGTTACTTTCAATCCATGAACATGGAATATCTTTCCTTTTTTGTGTGTCCTCTTCAATTTCTTGCATCAGTGTTTTATGGTTTTCATTGCAGAGATTTTTCATTTCTTTGGTTTTGGTTAATTCCTTTTATTTATTTATTTATTTATTTATTTTTGAGAAAGTCTCGCTCTGTCACCCAGGTTGGAGTGCAGTGGTGTGATCTCGGCTGACTGCAACCTCCACCTCCTGGGTTCAAGCAATTCTCCTGCCTCAGCCTCCCGAGTAGCTGGGGCCACAGGCACACACCATCATGCCTGGGTAAATTTTTTTGTATTTTTAGCAGAGACAGGGTTTCACCATGTTGGCCAGGCTGGTCTCCAACTCCTGACCTCAGGTGATCTGCCTGCCTCAGCCTCCCAAAGTGCTGGGATTACAGGTGTAAGCCACCGGGCCTGGCTGATTAACTCCTATGTATTCAATTTTATCTGTAACTATTGTAAATGGGATTACTTTCTTGATTTCTTTTTCATATTGTTTGCTATTGGCATATAGAAATGCTACTGTTTTTTGTATGTAGATTTTGTATCCTACACTTTAGTGAATTTGTTTATCAGTTCTAATCGTTTTTTTTTTTTTGTGGAGTCTTGAGGTTTTTCCAAATATAAGATCATATCTGCAAACAAGGATAATTTGATTCTTTGCTTTCCAATTTGTTTTTTGTTTTTGTTTCCTTGTTTTTGAGACAGTGTCTCACTCTGTCTCCCAGGCTGCACTGCAGTGGCATGGTCATGGCTTACTGCAGCCTCTACCTCCCAAGCTCAGATGATCCTCCCACCTCAGCCTCCTGAGTAGCTGGGACTACAGGGGCGCACCTGCATACCCAGCCAATTGTGTGTGTGTGTGTGTGTGTGTGTGTGTGTGTTTTGTAGAGATGGAGTTTCACAATGTTGCTTAGACTGGTCTTGAACTCCTGGACTCAAGTAATCTGCCCACCTCAGCCTCCCAAAGTGCTGAGATTTCAGATGTGAGCCACTGCACCCAGCGCTTTCCAGTTTGGATGCCCTTTATTTCTTCCTCCTGTCTCATTGCTCCAGCTGACACTTCCAGTACTATGTGTAATAAAGTGCTGAAAGTGGGACTTCTTGTCATGTTCCAGATCTCAGAGGAAAGGTTTTAATTCCTCACAATTCAGTATGATACTAGCTATGGAACTGCTGTTTATGGCTTTATTATGTTGAAGTATATTCCTTCTGAACCCAGGTTTTTTTAGGGTTTTTGTTATTAAGGGATATTGAAATGTGTCAAATGCTTATTCAGAACCAATTGAAATGATCATATGGTTTTTGTCCTTTATTCTGTTGATATGATGTATCACATTGATTTATCCAAGTATGTTGAACCACCCTTGCATTCCCAAGATAAATCCCACTTGGTTATGATGAATGATCTTTCTAATGTGTCGTTGAAATCGGTTTGCTAGCATTTTGTAAAGGATTTCTGCAACAACATTAATCAGTAATATGGCCTGTAGTTTTTTTTTTTTTAATGTGTCTTTGTCTGCTTTAGCTATCAGGGTAATACTGGTCTTATAGAGTATGTTCTAAAGTGTTCCCTCCTCCTCTATTTTTTGGAATAGTTTGAGTAGGATTGGTATTAGTTCTTTTTTAAATGTTTGGTAAAATTCAGCAGTGAAGCCATTGGGTCCCAGGCTTTTTTTTTCCCCCGCCCTGGGAAACTTTTTATTACAGCTTTGATCCCATTAGTTCTTATTGGTCTGTTCCAGTTTTGGATTTCTTTACGGTTCAACCTTAGTAGGTTGCATGTGTCTAGGAATTTATCCATTTCTTCTGAGTTTTCCAGTCCATGAGCCTATAGCTGCTCACAGTAGCTTCTAAAGATCCTTTGAATTTCTGCAGTATTGGTTGGAATGTCTCCTTTTTCATCTCTGATTTTATTTAGATTTTCTCTCCTTTTTTCTTTCTTTTTTTTTTTTGAGACAGAGTCTCACTCTGTCACCCAGGCTGTAGTGCAGTGGCACGATCTTGGCTCACTGCAACCTCTGTTGCTCAGGTTCAAGCAATTCTCCTGCCTCAGCCTTCTGAGTAGCTGGGATTACAGGCACCTGCCAGCAGGCCTGGCTAATTTTTGTATTTTTAGTAGAGACAGGGCTTCACCATCTTGGCTAGGCTGATCTTGAACTCCTGACCTCGTGATCCACCCGCCACAGCCTCCCAAAGTGTTGGGATTACAGGCGTGAGCCACCGCACCCAGCCCTCTCTTTTTTCCTTAGTCTGGCTAAATATTTGTCAATTTTGTTTACCTTTTTAAAAACTAACTTTTTGGCCGGGCACGGTAGCTCACGCCTGTAATCCCAGCACTTTGGGAGGCTGAGGCAGGCGGATTACCTGAAGCCAGGAGTTCAAGACCAACCTGGCCAACATGGTGAAACCATGTCTCTACTAAAAATACAAAAAATTAGCCAAGCATGGTGGCAGGCACCTATAATCCCAGCTACTCAGGAGGCTGAGGCAGGAGAATCGCTTGAACCTTGGAGGCAGAGGTTGCAGTGAGCCAACATCGTGCCTTTGCACTCCAGCCTGGGCAACAAGAGCTAAACTCTGTCCCAACCAAAAAAACTAACTTTTTGTTTTGTTAATCTTTTGTGTTGTTTTCTTCATTTCAATTTTATTTGTTTATGCTCTGATCTTTATTATTACTTTTTTCTACTGATTTTGGGTTTGGTTTGCTCTTGCTTTTCTAGTTCTTTAAGATGCATCAAGTTGTTAGTTGTTTATTTGAAGTTTTTCTACTTTTTTTGTTTTCTTTTTCTTTTTCTTTGTTTTTGAGACGATCTGTCTTGTGCCACTGCACTCGCTCTGTCACCCAGGCTGGAGTGCAGTGGCACGATCTTGGCTCACTGCAACCTCTGCCTCCCAGGTTCAAGTGATTCTCCTGCCTCAGCCTCCCATGTAGTAGTAGCTGGGATTACAGGCATGCACCACCACACCCGGATAATTTTTGTATTTTCAGTAAAGACAGGTTTTTGCCATTTTGGCCAGGCTCGAACCCTTGACCTCAGGTGATCTACCCACCTCAGCCTCCCAAAGTGCTGGGATTACAGGCATGAGCCACTGTGCCCAGCCTTGAAATTTTTCTACTTTTCTGATGTAGGCACTTAAAGCTATAAACTACCCTCTTAGTACTGCTTTCACTATGTCCCATAGGTTTGGGTATGTTGTGGTTCCATTGCCATTTGTTTCAAGAAATTTTCCAATTTCCTTCTTAATTTCTTTATTGATCCACTGATTAGGAGCATATTGTTTAATTTCCATGTGTTTTTACAGTTTCCAAAATTCTTTGTTATTAATTTCTAGTTTTATTCCATTGTGGTCCAAGAAAATTCTTGATATAATTTTGATTTTCTTGGATGTTTTAAGACTTGTTTTGTCACCCAATATATGGCCTATCCTTGAGAATAATCCATGTGTTTAGGAAAAGAAAGTATGTTCTGCAGCCACCGGATGAAATATTCTGTAAATAACTAGTAGATCCATTTGGTCAATAGTGCAGATTCAGTCCAATGTTTCTTTGTTGGCTTTCTGCCTGGAAGATCTGTTCAATGCTGAAACTGGAGGGTTAAAGTCTCCAGCTTTCATTATATTGGGGTCTATCTCTCTCTTTAGATTTAATATTTGCTTTATGTATCTTGGTGCTCCAGTATTGGGTGGATATATATTTACAATGGTTATCCTTTTGCTTAATTGACCTCTTTATCATTGTATCATGACCTTCTTTGTTCCTACTTAAAGCCTTTATCTTGAAATTTATTTTGTCTAACTATAGCTACTCTTGCTCTTTTTTGGTTTCCATTGGCTTGGACTATCTTTTTATGTCTCTTTATTTTTATTCTACGTGTGTCTTTTATAGGTGCAGTGTGTTTTTCATAGGCAAGAGATCATTGGGTCTTTTTGTTTTTAAATCAATTCAGCCACTCTGTGTCTTTTGATTGGAGAGTTTACTCAATTTACATTCAATGTTATTATTAATAAGGACCTACTCCTGCCATTCATTTTGTTATTTGTTTTCTGGTTGTTTTGTGGTCTTCAATTCTTTCCCTCCTTCCTGTCTTCCTTTTAGTAAAGGGGATTTTTCTCTGGTGGTATAATTTAATTTTTTGCTTTTTATTTTTTGTGTGTCCATTGTATGTTTTTTTATTAGAGGTTACCATGAGGGTTGCAAATACTATCTTATCACCCGTTATTTTCAGCTGATAACAACTTAACTCTGCCTGCATACACAAACAAACAAGCAAAAAGAAAACTAAAAAAAATTCTACATCTTTACTTCATCTCTATGCTTTTTAACATTTTGTTGTTCCCATTAATATCTTATTGTACTATGTCTTGAAAAGTTGTCATTATTATTATTAATTTTCTTTTGAGACAGGTTATCACTCTGTCACCCAGGCTAGAGTACACTGGTGCAATCTCAGCTCACTGCAACCTCTGCCTCCCGGGCTCAAGCTATCCTCCTGCCTAAACCTCCTAAGTAGCTGGGACTACAGGAGCACACCACCACATCTAGCTAATTTTTGTGTTTTTTGTAGAGATGGGGTTACTCCATGTTGCCCAGGCTGGTCTTGAACTCCTGGGCTCAAGCGATCTGCCTGCCTCAACCTACCGAAAAATGCTGGGATTACAGGCATGAGCCACCATGCCCAGCTATAGTTATTAGTATTGTTCTTATTTTATTTTTGAGATGGAGTTTCACTCTTGTTGCCCAGGCTGGAGTGCAATGGTGTGATCTTGGCTCACCGCAACCTCCACCTCCTGGGGTCAAGTGATTATCCTGCCTCAGCCTCCTGAGTAACTGGGATTACAGACATGTGCCATCAAGCCTGGCTAATTTTGTATTTTTAGTAGAGATGGGGTTTCTCCATGTTAGTCAGGCTGGTCTCGAACTCCCAACCTCAGGTGATCTGCCCACCTCAGCCTCTCAAAGTGCTGGCATTACAGGCGTGAGCCATCATGCCTGGCCCATAGTTATTATTATTATTACATTTGAGAAATAGTCTCACTCTGTCACCCAGGATGGAGTGCAGTGGTGTGATTTCGGCTCACCACAACCTCTGCCTCCCAGGTTTAAGTGATTCTCATGCCTCAGCCACCCAGGTAGCTGGGATTACAGGCATGAGCCACCATATCAGCTAATATTTTGTATTTTTTAGTAGAGACAGGGTTTCACCATATTGGCCAGGCTGGTCTGGAACCACTGACTTCAAGTGATCTGCCTGCCTTGGGCTCGCAAAGTGCTGGGATTACGGCCACCACACCCAGCCCATAGTTACTATTTTTGATTGGATAATATTTTAGTCTTTCTACTTAAAAAAAAGTAGCTTACACACCACAGCTACCCCATTATAATATTATATGTTTTTCTGTGTACTTACTATTACCAGTGAGTTTTGTACTTTCAGATGATTTCTTTTTTTTTTTTTTTTTTTTTTTGAGATGGAGTCTCGCACTGTCACCCAAGCTGGAGTACAATGGCACAGTGATCTCGGCTTACTGCAAGCTCTGCCTCCCGGGTTCATGCCATTCTCCTGCCTCAGCCTCCCAAGTGGCTGGGATTACAGGCGCACACCACCACACCTGGCTAATTTCTTGTATTTTTAGTAAAGATGGGGGTTTCACTATGTTGGCCAGGCTGGTCTCGAACTCCTGACCTCGTGATACGTCCGCCTCACCCTCCCAAAGTGCTGGGATTATAGGTGTGAGCCACCGCACCCAGCCCAGATGATTTCTTATTGCTTGTTAATGTCCTTTTCTTTCAGACTGAAGAACTCCCTTTAGCATTTCTCGTAGGACTAAAATCCCTCAGCTTTTGTTTGTCCAGGAAAGTCTTTACTTCTTCATCTTTGGAGGATATTTTCACTGGATATATTATTCTAAGTAATAGTTTTTTTTCCTTCAGTACTGTAAATATCTCACGGCACTCTCTCCTGGCATGGAAGGTTTCCACTGAGAAGTTCGCTGCTGGACATACTGGAACTCTGTTGTATGTTATTTGTTTCTATTTTCTTGCTGCTTTTAGGATTCTTTCTTTAACCCTGACCTTTGGGAGTTTCACTATTAAATGCCCTGAAGTGGTTTTCTTTAGGTTAAATTTGCTTGGTGTTCTACAACCTTCTTGTACTTAGATATTGATATTGCTCATTAGGTTTGAAAAGTTTTGTTATTCCTTTGAATAAACGTTCTTTTTTTATTTTAATTTTTTTTATTTTTTGAGGCGGATTTTCGCTCTTGTTGCCCAGGTTGGAGTGCAATGGCACGATCTTGGCTCGCTGCAGCCTCTGCCTCCCAGACCCAAGTGATTCTCCTGCCTCAGCCTCCCCAGTAGCTGGGATTAGAGGCGTCTGCCACCACACCCAGCTAATTTTTTGTATTTTTAGTCTTGAACTCCTGACCTCAGGTGATTCACCGGCCTCGGCCTCTGCCTCCCAAAGTGTTGGGATCACAGGCATGAGCCGCCACACCTGGCCAAATAAACTTTCTACCCCTCTCTCTCTACCTTCTTTTTTTTTTTTTTTTTGAGACAGAGTTTCACTCTTGTTGCCCAGGCTGGAGTGCAGTGGTGCTATCTCGGCTCACCGCAACCTCCGCCTCCCGGGTTCAAGCAATTCTCCTGCCTCGGCCTCCCAAGTAGCTGAGATTACAGGCATGCGCTACCATGCTTGGCTAATTTTTGTATTTTTAGTAGAGACACGGTTTTACCATGTTGGTCAGGCTGGTCTCGAACTTCCGACCTCAGGTGATCTGCCCACCTCGGGCTCCCAAAATGCTGGGATTACAGACATGAGCCACCGCGCCCGGCTCTACCTTCTCTTTTAAGGCCAATAACTCTTAGATTTATACCTTTAAGGCTATTTTCTAGATCTTATAGGCATGCTTCATTGTTTTTTACTTATAGACATGGTAGAGATCATTCAGTAGAGAAGGGAAGAAGGCCAGACAAAACCCTGAGGATCACCTACATTCCCAAGATAGGCAGCAGAAGAGGTTCCTAGAAAAAGACTGAGATGAAATGGCCAAAGAAGTAGGATGGAACGCGAGAGAACATGACCTCACAGAAGTCCTGGAAAGGGAGCTTCAGGCCGGGTGTGGTGGCTCGTGCCTGTAATCCCAGCACTTTGGGAGGCCGAGGCGGGTGGATCACCTGAAGTCAGGAGTTCGAGACCAGCCTGGTCAACATGATGAAAGCCCATCTCTACTAAAAATATAAAAATTAGCCAGGCATGGTGGCAGGCACCTGTAATCCCAGCTACTTTCGGAGCCTGAGGCAGGAGAATCGCTTGAGGCTGCGAGCCAAGATTGCGCCACTGCACTCCAGCCTGGGTGACAGAGAGGGACTCCATCTCAAAGGAAAAACAAAAACAGAAACAAAGGACTCTGATGCGTTCTTGAGCATGTCAATTGCATTTTTCAGCTCCAGAATTTCTGCTTCATTCTTATACATTACTTCAATCTCTTTGTTAAATTTATCTGATCGAATTCTGAATTCCTTCCCTGTTTTATCTTGAATTTGTTTCCTCAAAACAGCTATTTTGAATTCTGTGTCTGAAAGGTCACGTATTTCAGTTTCTCCAGGATTGGTCCCTGAGTGCCTTATTTAGTTTATTTGGTGAGGTCATGTTTTCCTGGATGATACTGATGCTTATGCTTGTTTGTCAGTGTCTGGGCATTGAAAGTTAGGTATACATTTCAGTCTTCACAGAGTGAGCTTGTTCATACCCATCCTTCTTGAGAAGACTTTCCAGGTATTTGAAAAGAATTTGGTGTTGTGATCTAAGCATTATCTGCATAAAGGGGCACCCCAAGCTCAGTGACACTGTATTTCTTGCAGACTCATAGAAGTACTGCCTTGGTAGTTTATATGGTTTGGATTTGTGTCCCCACCCAAATCTCATGTCAAATTGTAGTCCCTAGTGTTAGCAGTGGGACTCAGTGGGAGGTGATTGGATCATGGTGGCAGATTTCCCAGTTGGTGCTGTTCTCATGATAGTAAGTTCTCACAAGATCTGGTTGTTTAAAAGTTTGCGGCACCACCCCCTTCTCTCTCTCTTCCTTCTCCTCTGACCATGTGAAGTGCTGGTTCCCCCTCTGCCTTCCACCATGATTGTATGTTTTCTGAGGCCTCCCCAGAAGTTGCTATGCTTCCTGTACAGCCTGTGTAACCACAAGCCAATTAAACCTCTTTTCTTGCTGGGCACGTTGGCTCACACCTGTAATCCCAACACTTTGGGAGGCTGAGGTAGGCCGACCATGAGGTCAGGAGTTTGAGACCAGCCTGACCAACATGGTAAAACCCCATCTCTACTAAAAATACAAAAATTATAGGGTGTGGTGGTGCGTGCCTATAATTCCAGCTACTCAGGAGGCTAAGCAGGAGAATCACTTGAACCCCGGAGGTAGAGTTTGCAGTGAGCTGAGATCCTGTCACTGTACTCCAGCCTGAGCGATAGAGCAAGACTCTGTCAAAAACAAAACAAAACAAACAAACAAAAAAAACTCTTTTCTTTGTAAATTACCGAGTCTCTGCTATTTCTTTATAGCAATGCAAGAATTGACTAATACAGTGGTCTTGAATAAGATCCAGAAGAATTCTTCAGATTACTAGGCAAAGGCTCTTGTTCTCTTCCCTTATGATCTCCCAAACAAAAAAAGTTTCAGCTGGGTGCACTGGCCTCCTATAATCCCAGCATTTTGGGAAGCTGAGGCAGGTGGATCACTTGAGGACAGGAGTTCCAGATCAGCCTGGCCAACATGGTGAAACCCCATCTCTACTAAAGATACAATAATTAGCCAGGCGTAGTGATGGGCACCTGTATTCCCAGCTACTCAGGAGGCTGAGGCGGAAGAATTGCTTGAACCCCGGAGGGAGAGGTTGCAGTGAGCTAAGATCCTGCCACTGCACTCCAGCCTGAGTGATAGAGCAAGACTCCGTCAAAAACAAACAAACAAAAAAAAGAACTCTTTTCATTATAAATTACCGAGTCTCTGATATTTCTTTATAGCAATGCAAGAATTGACTAATACAGTGGTCTTGAATAAGATCCAGAAGAATTCTTCAGATTACTAGGCAAAGGCTCTTGTTCTCTTATGTTCTCCCAAACAAAAAAAGTTTCAGCTGGGTGCAGTGGCCTCCTATAATCCCAGCACTTTGGGAAGCTGAGGCAGGTGGATCACTTGAGGACAGGAGTTCCAGACCAGCCTGGCCAACATGGTGAAACCCCGTCTCTACTAAAGATACAACAATTAGCCAGGCATAGTGATGGGCACCTGTATTCCCAGCTACTCAGGAGGCTGAGGCAGGAGAATCACTTGAACCCGGGAGGTGGGGGCTGCAGTGAGCTGAGATTGGGCCATTGCACTCCAGCCTGGGCAACAGAGTGAGACTTCGTCACAAAACAAAACAAAACAAAACAAACAAAAAAGAGTTTTTCTGTGTTGAGCTGTCTGGATCTGGGGGTATGGTGACACAAGCAGCCCTGCAACCACCACCACTGGGACTGCACTGGGTCAGACCTAAAGCTAGCACAGAAATGGGTCTTGCCCAAGGCACGCTGCAACCACTGCCTGGCTACTGGCTATGTTCACTCAAGACTCTAGGGATCTACAATCAGCAGATAGCAAAGCCAGCCAGGCTTGTGTTTTTCCCTTCAGGGTGGTGAGTTGTCCCAGGCCCTGGGTGGGTCCAGAGATGCCATCCAGGAATTAGGGACCAGAGTCAAAAACCTTAGGGATCTACCTGGTCTTCTGTGGCTGAGCTGGCACTCAAACAATGAGACACAGTTCTTCCCACTTGTCCCTTCTTGGGGAGCCTCACCCCATGGCCACCACCACCACAGGCCTGTGGGGAGTACTACTGCCGATGTTTACTTAAGGCCCAAGGGCTCTTCAGTCAGCTTGTGGTGAATGCTGCCAGGACTGGTATCCATCATTCAGGGCAGTGGGCTCCCCTCTGGCCCAGGGCAGATCCAGAAATACCATCCAAGAGCCAAAACCTGGAACTGGGGACCCCAAGAGCTCGCTTGGTGCTTTACCTCACTGGGAGGGGAAGATAAAGTTCTTCCCCTCCCCAAACCTTTTGTTTGTTTGCTTGTTTTGAGATAGGGTCTCACTCCAACACCCAGATTGGAGTGTAGTGGTGCAATCATGGCTCACTGCAGCCTTGACCACCTGGGTTCAAGTGATCCTCCTGCCTCAGCCTCCTGAGTAGCTGGGACCACAGGTGCACACCACCATGTCTAGCTTTTTTTTTTTTTTTTTTTTTTTTTTTTTGTAGAGACAAGGTTTCACCATGTTGCCCAGGCTGGTCTTGAACTCCTGGGCTCAGGTGATCTGCCCACCTCAGCCTCCCAGAGTATTAGTATTAGAGGCGTGAGCAACCATGCCCAGCTGAGAAAGTTCCTTTTACTCTTCCCTCTTCTTTTCTTGAGCAGAAGTAGTCTCTCACCATAGCCACCACAGCTGGAAATATGCTGGGTCACACCTGAAGCCAGCACATCTCAGAGTGTTACCTAAGACCCATGGCATATGACCTGGGTATTGCTGCTGGTTATTCAGGGCCCAAGGGCTCTTTACTTAGCAGGAGATGGCTCCCGCTTGATCCATCCCTTCAGGGCAGTGGTTTCCCTTCTGGCCCAGTGTGTGTCTAGAAATCTTGTCTGGAAGCTAGGATTTGGAAAGGGGGCCTCAAGACTTTGCTGATGCCCTGTCCTACTGTGGCTTAGCTGGTATCCAAGTTGAAAGACAAAGTCCTCTTTCCTCTTTATTTCCTCTCCTCACATGAAAGGAAAAGATGTCTTTCAGAGGCATGAGCTATGCTGCCCGGGGTTGGGGGAGGGGTGGCACAACCCCTTAGCCACTTCTGCTGGTATCTCAGTGGGTTGCATTCCCCTTAAGTCCACTGGATCTGGGCCCAGCGCAACACTAGGACTTGCCTAGGAGTGGCAGTCCTCATGGCCTAGACTGCCCCTCAAGTTTATTTAGGGCCCCAGAGCACTTTACTCCGTGACGGTGACACTTGCTAAAACTCAGGTTCCAGCTGCTGGGGTGGGTGATACCCCTCTGGCTAGGACTTGTCTAAATGCTCTCTCTGTGGATGTCAGCTGAATGCAGCCCAGTTTGCTTTTCCACTGTGACATGCCTGACCTATTGTTCTTTACTTAGAACAACAAAATACCAAGAGAAGTCAAGAAAGAGACTTTAAGGCCGGGTGTGGTGGCTCATGCCTGTAATCCCAACACTTTGGGAGGCCAAGGCTGGCGGATCACTTGAGGTCAGGAGTTCCAGACCAGCCTGGCCAACATGGTGAAACCCCATCTCTGCTAAAAATACAAAAATTAGCTGGGTATGGTGGCATGCACCTGTAGTCTCAGCTACTTGGGAGGCTGAGGGCCGGAGAATTCCTTGAACCCATGAGGCAGAGGTTGCAATGAGCCAAGATCACACCACTGCACTCCCATCTGGGCAACAGGGCAAGACTCCATCTCAAAAAATAAAATAAAAAAAATAAAATAGAATAAAAAACAAAAAGACTGTAAAAGAAAAGAAAAAAAATTATACTTTTGTGTCTTTAAGTATACGTTTTTCTTGCTTTTTGAAAAAGGAATCCCAACTTTCATTTTGCACTGGGCCTCCTAAATGATATAGACTGTGTTGCCTTGAATGGAAGCTTTCAAACAAATTGTGTTTTTAGGAAAGAGAGGAGCAATGAGGAAAATAGGGAGATGGGTAGGGCAGGGACCTGGGGGTCCTCTTAACCTTATAGACCTCATAGTGTCCTGGCTGCCAAAGGGACACATCCTGATGTAGGAGAGTTAGAGAGCACAGGAAGAGGCAAGGAATGACAGGGGATAGTCAGCAGGGCAGTTTGATATTTAAGGTTGTATTGTGTGCTGTTTCTTCCAGTGTCTTCTGACCAGGCCTACAAGATAATGGCTCCAAGTGGGACATCATGAGAAACTAAAAGAGTGGTTCAGAAAAGTCCTACAACACAAGGACTGTTATAAGTGTCAGGAAGCATGATCTAAGTTTAGGGCCTAATAACACTGCTAACAGTCGTATTGAAGCAGTTGTTAAAAGGACTATATAGAAAGAAATTATGTCCTTCCAGTCTTCATCCCTGGCTGAGTCCTCAGCAATGGTTAGCACCACGTTATCAGCCATGTGAGTGAGCCATCATGGAGTGGATCTTTCAGCTTCCAGCTGAGTTCCTCCAGTTGACACTAACATGGAACAGACGTGAGCCTTCCCTGCTGAAACTTACTCAGATTGCAGGCTTATGCATCAAGTAACTGATTGTTGCTTAAAGCCACTGAGTTTTAGCATGGTTCGTTATGAGGAAACAAATAACTAATACACTTCCCTGAATTCTACTGGGGGAAAGACAGACTTGATGTGACTCTGGGGTTCTAGCATTTCTACCTATGAAAGCTCAGTATAGTGGTTAGGCACATAGACCCTGGAGTTATACTATCAAGATTAATACTCCCCAGATCTACTACCTTCCAGATGTATGACTGTATGCAAGCCACTTATACTCTCTATATCTCAGTTTCTTCATCTGTAAAATAGGGATATAATGACAATAATATTTCACATTGTTGCCAAGGTTAAAGAAGATAACATCCGGCTGGGCGTGGTGGCTCACGCCTGTAATCCCAGCACTTTGGGAGACTGAGGCAGGCGGATCACAAGGTCAGGAGTTCCAGACCAGCCTGACCAACATGGTGAAACCCCGTCTCTATTAAAAATACAAAAATTGCCTGGTGTGGTGGCTCACGCCTGTAATCCCAGGACGTTGGGAGGCCGAAGCGGGTGGATCACAAGGTCAGGCGATCGAGACCATCCTGGCTAACATGGTGAAACTCCATCTCTACTAAAAAAAAAAAAGAAGAAGATAACATTCATAGCATATTTAGAACAGTATGTGGCACATAGTAGGCAGTGGTCTCTATATTATTATTTTCAAAGCAAGGGTATCTTTATCATTTAAAATTATCCCTTATTTGTGATTTTACTCTCCCCAAAGTAGCTGGACTTGAGAAAATATTTTACTTTTTACACATTTAATAATGACCTCTGTCTTCAGACTCTGTGATCAGTCTACCTCTTTACATTCTACAAGACAATGTTTTACTTTATATATTATTATCAGAAAAAAAATGAAAAAAATCTGCAGCACAAAAGTTATAGAGGCTGGGTGCAGTGCCTTGGCCTCCCAAAGTGCTGGGATTACAGGCGTGAGCCCCATGCCTGGCCTCCTTTTTTGTTTTAAGCCTTCTCAAAGGTCTAGACCTCCAGAGAGAGCAGAATTTATTAATTTATTAAAATGAGGCTGGGCGCGGTGGCTCATGCCTATAATCCCAGCACTTTGGGAGATCAAAGTGGGTGGATCACTTGAGGTCAGGAGTCTAAGACCAGCCTGGCCAACATGGCTAAACTCCATCTCTACTAAAAATACAAAAAAAAAGATAGCTGGGTGTAGTGGCAGGCGCCTGTAATCCCAGCTACTTGGGAGGCTGAGGCAGGAGAATCGCTTGAACCCAGGAGTGGTGGTTGCAGTGAGCCGAGATCGCACCATTGCACTCCAGCCTGGGCAACAAAAGTGAAACTCCGTCTTAAAAACTCCTTAAAAAAAAAAAATGGCCAGGTGCAGTGGCTCACGCCTGTAATCCCAACACTTTGGGAGGCTGAGGCAGGCAGATCACTTGAGGTGAGGAGTTCAAGACCAGCCTGGCCAACATGGCAAAACCCTGTCTCTACTAAAAATACAAAAAGTACCCAGGCGTGGTGGCCCACGCCTGTAATCCCAGCTACTTGGGAGGCTGAGGCAGAAGAATCACTTGAACCTGGGAGGTGGAGGTGGAGGTTGCAGTGAGCCAAGATCGTGCCACTGCACTCCAGCCAGCAAGAGACTCCTCCATCTCAAAAAAAAAAAAAAAAATTGTATTATTTTGTTAATTATAACATTATAGATGAACTCTGGATTGTGGGAACACAGGACACAGGTATTAGTTTATGTTTTTTTCTGCACATTTCTGTATTTTAACATCTCTCAAAGTTAAAAAAAGTTAAAAATGTAATAAATTTAAATAATAAATTTAAAATCTGGGAAACATAAAATAGTGAAACAGTCACCTATAATTTCACAGCCTGGAGGTAATTAATAGTAAAATGTCAGTATCAACTTAATATTGAAGGGAAAATGTACTGATCTTCCAGAGATTATATGAAGATTGAGACAGCGGCATCTGAAAGCACAGGAAAATATTTGTCCAAAGACAAAATTACAACAAATTTAGTTTAAAGATGTCATTGGCTTTTATTTGTAATTCTAAAAAACAGAATGAGTATTATGAGGAGCTGAGCCGAGGAGATTGTTTTTGTTTCTTTTTTGAGATGAAGTCTCGCTCTGTCACCCAGGCCGGAGTGCAGTGGTGCGATCTCGGCTCACTACAGCCTCTGCCTCCTGGGTTCAAGCAATTCTCCTGCCTCAGCCTCCTGAGTAGCTGGGATTACATGTGCGTGCCACCGGGCCTAGCTAATTATTGTATTTTTAGTAGAGATGGGGTTTCACCATGTTGGCCAGGCTTGTCTCGAACACCTGACCTCGTGATCCACCAGCCTTGGCCTCCCAAAGTGCTGGGATTAAAGGCGTGAGCCACCGGCACCGCCTGAGATTGTTCTTAAAAGCAGAAAAGTGCTTAAGGAAAGAGAAACAGAACAAAAAGTAGATAGGCCATTTCAAAGTTACTTTACTTGTAAAAGTTAAAGCAGAGATAACTTTATCTTGCTAAAACTGGCTTGCTTGGGGATTCAGCTCTTCTCTCTCTTTTCTGATTTCTCAGAAGGTCAGATAAACAACTTAGTTTCGGGTTAGTGGCATGGAACTAGAGCATGAGTAACTCCATTTTTATTTGGTCTGATGGGCCTAGTACAGAAGCTCAGTCCAATCCAATGGTTTCCTTTAAGTTTTATTTAATACAGGGCATGTGAAAAAAAGCGATATCAGATCCTTCAAATTAAGTCAGGTGTCACAATGGGATACTTAGCACAGAGGCAGAAGAGTAAAATTATAAACAAATCAGAACATTACAGCACAAAAGTAATAATATACAGCACACTTTTAATTTCATACAAATATGTTTCAGAATTTTGCCATTTGAATCGACAAAACCATTCATTTTATAAAATACCCACTCGCTAAACAATTTAACTTTTCCTTCAGGTGTATAGGTGGCAGAATACTTTTTGTAAATTTATTTCTTCACCCACTTTATTAGTAATAAAGTTATCTCTTGGGAGGCAGAGCAAGATGGGTGAACAGAAGCTTCCATTGATCTCTTCCCCATAGGAATACCAACTTCTACATTAGCAGTAGCCTGGCAGTACTCACCCTGTGCTTGTGGTAGTTATGGACATGGCAAGAGACCCCCATGCCTAGGGAAAGAGGAAGGATGCATAGGAAGGACTTTCTCTTGGGCCTTGGATGCCAGCTCAGCCATAGTAGAGCAAAGCATCAGGTAGATTCCTAAACTTCCTTCCTGAAGTTTCTAACTTCAGGCTCTAGCTCCCAGATGGCATCTCTGAACCCATCCAGGGACTGGGACAATTTGTTGCCCTGAAGTGAAGGACACAAGCCTGGCTGGCTTTGCTATCTGCTGATTGTAGAGCCCTGGGGTCTTGAGCGAACACGGCCAGTAGCCAGATAGTGGTTACAGCCTGCCTTGGGCAAGACCCAGTATTGTGCTAGCTTTAGGTCTGACCCAGTACAGTCCCAGTGGTGGTGGCTGCAGGGCTGCTTGTGTTACCCCAACCCCAGCTCCAGGCAGCTCAGCAAAGAGAGAGAAACTCTTTGTTCAGGGGAAAGTAAGGGGAGAGAACAAGAGTTTCTGCCTGGTAATCCAGAGAATTTTCAAAGATCTTATTCAAGATCACCAAGGGGGTACCTCTACAAGTCTGCAAGGATGACAGCATTACTGGGCTTGGGGTGTCCCCTAATATAGATATAGCTGCAATGACCAGAAACTTAGATAGTAATACCCAAGTCCCTTCAAATACCTGGAGAGAGTCCAGGCGTGGTGACTCACACCTGTAATCCCAGCACCTTGGGAGGCCGAAGTAGGTGGATCCCTTGAGCCCAGGAGTTTGAGACCAGCCTAGGCAACAAAGAAAGACCCTGTCTCTACCAAAAAATTTAAAAATGAGCTGGAGCATCTTTTAAGCCTCAGAGATCCAGGCTGCAGTGAACAGTGTTCATGCCACTGCACTCCAGCCTGGGTGACAGAAGGAGACCCTGTCTCAAGAAAAAGAAAGAAAGAAAGAAAAAAGGTCCAGGCATGGTGGCTCATGCCTGTAATCCGAGCACTCTGAGAGGCCAAGGTGGGCAGATCACCTGAGGTCAGGAGTTTGAGACCAGCCTGACCAACGTGGAGAAACCCCGTCTCTACTGAAAATACAAAATTAGCCTGGTGTGGTGACGCATGCCTGTAATCCCAGCTACTTGGGAGGCTGAGGCAGGAGAATCACTTGAACCTGGGAGGCGGAGGTTGCGGTGAGCCGAGATCGTGCCATTGCATTCTAGCCTGGGCAACAAGAGCGAAATTCCGTCTCAAAAAAAAAGAAAAGAAAAGAAAGGAAAAGTACACATATCCATGAAAACTGAAATTGGCGATCATAAATGTGGAATAAGGCCAATCAGCATGATTCTGGGATTTTTCTATAGAAAAACCCCCAAATGTAGAGAGATAATCCTCTGAAAACAAAACCATTATTAAGGAAATGGTTGAGAACAGTCATTTATAATAATGAGTATGTGACAGACTAGGGAGTTTTAGAACATCCAAATTCAGTCAAGATTTGGTTATGATGAGATGATAATCAGATTTAGTGATCTTCTCAATTCATTAGCATTTCTAAAAGAAAAATACTGTAAAGAGAGTTCTCATCAGCCTAGGAATTCCCCTGAAGTGAGGAAAGGTAAGGGGAAGGGATAAGCAGGAACTGAGACAGCCGGAGAGAAGTGGGAATGGATGACCTCACAGACCTACCCAATGCTGAGCGGTAGAATCTTCCCCTGAGGGTAATCTGGGAATTTGTGAGGGTGTTTTTGATTGTTTCAAAGATAGGGAATCTAAATTTAGTCAACTTTGTTTAATATATAAACACTAAGTGTTTCTGGCATGCCTTAAATGTACACTAATTTTCTAAGAAGGCAACTACTGAATAAACTGAAGAATCGTACGTCCTTTTATGGGAAACTTTACCAAGAAACATTCAGAGCTTCAGAAAATAATACCAGTAGGCTGAGGCAGGAGGATCACCTGAGGTCAGGAGTTCAAGACCAGCCTGGCCAACTTGGTGAAATCCCATGTTTACTAAAAATACAAAAACTAGCTGGGCATGGTGGTATGCGCCTGTAATCCCAGCTACTCGGGAGGCTGAGGTGGGAGAATCACTTGAACCTGTGTTAGAAATAGATAATGAGTGCTGCGAAGAAAAGTCAGCACAGAGACAAAAGATCTCTCAGCAAGGCAATTTTTACATTCTGCAGAAAGGGTACACCTGCCAGCAGTCTTGCCACAAGAGTACACCGAACAAAGGAAAAGCAGACATATTTATCCCTTACGCATATGGCTTATCCTTATTGCTGTGTCCTGCATCCGTTGGCTGGAGCCCAACCTCACAGTCTAAACTGATAACCGATTTGCTAACAACCTAAAACTTTTTTAAATAGGTAAAGGCAAGGGAGAACAAAGGAAAGGAAGAAGTTGCTTACGAAAGATTTAAAGAAGCAATAACAATTTCAAATAAAGAAGGGGCACAGGCTGTGAGCATGTCCAACAGCTGCATAGGATAGGGCTTAACAAAGAGTTATTAACACAAAGCAAGGAGGCTTGAAGAAAGTTAGTCTTTAAAAGAAACTATTATTTCTAACACTTATGATTTATTCTTTAACAAGAAGGGAAACTTTGAAGAGGAAACTTTTTACTTTCTACACCTGGGAGGCAGAGGCTGCACTGAGCTGAGATCGCACCACTGCATTTCAGCCTGGGCAACAAAAGCGAAACTTCATCTCAAAAAAAAAGAAAAGAATACCAGTAATAACATGTCAGCTAATTTTATCTAAGTCAGTACAATATACCTGCTTTTCTGCACTTGTAGCTTTTCAGTGATTCCACATATGTGTACAGACGTATGACCATCCCATTATGCATTCTAGTGAAACCATGACTAAACATTTACACATTGAACTGTGTGTTTTATCAATTACTTCCAGTTTATTTACTATAGTAAATTAATGAACACAAAATGTTAATTATTGAAAGAAAAGGGAGGTGTTAGATCTGTCGAGTTGGCCAGGCCCAGTGGTTCACACCTGTAATCCTAGCACTTTTGGAAGCTGAGACAGGAAGATCACTTGAGGTCAAGAGTTCAAGATCAGCCTGGCCAACATGGTGAAACCTCGTCTCTACTAAAAATACAAAAATTAGCCAACATGGTGGTGCATACTTGTAATCCCAGCTACTTGGGAGGCTGAGGCAAGAGAATAGCTTGAACCCAGGAGGTGAAGGTTGCAGTGAGCTGAGATCGAGCCACGGCACTCCAGCCTGGGTGACAGAGCAAGACTCCGTCTCAAAAAAAAAGATCTGTAGAGTTGAGACCCACTGGCCTAGAGTAACAGCTTTTCACTTTTGGACCAATAGACCCCTTTCAGGATAGAATGAAAATTAGTAACAATCCCATCTACACGTAAGCAGAAACCTTTGCATAAACAGTCTGTGCTTTATTATATGCAAGTGAGCCCACTCTTGGGGATAGTTGGAAGATGGGGTAATGAAGGAAGGCATGTAAATAGTTTGATAACAGAAAACTATTTCACTCTTTCTCAGTTTGTACATTTAAATCCTTTCTCTACAATGGTTCTTGTCTGTCCCAGGACAAAATCTTAAGCATGTTTTGTAGTTTTTTTACTGTCAATTTTAGACAAGAAAAAGGCCAGTCCAGTTGAATAGTCCACATTCCAAACTGTCACCAATTCAAGTTCTCCTTCCGTCAAGCTCAAATATATTTCATGTTTTATTGTTTGGAAGGGAGGAAGCAGAAATAAAGAACAGAAAGGTCTTATACAGTTATAATCTGGTATTGGTGTCCTCTAGATTGAACGGATGTTAAATGCTGGTTTTTTCCCATAGAGAGTTTCTCTAGATACTCTCCCACTTTGAGAATTTCTTTGTAGAGATAAAGTCTCACTATGTTACCCAGGCTGGAGTGTAGTGGCTATTCATAGATGGGATCCTGGTGCTCTACAGCCTCGAATTCCTGAGCTCAAGGGATATTCCTGCCTCAACCTCCCAAGTAGCTGTGGTGTCCCGGGTGTAGGACACCACACCCAACCACTTTGAGAATTTCTAATGTTAAAAACCTTTTTTTAGGCCGGCGCAGTGGCTTACCTGTAATCCCAGCACTTTGGGAGCCCAAGGTGGGCAGATCACGAGGTCAAGAGATTGAGACTATCCTGGCCAACATGGTGAAGCCCCATGTCTACTAAAAATACAAAAATTAGCTGGGCATGCTAGCGCATGCCTGTAGTCCCACCTACTCAGGAGGCTGAGGCAGGAGAATAGCTTGAACGTGGGAGACAGGGGTTGCGGTGAGTCGAGATCACGCCATTGCACTCCAGCCTGGGCAACAAGAGCAAAACTCCGTCTCAAAAACAAACAAAAAAACAAAAAAACTGTTTTTTATGTAAAGCAATGATTCCTCCAGCTGGCCATGTGTGGTCTTCCCTTGGCCCCTGGTTTCCAGGAGTTTCCAGTGACCCACCTCTCTGCTGGAGTCACCACATCCTTACAAGTGGTCTTCTTGGTGCAAATCCAGCTCCCTTACCCCAGTCCATATTTGGCTTTGGCTTATGAATAACTCACGCATCCTCTGCCCCACCAACCACTGGGTGCAGACCGTTCCCAACACAGTCCCCTCTCTTAGCTCTTTTGTCAGAAAAGCAGGTCAATACAGCCTTGCTGAGTCAGGTGCTGTGTGGCTTCCAAGCTTCAGGGGAAAATGTGAACCTAGCTCACTTGTTCTTCTAAAGCCCTTTAAACAGGAGGCTTGGCGGGGCACGGTGGCTCACGCCTGTAATCCCAGCACTTTGGGAGGCCGAGGCGGGAGGATCACGAGGTCAGGAAATCGAGACCATCCTGGCTAACACGGTGAAACCCCGTCTCTACGAAAAATACAAAAAATTAGCCGGGCGGGGTGGCGGGCGCCTATAGTCCCAGCTACTCGGGAGGCTGAGGCAGGAGAATGGCGTGAACCCGGGAGGCGGAGCTTGCAGTGAGCCGAGATCGCGCCACTGCACTCCAGCCTGGGCGACACAGCGAGACTCCATCTCAAAAACAACAACAACAACAACAACAACAACAACAACAACAATAATAATAATAAACAGGAGGCTTAGCTTGAGAAGGGGCTAAGCTCTAGCCTCCCCTTGCCCATTGCCCAGGGCATTTGGCTAGTGGGGAGAGCATCACCACACTAATACAGTGTGTGTTTGAGATTCATTTATTTCCTACTTAGAACCAAATTTTGACTTCTATAAACAGAGATGAGGCCATGGGTATCTTGCTCCTTGTTGCATCCTCAGCATTTAGCCCAGTCCCTAAGTCAGAGTAGGTTGTATATGACTAACTGTTTAATGGATGAATTACTATGCCATTAGTAACTAAGTTTTCTGCTTGTAAGTTAAAGCAAAAAACAACACAGAAAATTTTAAGTAATTTTTCTGTTTTCATTTTCTTTTTCTCATCCTCCAATTTTACTTTTTCATTCCAATTCTACTTTTCTCTTAACCTTTGATACACCAACTTTTTTTCCTCAAATTGTCTTTTTTCACCCATTCATTTTACACTTCTAGAAGTTTGGCTGGATTCACCTTTTGCAGTAGAAAAGAATGCTAACTGCAAGGAGACTTCCCAGAGTCTTCCTCAGATTGCCTTTCATTATGCTGACGTGAAAAGAGCTTCTGCTTTGGGTGATAGAGGAAAATTGGATAGGATAAATTGCTTCCTTTTCAATTATATTCCACAAAAAGGATCCTGCTTTTAAGGGAAACTTATTTATAGACAGAGCCAGTGATTCTGATTCTTCTTTGGGCTAGCCATGCTGTTGACACAAAAAGAAAAACACCAGAATTGTTACACTTACCTTATAGGTTGTTTCAGATGGCCAGTTTCTTTACCAAAAGCTGAAGGTCTTCCTCAATAGACTTTGGAGATCATGGATGAAAGAAAACACTGCATTGTATCAGTCAACTTACAGGACAAGGGCCCTGAATTCATAGGTGCTCCTTAGGATGAAAATGACAGAAACCCAATACAAACTAGTAAAGAAGTAAAGAAAATGTATTTACTTCCATTACTGTGAAGTTCAGAGATGATCACTGCTTCAGGAAGGAAGGACTACATTCAAAGACTAAAAAATATGTCAATGCTCTGATTATTTTTGTTTCTGAGAGCTACATGGCAGACAATAGAAATCCCAGATTTTGTCGACTGGTGATCCCACATTTACAACCTCTCAGTTTTAGTAACCCCAGTAGAAAGAGAATGTCTTTATGAGAGCATCTCTGGCAAAGTCCTACACAAGGTTATAATTGGTCAAGCTTGAGTCACATCCTCAAATTGACACTGTGGCCATGAAGATGGAATTTTTTCTTTTTTTTCTTTTTTTTTTTTTGAGATGGAGTTTTACTCTGTGGCCCAGGCTGGAGTGCAGTGGTGCAATCTCAGCTCACTGCAACATCTGCCTCCCCGGTTCAAGCAATTCTCCTGCCTCAGCCTCCCGAGTAGCTGGGATTACAGGTGTGTGCCACCATGTCTGGCTAATTTTTTGTATTTTTAGTAGAGATGGGATTTCACCATGCTGGCCAGGCTGGTCTCGAACTCTTGACCTCGTGATCCACCCTCCTCAGCCTCCCAAAGTGCTGTGATAACAGGAGTGAGCCAACATGCCCGGTCGAAGATGGTATATTATCCTTTTTTTTTTTTTTTGTTTTGAGATGGAGTCTTGCTTTGTTGCCCAGGCTGGAGTGCAGTGGCACTATCTCGGCTGACTGCAAGCTCCACCTCCCAGGTTCACGCCATTCTCCTGCCTCAGCCTCCCGAGAAGCTGGGACTACAGGTGCCCGCCACCACGCCCAGCTAATTTTTTCTGTATTTTTTGTAGAGACGGGGTTTCACCGTGTTAGCCAGGATGGTCTCGATCTCCTGACCTCGTGATCCGCCCGCCTTGGCCTCCCAAAGTGCTGGGATTACAGGCGTGAGCCACCGCGCCAGGCCCAAATATGTATTTCATAATATCGCAATGTCCCAAACTGAACTCATGATTTCCATCTTCCACCTAACTTGTTTTTGGGCCTCAGTTAACTCAGGGAATGCCATTAACAGCCAACCAAGTGCCTAAATTAGAAACTGGGTGTCATCGCTGACTTTTTTCTGCCTTGTCTTCACAAACATTGAAACATCACATTTTCTGAGTTCTATATCCTATTCTTGAATCTGTTTATGTTGCTCCACCACTCTCTGCTCATTCATTTATTCACTCATTGAATTCCCCATGAAACCTAGAGTGCAGTGGGTGAGGCAGATATTAAATAAATAATCTTATTTTTTATTTTTTATTTTTTTAAGGCAGAGCTTCCTCTTGTTGCCCAGGCTGGAGTGCAATGGCTTGATCCGCCTCCCAGGTTCAAGCAATTCTCCTGCCTCAGTCTCCAGAGTAGCTGGGATTACAGGCACCCAGAACCACACCCAGCTAAATTTTGTATTTTTAGTAGACACAGGGTTTCATCATGTTGGTCAGGCTGGTCTTGAACTCCTGACCTCTGGTGATCTGCCTGCCTCGGCCTCTCAAAGTGCTGGGATTACAGGTGTGAGACACTGAGCTCGGCAAAAATTTTTTTTTTTTGGAGACACAGCGTTGCTATGTTGGCCAAGCTGGTCTCTACTCCTGGCCTCAAGCAATCCTCCTGCCTTGACCTCCCAAAGTGCTGGGTTACAGGCGTGAGCCACCATGCCCAGCTAAATAAACTTATAAATTATTAATAACCTTAATTTATAAGTATGATCAGTGCAATAAGGGAGAGTAGGGGAACTAGGTAGGTAGTCAATACAGCTGTCTATAAAAGTGACATTTAGGCTGTGACTTAAAAGCTTGTAAGAGATGGAGACAGAAAGTGGGAGAGTACATGTGTTCCAGGCAGAAGAAACAGTTTGCGTAATGATTTTCATCAGGGAGAATCATGGTGTGTGGGAGAAACCAAAAGGAGGCCAGGGGAGTCCCAGCCACCATCATCTTTCACCTGGATTACTGCAATAGGTTTGTAGCTTCTTTCTCTTCCTGTAGCCTCATTTTCCTTATCTCTTTTTCAGGGGATCACAAGAAGGCTCTTTTGAAAGCATGAATCCAATCATGTCTTTCTCCTGCTTAAAAGACTTTCCAAAGCCTCCAGGATAAACATCTAATCTTCCTAGCACAGTGCTGAGGCCCTTGTGATGCGATCTCAACCCTCTCTGGGTTCCCAGCAGCCTGGGTGGTAACAGTCATTTCTCTTTGCATCTTTGGAAATGCCTTGCTGTGGCCTTTTTTTTTTTTTTTTTTTTTTTGACGGACTCTCACTCTGTTGCCCAGGCTGGAGTGCAGTGGCATAATCTTGGCTCGCTGTAACCTCCACCTCCTGGGTTCAAGTGATTCTCCTGACTCAGCCTCCAGAGTAGCTGGAATTACAAGAGTGCGTCACCATGCCCAGCTAATTTTTGTATTTTTAGTGGAGATCGGGTTTTGCCATGTTGGCCAGGCTGGTCTCCGACTCCTGATGTCAGGTGATACGCCTGCCTCGGCCTCCCAAAGTGCTGGCATTTCAGGCATGAGCCACTGTACCCGGCCCCTTTGTGGCTTATTTTTATCCTTGTGCTTCTAGTTGTGCAACAGCATCTACCTGGAAGGCCCCCGCCCCCTGGAATTCTGTTCAATTTACCAGACTCAGCTTTTAAAACTTTTTCTTGAAAAGCCATCCCATAGCACCCTGTACATGCCTCTAACACAGCACCTAGCAAAACGTCTTGAAATGTATTCACTTGACAAATATTTATTGAATGGCTACTATTGCTAGGTACTGTAGGGTACAGCAGTGAGTGTAGATATTTTGTCAGTTTTATCTCTCAGGTGGTAGGAATTTGGAGGCAGGAACTATATCCTAATCATTTGTGTATCCGCAACAGATAGCACAGCAACAACACTTAATATGAAATAAATCCAAAATGAACTGAGCTAGGATTCAAGCCTAGGTCTGTCTAACTCCAAAGCCCACACTCTTTCCACTGCTATGTGGAAACCAGATTAATCTGAGTCTATTAAAGTGAAAATAGTAGCATTTTAAGACAAACGGTAGGGTAGCATGGATCATATCTAATTCATTGAGCAGTGGGTCGCTTGAGCCCAGGAGTTCGAGATCAGTCTGGGCAACATGGTGAAACCCAGTCTTTATAAAAAATACAAAAGTCACTCACAGCCTGGGAAACAGAGTGAGACCCTGTCTCAAAATAATAACAATAATAAAAAAGTTTAATTTTGAAGTACAGTAGGACCTTACTTCTAACATATACTTTTGCTTGATTTCAAAACCACAATGAGATACCATCTCACACCAGTTAGAATGGTGATCATTACAAAGTCAGGAAACAACAGGTGCTGGAGAGGATGTGGAGAAATAGGAACACTTTTACACTATTGGTGGGACTGTAAACTAGTTCGACCATTGTGGAAGACAGTGTGGCGATTCCTCAAGGATCTAGAACTAGAAATACCATTTGACCTAGCCATCCCATTACTGAGTATATACCCAAAGGATTATAAATCATGCTGCTATAAAGACACATGCACACATATGTTTACTGAGGCACTATTCACAATAGCAAAGACTTGGAACCAAGCCAAATGTCCAACAATGATAGACTGGATTAAGAAAATGTGGCACATATACACCATGGAATACTATGCAGCCATAAAAAAGGATGAGTTCATGTCCTTTGTAGGGACATGGATGAAGCTGGAAACCATCATTCTCAGCAAACTATCGCAAGGATTTTTTTTGAGACAGGGTCTCACTTTGTCACCCAGGCCGGAGTGCAGAGGTACGATTTCCACTCACTGCCACTCACTGCAGCTTCCTTGACCTCCCAAGTTCAAGCAATCCTGCCTCTGTCCCCCAGTCCCCCAAGTAGCTGGGACTACAGGCACAGGCCGCCACACCCTGTTAATTTTTGTATTTTGTGTAAAGACAGGGTTTTGCCATGTTGCCCAGGCTGGTCTCGAACTCCTGAGCTGAAGCCATCCGCCAGCCTCAGCCTCCCAAAGTGCTGGGATTACAGGCATGAGCCACCACTCCTGGACTGAATTTTTTAAAAAGCTGATTAGTATGAAAACATGTCCTAGTGTCACTAAAGTTGAAGTGATCTATGACTACTCTAGTTCTGAAACTTAAAAGCTCAATACTAGACACCAAAATGAGAAATCTTTTTAAAAAAATGTTTCTTAGAATAGAGACGGGGTCTTATTATGTTGCCCAGGCTGGTCTCAAACTCCTAGGCTCAAGGGATTCTCCTGCCTCAGCCTCCCAAAGTGCTGGGATTGTAGGTGTGAGCCACCCAGCCCAGCCCAAATGAGAAATCTTTAGTTTTACTTCTATCTCCATTTCCTTTGATTGGCTTTTGACCATGTCATTTAGCTTGTCTGTATCCCTATATGCTCATTAGACAATTAGACTCAATGTTATGAGAAATATTAATTCACTTAAGTAGAGTGGTTGGGAGGGTTGCCACTTAGTTACACTGGGAAGCTATGGATTCAATCAAGTTTCTGAAAAATATGGTGGATTTCCTTTCCTAAAATGGGTAGCCAGAGTTAAAAGTGGAAGATGCTATGCAAAAATGAACTTGGAAAGAAACCTAAGAGGATAAATAAGAGGGAAATTCCACCACGTGTGTTTGCCCTTCTCTTCAATCATTCATTGGCCATACTTCATTCCTTTCACTCCAGAGTGTATTAGACAGAAACAGGAAGTTGGGGTTGCAGTGTATGTTGTCATATCTAGAGAACATAACAAACAGAATACTCCTAACCATGGTCCCACATGTTCATTTTACATAGGATCAGGAAGGAGCAAAGTAGCCCGGCACTGGACTGGGTTTCTTCTTGTGTCACCCAGTCTTTAACAAGATGCAGGGAATCAACTACACCTCCAGGGTTCCCTGTATTCTTTTCCATTTCTAGAGACAAAGGATACAACCTACTGAAATACAGCACTCTTTTGAAACACTACAAAATATATTCTTCACCTTACCTACAAGAATTTACATGTTTACATTCTTGCTGTAGGTTTAAAATAATAAATGTCATTTATAGAGGCAGCGTTTTGAAAGTCACATATTAGGAAAAATTTTTTTTTAATTTTGCTGGTAATTGTGATCATGCTGTGCGTTCTTGCATATACCTTCTAGTACAGAGGGAGAGGCACAGAGGTGGAAGTGCCAATTAGGGAAACTGGGCCACCCAAAACTGGAGCAGGGCGGAATACTTGTCAACCCATGCATCTCTTTGGATTAAGAAGCATGTAGCAAGTCTGGGTGTGGTAGGTCATGCCTTTAATTCTAGCACTTTGGGAGGCTGAGGCAGGAGGATTACTTGACCTCAGGAGTTTGAGACCAGCCTGGGCAACAAGACCCTGTCTCTACAAAAATAAATAAATAAATAAATAAATAAATAAAAGAAAAAATAAATTAAATTAAATAAAAAGAAGCATGTAGTAAATTCTCCAGCAGTTAATATAAAAACTCCTGAAGTGCTGGGTGCAGTGGCTCACACCTATTATCCAAGCCCTTTCGGAGGCCAAGGCAGGAGGACAGCATGAGGCCAGGAGTTTCAGACCAGCTTAGGTAACAGAGATCTACATCTCCAAAAGAAAGTAAGAATTTGGCCGGGTGTGGTGGCTCATGCCTGTAATTCCAGCACTTTGGGAGGCTGAGCGGGGAGGATTGCTTGAGCTCAGGAGTTTGAGACCAGCCTGGGAAATATGGAAAAACCCGTCTCTACCAAAAATACAAAAAAAATTCGCTGAGTGTGGTGGCATGTGCCTGTAGGCCCAGATATTCAGGAGACTGAGAAAGGAGGATCCCTTGAGCCTGGGAGGTGATGACTGCAGTGAGCTGAAATCACATGACTGCACTCCAGCCTGGGCAACAGAGTAAGACCCTGTCTCAAAATAATAAATAAATAAAAATAAAAAATAAAATAAAAATTTCAAAACTAAGCTGAACATGGTGACACCAACCCACCACCCCCAACCTGTTTTTTTTTGGTTTGTTTGTTTTTTGTGTGTTTTTTTAGACGAAGTCTCCCTCTGTTGCCCAGGCTGGAGTGCAGTGGCATGATCTCGGTTCACTGCAACCTCCGCCTCTCGGGTTCAAGTGATTCTCCTGCCTCAGCCTCCTGAGTAGCTGGGATTACAGGCATGCGCCACCATACCCGGCTAATTTTTGTATTTTTAGTAGAGACGGGGTTTCACCATGTTGGTCAGGCTGGTCTCGAACTCCTGACCTTGTGATCCACCCGCCTCCGCCTCCCAAAGTGCTGGGATTACAGGCGTGAGCCAATGCAGCTGGCTGTACCTTTTTTTCTTAAAATTTTTCTTAAAATTTTTTGTAGTCCCCTCAGAGTGGGCACAGATGTAGCTTTTTATCTTTCTATAATTAGAAAAGTAGGCCAGGAACGGTGGCTCACGCCTGTAATCCCAGCACTTTGATAGGACGTGATGGGTGGATCACCTGAGGTCAGGAGTTCGAGACCAGCCTGGCCAACATGGTAAAACCCGGTCTTTACCAAAAATACAAAAATTAGCCAGGCATGGTGGTAGATGCCTGTAATTCCAGCTACTCGGGAGGCTGAGGCAGGAGAATCGCTTGAATCCAGGAGGCAGAGGTTGCAGTGAACCCAGATCGCGTCCCTGCACTCCAGCCTGGCTGATAGCAAGACTCCATCTCAAACAAAAGTAATATATGCTCTTAGCAGGTATGAATAATAAAGATCTTCTATTAGTCTGCCACCTAGGAATAAGCATTGTTAACATTTTGTTTCTAGTCTGTCAAAATTTTTCCTTTGATTATACTTTTTTATTTGACAAAAATAGGATATTATACATACAGTTTTGTAATCTACCTCTCATTTTTCTTTTTTTCTTTCTTTTTTTTTTTTTTTTTTGAGACTGAGTCTCACTCTGTTGCCCAGGCTGGAATGCAGTGGCTCAATCTTGGCTCACTGCAACCTCTGTCTCCCGGGTTTAAGCTATTCTCCTGCCACAGCCTCCTGAGCAGCTGGTATTACAGGTGCACACCACCACACCCGGCTAATTTTTGTATTTTTAGTAGAGATGGGGTTTCACCATGTTGGTTAGGCTGGTCTTAAACTCCTGACCTTGTGATCTGCCTGCCTTGGCCTCCCAAAGTGCTGGGATTACAGGCGTGAGCCACCGCGCCCAGCCCATTTTTCTTAATAGTATGCTGTGAGCATTTTTTCATGTGACCATCTTTTAATAAATACCATTGTTAATGGCTTCATATTCCACTCTATGGATGTAATATAATTTACTTTGTCAATTTATTATAGACATTTAGGTTGTTTCTCTTTTTTTTGTGGTTTTCTTCTTTCATTTTCTTTTTTTTAAGGCTGGTCAAGTGAAGCAGTGGGAGTGGAGAAGGAACAAAGAAATCTCTAACCAGTTGTCATCAATTAGTTGAAAACATCACTGCACTCGGACCATCCTATTTTTTTGTGTGGGGTTTTAAAGAAGTTATCAATGAACAGCTTCATAAACTGTTGGACACCTTTCCTATTATTATTATCATTTATTTTTCTTTGAGATGGAGGCTTGCTCTGTTGCCCAGGTTGGAGTGCAATGGTGTGATCTCGGCTCACTGCAACCTCTGCTGCCTGGGTTCAAGCGATTCTCCTGCCTCAGCCTCCCAAGTAGCTGGGATTACAGGTGCCCACCACCACACCTGGTTAATTTTTGTAGTTTTATTTATTTTTATTTTATTGTTGTTTTTTTTGAGACGGAGTCTCACTCTTGTTGCCCAGGCTGGAGTGCAATGGCTTGATCTCGGCTCACCGCAACCTCCACCTCCAGGGTTCAAGCGATTCTCCTGCCTCAGCCTCCCAAGTAGCTGGGATGACAGGCGCCCACCACCACGCCTGGCTAATTTTTTGTATTTTTAGTAGAGACGGGGTTTCACCATGTTGGCCAGGCTGGTCTTGAACTCCTGACCTAAACTGATCCACCTGGCTCGGCCTCCCAAAATGCTGGTATTACAGGCGTGAGCCACCACGCCCAGCCTAATTTTTGCAGTTTTAGTAGAGATGGGGTTTCACCATCTTGGTCAGGCTGGTCTCCAACTCCTGACCTTGTGATCCACCCGCCTCGGCCTCCCAAAGTGCTGGGATTACAGGCGTGAGCCACAGTGCCTGGCCTCCTATTATTTTATTAAAATAAATTCCAAGGAGTAAGACAACTGCTTAAAGGGTGTCTTAAAGGCTTTGACATTTTTATGAAAGCCAAACTGTCTTCCAGAAAGCCTTGCACATATCAAGAGTTTCATTCTTGATATGGTTAATGCAAATAAATGCCTATTCCTTATATCCTTTTTCTTTTTTTTTTTTTGAGGCAGGGTTTCCCTCCTATTGCCCAGGCTGGAGTGCAGTGGCCCAATCTCGGCTCACTGCAATCTCCATCTCCCGGGTTCAAGCGATTCTCCTGCTTCAACCTCCGGAGTAGCTGGGATTACAAGCACCCGCCACCATGCCCGGCTAATTTTGTATTTTCAGTAGAGACGGAATTTCACCATGCTGGCAGGATGGTCTCGAACTCCTGACCTCAAACGATCCACCCACCTTGGCCTCCCCAAAGTGTTGGGATTACAGGCGTGAGCCACTGCGCCCGGCCAATTCCTTATCCTCATCCAGGTTTTTGGTCTTTTAAAATCTTTGTCAATCTGCTATTTGAAAGTGGTATATTACTGTTTAAGTTTTTCTGATTTCTAGTGAGGTGCGATAATTTTTCATATAATTATTAAATCCCCCCATATGTTATGTATGTATACACACACACACCCGGCTAGCTTGTTCATGCCCTTGACTTTTTATTTTTTATTTTTTTGAGACGGAGTCTTGCTCTGCTGCCCAGGCTGGAGTGCAGCTGCACTCGGCTCACTGCAACCTTCGCTTCCCAGGTTCAAGCAATTCTCCTGCCTCAGCCTCCCAAGTAGCTGGGATTACAGGCGCCCACCTCCATGCCCAGCTAATTTTTTGTATTTTGTTTTTCTCTGTCGCCCAGGCTGGAGTGCAATGCCAGGTTGGAGTGCAATGGCGTGATCTCAGCTCACGGCAACCTCCACCTTCCGGGTTCAAGTGATTCTCCTCCGTCAGCCTCCCAAGTAGCTGGGATTACAGGCGCTCCCCACCAAGCCTGGCTAATTTTGTATTTTTAGTAGAGACGGGGTTTCGCCAATGTTGTGCAGGCTGGTCTTGAACTCCTGACCTCAAGTGATCAACCCGCCTAGGCCTGCCAAAGTGCTGGGATTACAGGAATGAGCCACTGCATCCGGCCTAATTTTTTGTATTTTTAGTAGAGACGGGGTTTCACCATGCTGGCCAGGCTGGTCTCAAACTCCTAACCTCAAATGATCCGCCCGCCTGGGTCTCCCAAAGTGCTGGGATTACAGGCGCGCACCACCACGCCTGGCTAATTTTTGTGTTTTTACTAGCGATGGGGTTTCACCATGTTGGTCAAGCTAGCCTTGAACCCCTCACCTCAGGTGAGCCACCAGCCTCAGCCTCCCAAAGTGCTGGGATTAGAGGCGTGAGCCAGAGCCACCACGCCCGGCCTAATTTTGTATACATATATTTTTTGCTTTGTTTTTGTTTTTTGAGACGGAGTCTCGCTCTGTCGCCCAGGCTGGAGTGCAGTGGAGAGATCTCGGCTCACTGCAAGCTCCGCCTCCCGGGTTCACGCCATTCTCCTGCCTCAACCTCCCGAGTAGATGGGACTACAGACGCCCGCCACCACGCCCGGCTAATTTTTTTTTGTATTTTTAGTAGAGACGGGTTTCACCGTGTTAGCCAGGATGGTCTCGATTTCCTAACCTCGTGATCCGCCCGCCTCAGCCTCCCAAAGTACTGAGATTACAGGCGTGAGCCACCGCGCCCAGCCTAATTTTGTTATTTTTAGTAGAGACGGGGTTTCTCCAAGTTGTTCAGGCTGGTCTAGAACTCGCGACCTCAGGTGATCCGCCCGCCTCGGCCTCCCAAAGTGCTGGGATTACAGGCGTGAGCCACCGCGCCCGGGGCTAAACTTTTTTTTTTGAGACAGGGTCTCACTCTGTCGCCCAGACTTGAGTGCAGTGGTGCAATCTTGGCTCACTGCAACTTCTCCCTCCTGGGTTCAAGCGATTCTCATACCTCACCCTCCCTAGTAACTGGGACTATGGGTGCCCGCCACCACGCCCAGCTAATATTTGTATTTTTAGTAGAGAGGGGGTTTCCGCTGTGTTGGTCACCCGACCTCAGGTGATCCTCCAGCCTCAGCCTTCTGAAGTGTTGGGATTACAGGCGTGAGTCACCGCGACTGGTCCGCCCTTCACTTTTTAAAAGAGTGGGTGTTATCTTTTTCTTAATAATTTGTAAGAGCTCTTTATATTTTCTTATGCAAATAAAACATACGCTAAGGATGGTAATCGAATATAAATATTAACTTGCTTGTGATTTACTACAATTGTTTCTCTGTTTCACTACCAGTTGTTCGACTTTATAGTGTCTTCTGTCACATGAAAGGCACAAATTGTGTGTCTAAGTTATCAGTTTTATCCTTGGGTTTTTTTTTTTGTTTCCTTTATTTTTTCTTGGTTTGATATCATGCTTACACATAAAAGCACGAGCAGGTCCTCTCCCGACACATAAGTTGCTTATACGGAAACAATGTGGTGTAGAGAAAAGAAAGTGGATCAAGCCCCTAATAGACTTGAGTTTAAATGTGGTACAGCCAAGTTGTGGCGCCCAACTTCCATATTCTGTAACGTTAAACACGTCAATCTCATCCTGTTTCCTTATCTGCAAAATAGTACCCACCCCAGAGGGTGATACAAGCATTAAAATGCCCGGCACGGGCAAGGCATCCAGCAAGTGTTAATTCCCTTTCCTCTGCCCCGCAGAGGGGCATTATTAATTGCTTAAAGTGGCCAACTCCCGATAAAGATTAAAACAGAAGGTTGGGGACGGTAAATTTTGGTGAGTTTACGTTCCACCCGTTTTTCAGGTATCTTCTAGAAACATTCCATTAAACTACAAACCCCATAATGCATGTACAACTACCATAAAATTTCTACGTTATGAAGTCCTTGTGGCTTAGGGGAGGGCGAACAGCCAAATATCTTTATTTTCCAGACTTTCCCTCTTTGAGACAACCTCTCCCCACCTTCCCTCTAAACAAATGTGATTTTTCTTTTTCATAGAATGCCAACTTCCCAGGTGTTAAAGTGAGGCTACGGTTATAAGGCGAAAAGGTGTCACAATTAGAGAAACAACTTTGAACACGGTAATACTGATTTTTAAAAATCTCGAATGGGCTCTGTGGTTCTGATACTCTGGCTGTTGAAATAATTCACCTACTGCAGATTTAGTAGAAAGAAAAATAATTAGCATGATTATACCTAGTAGCCATTTCTACCCTCTTGAGAGTCTGGGCTTGGCTCCCCGCACGTCTGCTTTCCTCAGCCGCAGGGCTCCCGCGTTCTCATGCCTGACACAGTCCGCGTTCGCATGCCACGGTGGAGCATCCCCTCAGCGTGCCCTACCGCTCCGGCGCCGGCTCGGCAGATGTTCCGCCTGCGCAGAGCTGAGCATAGGCGCCGTGTGAGCGCCGATTCACCCAGGCCCGAGCGCGAGGCCCAAGCGGGGTACCCGGCGAAGGGCGTGCGCCGCAGCGTCTTCCGCAGCTTGAAGCTCGGAGGAGCTGCGGCGCAGCTTCGGGAGCTTAGAGCTGGGGAAGACGCTGCGGCGCGCGCCACTCGAGCCTGCGCGGCCGCTTCCCGGCGCAGCACCCCCCTCTCGCCCTCTGCGCAGCCCCACCAGCCCGGACTCCGAGGCAGCCCCGGACGGGGGGAGGTGCGGGAGGAGGGGCTCCTCAGGGAGCGGCGGGGAATTCCCCCTTCCACCGAACGTTCCCGATTGTTCACCGTCCTCACGTCAGCAGCAGGGGGTAATCCCCGACTCCAGCTGCTCCTGACGTCACCGCGTGGAGCCACCGCCCCCCGCGCGCCCCTGCTCCGGGGCCTCCTCGAAGCCCCGCCCCCAGCCTTAGCCACGCCTTCTCCCCCTCCCCCCAGGCGCCCGACGTAGAGGGCGGAGCTTCTTTGACCGCGGCGTGAGCGGTTGCTTGGGCCAGAAGGTTCTCTGGTGGAGGCGCTCTTCCTGGTGTCCCGCCCAGTAGGTTCGTTCGCACCGCTTCTTCCACACTCTTTCTCCCTCCTTCTCCTCGCCCCGCCTTCCCTCCCTCCTCAATCCCTCTAGTTCCTTCCCCGCCTCGCCACTGTGCACGATCTCGCGAGACTTGGCCCAGAACATTGCGGATCGGGTCGGCGCCATTTTGGGACTGAGACTGGTTGTGGGGGAGGGAAAAGCGGCAAAAGGGGATTATTCAAAGTACCGAAAACCTTCTCCCGGGATCAGGCGCGGCGGCACCCCCAGGCCAGGGGCACCTCTGGTGGGGCAGAAGGTAACACCGTCCTCTAGGCTCCACGCCCGAGCCCGGGGGAGGAGGGGAGTGCCCGTGTCCGTGTTGGGGTTTGAGGGGTCGGGAGCGGCGTTGGTGGCGCGAGGTGTGAGGCTGCCCGCCGACGGAGGGGCGGCGAGAAGCAAGGAGTGAGAGGGGGGAGAGGCGCAGATAGGCCCCTCTAGGTATTGACTCGGCCCGGGTGGAGCGGAGGTGGTGGTTGTGAGGAGGGGGTGGGTGGTTTAGCCCCGGCGGCTTGGTTGGGGGGTGTTTGGCGTTTGGCGGAGGCTGGGAGCGAGTCCGACGCTCTCAGTGCTCGGCCTTCCTTCCCCCGGCCTCTTGCACACGCCCGCCTGGTTTTGCACCACTACCCTTCTCAGGGCTGAGGGAGTCGAGGCCGAGTTGTGGCCTTCGGCGGTTTCTTCAGCAGCGCCTCAGCTTTCCCCGCCTCTCCCAGGTCCGTGGCACTTGCCGTGGACTGGGGCGAAGGCTACTTTGTTCCTTTGAGTCCTGTGGGGTCTGAGGGGACATGTGCATTTTTGAGAGAGAACCATTCTTTGGTTTACGAAAAGGGCCCTGTACCTTCCACCCCCTCAGTTTTGGGAGAAACCTGTTTTCTTAATTCGAGGAAGTGGAAACCTACACCTTCTAGCCCTTTGCTCCCTCAGAAGTGGGGAAGTCTCCTCGGGAGAATTTAAGAAGCGGGTTTGCCCTACTTCTAGTTCACCTTTCTGGCCTTACTGGGTGGGAATATGCCTCCTCTAGTAGACGTTCTGATTTGGAGGGAGCCTCTTTCTCTTTACACTTATCTCTGAGTTACATTCGCTAATACTCCGTGGCAGCACACCTGTCTTCGCTTTCCTTGGTCCATCGAAGAGGGTTGGAGATCTTTTGTAAGATTATGTGTCAATTTCATAGTTTTAAAATTTATTCAAGAAGTATAAGAAGGTTTGCTTATATAATTCCCCAGTATGGGATCTGCACCCCTTCCCAGGTGAAATCTGCCCTTGCCCTCCATAATACCGTCACCTACCGTTTTTCCCTCCCTCTACTCCGATGTCTTGTTCATTCAGTAGACTTTTATCGGGTGCTTGCTTGGGTAAAGAAGCCCTTTTCCAGGCTCCTGTAGGGTTATATAGAAGTGATTTTCTCTCCAGAGGTTGACTTTTTAAGTTGGGGATTGATTTTTTTAGCTCAAAATCAAAACTCAGTATATAATTTTTTTTATAACTTTTACAGGTGATTGAATTACTCAGATATGAAGATCATCATCTAGGTTTTGTGTAAAAGGCCCTGGATATTTTAAGTGGCCATTTTGGATTTACAGTGTTTTTGGATAATTTTGCCCCAGAAGTTTATTAAAATTGGCAAGAATCGTCTGTGAAGTGAATTGATAGTAGTGAACAATTCAGCAAGCTACTTAAAAAGAGACCCAGGCAGCATTTCTTCAGTATTTTGGTTCAAACGGATTATATAACTGGTTACAGTATTTCAGCTGGTGGTAATTTTTGCCTCCCCTTCCCCCACCCCGTTGTTGGGGTTCTTCAGCCGAAACTGAGAGACGTTGATTTGTGTACTGAGTAGTTTCAGCAGTTTCAAATGACTGAGTATTGCTGAAGTTTCATGGCAGTTTATTTTTACCTTTATTGAAAGTTTTAGGAATTTTTGACTTCAGCTCTTTCATGTCACAATGGGACACTTTTTCTGAATGAAGAGATTGAAAGAATACAGAGTTTTTTTCCTTTTATCTTTTATTTACGTGGAAATTTAAGATGTTGCAGTTTTCCGGCAGCATGGTAGTATTGAGATAGCTATGTGTGTCTCTGTATATGCTGATGTTTAGGAATGCTCTTCAGATGTGAAATTTTCTTTTTGTTTTTGCTTTTTGGCTCGTAAATTGGATATTTCATCTGGAGTGGACAAGTACAACAGTGGCAAGTACATGGAATAATAAAGAAGACTTTGATCTTAAATCTAAAGAACTTGGCTAATTCGGGAGATAGCCATATGAAAACTTTAAAACAGAAGTATGGGTAGCTGACTTGAAGTAACTCTATGTCAAATAGTCGTAGGTTAAGTATCTTCAAAGAACTTCGATATTATTTCAGAGGATACAAAATAAAAATACAAACTGGAAAATAAAGATTACAGAGAAAAAACCAACACCTTCCTGTGCAGTCCTGTTGGAATTTGTAAGTACTATTATGGTGAGCAAATCAAATGTTCATTTGTAAACTGTAATCAGAGTTGAGTTTATCCTATGTTATTCTCGGAAGCCTTTCAGTTTCTTGCAGTAACATTGCTTGGTTTCAGTTTCCTTGACAGTCTGAAAACAACTATTAACCATTGTCTGAGTAAACTGAAATTCAGAAAAAACGTTTAAGGCTTAGGAACTTTTCAGATTCAAACAGTCCTAAGCTACAAGTTTTTGCGCTTTTTAAGTAAAAAGCTAAATTCGTATGGCCGGTATATATTGCCTTAGGCTTTGAAGATTCATTCACAGTGGTAGAAAGGTAGGAAAAAATGCAACAAATAATTCACCACGTGTCTTCCTAGCCAGTTTGTATTCTAAATGCGTGTGCCTTGGTAGCCAGTTGACTTTGCAAATGTGAGTTTAGACTGCATTCCAAATGCAGTTTAGTGTTGCATTTGGAGTTACATAGTTTGGTTATATTACAGGTAGTAGTTCTTAATGTATTTCATGAACTAGCTTGGTTTAAGGCATAGTTGTTCCTAACATATTAATCCGTTATAGAAATTAAGTTTTTGAAATAGTTTTGTTGAAATGGTTTTGTATTTCAAATTATTTCTTTACTTTCAAAAAAAGAGGGTATTACCAGGACCAGAAGCTCAGAGGAACTGAGCAAGCTGAATTAAGAACCTTTAAAATAACTTAAGAAAATATGAGTATACATTTTTTTTTCCACTCAAGAGGTTATGCTGGCCTAAGTTTGTAAGCAAAGCTTTTTTTTAAAAAAAGTTGTGAATTAATTGCTATAATAGAAATTGTTTTGACAGGTGAGAGAGTTATCGTTTAATGTTTGTATTTTTCAGGATTAAACGGTGTTTTTAGTTACCGTTAGTTACTACATTTAATTTTTCGGTGAATCATAGGCATTTAATGTTTTTTAAAGAGATACACTAAAATTTAATTTTTTTTTCTCTTTGACTAATGACAAAATTTAATTTTTAGGCAGTTAATATTAGTGAACACGAGTATAACTAAAATTAGAGGGTATTTCAATTAATTGTCTTTCTGAGACGAAAGACTAATTTTTATTTGAGACCGAGTTTCGCTCTTGTTGCCCAGGATGGAGTACAATGGCATGATTTTGGCTCACTGCAGCCTCCGCCTCCCGGGTTCAAGCGATTCTCCTGCTTCAGCCTCCCAAGTAGCTGGGATTACAGGTGCCCGCCACCACGCTCGGCCAATTTTTGCCTTTTTTTTTTTTTTTTTTTTTTTTTTTTTTAGTAGAGACCTGGGTTTTCACCTTGTTGGTCAGGCTAGCCTCGAACTCTTGACCTCAGGTGATCCTTGCGCCTTGGCTTCCCAAAGTGCTGGGATTATAGGCCTGAGCCCACGCGCCCGGCTGAGATTGCAATTTTTGAACTCTTTACCAAGATGGCCTAACATCATAACTTGTCAGTTGCTTATTTTGAACCAATTTTTTTTTTGCTTAAACTGTTGAATCCTGCTAGCTCCCATAGAGTGAAAGTGGTAGTAAATGTAAAATAGAGTTTTTTTTCTCTGAAATTGATATTAGAGAGTTCAGTGTTTCCCTTTGTTATAATAGACTAGGTTATATGTGTTTTCTCTGTCAGACCTGTGTGTAGTAATTCTAATTGAGTGTCTACCTTGATTTATAAAATCGGTGAGAACATTCCACACCCTTTCACTTGGGAGAGCATGTATTTTGTTCATTCCTCAATTCAATGACTTTTCAAGTTGCTTAACAATATGCATCTTAAATAAGATTAAGTTGAACTGGAGTCAAACGATCATTCTTCTAGAAAACTACATAATATTTATTATTTGTGATTTTTTCTTTTTTTGAGACGGACTCTTGCTCTGTCGCGTGCCCAGGCTAGAGTGCAGTGGCGCAGTCTCGGCTCACTGCAACCTCCGCCTCCTGGGTTCAAGCGATTCTGCCTCAGCCTCGCCAGTAGCTTGGATTACAGGTGCCCGCCACCACGCCCAGCTAATTTTTTGTATTTTTAGTAGGGACAGGGTTTTACCGTGTTGGTCAGGCTGGCCTTGAACTCCTGACCTCAGATGATTCACCTGCCTCCACTTCCCAAAGTGCTGGGATTACAGGCCTGAGCCACTGCGTCCAGCCTTGTTTTCTTCTAAATTGCCATTACTGATATTGTTAATCTAAGCAGTAGTGTTAGGATAAAGATTACTCCAGAGATCAGAGTTTTTAGCAATTAACTTTAATCTGTGAATAGTCTATAACATTTGTCAACTTTGCGTACAGCAGTTCTTCAAGGACAGATTTACTTGAACGTTTTGACAGATATTTTCAGTATTTTATTTTTCTGGAGATTGGAATAAATAGTTGCATCCGTTGGTAATTGGAACTATTGCTGGACGCTGCTTTTCCCCAGAAGTTAACACCACTTTTCCTTTTATCTTTTCTACTCTTTATATTTTGCTTTTTTGTCCCTTTCTAAACTGTAGGTCTAAAAATAATAATCATAGTGGCTAACATTTATAGATGATGATGGTTTTTTTGCTGTGTAATTTATGTGGCATATTTTAATTAATTCTTAATCCCGTGAGGAAAGTACTATTATAGTCACTGTGGTACTGATGAGAAAATTAGGATTTAGGGGGGCTGAGACTGGGAGAAAGTTACTTTGTTAGAATTGTAATCTTGACCAAATAAATGTTCAAGCAGTCTGACTCCAGAGCACATACTCAGCACTATGCCATACTTACACTGCCTTCTTGGGGATTTTACTTTACTAATTCATTTATTTGAACATTATCTTTGATATTTTTTTCTTTTCATGTACTGCTTCTCTTTGGTTGATGTTGATTACAGACTGCTAATGGAGTTTGGAAATAAACTAAGAGATATTACTGTTTTGCTATTTGCAGTAACTATTTGGGTGATACCTTTGGTTAGCTAAAATTGTGTGTGTGTGTGTGTTTGAGACAGGGTCTCGCTCTCTCACCCAGATTGGAGTGTAATGGCACGATTGTAGCTCAGGCAACCTCGAACTCCTGGGGTTAAGGGTTCCTCCTGCCTTGGCCTCTCAAAGTGCTGGGATTACAGGCCTAAACCACAGTGCCTGGCCTTGTATTTTTCTTTCACCCATAGCCTGTTTCCACAGGCATGGAGCTAAATGCATAGCTTTGTTTTACCTTGTCTTTTTTTTGTTGTTTTTTTGGGTTTTTTTGAGACAGAGTTTCGCAGTTGTTGCTGAGGGTGGAGTGCAATGGCGTGATCTTGGCTCACTGCAACCTCTGCCTCCCCGGTTCAAGCGATTCTCCTGCCCCTTCAGCCTCTTGAGTAGCTGGGATTACCCGCATGTGCCACCAGGCCTGGCTAATATTGTATTTTTAGAAGACGGGATTTCACCACGTTGGTCAGGCTGTTCTCAAACTCCTAACTTCAGATGTCTGTCCACCTCTGCCTCCCAATATGCTGGGATTATGGGTGAGAGCCACTGGGCCCGGCCCCTTGTCTCTGTTTTTGAATTGAAATAGTTACATGGATTTTTGTGCTTGAAGCTGCTGATATGTTAAAATTGAGGAAGGGAGGAGTAATGGGGAAAGAACAGGAAGAGTGAGCAGGAAAAAAAAAACTGGGGAGAGTTACAAGAAAGGGGTAATTGAGGAGGACTTCTAATCTGAAAGTAAAATAAGCAAGTGAGGATAGAGTTTAAAACCAGGCCAGATTATTTAACTTTTTTTTCTGAGACGGAGTTTTGCTGTCACCCAGGCTGGAAAGCAGTGGCACAATCTCTGCTCACTGTGACATCCGCATCCCGGGTTCAAGTGATTCTTATGCCTCAGCCTCCCAAGTAGCTGAGGTTACAGGTCCCCGCTGCCATGCCCAGCTAATTTTTTGTATTTTTTGTAGAGATGGGGTTTTGTCATGTTGGCCAGGCTGGTCTCGAACTCCTGACCTCAGGTCAGATGATCACCTGCCTCAGCCTCCCAAAGTGCTGGGATTATAGGCGTGAGCCACTGCACCTGGTCAGATTATTTAACTTTGTTTAACCAAACCATCTTTTCTGTTTCTTTTTTGATAAAAATGTTTATCAAATGTTTAGGTAACAACGTTTAGATCTATCAATGTTTAGGTAACGTTTAGATCCAGGTAAGGTACTGATGTAGAAAAAGGGTCATGGCTGAGGGTTTGGAAGGGAACTTGGTTTAGGATATGGAATATCTAGAAAAATGCCTGTGTGACTGTATGTTCACCTAACTTTTTTTGGCCTTAGTTTCTTCATTATACTGATGGAAATATATATGGAGGGTTTTTGTAAATTGTGAAGTGTAATACAGATGTAAAGATTTTTTTGGGGTTTTTTGTTTTGAGACAGAGTCTCGCTCTGTCACTCATGCTGGAGTGCAATGGCACAATCTCAGTTCATTGCAACCTCCGCCTCCCAGGTCCAAGCGATTTTCCTGCCTCAGCCTCTCAAGTAGCTGGGATTACAGGTGCCCACCACCACGCCCAGCTAATTTTTGAATTTTTAGTAGAGATGGGGTTTCCCCATGTTGGTCAGGCTGGTCTCCAACTCCTGATCTCAGGTGATCCACCCACCTCAACAAATTTAAATATGGCTTTAAAATATAGTTTGAAAACTGAATTAAGAATTAAAGGGGGCCAGGTGCAGTGGCTCATGCCTGTAATCCCAACAGTTTGGGAGGCCAAGGCAGGAGGAACACTTGAGATTAGGAGTTCGAGACTAGCCTGAGAAACATAACAAGACTGTCTCTCTACAAAACATAAAAAAAATTAGCTGAGCATGGTGACATGCGCCTGTAGTCCTAGCTACTTGGAAGGCTGAGGCAGGAGGACTGCTTGAGCCTAGGAAGTCGAGATGGCAGTGAGCGGTGATTGCACCACTGCACTCCAGCCTGGGTTGCAGAGTGACACCCTGCCTCAAAAATGAATAAGAATTAAAGAGATGAGGCCGGATGCCTCGGTATTTTTGGCGCTGCGATCGCGACACTGCACTCCAGCTTGGGGTGACAAGACTGTGTCAAAAAAAAAAAAAAGAACCTCTGACATACAAAATACTATTTAAAAAAGGGGTGAGGGGGCAGGGCATGGTGGCTTATGCCTATTATCCTAATACTTTGGGAGCCTGAGGCACGAGGCTCACTGGAGCCCAGGAGTTTGAAACCAGCCTAGGGAACATTTAAAAAAAAGGTGGGGGGGCGGTGCGGGGGCAGGGAATACATCTCTTTTCAAACTCCTGACCTCAGGTGTTCTACCCACCTCGGCCTCCCAAAGTGCTGGAATTACAGGTGTGAGCCACCATGCCAGGCCGAGACAGTGGTTTCTGAGAATTCTTTGAAATTGATAATTTTGTGGGCATTTCAGTGCATTTTTCTGGAAAGGTCCATTACCTTCAACAGAAATGTTGAAAAACAAAATGTTAGTGGTTACTGGTAAACTGTTTTGTGGTTGTGACTGTTTTTCAGTTTTTACCTGCTTGCTTTTCCCATTTTGTCAGCTGTCCCACCCATCACAATAGTTAACAGATTTGCTGTATAACCCTGCAGATAATTGCTAGTTTCTGCATCTTTTTATATACAAGATATGTCATTTAGTTTCTTGGTCTTTAGTTATTATTTTGTTCACAGCTTGGTGGGTGCAGTGCTTTTGGTCTTTCCATTTTCTTCCCTTTAATTATTTTATAAATTTTTTGAGACGGAGTCTCCCTCTTGCCCAGGCTGGAGTGCAGTGGCATGATCTTGGCTCACTGCAACCTCCACCTCCCAGGCTCAAGTGCTGCTTCTGCCTCAGCCTCCCTAGTAGCTGAGATTACAGGCACCTGCCATCAGGCCTGGCTAAGTTTTGTATTTTTAGTAGAGATGGGGTTTCACCATGTTGACCAGGCTGGTCTTGAACTCCTGACCTGAAGTGATCTGCCCACCTCAGCCTCCCAAAGTGCTGGGATTATAGCCATGAGCTTCTGTGCCTGGCCTTTTTTTGAGATGGAGTCTCACTCTGTCGCCCAGGCTGGGGTGCAGTGGTGCGATCTCGGTTCACTGCAACCTCCAACTCCCGGGTTCAAGTGATTCTCCTGCCTCAGCCTCCCGAGTAGCTGGGATTATAGGCGCCTGGCACCATACTTAGCTAATTTTTGTATTTTTAGTAGAGATGAGGTTTCACCATGTTGGCCAGGCTGGTCTTGAACTCCTGACCTCGTGATCCACCTGCCTCAGCCTCCCAAAGTGCTGGGATTACAGGCGTGAGCCACCGCACTCGGCTTCTTCTCTTTAATTCTTATTTATTTATTTTTGAGACAAAGTGTCACTCTGCCACCCAGGCTGGAGTGCAGTGGTGCAGTCACGGCTCACTGCCATCTCGACCTCCTAGGCTCAAGCAGTCCTCCTGCCTCAGCCTCCCAAGTAGCTGGGACTATAGGCGCATGTCACCATGCTCGGCTAATTTTTTTTATTTTGTAGAGAGAGAGTCTTGTTATGTTTCCCAGGCTAGTCTCGAACTCCTAATCTCAAGTGTTCCTCCTGCCTTGGCCTCCCAAACTGTTGGGATTACAGGCATGAGCCACTGCGTCTGGCCCCCTTTAATTCTTAATTCAGTTTTCAAATTATATTTTAAAGCCATATTTCAATTTTTTTCCTACACTTTTCATGCAAGAATAAGTTTTTAAAACTCTTAGTTGCCAGGCATGGTGGCTCATGCCTGTAATCCCAGCACTTTGGGAGGCTGAAGCGGGTGGATCACCTGAGGTCAGGAGTTCAAGACCAGCCTGACCAACATGGCGAAACCCCGTCTCTAATAAAAATACAAAAAATTAGCTGGGCGTGGTGGCACATGCCTGTAATCCCAGCTACTTGAGAGGCTGAGGCAGGAGAGTCGCTTGAACCCAGGAGGCAGAGGTTGCAGTGAGCCGAGATCATGCCATTGCACTCCAGCCTGGGTGACAAGAGTAAAAACTCTGTCTCTAAATAAATAAAAACATACATACATACAAACATATGTACAACTCTTAAGTTATCCTTTCTCCGAAACTGAGAATCTGGGCTTGGCTTGTGGCTCACGCCTGTAATCCAGCACAGGAAATTTAGAAATTAGCCCAGGTCAGTAGTGCGCCTTGTAGTCCCAGCTACTTGGGAGGCTGAGGTGGGAGGGTCACTTGAGTCCTGGAATTTAAGATGTCAGTGAGCTATGATTGTATCACTGCACTGTAGCCTATGCACCAAACAAGAACCGCCCCCCCATCTCAAAAAAAGAATTACGATGAAAGTGTAGTATAAGGGAAATACTAGTCTATGTTTTTGTATTAAAATTAACATTTCAAGAGTTGATAGCTAATATTTTTTAATACGGGGGGGATATGAATTTTTTTTTTTTTTTTTTGTTTTGGAGACAGGGTCTCACTCTATCACCCAGGCTGGAGGGCAGTGGTGCCATCACAGTTTGCTGCAGCCTCGACCTCCCAGACACAGGTGATCCTTTCTTTCACATCAGCCTTCTAAGTAGCTGGGACCACAGGTGAGTGCTGCCATGTCCAGCGAATTTTTTATTTTTTGTAGAGATGGGCTTCTGCCATGTCTCAGAATTTTGGTAGGCTGAGGCTGGTGGATCGCTTGAACCCAGGAATTTGAGACCAGCCTGGCCAACATGGTGAAACCCTGTCTTTACTAAAAATACAAAAATTAGCCGGGCGTGGTGGTGCATACCTGTAATCCCAGCTACTTGGGAGGCTGAGGCAGGAGAATCACTTGAACCTGGGAGATGGAGGTTGCAGTGAGCCGAGATCGTGCCACTGCAGTCCAACCTGGGTGACAGATTGAGACACTGTCTCAAAGGGAAAAAAAATTAGGTTTATTGGGGTGTAATGTACATAACTTTGTTAGTCTGTTTTTGTGTTGCTTTGAAGAAACACCTGAGACTGGATAATTTATAGAGAAAAATGGTTTTATTGGCTCTTGGTTCAGCAGGCTGTGTAGGAATCTTGGTAGTGGCATCTGCTTGGCTTCTGGTGAGGCCTCAGGGAGCTTACAATAATGGCATAACTGGAGCAGGCATGTCACATGGCAAGAGGGAGCAAGAGTGAGGTGAGGGGGGAGGTGCCACACACTCTTTAAACAGCTCTCTGGTGAACTATCAGCAAGAACTCATCACCAAGGGGTTGGTGCTAAGCCCTTCAGGAGGGATCCGCTTGCACAGTTCAACACCTGGCACTAGGTGCCGCCTTCAACATTGGGGATCACATTGGATATCTCATGGGACAGACATCCAAACTGCATCAATGACAAGAAAATTCTTTAAAGTGTATACAGTTGTGTAACTGCAGAATCAGAATATAGAATATTTTCATCACCCCAAAAAGTTACCTTGTGTCCTCACCCATCATCGTCAGTCCCTGTAAAGTCCCAGTCTGTTTAGTATCGATGTCCTTTCCTATTGGGTATTTTCCGGAATGTCAAAGGAATTATACAGTGGATTAGCCTTTCATGCATGTTGTTTCATGTATTATAGTTGATGTTTTTATTTCATTTTATTTATTAACTCCCTGTGGGGACATCTTAGTTGATTTTTATTATTGCTAAATAGTATTCTCTTGTGTGGTTATACCACAATTTGTTTATCAGTTCTCTCGTTCAGAGACATTTTGTTTGTTTCCAGTTTTTGACTGTTGCAAATAAAGTGAATAGGAACACTTGTGCATAGGACTTGGTGTGGACTTAAGTTTTCATTTCTCATATGAAAATCCCTAGCAGAACTGCCCGGGTCATGTGAATTGTGTGCCTTCCCACCAGCAATGGGTGTTAGTTGTTATCACCAGCCCTCTTTAAAATTTGTTTTTGGCAACCATCTTTGGTTAGGTCTTTTTTTTTTTTTTTTTTTAAAGACAGAGTTTTGCTGTTGTTGCCCAGGCTGGGGTGCAATGGGGCAATCTCGGCTCACTGCAACCTCCGCCTACCGGGTTTAAGTGATTCTCCTGTCTCAGCGTCTGAGTAGCTGGGATTACAGGCACATGCCACAATGCCCGGCTAATTTTTGAATTTTTGTATTTTTAGTAGAAACGGGGTTTCATCATATTGGTCAGGTTGGTCTGGAACTCCTGACCTCAGATGATCCACCCCCTTCAGCCTCCTGCAGTGCTGGGATTACAGGCGTGAGCCACTACGCCTGGCTAGTTATGTCTTTTAAATTTTAACCCTTGTGTATAGTTGGAATTAGCATTATGTCTTTAATTTGCATTTCCCTAATAATGATAGCATCTTTCCGTGTGTTTTGGTGAAGTGTCTGTTCAAATATTTTGCCTGTTTAAAAAAAAAACTGGGGCCTGAGCACGGTGCCTCATGTCTGTAATGCCAGCACTTTGGGAGGCCGAGGTGGGCAGATCGCTTGAGCCCAGGAGTTCGAGACCAGCCTGGGCAACATGATGAAAACCTGTCTTTACAAAAAGTATAAAAGTAAGCCTGGCACAGTGGCGTGCCCCCTGCAGTCCCACCTACTGCAGAGGCTTGAGCCCAGGAGGTAGAGGTTGCAGCCTGGACGATGAGAGTGAACCTTGTCTTAAAAAAAAAAAGGCAAAAAAATTGGGTTGTCTTAACGAATTGTGAGAATTCTTCATGTATTTTGGATACATGTTTTGCAAATAATTTCTCTCAGACTGTGGTTTGTTTTCATTTTCTTGATACAGTGTCTTTTGAAGAGCAAAAATTTTAAGTACTGAAATAAAATGCCTGGTGGCTCATGCCTTTAATCTCAGTACTTTAGGAGGCTGAGGCTGGAGAATCCTTTTACGCTGGAAGTTCAAGACCAGCCTGGGCAACATACTAAGACGCCTATTCTCCAAAAAATTTAAATTAAGTGGGCATGGTGGCATACCTCAGCTACTTGAGAGACCAAGGTGGCAGGTTTGCTTGAACCCAGGAGTTCAAGGCTGTAGTGAGCTATGATTGTGGCACTGCACTCTGGTCTGGGTGACAGAGCGGGACCTTGCCTCTTTAAAAAAAAAAAAAAATTTTTTTTTCTTTCATGGTTTGTGCTTTTGTGTCCTAAGAAATCATTGCCTAACCCAAGGTCATAGAGTTTTCTCCTGTCTTGTAGAAGTTGTGTAATTTCGTTCTTATCTTTTAGGTCTTTGATTCATTTTGAATTTTTTGCATGTGGTGCGATAAAAAGATGTTCACTTTTTGGGGGGTGGGGTACACAGGGTCTCACTCTGTCACCCAGGCTGGAGTGCAGTGGCGTAATTAACAGGTCTCTGCAGCTTTGACTTCTTGGGCTGGAATGATCCTCCTAATCCTTTTGAGTAGTTGAGACTACAGGTATGTGCCACCACACCTGGCTGATTTTTAAATTTTTTTGTGTGGAAACAGAGTCTCACTGTGTTGCCCAGAGTGGTCTCAAATTACTGGACTCATGGGATCCTCCTGCGTTGGCCTCCCAAAGTATTGGGATTACAGGCGAGAGCCGCTGTGACCACCCCTATTTTTTTTTTTCCATGTAAATGTCCAGTTGTGCAAGTTTCATTTGTTGAAAAGATTGTTTCCCATTGAATCACCTTGAAATTTCTGTGATGAAAATCAAATTATGTGTGTCTATTTCTGGACTCAGAGAAGTGTGTGTGTGTGTGTGTGTGTGTGTGTGTGTGTGTATGTATGTTTGTATGTATTATGCTAATTCTATGGAATGCTAGTCCATAAATAAAATAGTATTTGATTTTTTTTTCTGCTTTAACATTGGATGTCTTACATTTTCTAAAATATTTTATAGGAAATTTGGAGCAACAGGGAAATTGTTTTTGTGGGTGTGTGAAGTAAGACCTGTTGCAAAATAACGTCATCTTGAATTCGTATGTCAATCTTCTTTTAAGTGGCTTGAAATGTTAGATATCTAATTCATACTTGAGCATACTTAGAAAATGACAACATTTCTATACTGGAAATGAGAAAGTAGGATGTAAAAGTATCAACTTATTTACTATGATATATTATCTCAACAGTGGATTTGGGACTCTTCTCTCTTGAGTGCTAATTATGTGCTAGAGATTTCCTTTGCCTCAGGAAATGTTTGAGTGCCTATGGTATCGTTGGTGCTGGGGATTTTCTAGTGAACAAGGCAAAAATGTAAGATTCCTCTGTCCGTGAAGTTTGCTGTGAAGTTCTATGAATACAGAATAAAAAGAGTCCTTGAATTTGAATTATGGTTTCATGCCATCTGTTACATTATATAATAGCTATGTGATATTGGCCAACATAGTCTTTATGACTTAATTCTTGCTCTATAAAATAGTGCCTCACAGAGTTGTTGTTATTAAAGTCAAGTGAAATAATGAATGCTAAATGCTTTGAAATTGTAAAATAATACAGACAGTGGTGTTGTGGCTGGTCACAGGTGATAGTGGTTGAAGACCATATCATATGATCAACCAGGAGGGAGAGATTATGAATTGGAGGACATAGGTAAGTATAAATTGAAGGGACAGAAGAAGCAGAAACCAGATATATATATATATATGTATAATGTATTTGTGTATATATAATATATATGTATATATGACATTTAAAATTATCGAGGCTGGGCTTGGTGGCTCATGCCTGTAATCTCAGCACTTTGGGAGGCTGAGGTGGGTGGATCACTTGAGGTCAGGAGTTTGAGACCAGCCTGGTCAACATAGTGAAACCCCATCTCTACCAAAAAATACAAAAATTAACTGGGCATGATTGTGCACGCCTGTAGTCCCAGCTACACAGGAGGCTAAGGCAAGAGAATCGCTTGATCTCAGGAAGTGGAAGTTGCAGTGAGCTGAGATCGCACCACTGCACTCTAGGCTGGGCGACAGAATGAGAGACTGTCTCAAAAAAAAAAAAATGGTTGAAGCACATGCATTCCACTCTTGGGATAATACTTGTGTAATTTGTGGTATGATACCATAGCTTTAAAAGGTATATTTATGCAAATGATCTCAAGTTTAAATTTCCAGTTCAGATCTTCTCTCCATATTCCAGGCTTATAGCTTAACTGCCGTCTTGACTTCTCTACCTGTAAAATTTAACGTTCAGTGCTACACTCAGGCTGGACATGGAGGCTCACGCCTGTAATCCCAGCATTTTGGAAAGCTGAGGCAGGTGGATTGCTCGGGAGTTTGCGACCAGCCTGGGCAGCATGGTGAAATCCTGTCTCTACTTAAAAAAAAAAAATGCAGAAATTAGCTGGGCATGGTATTGGGTGCCTGTAATCCCAGCTACTCGGGAGGCTGAGGCATGAGAATTGCTTAAACACGTCAGGCAGAGGTTGTAGTGAGCCGAGATCGTGGCACTGCACTCCAGCCTGGGCGACAGAGCGAGACATTGTCTCAAAAAAAATAAAAGGCAAGCTACAGTCTTACTTCCTAGCCCCATACTCTCTCTATTCTTTCTCATCTCAGTATGGCTCCACCAGCTACCTATTTATTCAGGCTAAAACACGTGGGAATCATCTTTGGCTTTCTTCTTTCCCCCCATCTAATCCATTAGCAAATTATGTGTTCTACCTTCAAAATCTCCTAAATGTATTCATTAATATCCCACTGCTACTAGACTTGTACAAGCCTCTTTCTGTCTGTCTGTCTGTCTGTCTTTCTTTGCGACGAAGTTTCACTCTTGTTGCCTAGGCTGGAGTATAGTGGTGTGATCTTGGCTCACTGCAACCTCTGCCTCCCAAGTAGCTGGGATTACAGGCATGCACCACCATACCCGGCTAATTTTTTTTTTGGAAGACAGTCTCGCTCTGTCCCCCAGGCTGGAATGTATTGCCACTATCTCAGTTCACTGCAACTTCCACTTTCCAGTTCAGGTCATTCTCATGCCTCAGTCTACTGAGTAGCTGGGATTACAGGTGCCTGCCACCGTGCCCAGCTAATTTTTGTATTTTTAGTAGAGACGGGGCTTTGTCATGTTGGCCAGGCTGGTCTTGACCTCCTGACTTCAGGTGATCTGCCCACCTAGGCCTCCCAAAGTGTTGGGATTATAGGCGTGAGCCACCATGCCCAGCCCAGCTAATTTTGTATTTTTAGTAGAGACAGGGTTTTACTATGTTGGACAGGCAGGTCTCGAACTCCTGGCCTGTGGTGATCCACCCACCTTGGCCTCCCAAAGTGCTGGGATTACAGGCCTGAGCCACTGCGCTCAGCCCACTTTTTTTCACTTGAACTACTGTGGTAGCCTTTTAACTTTATTCCTGTACCATTGTGTACTCTATTTCATTATTCACAGAGCAGTGATCCTTTAAAAATGATATTCGATTGTGTCATTATTGTGCTTAAAACCCTTTAATGTCTTTCCATTGGATCTAAAAATAGCATGCATACTCTATAGCCTGCAAGGATCTGCATTGTTTATTTGTTCCCTCTCCTTGTCTGGAACCTTGCTTACTGTCTTACTGGCCCATTGGCCTTCTTTCTCTTACCTGAACACGAGACATTTTTCTTTATATTTGTTCCCTCTTCTCTGTTCTTCCCTTGTCAGCTCAATTTTAGCTCAAACCTAACTTTCTCTGAGATTCTCTAACCATTTTGTGTAAAGTGGGCCACTCTATTCAATACTTTGATTTCTCTTATTATTCTATATTATTTCACTTAAAGCACAGCTTATAATTATCTTGTTTACCCTGTGCCCGTCTTTATCACATAAGCTCTTTGAGAGCAGGGACCTTGTCTCATTTGTTTACTGTTGTAGTCTCAGTGCACTTATTTGCACAGTAAAAGAACTATTAACATCTATAAATAATTTAGCCTTACTTTTTTTTAGGGGGGGGATTGGGTGTATATGGTTGTTTTTATTATAGAGCTATTTTTAACTGCTTGGGGACTAGGTGGAATTTGTTATTGGATTATAGGAGGGTTGATTTGTTGTCATGTCATTTAGAAGCTGTTTTATCAGCTGGGCGTGGTGGCTCATACCTGTAATCCCAGCACTTTGGGAGGCCGAGGCAGGTGGATCACCTGAGGTCAGGAGTTCAAGACCAGCCTGGCCAACACGGTGAAACCCCATCTCTACTAAAAGTATAAAAATTAGCCGAGCGTGTTGGCACGCACCTGTAATCTCAATTACTGGGAGGCTGAGGCGGGAGAACCACTTGAACCCAGGAGGTGGAGGTTGCAGTGAGCTGAGATCACGCCACTGCACTCCAGCCTGGGTGACAGAGCAAGACTCCATCTCAGTTAAAAAAAAAAAAAGAAAAAAGCTATTTTATGTGTCTAGAATTAAATAAATTGTTATATGAGCTTTTTGTCTGCTAGATTCAAGACTGGCTTTGGATTTGCTGTTAGCTTTTTTTTTTTTTTTTTTTTTTTTTTTTCCTGAGACAAGGTCTTGCTCTGTCACCCAGGCTAGAGTGTGCTCCATTATCACAGCTCACTGCAGCCTTGACCTCCTGGGCTCAAGCAATCTTCCGGCCTCAGCCTTCTGAGTAGCTGGGACTACAGGTACATACCACCATGTCTGGCTAATTTTTGTATTTTTTGGTAGAGACGGGGTTTTGCCATGTTGCCTAGAACTCTAGGCAAAACATGTTGCCTTGAACTCTAGGTAAAACATGTTGTCTTGAACTCTAGGCAAAACATATTGTCTTGAACTCTGGGGTTCAAGTGATCTGCCCGCCTTGGCCTCCCCAAGTGCTGGGGTTACAGGTGTGAGCCATTGTGCCTGGCTCCTCTTAGCTGTTTTTTTCTTTTCTTTTTTTTTTAAGGCATTCTCCGTCACCCAGGCTGGAGTGCAGTGGCACAACCTTGGCTTACTGCAACCTCTGCCTCCTTGGTTCAAGTGATTCTTGTGCCTCAGCTCCCAAGTAGCTGGAATTAACAGGCGCTTGCCATCATGACCAGCTAATTCAGCTAATTTTTGTATTTTTAGTAGAGGCAGGTTTCGCCATGTTGGCCAGGCTGGTCTTGAACTCCGGACCTTAAGTGATCCATCTGCTTCTGCTGTCCAAAGTGCTTGAATTACAGGTGTGAGCCGCCGTGCCTGGCCTTGCTCTTAGCTTTTTGAAGGGACTGCCTCATCTCATAAAGATTTGTTTACTGTGACCCTTGCCTTTAAAAATTTCCCCAATTTTGAACTGTTGAGTCAGAAGCCTTGAAACCTAGGTAATTTTTGCTCTCAGGTTCAAAGAAACAAAATACATTTATCTTTAGGTTTTTTTTTTTTTTGTTTGTTTGAGACCGAGTGTCACTCTATCACCAGGCTGGAGTGCAGTGGTGCGATCTCAGCTCACTGCAACCTCCGCCTCCTGGGTTCAAGTGATTCTCCTGCCTCAGCCTCCCGAGTAGCTGGGACTACAGATGCGCATCACCACACCCAGCTAATTTTTGTATTTTTAGTAGAGACGAGGTTTCACTGTGTTGGCCAGGATGGTCTCAATCTCTTGACCTCATGATCCGCCCACCTCTGCCTCCCAAAGTGCTGGGATTACAGGCGTGAGCCACCACGCCGGCCTGTCTAGGTTTTAAGGAGTGGCTTTGAAATATATGAGCAGAATTTAAGACTTATCATTTTTCAGAGATGAGACCATGATAGTTCATTTGTAGTGTGTCTTTGAGGAGGATACTAATGCAGATAAATATCCACAGAGCTTTAATTATTTTTGGTGTTACAAAGTTTATCTGTGTGATCTTGTTTTCCTTCTATGTAAGAAAAACATGTTATATAGATCCCTTGCAAGGACGTTATTTACTGAAGCTCTTAGAAGGATGCTAAACTTGAGGCTGTTTCAGGTGAGTATCCTCAGGAGAGTGTTGAAATTGTTTCTGGAACACTGGCTAGGTTGAAAACTACTTGAAAAATGCACTTACCTGAGCTGGGTGCCTTAATTTTTTTCTTTTAACTTGACTGGTAGTTTCACATTTCTATTAAGTACTTCCTGTTAAGTACTTCTGAGTACTTAATTTGCTGAGAGGACAGTAGTCTGTTTGGGGATAGCGCTAGATTGCAGTGGTAGCTCAAATTGCTCATCTTTTACCTGTCTAGGTGATTGAGACCTGTATTTTGTACTTTTTGACACAGCAGTAGTGTAAGACAGTGCCTGAGTAAAACTTAAAATTTAGGAGTTGGCTGGGCACGGTGGCTCACGCCTGTAATCCCAGCACTTTGGGAGGCTGAGGTAGGTGGATCACCTGAGGTCAGGAGTTCGAGACCAGCCTGACCAACATGGAGAAACTCCGTCTCTACTAAAAATACAAAATTAGCCTGGCGTGATGGTGAATGGCTGTAATCCCAGCTACTCAGGAGGCTGAGGCAGGAGAATCGCTTGAACCTGGGAGGCGGAGGTTGCGGTGAGCTGCGATCACGCCATTGCACTCCGGTCTGGGCAACGAGAGCGGAACTCCGTCTCAAAAAAAAAAAAAAAAAAAAATTAGGAGTTACTTACATGTCTATTACGAAGGCTAATGTTTTGTGTTAGATAAGATCTCTGTCTGATGTATCCTATGTTACTTACAGTATGTATATGTATCCAGAGCAGTTAAGAGTTTCAGCTACTATTTGACCTTGGGAACTTTAAAATGGACTTCACGTTTATATAAACACTTATTTTTCTTGTTTTGAAAAGAAGGTAACATCAACCTCCTGGAGATGGGATGAGGACTAAATGAGATGAATGTTAAAGAAACTGTTGGCCGGGCACGGTGACTCATGTCTGTAATCCCAGCACTTTGGGACGCCAAGGCGAGTGGATCACCTAAGGTCAGGAGTTGAAGACCAGCCTGGCCAACATGGTGAAACCCTGTCTCGACTAAAAATACAAAAATTAGCTGGGCATGGTGGTGGGTGCCTGTAATCCCAGATACTCAGGAGGCTGAGGCAGGAGAATTGCTTGAACTGGGAGGCCGAGGTTGCAGTGAGCCGAGATCGAGCCCTTGTGCTCTCGCCTGGGTGACAAGAGTGAAACTCCATCTCAAAAAGAAACTGCCTAGGCCGAGTGCCGTGGCTTACTCCTGTAATCCAGCACTTTGGGAAGTCGAGGTAGGAGATCACTTGAGTTCAGGAATTTGAGACCAGCTTGGGCAACATGATGAAACCCCATCTCCACAAAAAAATACAAAAACGACCTGGGCATGGTGACTTGCGCCTGTAGTCCCACCTGCTTGCGGGGCTGAGGTGGGAAGATCGCTTGAGCCCAGGAGGTGGAGGTTGCAGTGAGCCAAGATCATGCCACTGCACTCAAGCTTGGGCAATAGAATGAGACCCTGTCTCAAAAAAAAAAAAAAAAAAAAAAACTATGAAAAGTATTCTGTCTTTGTTAGTGCTATCTGGTTCGTAGGATTAGGCGTGTTTAAAAAATTAAATTGTTGGAACTTGTTTCCTGTGCTTGGGATGATTGGTCTTTAGCCTAACTCAGTTTCAGAAAAAAAATGGATTAAGAGTTTAAGGATTTGAAAAAAACAAAACAGTTTATTCAGGAAACAGTAAAATTGAGTCAGACTAAAAAAGATTTAAAATTGTTTTGAATTTATGCACACAAATTACAAAAGGTGTACCACAAGAGGTTTAGAGGAAAGTCACCCCTTTAATCCTGTTTCTTAGCAGTTCCCCTCTGCGGAAACCACTGTTAGTTTCTTATGTATTTTAGAGATGTATATAAAACCACATTCTTTTGCTTTCTAATACAAGTAGTAGCATCATGTCTACCCTGCTCTACAGTCTTTTTTTACTTAATGAACTTAGAACATTATTCCATATTAGTATGTGTAAAGTTACCTCATTCTTTTTATTGGCTGCATGCTAGTATAACTAGACCTCTATTGATGTATATTAGCCTGTTTCTTGTTTTTGTTTCTTTTTTGCTATTATGAGTAGCGCTAGTGAATAGTTCTCGTAAATATAAGGCAAATTCCTGTAAGTGAATTTCTGAGTGTAATTTGAGATAATGCCCAGTTGTTCTCCATAGAGGTGTACCAATGTATATTTCTAGTGCTAATGAGGTGTATCAGACCTTTTTGTTTGGCATTTTTGCCTTGTGTAAAAAATATATATATATTTCTACTTATGGATGAATAATAGTTACACATATTTAAGGAGCACATATTTTGATAAAAGCATACAGTGTGTAATGATCAAATCAGGGTAGTGGGAATATCACTTCAAGCATTCATAATTTTCTATATTAGGAACATTCCAACTCCATTTTAGTTATCTTGAAATATATAATTATTGTTAACTGTAGTTGCCCTGTTGTGCTACCAAATACTAGATCTTATTCCTTCTATTTTTGTACCAACTAACCTCCCGCTCTTTATCTCCCCAACCTTCCCACTCCCCAGCCTCTAGTAACCATTATTCTCCTCTACCTGTGAGTTGATTTTGACCTCCCACATAAGAGAATGTGGCAGTATTTGTTTTTCTGTGCCTGGGTTATTTCATTTAACATACTGTCCTCTGGTTCCATCCTTGTTGTTGCAAACGACAGGATTTTGTTCTTTTTTATGACTGAATAATATTCCATAGCCATATACATACCATGTTTTCTGTATCCATTCATTCGTTGATTGGCAGTAAGGTTGATTCCATATCTTGGCTGTTGTGAATATTACTGCAGTAAACATAGGAATACAGATATCTTTTCCATATACTGATTTCCTTTGTTTTGGATATATACCCAGCAGTGGGCTTGCTGGATCATATGGCAGCTCTGATTTTAGGTTTTTAAGGATGGGTTTTTTTTTTGCAATGAGAATAAAAATTTTCCATGTATAAGATCAGTGTCTTTGAACTTTGTTTATATCCTTTGCCCATTTTTCTATTGAGTTCTTTTTTCTTTTTGAGACAGGGTTTATTGCCCAGGCTAGAGTGCAGTGGCATGATCACAGCTCACTGCAGCTTTGATCTCCCGGGCTCAAGTGGTCCTCCCATGTCAGCCTCTTCAGTAGCTGGGACTAGAGGCACATGACATCATGCCTGGCTAATTTCTTGTATATTTTGTGGAGATGGAGTCTTCCTATTTTGCCCAGGCTGGTCTCCAGGTCCTGGGCATAAATGGTCTTTCTGCCTTGACTTCCCAAAGTGTACCACGTCTGGCCTAGAAATTTTATTCTTAACATTTTGTTTAATTAATTACTTTCTAATTCTAGGAAGTTGATTAGCCTGGGACATGCAAATTATAAAGCCTATTTTGTTGTAGTTAGCGAAGTTGTAGTTTTAAAACTGAATTCTGTACCATAATGTAGATGAAAAAAGACTGGAGTAAGATGTATTTGCTTGTATTTGAAGCCATTAGGAGCTAGCTGTGATGACTTAGGCACAACCTCTTTAAGCCCGAAGGTTTTTTATTTGCGAAATGAATATTAAAATACGTTTTTCGGCTGGGCGCAGTGGCTCGTGAGCGCCTGTAATCCCAACACTTTGGGAGGCTGAGGCAGGCGGATCACCTGAGGTCAGGAGTTCATGACCCTCCTGGCCAATGTGATGAAACCCCGTCTCTACTAAAAATACAAAAATTACCTGGGCGTGGTGGCATGCGCCTGTAGTCCCAGCTACTCTGGAGGCTGAGGCAGAAGAATCACCTGAACTAGAGAGGCGGAGATTGTAGTGAGCTGAGATCGTGACAGAGTGAAACTCCATCTCAAAAAAAAAAAAAAAAAAAAAAAAAATTTTTTTTTTTTGTTTGCAAGGGTTGAGATATGTAAAAGTCAATATGATATCTGCACATAGGCTCTCAGTATTTCCTTTTCCATATGATGGTTACTTCTTGTCAGTGTTTTCTATCTCTGCCTACCTACTTTCAGTTTTTAAAGTCGAGATTTATTGTTTTATTTTCTTAATATTTTGTAGAGCCAAGGACTCTCTTTTTGGCCAGGCTGGTCTCGAAGTCCTGGCCTCAAGTGATCCTCCTGTCTTAACTTCCCCAGAAGTGCTGAGATTACAGGTATAAGCCACCATGCCTGGCCTCAGAGTCAAGACTTCTTTCGACTGTTCTTTACTGATGTGGAGTTTCAACACCAAGTAACCAGTTATGGAATTAATTTGTTATCAAATTGATAGTAGAGAAATTTAATCTGGTGGATTTCACATTTGGTAATTTCAGGATAAGCATTACCTTAGTGCACCTTTGTTTTCCACCTGTTTTGTGTTGTGTAGCATCAGATGCTATAAATGGCAAATAACCACTGAACAAATTTGCTTTCATGGTGCTAAAAGGACCAGGATTTAAATAAAATTGTCATCATCTATTTATTTATTTATTTATTTTTGGAGACAAGGTCTCGCTCTGTCTTCCAGGCTGGAGTGATAAAGTGGAACAATCAGGGCTCACTGCAACCTCGACTTGCTGGGCTCAAGCCATTGTCCTGCCTCAGCCCCCCAAGTAGCTGGGACCACAGGTGTGTGCCACCATGCCTGGCTAATTGTTTTGAATTTTATTTTATTATCATTATTATTATTTTTGAGATGGAGTCTTGCTGTGTTGCCCAGGCTGGAGTTCAGTGGCACGATCTTGGCTCACTGTAACCTCTGCCTCCTGGGTTCATGCGATTCTCCCGCCTCAGCTTTCCAAGTAGCCGGGATTACAGGAGTACACCACCATACCTGGCTAATTTTTTTATTTTTAGTAGAGATGGGATTTCACCATGTTGGCCAGGCTGGTCTTGAACTCCTGGCCTCAAGTGATTCGCCTGCCTCAGCCTCCCACAGTGCTGGGATATAGGCGTGAGCCACCACGCCCGACCTGTTTTGAATTTTAGTAGAGACAGCGTTTCACTATGTTGCCCAGGCTGATCTTAAATTCCTGACCTCAAGTGATCCTCCTGCCTGGCCATCACATCTAGCCCATTTTTTTTTAAAAAAGTAATTTATATAGTAGTTTACAGTTACAAGGCTTTCCTACACATTGTCCTCCTCCATTTGAGGAGAAGAATCATTATAGAATCTTTATTTCCATGCTCAGAGCAGGAACTCTCCTCAAGCAGTCCCTAGGCTTCCCAAAATTGTAAAAGAATATCATTTTGCTTTTTTTTTTTTTTTTTGGACAGTCTCGCTCCGTCGCTCATGCTGGAGTGTGCATTGGTGCGATCTTAGCTCACTGCAACCTCCGCCTCCTGGTTCAAGCAGTTCTCCTGCCTCAGCCTCCCAAGTAGCTGGGATTACAGGTGCCTGCCACCATGCCCAGCTAAGTTTTTGTATTTTTAGTAGAGATGGGGTTTTGCCATGTTGGCCAGGCTGGTCTAGAACTCCTGACCTCAGGTGATCCACCCACGTCAGCCTCTCAAAGTGCTGGGATTACAGGCGGGAGCCATTGCGCCTGGCCTGCTTCAATTTTTTTTGCTTGATGTCATGTTTTTCTTCATTTGCCAGGCAGGTGTTGTTTTCTTTCTAGAAGTTGTTCTTTGTCCTTGGTTCTGAAAAATTCATTTATCTTGCTAGTTATTTCTTAAATTCTTTGTTTCCTTTTTATTCATAGTTTTTTTTTAATGATCTCTTTCATTTGCTACTTTGCTTAAAATGTTTGATGATTATTAGTTCATATTTAAGAATGAGGCAATAAAAAGTTGTTTGAGAGTTAGGTGTATGTGAGCAGTGCTTATTGAACGGCTGTCAATGTTCTAGGACCCTGAAAAGCCAAATATCTTTTGGTGCCAGAACCCATATTAGCTCCTTATTTGTGTTTGAGAGAATCTACCTTTCCTTTTTGTTTCGGTGTCGTTGTTATGTTTATGTGTTTGCTTATATTCATGTAGACAACTGTGCATTCAAATTTTTCAGTTACTTCTTTTCAATCTCATTTCCCACTCTGCCCTCCTTTGTATCTGCAGTTTTGCAGTCCTAAATCATTTCAGCATTCTAGGGAGCAGATCAGCTTCCCACTGTATTCTACCTTCCACATGTATTCTAGGCCTTGGCTTTCGTTGTCTAGTTTCATCAGTTATTATGCTTTCATTTATGTCATTCCAAAAATTTCATGAAGTGGCTCATGGCCTTTTCATTATCACAGTTTTATTCCTTTATTATTCTTTAACTCCTTTGTTTTGCTTTTTTAATAGGATCTTTGAAGTCAGGATGCCATCATGAACTTGAAATCCTGTTGTATTTGTAATGGGTACTAATGAACCGAATAAACAAGTTCAGTATCTTGTGTAAATCGAGTATTTTTATATTTCTATTATGGTAGTGGTTATCATAGTTTTCTTAGTTTTCTATAGTTCTTTATAAATATTTATTAGGCCGGGCGCAGTCACACCTGTAATCTCAGCATTTTGGGAGGCTGAGACTGGCGGATTGCTTGAGGTCAAGAGTTCGAGACGAGCCTGGCCAACATGGTACAACCTTGTCTCTATTAAAAATACAAACATTAGCCGAGCATGGTGGCGCGTGCCTGTAATCCAGCTACTCGGGAGGCTGAGGTGGGAGAATTGCTTGAACCTCGGTGGCAGAGGTTGTAGCCTGGGTGACAGTGAGACTGTCTCAAATATTTATTAGTAATTATTTAACTCTTTTTGGTACTTCAGTGTCATTTGCTTCACATTTTGTTTTTTTCCAGTTATGAATATATTGTTTGCCTTTGCAGTTGCAATAATTTTATGCTTAAAAGTATTTTGTTTCTTTAGGTAATAGGCATCTGTTAAACAGGAAAAATCTTACTATATCTCATGATGATAAAGTAGGATTTAATATGAATTAATCATGATTTGGACTCCAATAAATATTTCTCAAACAAAATCGAAGTACATTTACAATGGCGGGGTACACTTAGTACAGTTCTTTTCTGTGTTCTTTCAGAATACTACTATATCAATTCCACAATATTTATGTTCTTTTAACATACAAAATAGTTGTACGTAATCATACTCCTGTGAAGTAAAACTAGCGATATTCTTGTTTTGTAGATATAACAAAAGTTAGCTGTGTCATAGTGGTTATTTAGTTTCTGACTATTTTTTATAGTTTTTGACTCACAGTTTTATATTATTAGTGTTAGAACTGGGACTAGACATTGGGATATATGAACATTAGGGATGGGCGGAACCTGATGAGACTGAGGAGGAGCAGCCATAGGGATACAGGGGAAACCAGTAATGTGGTGTATTGGGTTAGCCCTGGAAAGGAAATTGGATGAAGGAGATAAGAATTGAAAGGTGACACTTCTCCTTCCTTTAACACATTGCTACCAGATTTCTTTTCTTTTCTTTTTATATATATATATATCTTTATTATACTTTAAGTTCTAGGGTACATGTGCACAACGTGCAGGTTTGTTACATATGTATACATGTGCCACGTTGGTGTGCTGCACCCATTAACTCGTCATTTACATTAGGTATATCTCCTAATGCTGTCCCTCCCCCTGAGATTTATTTTCTGAAAGCATACTTCCAGATATGTAATCGTCACTTTAAAACTTCTAAATACTTCCCTTGCCTGCTGGATTAACTTCTGATTTCTCATACTGCTGTGTGCTGTTCAAGAACCCCTACTGTCCCCATACTACTAGAATTTAGGTATACCTGGAATATATTAAGTGGTGTTTGGTTGACTAGACCTAGTGGTTTCAGATGTATTTTTAACAGTGGTTTTTTTTTTTCTTTTGGAACTCTTGACTTCAAGTGATCTACCTGCCGCAAAGTGCTGGGATTACAGGCGTGAGCCACTGCGCCTGGCCCTTACTTGAAAATCTTTTTTTTTTTTTTTTTTTTTTTTTTTTCTGAAACAAGTCTTGCTCTGTCTGTGGCCCATTCTTAAAGTGACTTTGTTGCCTCACCTCACCTTGCCTCACCCGTCCCCGCCCCGCCCCTCCCCTCCCCTGCTTCCTTCCCTTTCCTTCCTCTCTTTCCTTTTCTTTCTTTCGTTTTAGAATTATGCTGCTGGCCAAGGCATGGATGCAGGCAGGGAGAAACGGTGATAAATTCCATGTTCTTTCTATGTTAGTGCTTGAGAAGGTAATTTCATTTTCTGTTTAATTAAAACAAAACATAAAGCATTGTAGTTTTTGTGTCTTGAGTAAATAAGTTTGAATTTTTTTTTTTTTTTTTTTTTTTTTGAGATGGAGTATCATACTGTCTCCCAGCCTGGAGTGCAGTAGCACGATCTCGGCTCACTGCCACCTCTGCCTCCTGGGTTCAAGTGATTCTTCTGCCTCAGCCTCCCTAGTAGCTGGGATTACAGGCATGCGCCACCATGGCTGGCTAATTTTTTGTATCTTTAGTAGAGTCAGGGTTTCACCAAGTTGGCCAGGCTGGCCTCGACCTCCTGACCTTGTGATTCTCCCGCCTCGGCCTCCCAAAATGCTGAGATTACAGGTGTCAGCCACTGCGCCTGGCCTGAAAATTTTAAATAACAAAACTTACTTTTGTATCTTAAGGGATACACTCCGTTGCCCAGGCTGGAGTGCAGTGGCATGATCTCCGCTCACTGCAAGCTTCGCCTCCCGGGTTCACGCCATTCTCCTGCCTCAGGCTAACAAGTAGCTGGGACTACAGGCGCTAGCCACCACGCGCGGCTAGTTTATATTTTTAGTAGAGATGGGGTATCACCGTGTTAGCCAGGATGGTCTTGATTTGCTGACCTCGTGATTCGCCCACCTCGGCCTCCCAGAGTGCTGGGATTACAGGTGCAAGCCACCATGCCTGGCCCATGCCTGGCTAATTTTTGTATTTTTAGTAGAGAGAGGGTTTCACCATCTTGGCCAGGCTGGTCTTGAACTCCTGATCTCGGGTAATCTGCCCTCCTCGGCCTCCCAGAATGCTGGGATTACAGGCATGAGCCACTGCGCTCGGCCATGAGCCTTGTTTTTTAAAAAGTTAAATTCTGTATCGTATGAGGTAATTGTTAGGTATTTCTCTCTTTTTTTGAGTCAGGGCCTTGCTCTGTTGCCCAGGCTCGTGATCCTTCTGCCTCAGCCTCTTGAGAAACTGGGACTTACAAGTGTGTGCTACCATGTGCAGCTAATTTTTTTTTCCCAGTACAGAAAGACTTTAATTGATGCATTGCTGCCCATGCCACACAGGAGATGGAGTTATTACTCAAATTGGTCTCCTAATTTTTAAAAATTTTTAGTAGGGATGATGTTTCACTGTGTCACCCAGGCTGGTCTCGAACTCCTAAGTGCTGGAATTATAGGCGTGAGCCACTGCATCTGGCCAGATAGTTCTTTTTGATAATATAATAGTCATGTAGCCTTATTTTTGTCCATGTTGAACTAAGCCATCTCTAGGATTTTACATAGTTCAGCAGTGTTTTTTTATACAAATTGCTTAAGAAACACCTAGGGTAGCCGACACCTAAGGTGGCCTCTTGCTGTAAGGTTATTTTACTTGATAGTAAGTAAACATTCTTTTTTATATTAAAACACATGGATATTGTAGTGCAATGCAGAAATTTCATTAACTTGTTAAACAGGTCTTGAAGACGGGTTATTTGGTTACTTTCTGAAAAATGTCTTTGGAGGGGTCAGGAGAATGGGTTTGTTAACATTCAGTAATTGCTGTGGGAAAGTTTGAGAGAGATACTGTAGTGAAAAAGTGGGCTTTTGAGGTGGGGGTACCTGGGTTCACATTACCTAGTTTCTGTCATTTATTGGCTCTTGTAGCTTAGGGGCAAATTACTTTAATCTTTCATAATTCTGCGTTTTTTAAATTTAAGTCAGTCTGGCTTTGTTTTTTAATTTGAGATGGGGTCTCACTTGGTTGCCTAGGCTGGAGTGTAATGGAGCGATCATTGCTCACTGTAGCCTTGACTTCCCAGGTTCAGGTGATCCTCCCACCTCAGCCTTCCTAGTAGCTGGGACTACGGGTGCATGCCACTACGCTCGGCTAGTTTTTGTAGAGGCGAGGTTTCACCATGTTGACCAGGCTGGTCTCAAACTCCTGGGCCCAAGCAGTCGGGCTGCCTTGGCCTCCCAAAGTGCTAGGATTGTAGGCATGAACCAGTGGGCCTGGCTCCAGCATTGTTTTTGTTTTTTGAGATGGAGTTTCACTCTTGTCACCAGGCTGGAGTGCAAATGGCCTGATCTTGGCTCGCTGCAAGCTTCACCTCCCAGGTTGAAGTGATTCACCTGCCTCAGCGTCCTGAGTAGCTGGAATTATAGGCGCATGCCACCACGCTTGGCTAATTTTTGTATTTTTAGTAGACTCAGGGTTTCACCATGTTGGCCAGGCTGGTCTCGAACTCCTGACCTGCAGTGATCAGCCTGTTTCAGCCTCCAAAAGTGCTAGGATTGCAGGCATGAGCCACCGTGCCCAGCAGCATTTTTTTTTTAAAAAGCTTATCTATCATTTGAACCCTCGAAGTGATGACATTTTTTGGTAAGTATTTCAGAGAAAAAATTGCTTGTCTACACTTCTAAGAGGATTTGAGGCAGCAACATTGCATTACAGTTATTTGTTAATGCTATTAGATTGTAAGCTGTTAGAGGCAGGAATGCCCTCTCTTATGCCTTGTATCTTCCGTTGCTTAGGCCATATTGCTCATATTATTAATAGCTGTTCAATAAATGAGTTGATTTAAATTAAATTTTATCCCAATGAGTTCATACTGTTTGCAATATATTTCTAAATTAAAACTTGCCAATCTTTAAAACAAAAAAGGATTCCATAGGCTGTTAGAATAAATTTCAGGGATGACTCAGTCAGATTCAGTTTGTGAGGAAAGAGAAGCTCAATAAGTAGAAATTTGTTTACCTTATGGAGAGTAAAGCTTATTTTCTTGTAGTGAAGTTTATATGAAAGTTAAGTAAGTTCGTTGTAAGTTTTGAAGTTCAATTATATTTTGTGTGTTGTATCTTTAATATGTCTCAAAAATTGAGAATTAAAAACATTTGTTTTCAGAATATAATGCTTTTTTAACCTTATTTTTCTTAGGAGGCTGAATGTACCATATTTATGTATATGTATGTATGTACTTACATACATTTATAGCAGTTTTCATATGGAATAATTTAACAAATAGAGTAATTTTTGTAACTTCCTGTTTTGATTTTTATGATAAAAATGTAAGTAAAGCATAGAAAGGGTATGGCGCTGTGGCTCACACCTATACTCCTCATACTTTGGGAGGCCGAGGCGGGCAGATCACTTGAGGGCAGGAGTTTGAGACCAGCCTGGGCAACATGGCAAAACCCTGTCTCTACTAAAAATACAAAAAAATTTAGCCAGGCCCATGTGGTGCTACACACCTGTGTAATCCCAGCTACTTGGGAGGCTGAGACAGGAGAACTGCTTGAACCCAGGAGTGGGATGTTCCAGTGACCCAAGATTGTACCACTGTACTTCCAGCCTGGTGACAGAGCAAGATTCTGTCTCAAAGAAAAAAGAAAAAGAGCATAGAAAGGTGCTGACAGCTTAAGAGGTAAACTGAAGAGGATGGAGTCTAACAAATTTCAGATAAGAGGAACATTAAAATGGAAGTTTTCAAATGTTGGGACTTTCTAATAACCTAGATTTCTTAAAAATTTATGAATGCAGTTTCATGTTTCAGATCATGTGATCTGTAAACAGATAGCTTGGTAACTAACAGATAAGACATTGGATACTTCTTTCTGGACCAAACATCTAAAAAATAGGGAAGCAATAGAATTTTTGCTACCTTTAGAGGCCATGTTCCTTAGACAGGTGTTTTCTTCTTTGAATAATAGGGCATTTACCATCCTTATCTGATGACCCGTAACTCTTAGTATTTATTTAAAAACAGATTTCTATGCAATGCTTAAGTACCATTGAATCAGAATCAACAAGGGAAGTCTGTAGATCACTTAGCATGCAGTAGATGTCTACTAAATATTAATAAAGTTTCGTTAATTATGTTAAAACTGAAGCAAACAATTCAGTGGAATAAAAATGTCATAGTTTTTAAAAGTTAAACACGTAACTCAAAAATAGAATAAACATGTTTTACAGCTTGTTTTTTTTGTTTTGTCTTGTTTTTTTTTGGTCAGTCTGGCTCTGTCGCCCAGGCTGGAGTACAGTGGCTCAATCTTGGCTTACTACAACCTCCACCTCCCAGGCCCAAACCATCCTCTTGCCCCAGCCTCCTGAGTAGCTGGGACAACAGGCCTGCACCACCACACCTGGCTAATATTTGTATTTTTTTGATAGAGATCGGATTTTGCCACGTTGACCAGGCTGGTCTCAAACTCCTGGATTCGGGCGATACCCCGACCTGGGCCTCCCAAAGTGCTGGGATTATAGGCATGAGCCACTTTGCCTGGCTTGATTGATTTTTAAAAATTACTTTCCTTGAATTTAAACCTGACACTTCTGAAAATTTTGGGTCAGTTATGTTAGTGTCTCTCAGGTTTGGCTTTTCTCTTGTTTAGATTCAGGTTATTTACCTTTGGTCTAGAATATTACAGAAGTGGTGCTTGTTTTGTTCAGGCACACAATATCAGTTTGACCTGTTACTGATGTTGTTCACTTTAATTTGTTGATTAAGGGTGCATTTGCCAGGCTATTTCACTGCAAAGCTGCAATTAATTTTTTGGGGGAATGAGGTACTTAGAAATTATAGAATAACCTGTTTCCTAAATTTACATACATTTATTTATATTTATCTGGATTTATGTTTTTTAATTTATTCAAGAGATTATAATATAGTACTCTACTTACTTTTATTAAAGTAAAAATAACATCACATAAAGTTAATCACTTAAAGCATACAATTCATTGGCATTTAGTACATTCATAGTGTTTTCAAGCCTCCACCTCTATCAAGTTCCAGAATGTTTTCATCACCCCAAAAGAAAACTGTCTCTAAGCAGTCACCCGCATTCCACCCTCCCAACAGTCTCTAGTAACACCAGTTTGCTTTTTTTCTCTATGAATTTACCTCTTATGAATACCTCTTATAACTTGAGGCATACAACGTGATCTTTTGTGTCTGGCTTCTCTTTGTTTTTGACGTTTATACTCAGCATGTGTTAGTAATTCATTCCTTTTTATCGTTACGATTTCATTGTGTATGCCACATTTTCTTTTGTCTATTGATGGACATTTGGGGTGTTTCTACCTTTTGGCTACTGTGAATAGTGCTGTTTTGAACACTGGTGTACAACAATTTGAGCATCCTTTCTCAATTCTTCTGTGTATATACCTAGCAATGGTATTTCTGAGTCATGTGGTAATTGCGTGTTTGACTTTTTAAGGAATTGCCAAACTTCTACAGTTGTTGAACCCTTTTACCTTCACACCAGCAATATATAAGGGTTCTGGTTTTTCCACATCTTTGCTAACATTTATTTCCTCTTTTTTTTTTTTTTCATATTTTGATTATAGCCATTCTAGTGGGAGCGAAGTAGTATTTCATTGTGGTTTTGATTTGCATTTCCCTAATGATACTGAGTATATTTTATGTGGTTATTGGCCAGTTGTTTATCTTCTTGGGAAAATATTCAAGTGCTTTGCCCATTTTTATTTTATTATTTATTTTATTTATATATTTTTTGAGACAGGATCTTGTTCTGCTACTCAGGCTATAGTGCACTGGCACTATCAAGGCTCACTGCAGTACCCACCTCCTGGTCACAGGCGATCCTCCCACCTCAGCCTCCTGAGTGGCTGGGAATACAGGTGTGCCTCACCACACCTGGCTAAGTTTTAAACATTTTTTTGTAGAGATAGGGACTCACTGTGTTGCCCAGGTTAGTCTCAAACTCCTGGGTCAAGTGATCCTCCTGCCTTGGCCTCCTAGAGTGCTGGGATTACAGGCACAAGCCATTGCATTTGGCCCTTTGTACATTTTAAAATTGAGTTGTCTGTTTGTTGTTGAGTTGTAAGAGTTCTTTATATATTCTGGATACTAGACCTTATTAGATATGAGGTGCATATATTTTCTTCTGTCAGTTGTCTTTTTACTTTATAGATAATATTTTTTGCACATGTTTTAAATTTTCATGAAGTTCAGTTTTTGTTTTCTTTTTTTAATTGTTACTCTTGGTTTTGGTGTCATATTTAAGAATTCATTGCCAAATCCAAGGTCAGGAAGCTTTATCTCCCTGTTTTCTTCTAAGAGTTTTATAGTTTTTGCTTTTATATTTAGGTCTGTGATTTATTTTGAGTTTATTTTATTTATTTATTTTTGAGACAGAATCTTGCTCTGTTGCCCAGGCTGGAGTGTAGTAGCGCGATCCCGGCTCACTGCCACCTCTGCCTCCTGGGTTCAAGCTATTGTCCTGCCTCAGCCTCCCAAGTAACTGGGATTACAGGCACCTACAACGATGCCATGTTGGGTTTTGCCATGTTGGCCAGGCTGGTCTCGGACTCCTGACCTCAAGCGATCCACCTGCCTTGGCCTCCCAAAGTGCTGGAATTACAGGCGTGAGCTACTGCACCCAGCTGAGTTTATTTTTGTATATGGTTTGGGTAGGGGGGTCCAATGGCTATTTAGTTGTCCAGTCTGTTTTTTTGAAAAGACAATTCCGTATTGAATCATCTTAGCACTCTTGTTGAAAATAACTTGGATATAAATGTGTGGGCTTATTTCTGGTTTATATGTCTGTTCTTAGGCCATACTACAGTTTTGATCACTATGGCCAAGGTGCGAGGATTGCTTGATTCCAGGAGTTTGAGACCAACCTGGGCAACGTAGACCCCATCTCTACGAAAAATATTTTTAAAATTAGCTTGGTGTGGTGGGGCATGCCTATATTCCCAGCCACTTGGGAGGATGAGGTGGTAGGGTCGTTTGCACCCAGGTGGTGGAGGCTGCATTGAGTCATGGTAGTGCCACTGTACTCCAGCCTGGGTGATAGAGTGAGACTTTGTCTCGAAAAATAATCAAAATGGGCAAAGGACTTGAATATTTTTCCTAAGAAGATCTACAAATGGCCAGCTCACTGTTACTTTACAGTAAGTTTTGAAATAGGGAAGTGTGAGTTCTGTAACTTTATTCTTTTTCTGAATTGTTTTTGGATGTTTAGGGCCCCTCGCACTTCCAAAGGAAATTGAGAATAGCCTTTTTTATTTCTGTACAAAAGAGAGTGTTGGATTTTTTTTCTTTTTTGAAATAGTGAAACTTAGTGAAAGGTTCTCTTATCCCCTTTGCAGGGCATGTGATGGGGGTGTGCCTTGCTTCTTTGGCACCCCACTGCTCAAATCTCTAGGGAGAGCATGCAGACAGGGCAGGCTGTGGGACTCCGACCCCACGGCAGCACCTAGGGGTGAATGTTTACAGCTCCTGAAGCCCCAGTGGGCATGTGTTACAGGGTGCCCTTTTAGTCTAGCCATCCATAGGCGGCTTGTGTTAGCTCAGTTAGATGCCCTGCCTTATCGCAAGGACAGAGGGCTTTTTTGCCTTGGTGTATGGGAAGAATCAGATCACACGTGGGCTTGGAGAACGAGTGCAAGGTTTTATTGAGTGGAAGTTTCCAGCAGATGGATGGGAAGCCAGGAGGGAGATGGAGTGGGAGGGTGTTTTCCCCTGGAGTCCTGCAGCTCAGTGACCTGGGCTCTCCTCTGACCGCACCAGCCAAACCCAGCCAAACTTCATGCCCTTCTTTGGTCGATGGCCTGCCAGCCTGCTTTCTGTCAGTGTGGTATTCCACTGGCATGCTTCCCTGGACATCCAGCTATTTGTGTGTTCTTCCGCCGATATGTCCCTCTCGATGACGTCCAGCCACTTGTGTCTCTGCCTACTAGAGTCTCTGAGGGTTTTATAGGCACACGATGGGGGTGTGACTGGCAGAGTGGTCTTGGGAAATGCATCATTTGGTCAGGAAAACAGAAATGCCTGTCCTCACCTAGATCCGTGGGCACAGAACCGGGGATGGAGCCCTCGCGAGGGACCATGCCCTTCCCTTCCCAGCGCTTGCCTGCACACTTCTGTATCAGTAGGGTCTTACTCTTTCTCAGGGGATTGGAGCCCTAGCCAGGGACCATGCCCTTTTCTTCCCAGCACTTCCTTGCCTCCCTCCATATCAATAGAGTCTCATTTTGTTGCTCAGGCTGGAGTGCAGTGGTGTGATCTTGGCTCACTGCAACCTCCACTTCCCGGGCTCAAGCAATCCTTCCGCCTCAGTGTCCCAAGTAGCTGGGACCACAGGTACGAGCCACCATGCCTGGCTGATTTTTTTATTTTTAGTAGGGACGGGGTTCACCATGTTGCCCAGGCTGGTCCTGAGCCACTGAGCTCAAGTGATCTGCTCACCTTGTCCTCCCACAGTGCTGGGATTATAGGCGTGAACCACTGTAGCCTGGCCGGGTGTTGGAATTTTAATAGAGATTACGTTGAATCTGTAGATCATGTTTGGGTAGTGTTGTTGTCTTAACAGTGTTGAGTTTCCCAGTCCTCAAACACAGGGATATCTGTCTTTTGTTTTTCTTTTTTTTTTTTTTTTTTTGAGACAGAGTCTCACCCCGTCGTCCAGGCTGGAGTGCAATGGCGTGATCTCGGCTCACTGCAACCTCTGCCTCCTGGGTTCAAGCGATTCTCCTACCTCAGCCTTCCAAGTAGCTGGGATTACAGGTGCCTGCCTCCATGCCCAGCTAATACTTTATTTTAGCAGAGATGGGGTTTCACCATGTTGGCCAGCCTGGTCTCAAACTCTTGACCTCATGTGATCCACCTGCCTGGGCCTCCCAAAGTGCTGGGATTACAGGCTTGAGCCACTGTGCTGGGCCAGGGATGTCTTTCTGTTTAGGTCTTTTAACATTTCTTTCAGCACTGTCTTAATAGTTTTTGGTGTGCAAGTCTTAACATTTTCTTGGTTATATTTATTTATTATAGGTATTTTATGCTTTTGGATTTTACTGCGAATTGAGTTGTTTTCCTAATTTCTTTTTTGGATTGTTAATAGTGTATACACAAACAGCTGTTTTTGTGTGTTGATCTTCTATCTTGGCAGCGTTCCTGAATTTAATTAGCTCTAATACATATTTTTTCTGGACTCTTTAGAATTTATGTAAGATCATGTAATCTGTGAATAGGAATAATTTTACTTTTTCCTTCCCAATTTGGATGCCATTTAAAAAAATACGACACTGTCTCACTATGTTCCCCAGGCTGGAGTGTAGTGCTTTTCACAGGTGCCATTATAGCACTCTACAGCCTCAAACTGTGGGGCTCTAGCACTTCTCCCTTCCCAGGCTCCCAAGTATCTGGGACTACAGGTGCTTTGCACTGTGGTGGCTCAGGATGCCTTTCATTTCTTTTCTTGCCTAGTTGCTATGGTTAGAACGTCTACTACAGTGTTGAATAGAGCTTGTGAAAGCAGGGCATTCTTGTCTTGTTCCTGATCTTAAGGGGAAAGCTTTCAGTCTTTCACCATTGAGGATGATGTGCTGTGGTTTTTTTTAATAGATGCTGTTTATCAGGTTGAGCAAGTTTCCTTCTTGTTTCTAGTTTGTTGAGTATTTTTATAATTAAAGGGTGCTAGATTTTGTCAAATGCTTTTTCTGCATCAATTAAGATGATCGTTTGGTATTTTTCTTTCATGTTATTAATGTGGTGTATTATTGATTGATTTTTGTATGTTGAGTCACTCTTGCATTCCTGGGAAAATACTACTTTGTATGGTGTTTAATCCTTTTAATATGCTGCTAGATTTGGTTTACTGGTATTTCATTGAGGATTTTTACTCAGTACTTTGGTTGTAGTTAGAATTCCTTAGCTATTGGTTGATTTTGGGTGTTTTTGATGGTCTTTGTGATTTTAAAGCTTATTTTAAAGTTTTCTGAAATCATTATAAAGACAGTAAGTTTGTTATTCTGATGAAATCAATTTGAGTAAGTTTTTCTTTGAAAACGTGGCACAAATTTGGTAGGGTCAGAAATAAAACATAACAAGAAAGAGAAAAAAGTCTCATCTATTTGTATTTTTTGCCAAAGTGTATTCTTTTTCAGTCTGAAGAATAATCTTTTTTTAAAAATTAAAAGTCAGGCATGTGCACTTAAAGATGTACACTTAGGTTTTATTTTTTTCAGAACCAGCTTTCTCCCGGGGAAATTTTTATTCTTCATGGATGTCGTGAATAAATTGTAAATTGGGTGACAGAGAAAAAAATTAGGGTTTTCATACTAGCAGTATTTGTGTATCTTAAACTCTTTATGTCCACATGGGACCTTCAGATATGACAGAATCCAGTAGATTTCTTAAAAAAAATTTTTTTAAGCCAGTCAAATTTAGTATTGGGGGGCCAGTAGAAGATTTCTAATAAGCTGTGGAATCCTGACTCCTGAGTTGTTAGTAGGACTGTTGATTTGCCTTTTTTGAGGGGGAGGGTAGTTGTCTCCTGTATGTACCTGGTTGTTGTGTATGTGTAAAGGAAATATTTAATACATAAACATTTTAGTTGGTCTATTTCTAAAGTTGTTTGTAGTTTACTAGGGCTGCCATAACCAAATACCACAGACTGGGTGGCTTAAACAACAGACATTTATTTTCTCAGTTTTGGAGGTTCTAAGTTCAGGGTAGAGGCATCAGCAGAGGGTTGGTTGCCTCTGAGACCTCTCTCTTTGGCTTGTAAATGACTGCCTGCTTGCTGCCTCTTCACATGGTCCTTTTATCTGTGCATGTGTCCAAATTTCTTATAAGGGCACAGTCTGATGGGAATAGAACCCACTCTAATTGCCTCATTTGCAGTTAATCACTTCTTTAAAGACCTTATCTTCAAATATTGCTACATTTGAGGTATTGGGGGCTATGACTTCAACATACAAATCTTGTTGGTTGGGGGGACACAGTTCAACCCATAACATACACAGGGAAAGGAAGAAGAGACAAAATCAGATGGCACAATGCAGTTAAGATGAGTGGTGTGGAACTTGTGAAACTTTAATTAGCCTTTATATACTTGTGTAACTGCCATAGCCATAACAATACTGCCTTTTTTTTTTTTTAAATCTTTTTTCAGAACATGAGTTAACTTCTTTTTTTGAGATAGGATCTTCTCTGTCACCTGGGCTGGAGTACAGTGGCGTCATAGCTCACTGCAGCCTCAAACTTCTGGTCTCAAGCAGTCTTCTTCCCTCAGTCTCCGTAGTAGCTGGGACTACAGGCATGGACCACCACACTCAGCCGGTTTTTAAAATTTTTTGTAGAGACGGGAGTCTTACCATGTTGCCAAGGCCGGCCTCAATCTCCTGGGCTCAAGGGAGCCTCCCACTTCACTTCCCAGAGTGCTGGGATTACAGGTGTGAGCCTCCACACCAGGCCCATACTTTAAGAACTAGATTTAAATTAAAGTTAATATAAAGACATTGCAGAAATGAATAGGTGATTTTAGTGGTTTGCCTCCGGGGATTTTGTTGTTGTTGTTGTTGTTGTTGTTGGAGATGGAGTTTCCTCCTTGCCCAGGCTGGAGTGCAATGGCGCGATCTCTGCTCACTGCAACCTCCGCCTCCCGGGTTCAAGCAATTCTCCTGCCTCAGCCTCCTGAGTAGCTGGGATTACAGGCATGCACCACCACGCCCGGCTAATTTTGTATTTTTAGTAGAGACGAGGTTTCTCCTTGTTGGTCAAACTCCCAACCTCAGGTGATCTGCCCACCTCGGCCTCCCAAAGTGCTGGGATTACAGGCGTGAGCCGTCGTGCTCGGCCATTACGTAACTTTTTACCATTTTGTATGATATGCCTTTTTGAAAATTTGTTACCAATTTTAATTAAAAAAAAATTTTTTTTTTGAGACAGAGTCTTCCTCTGTCATCCAGGCTAGAGGGCAGTGGCGCGATCTCGGCTCACTGCAACCTCCACTTCCCAGGTTCAAGCGATTTTCCTGCGTCAGCCCCCTGAGAAGCTGGGATTACAGGTGCCCACCACCGTGCCCTGCTAATTTTTGTATTTTTATGGGGTTTCACCATTTTGGCCAGGCCGATCTCGAACTCCTGACCTTGTGATCCACCCACCCCAGCCTCCCAAAGTGTTGGGATTATACATGATTCCAGCCCATTTTTGGTTAAGTTCTCTGAAGTTTCTGGCCAGGAAGTTGTTGGAAAAGTGTGTAAATACTAAATACTAAATACTAAAATACTAAAGCACCGTTTAGTATTTAACTTCATGTTAAAAGATGAAAATCTTTTATAAATTTTCAGACACCTTAGTTTTCATTGTTACTCCACAAGACTTTGACATTTAATGCCAATAGAAATAAATAGGACTCTGAATACCTGAATTTTTGTGATGTGCAGTATATTTTGGTTAGACATAGTCTTAAAACCTGTATTTTGTTTCATGAGTGTTTTATTGGAATTCCTCTTAAGGTTTTCAAGTTGTATCAGAGTTTTTCTCCCTAAGCCCATATTGAGCATTTAAACATTTTCACTTACATTGCCAGTTTTAACTAGTTGTATTTGTTTTTTATATCTGGTTACTCTTAACCTTTCTTTTCTTTTTCTTTTTTTCTTTTTTTTTTTTTTGAGACGGAGTTTTGCTCTTGTTGCACAGGCTGGAGTGCAGTGGCTCTATTTCGGCTCACTGCAATCTCCATCTCCTGGGTTCAAGCAATTCTCTTGCCTCAGCCTCCTGAGTAGCTGGGATTACAGGCGCACACCACCACACCTAGCTAATTTTTTTTGTATTTTTGGTAGAGACAGGGTTTCACTATGCTGGCCAGGCTGGTCTTAAACTCCTGACCTCAAGTGATCCACCTGTCTGCCTCAGCCCCCTCCCTCAAAGTGATGGGATTATACGCGTGAGCCACAATGCCGGGACCATTCCCTGGTTTATTTTAGAACAGTCCAGATGTATCATCAATTTAGTTGTAAAGATTTGAGTATATGTCTTTTTTTTTATTATTTTTTTCAGAGGGAGCCTTGCTCTTTTGCCCAGGCTGGAGTGCAGTGGCGTGATCTTGGCTTACTGCAACCTCTGTCTCCCAGGTTCAAGTGATTTTCCCGCCTCAGCCTCTCAAGTAGCTGGGATTTAGGCACCCACCACCATGCCCAGCTAATTTTTTATTTTAGTAGAGATGGGGTTTCACCATGTTGGCTAGGCTGGTCTCGAACTCCTGACTTCAGGTGATCTGCCCTCCTCGGCCTCCCAAAGTGCTGGGATGACAGGCATGAGCCACTGCACTTGGCCGGTGTCTTCCTTCTAAAACATCATAACCACCACACCATTATCACATCTAAAGTGATTATTCCTTAGTGCCATTTAATAATATCCAGCTTATGTTCAAAGTTCTGATTGTTTCATAATTTTCTTTTTTTTTTTTTAAGATTGATTTGTTCACATAAAGGATTCTTAGTTCATCTGCCCATTAAAAGCCACTATTTGTCGTAGAAACCAGTTCATTTAACCTTTAGATTATCACTTCCCCCAGATGTCCTTTAACTTGTTCTCCATCTTGAATGTACTGCTAATTGGTAGTTAAATCAGATTTCAAATTTTATTTTAGGTGGGCACAAGACTACATCATAGATGGTACTCTGTATTTCATTTTGGGTTATATCAGGAAACATTTGATGTCTAGTTGTCTATTTGACTTTTTAATAAAAGCTATACTGAGGTATACTTTATGAAAAAACCAGTTTTAAGTTTATAATTTGAGGTTTGACAAATGTGTACAGTTGTAATAACCACCGCAATCAAGATAATACTCAGTTACCCAGAAAATTCCCTCTTCTTTCTTGCAGTCATCCCCCTTCCAAGTTGATCTATTTTCTATCTCTATAGTTTTGTCTTTTCTAGATTTTCATTATAAATAGAATCCTATAGTAGTAAGTAGTAAGATCATTGTAATATAAAGGCGCTAATTTTTGGCCAGGAGCTGCAGGTCTAATTCCTTCCATTTTTATGTGACAGGGACTTGCCATGAGGTGTTGAAGCCTTGTTTCACTGAGTTGGAGAGACTGGACCTAAATGGCGCAGCATGACTTTGCTCCAGCCTGGCTTAATTTCCCTACTCCACCATCATCAACAAAGGTACTCTTTCTGCATCTTTCTTTCTGTCTGCTTCTCTTGCATTCATTTTTTACACAAATGTAATTAAGTCATGGAGGAGTAATAATATCTTTGCAGAGAAGTACATTTGTGGCTGGGCGCGGTGGCTCACCCCTGTAATCTCAGCACTTTGGGAGGCTGAGGTGGGTGGATCACCTGAGGTCAGGAGTTGAAGACCAGCCTGACCAACATGGAGAAACCCTGTCTCTACTACAGATACAAAATTAGCCAGGCGTGGTGGTGCATGCCTGTATTCCCAGCTATTCAAGAGGCTGAGGTGGGAGAATCACTTGAATCTGGGAGGCAGAGGTTGTGGTGAGCTGAGGTCGCGCCATTGCACTCCAGCCTGGGCAACAAGAGCGAAACTGTCTCAAAACAAAACAAAACAAAAACAAAAACCCAAAACATTTATATTAACATCTAAGTTATTTAATTTGTTGGCTCTATTAAAATTTTTTTTTTGAGACAGAGCTTTGCTCTGTCGCCTAGGCTGGATTGCAGTGGCATGATCTTGGCTTATTGTAGCCTACACCTCCTGGGTTCAAGCGATTCTTCTGCCTCATTCTCCTGAGTATTTGGGATTACAGGTGTGGGTCACCATGCCTGACTAATTTTTGTATTTTTATTAATAGTAGAGGTGAGGTTTTGCCATGTTGGCTAGGCTGGTCTCTAACGCCTGACGTTAAGTGATCTGCCCGCCTCAGTCTCCCAAAGTGCTGGGATTACAGGCATGCGCCACCGTGCCCAGCCTGTTCTATTAGTTAACAAGTCAGTTTTTATTACACCATCAGCGTACACTAAGCCATTTATTTCAAAGTTGTCTTTTGTAGTAATCAGAGTTTCACAAATTTTAATTCTTACCAGTCATATACTTTGAACAGAGCATCTTACCTTTTTCTATACTGTTTTTTACTCTTACATGGATTGACTTGTTAATGATATCCACCATACATGATGTACTTCAGTTTGCAGAGTGCTTTGCTGAACATTATCTAATTTGTTCATAATTCCATGAATGTGGTGATTTAGAATTATTCTTAGTCCCTGCTGTACTCATTTTAAATATTGATCTCCTTTATGAGGGAAAGTAAAATGATTGAGGTGCAGAGTAAAGGGTTTGTGCACAGTCACTTTGGGATGAGGGTGATTTATCTGAGTTTTCTGTGTCTTTCCCCATCTTTCTGTAAAGCTGTTTGCCTCATTTGATATCAAACCCATCCGTTAGGCTCCATTAATTCCCAGCTGATTGCTCTATTGTTTTCATTAATGCCTGAAGGGCCTAAATTTGATCCATGCTCTGATCCAATTTAGTTATGGCAGGTGTAGTTTTGAGGCCCAGTCTCCTGAGGTTGGTTCTGACCCTAGTAGGGCTCTCCTTACGTATCTCTTTCTCAGGTTCATTCAGAACTAGCTGGCCTGTGATTCAGCTTATTGCTCTTCATGCAGAGGAGCTACTTATTTTCTTACTACCAGTATCTCCATTGTTTCTGAGAGGGCTGTTAGTGTTTGAATAAAGTTAGTTCCTTTGAGAGACTGCTTCTTACCCTTGGCAAAATCTTTGAGTCATTACTCCACGTGCTAGGTGGAGCAATAGCCTGAATCTTCTAAGTTTTTCCAGTGTGAAACTACTTATTGCTTATTCAGCTTATTGCTCTTCATGGAGAGGAGCCTCTTATTTTCTCACTACCAGTATCTCCATTGTTTCTGAGAGGGCTGTTAGTGTTTGAATAAAGTTATTTCCTTTGAGAGACTGCTTCTTACCCTTGGCAAAATCTTTGAGTCATTACTCCACGCGCTAGGTGGAGCAATAGCCTGAATCTGAGTTTTTCCAGTGTGAAACTACTGCCCTATTAGATAGCTGGAGCAAGAGCAATTAGGGCCTCAGTGTTCTTGGGCTGATGAACCTGGGGTAGAGCCTTCATTCTGTGAGTGGGGGTTGGGTGGAATAAAGGAGCTCCAGAGTTCTCGACTGTAGTTACCAGAAATTTAACTTCTTCAGTTGGAATTGGAGAGGGTGAGAAATGTTGGCAGTCTGCCTCTCCCAGTAAGGTGTACCCCCCTTGTTTAGAAGATGAGAGAGGGGAAGAAACCTGTCTTCTTGATTACAGCTGCCCAGATTGGATGTGGGGAGGGTAGCTGGTTGTAGCTCAAGTGCTGCAGACTCTTGCAATTGAGTTTTAGTCTGAACAAGTATAACTGGGGAAAACGATTAAAAAACAAAACACCGTGGTCGGGCGTGGTGGCTCACACCTGTAATCCCAGCACTTTGGGAGGCACAGGTGGGCAGATCACTTGAGGTCAAGAATTCGAGACCAGCCTAGCTAACATGGCCCAAACCCCGTCTCTACTAAAAATACAAAAATTAGCTAGGTGCGGTGGCATGAGAATCACTTGAACCCGGGAGGTAGAGGTTGCAGGGAGCCGAGATCGTGCCACTGCAGTCCAGCCTGGGTGAAGGAGTGAGACTCTGTCTCAAAAACAAAACAAAACAAAAAACACTAAAAGTCTGAAAATTATTCTAAGGGCACATAGCAAATGAAGAAACATTTATTTAAGAAAATCTGAAAACTTCGTGTTTCTGTACTATTCTTCTGATAACCTGCTTTACTTTCTCCTTATGAACATTTTTTCAAAGCCTTTTCATATATCTGGAACGCTTTTTTTTTTTCATATAAATAAGACTCGAATGGCTCATGACTACAATTTCAGGAATGTGAATTTTGCAATATCGTTATATATTAGGACTCACTAAGGAATGTTGATTTAACTTATATAAATAAAAATAGAATAGTTTTTTACAGGTACATTTACAGACATTCAAGGAGAGTGCAAATTATTAAAATTGTCTATTTTTAAGATGTGCTAAGAATAAATTTTTGAAGCAGATGCTAGAAATGGACTTTTTTGATAGATTATATGCCACTAGTGATTTCTTTAATAGTCTGCAAAGTGGAAAATAGCGGCGTATTCTGATAAAAAGTTGTAATACAATTTTTTTGGTCAAGTTATTTTGTTAGGGGAGCTTTTTGATGGGCCTTCCCTCCAGCATGATCTAGTGTGTAAACATAAAACAACTACTGCCTGGGTGCGGTGGCTCACGCCTATAATCCCAGCACTTTGGGAGGCCGAGGCGGGCGGATCACCTGAGGTCAGGAGTTTGAGACCAGCCTGACCAACATGGAGAAACCCCGTCTCTACTAAAAATACAAAATTATCCCGGTGTGGTGGTGCATACCTTAATCCCAGCTACTTGGGAGGCTGAGGCTGGAGAATCGCTTTAACCGGGAGGGTGGAGGTTGTGGTGAGCCGAGATTGTGCCATTGCACTCCAGCCTGGGCAAGAAGAGTGAAATACTGTCTCAAAACAAACAAACAAAAAACACAAAAAAACACAACTACAAGTGGTCAAAGATCTACCTGTAACTGTCTAGATATTTGCCTCTAAATAATGAGACAATGCGAATGCAAAGAGCCAGTATGATTAAGAATATGACCATTTTCAGAAAAAGCATATTGACTCTCTTGGGTCAGATATGGTGGCTCACACCTATAATCCCAGTACTATGGGAGGCTGAGGCTGGAGAATCTCTTGAGGCCAGGAGTTTGAGAACAGCCTGGGCAACATGGTGAAACCCTGCCTCTCTACAAAAGTAAATTAAATAAATGAAAATTTTCACACAGATTAAGAGTTTATTTAAAAATATCTTTCTCATAAATACTAGTTAATTTCTTTTCACTTATGAAATTTTTTATAGTAATTTATACTTTTGGTTCAGGCAAGCTGTGTTCATTTTGATTTAAAGTAATTCCTATAGGTGTTTTGACTTTTCTAGACTATAAGACCTGTGTAAAAGAAAAAAAAACAAAAAAACCCCACTTTTTTTCCTCTCTACTCTCAACACAGAACACTTCTATAACCACATAATTTGGATTCTCCCCCTCAAAGCAGTTCTCCAGCAGACACTACCTGGGTATCCTATAATTCATTTCAGTTCTGACACTGTCTGCTTGGGATAGGGTCAGATCCCACAGGTTAAATGTTCAGTCCCACAAGACTGCTTTCACTTCAGATGCCAATAGCCAGTCCCAGTCACCAGTACTCCTCACTGGTTACAAACCAGGATTTCTGCAACCACCCCCATTGGGTCTGAACAATTTGTTGGGATGGCTCAAAGAATTCAGGGAAACACATTTGCTGATTTTATTATAAAGGATACAGGTGAATAGATTGATAATGGTGAGGTATTAGGTGAGGGGAGGTGGTGTGGTGTGTGGAGCTTCCATGCCCTGTCTGGGTGTACTACCCTCCCAGCACTTTCATGTGTTCAGCAATTGGTCTATGGGTGGTGGGGCTGAAAGTTCATACCCTCTAATCACTTGATTTTTCCTGTTACTGGCCCTGTGCTGAGACTGTTGGGGGCCCCAGTCTAAGTGACTATTAACATAAACTTGAGTTATCACAGGGACTTGATAACTTGATTTCACCTCAAGTGATCCGCCTGCCTCTACCTCCCAGTGTGCTGGGATAACAGGCGTGAGCCACCACGCTCGAGCCAGAATCAATTTTATAATTTGGCATTTTGTTCTCCCATAAGGACTTACCAGGTCCTAATAAATTTTGGCCATATGTGTTGAAAAAGATACACTTAAGTTATAAAATTCTCCTATAGAATATAATTTTAGGGTTTGAAGATGGATCTTAGTGATCATCTAAACCTTATACAGATTTTGGAAGGTTAACTGAATTGTTTTCACATAGCTGATTAGTGTGAGCCTAGATTAGAATCCAGGATGTATCTCCTATTCTGTGATCTTTCCATAGGACTCATTTTGGAATTCTGTAAAATGAGTAAAAATTCATAGACTGTAAAAAAGGGATTTGAGGCCGGGCGTGGTGACTCACGTCTGTAATCCCAGCACTTTAGGAGGCCAAGGCTGGTGGATCACCTGAGGTCAGGAGTTCAAGACCAGCCTGGCCAACATGGTGAAACCCCGTTTCTACTAAAAATACAAAAATTAGCCGGGTATGGTGGCACATGCCTGTGGTCCCAGCTACTCGGGAGGCTGAGGCAGGAGAATTGCTTGAACCCGGGAGGCAGAGGTTGCAGTGAGCCCAGATCCCGCCACTGAACTCCAGCCTGGGTGACAGAGCGAGACTCTGTCTCAAAAAAAAAAAAAAAAAAAAAAAAAAAACCAAAAACAAACAAACAAAAAAAAAAACAACAAAACCACACACACAAAAAACAAATAATTAAAATTTAAAAAAAAAGGTACTTGAAATTGTTGGGGAATGGAGACCTCTGTTGATTAAGCCACTGAAATCAATTCTTGTTATTGACTTTTGCCACCTTCTCATTCGTGTGTGGGTCCCTGGAATTCCCCTGTACCGAGCTGCTCTTGTTTGTCTTTTAAGTCAGCATTTTCCCCAGTCCTGCCTGGATGCATATGGGTTTCCTGCTTTCCTCTTTTGTCATTTTCTCTGAAATAAATGTAAGACTTCTTGTAATTTTTAAGTGATTTCATAGCTAACATAAAGCACAGTAATAAAAATTAGCATCTGGGCCGGGTGCGGTGGCTCATGCCTGTAATCCCAGCACTTTGGGAGGCCGAAGCAGGGGGATCACCTGAGGTTGGGAGTTCGAGACCAGCTGGACCAACGTGGAAAAACCCTGTCTCTACTAAAAGTACAAAACTAGCTGGGCTTGGTGGCGCGTGCCTGTAATCCTAGCTACTCGGGAGGCTGAGCAGGAGAATCGCTTGAACCTGGGAGGCAGAGGTTGTAGTGAGCTGAGATCGTGTCATTGCACTTCAGCCTGGGCAACAAGAGTGAGACCCTGTCTCAAAAAAAAAAAAAAAATCTGGAAAGATACACAAAACATTAAAAAAAGCTTGTAAATACTTGTCTTCATTTAAATGTTAACTTGAAGTTAAGATTGGTAATTTAAAAAATTAAAAAAAAAATAGAGACAGGGTCTCACTATCTTGCCCAGGCTGGTCTTGAACTACTGAGCTCAGGAGATGCTTCTGCCTTGGCCTCCCAAAGTGTGATTACAGATGTGAGCCATTGAGCCTGGCTGATAATTGTTAACGTGCGTTGAAATTCTCAATGCTTTTTGGACCTGACTCTTGATTAATTTATATAGGCCCTCATAATGATGATGATTTTACTCTTAGAATTTGGAACACCAGTTCTAAATTCTGAATTCTTCTAATTAAAAATTAGCTTTAGAAAATAGTTGACAATTTAAACTTTTTTTTTTTTTTTTTGAGATGGAGTCTCGCTCTGTCGCCCAAGCTGGAATGCAGTGGTGTGATCTCTGCTCACTGTAACCTCTGCCCCCCAGGTTCAAACGATTCTCCTGCCTCAGCCTCCTGAGTAGTTGGGATTACAGGTTCCTGCTATCACACCCAGCTGATTTTTGTATTTTTAGTAGAGATGGGGTTTCATCATATTGTCCAGGCTGGTCTTGAACTCCTGACCTCAGGTGATCAACCTGACTCGGCCTCTCATAGTGCTAGGATTACAGGCACGAGCCACTGCACCCCGCCCAATTTGAACTCTTAACTAGCAGTATTTGAGATTTGTTTCTTTGCCCAAAGTGGTTTTGACAAACACAATACTTTCTAGTGATACTTTTATTGTACCTTTTCTGTCTTATTCTTTCTCAGAATCATCATTTATGAATTCTATTTGTAATTAACCTCTTGTTTTCTGCCATAGACTTTTGTTTACCCACATCGTTTCTCTTTTTAATATTGTTCTGAGTAATTGGAACAGACATTAATTAGTATTGCATTCTCTACTTAAACGGCAGTATTTATTTTTTGTTTGAAAAGATGACATGAAGATTTGAATTAAGGGTAAAAATGTTTTCAGAACTGTATGGCAGTAGTTTTGAGATGTGTAGAACTTTAGCCCCATCATGTGGTAAAAATTTAAACTGCATGTGGCTGAGTATAAATCTCTTATTTAGGGCAGTGACTTTTAAACTGTTGATTGTGACCTGTAGTGAGAAGGATATTTTACACAGTCTTTTCATTTTCATGTATATGTAACAAATTTTATATACCTGTGGCGCACTAGTTTTTTCTTTTGTGATTTTCTAGTTTTTTTAAATTCCATTAAATAATGCCAATTGTGACTGATCTTATCATTTGTTAATAGGTCCTGACCAGCAGTTTGAAAGTAAGTATTACTGAAAGAATATTGAACAGATATTGAAAAATTTAGATAACTAGCAAATTCCATTTGTTATGCTAGGAAGGATGACAAAATAATCCCTGTAAACAGGATGCTGTATCTTCATAATTGTTTGATGAAAGATTTCGGGGTTGTGGTATTAAAAGGGTAGATGAATGGTATAAAATAGAAAGTTGGAGATTTTTTTTCTTTTTAAACAAAAAATGTGGTGGAACTTTACTATGATGAATACATTTTCATGTTTGTATTCAATAATCTGTAGTTTTCTCTGTAGTGTATAATAGTAGCATTTTTTGATTCTTTTATGGCAGTGTTAAAAAGATTAGTATTACTGTACCAAAACTTTCCTTTGACAATGTAAGCAGTGTCAGCTTGCGATGAAAATGTAGGCTATTTATACTTTTAGGCTAAAAGGATCAGAAAATTCAGCCAGACTGCTAGTCGAGTTCATTGAAACTTTTAATTTGATTTTTGCTGTTCTGAAGGTACATAGCCAGATTTCATTGAAACTTCTGTGGAGAAGGTTTACTGTGTAGATTTTTTGGTTTATTGTTTATTTAGGTATTCTGGGCTTTAGAGAAAATTTTAAATGAAACTTTTTTTTTCAACTTTAGTTTTGTTTTTTTGTTTTGTTTTTTTTGTTTGTTTGTAGAGACAGGGTCTCACTATGTTGCCCAGGCTGGTCTTGAAATCAGTGCTGGGATTATAGGCTTGAGACACTGTACCTGGCCTTAAAACTATTTTTAAAAACAGTCCAGAAAGAAAGGCAGTGTAAGAGGGAATGGATGGAGATGGTCTCTGCCTTACTTGTTGTAATAAAACACTTATATTAAGGTAACAAAAATCTTAAGATGGTAGACACTCTTATCTCCCCCTGCCCCACCATTTACAGATGAGGGAACTCAGCTTGAGAGATTAATTTGCTGAGACATACTAGAGCTGGAATAGGAAGCCATATGTATCAGACTTTAAAATTCATCAGTTTAATAAGTTTTTTTTCTTGATTATTAGGATAGTAGACTAGGTTTCAGAAGTGAAATGCTAAGTTACTTTTATGCATACACCAGAATATATTTTTATTGCAGTTTGGAGAAACATGAAATAACTGTTTTTTCCCTTTTTTTCAAGGATACCATCTCTAGTATCTTTCTATAGTCAGTCATAGGAAATTCATCTCTTTTTAGTGGCTGTGTAAACTTTTGTTGAGTGGATCTATGTGGATTATGTAATTAATTACCTATTAATGGACTAAACTGTAGAAATACCTGGGCATTTCTTTGATAATGGTAAGGTAAATTTCTAGCAGTAGAATTGCTGAATCAGAAGGTTTGTACATTTTGGTAGATAATGCCTAACTGCTCTCCAAAATGTTCGTATCTACTTATAATCCCATTACAGTTTTATGGGGAGGGGGGCAGGTTTTCAGTCTTGGCGACACTGGATGTTTTCATTTTTACGTTTTTGTGAAATTAGATGAAAAGATGGTATTTCGTTTTGATTTGCATCACTTAATGACGATGGAGCATATTTTTGTGTTAGAAATTTTATCTCAGAATTGCTTATGTAGTGTATTTCTTAGTGATTTATAGCTCCTTTCATATTGGGTTATGTTTGACTATATTTTTTATTAAAATTTTTTTTTTCATATGGCGCCCCAGAACTGAGCAGATGCCATTTATATTGCAAATGTTTTTCTACAGCTTGTTTGATATTTTAAAAAATGTCCTTAATTTTTTTTCCCTCTTAGAGACAGGGTCTCACTGTGTTACCCAGGCTGGTCTTGAACTCCTGGCCTCGGCTTCCTGAGTAGCCGGGACTACACGCGTGTGCCACCACGCCCAGCTAATTTTTGTATTTTTAGTAGAGACAGGTTTCACTGTGTTAGCCAGGATGGTCTTGATCTCCTGACCCCTTGGTCCTCCTACCTCAGCCTCCCAAAGTGCTGGGATTACAAGTATGAGCCACCGTGCCCGGCCTCTATAACTGTTTTCTTTATACTCTTTCCAGAAGTTTGTCAGATTAGCTCCAATTCTTGGTGCTATCAGTGGTACCTTATCATGGTTGAAACTTTTTCAAGAATACCTTGCAGGATCAATATTCAATATAATCAATGGACATTCCATGCTCTCTACCATCCACAGACATCTGGTATTGTGAAGTAGTACTAGAAGAGCCGCCTCAAAATTCAGCTCAAAACAAGTTAAAACTCCACCTTCCTTACCTCCTCACACCTCCGTAAGGCTGTTTGGTCAATGAATGCAGCATAACTAAAGAAATGTCTTCATAGTCGCTTCTGGGTATAATTGGTATAAAAGAAATGAGAAATTGTGAGAATGTAGACATTTTAGTTATATATATATTTTAAAATTATATATATAATTTTAAAATTTATAATTTTAAAAAATATATATATTTGTTTATTTTATTTTATTTTATTTTTGAGATGGAGTCTCGCTCTTTCCCCCAGGCCGGAGTGCAGCGATGCTATCTCGGCTCACTGCAAGCTCTGCCTCCTGGGTTCATGCCATTCTCCTGCCTCAGCCTCCCGAGTAGCTGGGACTATAGGCGCCCGCCACCACACCTGGCTAATATTTTGTATTTTTAGTAGAGACGGGGTTTCACCATGTTAGCCAGGATGGTCTCGATCTCCTGACCTCATGATCCGCCCGCCTCGGCCTACCAAAGTGCTGGGATTACAGGCATGAGCCACCGCGCCCGGCCTTAAATTATATTTTTAATTAAAATTTTTTCTAGAGACAGGGTCTCAGACTATGGCCCAGGCTGGAGTACAGTGGCGTGATCATAGCTTGGTGCAACCTGGAACTCCTGATCCTCTTTTTTTTTTTTTTTGAGACAAAGTTTCTCTTGTTGCCCAGGCTGGAGTGCAGTGGCACAATCTCAGCTCACTGCAGCCTTTGCCTCCCAGGTTCAAGCATTTCTCCTTTTCCATCCTTCCGAGTAGCTGGGACTACAGGCAGATGCCACCATGCCCGGCTAATTTTTGTATTTTTAGTAGAGACGGGGTTTCACCATATTGTTCAGGCTAGTCTCGAACTCCTGACCTCAGGCAGTCCACCTGCCTCAGCCTCCCAAAGTGCTGGGATTACAGATGTGAGCCACTGTGCCTGTCCTCAAATGATCCTCTCTAGTCAGCCTTTCAAGTAGCTGGGACTACAGGTGCGCACCACCATGCCCAGCTAATTTTTTTGTAGAGATGGGGTCTTGCTATGTTGCCAAGGCTGGTCTTGAACTCCTGGCCTCCCAAAGCACTGGGATTATAGGCGTGAGCCACTGTACCCAGTTTATAGTTTTAAAATTCGGGATTATGACCTGACCATCCCTGGACATGATGTTGCTTTCCCCTAAGAGTAATTAAAGTCCAGGCCATACCACAGGGTGATAGCTTGGCCAAAATGGAATCTAAATAATTCTAACTTATTAGATTCTCTTGGGTTGACATCCTAGATCATGAAGACAATGACCATTTGCTTGAGTGAACTGCTCACCTACTCTCCCCCTACAGTATCCATTGAGAACGAAGGTAGGGGACACAGTGGATCACTGCAAATTACATAAAAATGCCCCCATCTCATTCACATCTTACCTCCCCAGATGAAAAGTCTAGGTTCAAGTAGGAGATTTTCTTTTTTTCTTAAGTGAAGTCACAGCTCTTGTACTTTAAAGACTGACATATAGCCAGCACAGTAAAATATGAGTAAGAAATACAATAGGACTAAAAAGGAAGATAGAAAACTGGTATTATTTCGCCGGGCACGGTAGCTCATGCCTGTAATCCCAGCACTTTGGGAGGCCAAGGCGGGCGGATCATGAGGTCAGGAGATCTTGACCATCCTGGCTAACATGGTGAAACCCCGTCTCTACTAAAACCTGGCTAACATGGTGAAACCCCGTCTCTACTAAAAATACAAAATATTAGCCAGGCGTGGTGGCGGGCGCCTGTAGTCCCAGCTACTCGGGAGGCTGAGGCAGGAGAATGGCATGAACCCGGGAGGCGGAGCTTGCAGTGAGCCAAGATCGTGCCACTGCACTGCACCCTGGGAGTCAGCAAGATTCCTTCTCAAAAAAAAAAAAAAAAAAAACAAACTGGTATTATTTGTGAACAATTAACTGTCCATATTAAAAAAAACTCCGACAGATTCTACAAAGTAAGAATTAAGATTGCTAGACACAAGACTAACCAATTTCATGGCTGTGGAGGGAGAGCAGACAACTCCAACACTTGAGAAACACATTACCCCAGGAGGTGCAGAAAGGTGAACAATTAATGCCCTCTCTGTACCGTTGAACCAGCATCACTGCCTGAGTCAAACAGCAGCTGGAGGAGATGACACTGACACACTGCTAGATTTGTCACCTCTGTCCACATGCTTTGAACTTGGAAAAATTGATGTGGACATGGGCAGTCAGCTATCCTGCTACTCCTGATGCCATCAATGCAGCTCCTAAATCTGCATTTGAACACTCAGATCCATACAACCTTGTTTCGTTATGATTAATAACAATTCATATGCTTATCCAGATACCTGAAAGTTAACGACATGTGTAGCAACTGAGGCTCCAGTTACTTTGAGACAGTGTTCATGTTTCTGAACTAAGCTATTAACAGTAATCCAAATCAAGTTTAACAACAGATCTTGGAGTGACCTGTGTCCCTTGGGGTGGTTGGTTTTTATGTGAGAGAATGAGATACAGGACATCTCTCTATTGACAATGAGGGGTAACTTTTGGCCCATTTGTTGCCCTTGTAATTGTTAATGAAAGACACCAACAGTCAGGTCGGTTTAAATTCCTGTTAATGAACTGTAATGGATAATCATGGCCTTAGACCATATCCTGGCAAAATTACTTATTGGTGGTTCCCAACCTCCACCAGCGTTCCTCCTTCCAGGGTTTATTCAGTTGGCTGGGTCCTGACCTCACTTGAGATGTTGATAATAGACTTAATTAAATGCTGTATAAGACCAGTTAAATGAATTTTGTTCTAGTCTCTGTCAGGAAGATTAATATGAGTTACTAACAGTGGAATAATAATGGGAAAATTCAAATTCAGCCAAGAATGTATAGGGCTGATGGGTAGATCATTGAGAGAGGCAATTCATCCTGGGCTCTGAGCATTTTTGCTTTTTTTTTTTTTTTTTTTTTTTTGAGATTGAGTCTTGCTCTGTCACTCAGGCTGGAGTGCAGTGGCGCGATCTCAGCTCACTGCAGCCTCCGCCTGCTGGGTTCAGGCAGTTCTCATACTTCAAGTCACTGGGATTACAGGTGTGCGCCACCAAGCCTGGCTAATTTTTGTATTCTTTTTTTTTTTTTTTTTTTTTTTTTTTTGAGACAGAATTTCGCTCTATTGCCCAGGCTAGAGTGCAGTGGTGCGATCTCTGCTCACTGCAAGCTCCGCCTCCTGAGTTCATGCCATTCTCCTGCCTCAGTCTCCCAAGTAGCTGGGACTGCAGGTGCCCGCCACCGCGCCTGACTAATTTTTTGTATTTTTAGTAGAGACGGGGTTTCACCATGTTAGCCAGGATGATCTCGATCTCCTGACCTCGTGATCCTCCTGCCTTGGCCTCCCAAAGTGCTAGGATTACAGGCGTGAGCCACCGTGCCCGGCCTGTATTCTTTTGAAATTATTTTTTAACTTTTGGAGGTGGAGTCTCGCTCTGTTGCTCAGGCTGGAGTGCAGTGGTGCAATCTTGGCTGACCGCAACCTCCACCTCCCAGGTTCAAGCAGTTCTCCTACCTCAGCCTCCTGAATAGCTGGGATTACAGGCACCCACCACCATACCCAGCTAATTTTTGTACTTTTAGTGAATTTAGTGTATTTAGTGAGCCGTTTCACCATTTTGGCCAGGCTCGTCTCAAACTCCTGACCTCAGGTGATCTGCCCACCTCACCCTCCCAGAGTACTGGGATTACAGGCATGAGCCACCACACCTGGCCTAATTTTTGTAGAGATGGAGTTTCACTGTATTGACCAGGCTAGTCTCAAGCTCCTGACCTCAAGTGATCCACCTGCCTCAGCCTCCCAAATTGCCGGGATTATGGCCATGAGACACTGCACCCAGTCCCCTACACGTTCTTGCTTGTATGCCAAGAATGCAAAATCTTGACTACACTTTGCATGGGCCGTTTCTTGGTTGTTTGCAGTAAGCAACATTGAGGGACAAAGACCAAGCTCTTTATATATGTGGTTGATTTGCCAAACTCAGTGCAAGGGCAGCATCCACCTGGGCCCCTCCCTGTCAATCCCCAAAGGTCTTAGGGGGCTGTACAGAACCAGTGCCAACATCACGCTTATGCTGCTTGCTGTACCATGAGTAATAAAGTCTTTGTCTCATGTCTTTTGCCAGCATCCATGAAACAGTATCCAGGCTAGCTTGTTAGCTTGCACAGATGGTAACATCCCAGACTCTTGAAAGACTCTGACATATAGCCAGCATAGTAAAATATGAGTAAGAAATAACAGGTAACAGGACTAAAGGGCAAGATAGAAAACTGGTATTATTTATGAACAGTAACTGTCCGTATAAAAAAATCCCAACAGACATGCTACAAAGTATGAATTAAGGTTACTAGAAATAAAGTTGCTAGATAAAAGACTAATACAAGATAGAATTGTAAGTGCAACAAAGACTTAAGGCTTTAAAAAATATTTAAAATAGTAACAAGTACCCTGTTTAATTACTTCTTTATATGTTTAAATACTTCATTAAAACCACCTATATAGTCTTTTTAGAATATCAAAGCTAGCTGGGCGTGGTGGCTTACACGTGTAATCTCAGCACTTTGAGAGCCCAAGGCGGGCAGATCACAAGGTCAGGAGTTCGAGACCAGCCTGGCCAATATGGTGAAACCCCATCTCTACTGAAAGTACAAAAATTAGCCAGGTGTGGTGGTGGCCACCTGTAGTCCCAGCTACTTGGGAGGCTGAGGCAGGAGAATCATTTGAACCTGGGAGACGGAGGTTGCAGTGAGCTGAGATTGCACCATTGCACTCCAGCCTGGGTGACAGAGCGAGACTCTGTCTCAAAAAAAAAAAAAGTCTGCATCTATATCTGTATCTCAAAGCTGGGTGCAGTGGTGCATGCCTGTAGTCCCGGCTGCTCAGGAGGCTGAGGCAGGAGCATCACTTGAGGCCAGGAGTTCAAGTCTGGCTTGGGCATATAGATCTGTCTCTAAGGGGGAAAAAGATCCCCTCCATTCTTTATTTTACTCAGATTTCAGCGGGGGAAATTTTTTTAAGGAAATTAAAAAAAATAAGCTGTAGAAAAATATTTGCAGTATAAATGGCATCTGCTCAGTTCTGGGGCATAATACAAAAAAATTTTTAAAATGCTATAAGGTGCTAGGATAAATCTATTGAAATACATGCAAGACTGAAAAAAAAAAACTAACCATAAAGACTTAAAAGATGACAAATATAAGTATAGATATACATGTGCATTTCCCTCCCTACTGAGAGAAGTAAGCAAGCATATATGTATGTGTATGTTTTCTAACCCAGTAATGAATAATTGTCTGGGCTGAGTGCAGTGGCTCACTCCTATAATCCCAGCACTTTGGGAGGCCAAGGCAGGTGGATCACTTGAAGTCAGGAGTTGAAGACCAGCCTGGCCAATAATGATCAAACCCCGTTTCTACTAAAAATATAAAAATTAACCGGTTGTGGTGGTGGGTGCCTGTAATCCCAGCTGCTCACGAGGCTGAGGCAGGAGAATCGCTGGAACCCAGGAGGTGAAGGTTGCAGTGAGCCAAGATCGTGCCACTGCACCCCAGCCTGGGCGACAGAACAAGACTCCATCTCAAAAAAAAAAAAAAAAAAAAAAAAAAAAAAAAAAAAAGGAGTTGTCTGTCTTCTCAACCCTTACTGTCATTATATATTGGCCAATGGGCAAGAGGTGCCAGCTTTGTTCTAATCTTGCATTTTGATTACAAGAGAACCTGGCTATGTTTTCATGTGATTTGTGGCTCTTTAATTTTTGAGAACTGGCTTTTTGCTCATGTTTTCCCCATTAGGTTGTCCTTATTTGTATTGATTTATAGAGCTCTATTTTCCTTTCCTTTCCTTTTCCTTTTTCCTTTTTCTTTCTCTTTCCCTTTCCCTTTCCTTTTCTTTTTTTGATGGAGTCTTACTCTGTCTCGTCCAGGCTCTGGAGTACAGTTGTGTCATCTCGGCTCACTGCAACTGCAACCTGCCTCCCAGGTTCAGGCAATTCTCCTGTCTCAGCCTCCCGAGTAGCTGGAACTACAGGCGTGTGCCACCACACATGGCTAATTTTGTATTTTTTGTAGAGATGGGGTTTCACTGTGTTGGCCGGACTGGTCTGGTCTCGAACTCCTGACCTCAGGTGATCTGCCCACCTCAGTACCCCAAAGTGCTGGGATTACAGGCGTGAGCCACCATGCCTGGCCTTTTTCAAACATTTATTGATCATTTTCATGCATTTTCTTTTTAGATTACTGAGACGACTTGTTAAAATTTTCCCTTCCCTTCCCATCCCGTTGCATCGCATCGCGTCCCGTCCCGTCCCGTCCCGTCCCGTCCCTTCTCACATGCAATGGCGTGATCTCGGTTCACTGCAACCTCCCCGCCTCCCAGGTTCAAGCGATTCTCTTGCCTCAGCCTCCCGAGTAGCTGGGATTACAGGCATGTGCCACCACACCTGGCTCATTTTTTTGTGTTTTTAGTAGAGACGGGGTTTCTCCATGTTGGTCAGCTGGTCTCGAACTCCCAATCTCAGGTGATCCGCTTGCCTCGGCCTCCGAAAGTGCTGGGATTACAGGTGTAAGCCACCGCGCCCGGCCTAAAATTAAATTCTTTAAAAAAACTGTTGGAAGTTTTGATTGTGGTTTTATCAGATTAGTAGATTAATATTTGGGGCTAGTGACTTTTATACATTGTTAGAACTTTTCTGTATTTCTAATTTTTTGGAATACTTATTGTACATTCTTTTATTTTGATACCTTTTTAAAAACACTTGGTTTGGGGAAGAGGAATATGGAAATAAATTTAAGGGACTTAGAACTGAAGATTCATTTGACAATTTTTCTCTGATGTAGAAGGAAACTGAGCTGTAGTGAAAATTTATATCAAGTAGTGTATGATAAAGACTTAACATTTTGTTGAGAAACATCGTATTTTAACTTGTTTTCCATACAGTGGCATTTTACCTTTATATTTTTTGGAAAAAAAGATGTCGAACTCTAAGCACATGTGCTTGTTTCCATTAGATAGAAGAAAATGGACCATCGGTGAATCCATTATACAGTTACCCAGTTATCAAATACCTTGAAAATAACTGCAATATGTTTTTCTTAATCATTTAAAATTTTTGGAAATAAGTGAAGTTGGAGTATTACTAGTTTTTAAAGTTATATTTAGGTTTCATAAATACCTGTATTTTTATAATTTGTTTCAGTCGTCATTGAATTTTGAGAAGCATTCTGAAAACTTTGCATGGACAGAGAATCGTTATGATGTGAACCGTCGACGACACAACTCTTCAGATGGCTTTGATTCTGCTATTGGGCGTCCTAATGGAGGTAAAATTTGCTAAGGAATGATGTTTATGGCTAATTTTCTTTATGATTTTTAAAGAATGTTTTGATGTGATTCAATCTTTAAGCTTCTCTTCTTTGAATTTATATTACTTTGCTATTATCAAATAAAGGTAACTTTGGAAGGAAAGAAAAAAATGGATGGCGTACACATGGAAGAAATGGTACAGAAAACATAAATCATCGAGGTGGATACCATGGTGGAAGTTCCCGTTCTCGTAGCAGTATTTTCCATGCAGGAAAAAGCCAAGGACTACATGAAAACAACATACCTGACAATGAAACCGGGAGGAAAGAAGACAAGAGAGAACGCAAACAGTTTGAAGCTGAGGATTTTGTAAGTTTTTTATGACTTTTATACAAATGAAGTTTCTGTAAGTGCTATTTTAAGTGATTCTCCTGCCTCAGCCTCTCCAGTATCTGGGATTACAGGCATCCACCACCAGGCCCGCCTAATTTTTATATTTTTGTAGAGACAGGGTTTCACCAGGTTGGCCAGGCTGGTCTTGAACTCTTGACCTCAGGTGATCCACCTACCTCAGCCTCCCAAAGTGCTGGGATTACAGCCACTGTGCCACTGCGCACTGAGCCACTGTACACTGAGCTACTGCACCCGGCCAAAATACTGTATTTCTTAAATTACAGAAAAATTGACCCAGTGTACAGTCATATTTATCTAGTTCTTGCGATTCATTCTTGATAATTTAAAAGCTAGATAGAATTTGCACTCTTTTTATATATTCATTGTCAATTCTTATTCAGTATATATGAGTGACTCTGAGTCAGCTGGTGTTCTTGGCACACGCAATACATACTGGATTGAGATAGGCAAAGCCCTTACTCTTACCAAGTTTCTGTTCTCTAAGCAAGTAATATTTTGTAGTGAATTTAGACAGGAAGTGACATTTAATTTGGAACATACTTGATAAGCAGCGAGCTTTTGTTAAGACTGAAAGGAAGAGAGAGAGAGCTCATGCCAAGATGCGATCATCCTTGGTTTATCTTATTTTTTTCATGTTTGTGTGTGTGTATCAGGGTGGGGGGTGGTGGTGGAATTGAGACAGGGTCTCACTCTTTTGCCTAGGCTGGAGTTCATAGCTCACTGCATCTTCAAACTTCTGGGCTCAGGCAGTCCTCTCTTGTCTCAGCCTCTTGAGTAGCTCCTCTAGGACTACAGATGCACACCACTACACCTAGCTCACTATGTTGGCCTAGTTGGTCTTGAACTTCTGGCCTCAAGCAATCCTCCGACCTCGGCCTCCCAAAGGGCTGGGATTATAGGTGTAAAAAGTAAAGTAGAGGTTCTTCAAAGAGACTTTCTTCCTAGTCTAATTAAGAATAATTAGTAACTCTTCTTAGAAGCAGTATTTATTCAAACACTTATGCTAACATTCTTAATTATCTGCTAGCTGTAATAAAGAAATCAACGTACTTTATGTTCTTAGCTCCTACAATTAAGCCTAAATATTTGCCTTGGCATGCTTATACCAATCCAAGCAGGCATTAAGTCATAGACTGTTCTTCCTTATTTGGAGGTGTTTTTACCTTTATCAGCATTCCACAAGTTACTTCCTCCTTCCTTTGTTCTCTGCCTTTGCCTCTTTTAAAAAGTTTAAAAACTTTTTGAAAAGTTCTAAGGTGCTAGCCAATCAGGACAAATACAGAATGTGAAGTCCTGTTCCAGCCAATAGAAACTGGACACAGCAGTAAAGTAGATGCGTCAAGTTATAAATGACCCTGTCTCCTTTGTTCGGTGTACTCTCATGGCAAAACTGGTGGCGAGTGTGTCCTTTCTGCAGAAAGTAAAAATGGCCTTGCCGAGGAAGTTAAATTTATGTTCAAGTGCTATTTATTTACGGCACCAAAGAACAAGCATTTCTAACATAGGCATGAGTCATCATACCCAGCCAACCTTGTTATGTTTAAGGGATAAAAGGCTAGTATGAGTAAAGAGTAGTTTAGTATTAGACAAGGTTAGAGAGAGAGGAAAGGATTTAAATTGAATGGAATTTTTGCAGGTCATCAAAGTACAGAATTTTGGTTTAATTACAAGGTGAATGAGAAGCTGGTTTAGAGAGGAGTCACGTGATGCATTGTTAGTTTTTACAGTTCTTAGGTCTTGAACGGATTATAGCAAAAGAGAATACTTCAGGAGAAAATGATGGCTTGAACTGGGTAGTTGAGATAAATGAAAATAAATAGTTTTTGGATATGATTTGGAAGTATTTTGGATGGAAGGTTTCAGTAAGAGGAAAAATTTGATAGATTGGGTTTAGGGCGAGGAGTGGTGAGGGAAATAGAAAAATAAAAGATTACTCTTAGGTCCTGTTATCAAGTAACTTTGTAATTACTCTGTATTCTCATGTTAGTGATCTGTTTTTTCCACTTAATAATCATAACATTAAAATTTTACAGTATAGTTGACCCTTGAATAACACAGAGGTTAGTGGTACTGATCCCCCCTTGAAGTCCAATTTGCTTATAACTTTTGGCTCCCCCAAAAACTTAACTACTAGTAGCCTACTGCTGACCAAACTCTTGATTATAATATAAACAGTTAACACATATTTTGTATGTGTATTGTATACTGTATTCTTACAGGTAAGCTAGAGAAAAACTGTTACTAAAGTCTTAAGAGGAAATATATTTACTATTGATTAAGTGGAAGTGGGTCATCATAAAGGTCTTTGATTCTTGTCTTGATGTTGAGTTGACTGAAGAGGAAGAGAAGGGGTTGGTCTTGCTGTCTCAGGTGGCACAGATGGAAGAAAATCTAGATGTAAGTGGATTTGCATAGTTCAAACTTGTGTTGTTCAAGGTTCAACTGTATAAACAAACTCTGGGAATGGTAATAGTACTCTCATAGTGTTGTGAGGGTTAAATTAGTAATACAATTAAATTACTTAAAACTGTGTGTGACACATAGTAAGCACTCAATAAAAACTAATTGCTGTTGTTATTTTCATATCCCACCCCCATTCTCAAGATGTGGTTGTCATTGGCTATTATAATCCTAGACTTGGCAGAGTATAATTTCTAATAGTATACTTTAAAGATGCTATGCACATGTAACCACCGCCAAAATCTTAATTCTGTTTAGTTTGTATCTCTGAAGGAATCATGGTGGTATGCATGTATATTTGCTTTACAATAATCTCAGTACAATGTTAGTAATCATTTTTTAGGTGATTAAAATGTTTATATTAAAATTGATTTTATTTAATATATATTAAGTACCTTCTTTAAAAGAGGCAGTTTGTGTGCTAGGAAAAATACCTGATAGAATACTGGAAATTTAGGATTTTGGAGGATAAACGCATCTACCAAGATTAGCTTTAGAGCACTCATTCAATGCTCATCTCACTTTTGTTTTTAATAATCCTGAATATCACTTGTTGAAATACAGATTTGGACTTGGCTTTGGCTTTGATAGTGCGTGTGTTAACTAGTGATGACAACTTTAAGAATTGGGGCTGGGTTCAGTGGCTCATGCCTGTTTTCCCAGCACCTTGGGAGGCTGAAGTGGGAGGTTCAAGTGAAGCCACGAATTTGAGACCAGCCTGGGCAACATAGCAAGACCCATTATCTACAAAGTTTTTATTAAAAAATTAAAATTATTGGGGCCAGTCTAATCACTTGAGCCCTTAAAAGCAGAGAAGTTTCTCCAGCTAAAGTCAGATGTGCAGCAGAAAAGGAAATCCAAGAGCTTTCACGTGTGAGATGGATTTGATGTGCAATCACTGGCTCTGAGATACAGTTGCCCAGATACAAAGCTAAAAAGAGAATTCTCAAAGCTAATAGAAATTCCCAGGTGACAGCCAGCAAGGAAATGGAGACCTCAGTCCTACAGCTACAAGAAACTGGATTGTGCCCACAATTTGAGTGAATCTTCCTATAACCCATGCTGTCAACACAGATTATAGCTTGGTGAAACCTGAAGCAGAGAAACCAGTCAAGCCAACCCAGACTTCTGATCTACAGAGCTATGAGATAATAAACATGTGTTGCTATAATGAAAAAAAAAATTAAAATTATTATTAGTCCAGGTGTGGTGGCTCACTCCTGTAATCCCAGCACTTTGGGAGGCAGAGGCAGGTGGATCACTTGAGGCCAGGAGTTGGAGATCAGCCTGGCCAACATGGTGAAACTCCGTCTGTACTAAAAATACAAAAATTAGCTGGGCATGGTGCTGCTCACCTGTAATCCCAGCTACTTGGGAGGCTGAGACAGGAGAATCACCTGAACCCTGGAGGCGGAGGTTCCAGTGAGCTGAGATCGTACCACTTCACTCCACCTGGGTGATAGAGCAAGACTGCATTTCAAAAAAAAAAAATCTGATTTTCCTCTTCTCTGATCTTGACCTTATGCTAAGGAGGGATTATTTCTTAGACTGATGCAAAGACCTCCATTCTCTTGAGTTTTTCTTTTCTTTTTTTTTTTTGTTTTAAATGAAAGCAAGTTTATTAAGAAAGTAAAGGAATAAGAGAATGGCTACTCCATAGGCAGAGTAGCCTGTTTTTTAACCCTGACTTTTTTCTTAGTTATGGATAAGGAAACTTAAACACACTCTTGTTTTCTCTGACCAGCAATTAGTATAGATAGTAACTAGTTTAATGGTTAGCAAAGTAAGCTGAGAGTAAGGTTTATGAGTAATTCATGTTTAATACAGGCTGAATGTCCTTTATCTGAAATGCTTGGGACCAGAAGTGTTTTGGATTTTGGATTTTTTTCAGATTTTACGTTTATTATTTCAGCATCCTGTTTCTGAAAATCCAAAATCCAAGTGCTTCAATGAGTAGGCAGAGCGTGACACTGGCACTCAAAAAGTTTCAGATTTTGTAGCTTTTCAGATTAGGGTTATTCAACCTGTAGCTAAGAGTTGGTCATATTTGATTCATCAGTTACAACATGTATGATTCTGAGATTGGTTTTAAATGATTTATTTTTAAAATGTGAAATGTTTATTCCAACTTTCTTCCAGCCGTCTTTAAATCCTGAGTATGAGAGAGAACCAAATCACAATAAGTCTTTAGCTGCAGGTGTGTGGGGTAAGTAATTTTTTATCTATATTTGAGGGGCACAAAATGTTGATATTTATAGGTTTCACTTTTTGTGTTTTTTAAAATAGAGAGCAGGCTAGAATAAAACTTTCTTTTTAAAGTATTTGTATTTGATGTGCTTAGCTACAAAAAAGGTAACATTCGTCTTTAAAAAGGAGGATTGGAATAGAAGAGTTTGAAGTAGTTGATTTGCACATGTTAGTATCATTAAACATACTCAACTTGAATATGACTTAAATGATAATAAGTTAGTGTAATGAATTGATACCATTTTGAGAGCAGCTGGATAATGTAAAGAAACAAACTGAGTTTAAATTAATTTTTAGTTGTTCAAAGTTGAAAACTTTAACTGGAAATACTTCTGATCATAGTGTGACATGAAGTTAATATTTTTACCTATGAAAGTGGTTACGTATATATATATACACATATATGTATAGACTGTTACAGATAATTGTATAAATTTGCTTGTGGAGCTAGTCTATATTTGAAGTTATTTGTCTCTGATTTCTGATTTTCAAAGCTTAATGAGAGTTCTTCTAGAAATAACCCAGCCCCCATTTTTTTTTAAAAGACTGCTGACAGTTCAATTTGTTAGCATTTTACAGAAGATTAAACTGAACTCATATAGTACAATTTAGACAGCTTTTTTAAAGATTCAAGTGAAGTTTAAAATAATGGAAAATTTTATACTAAGATTTGACATCTGAAAAATAAAATTAATCATTTGATACTAAATTCAGAGGTGCTCAATCCATGTTGGAACTTAAACACATGTTCATTTGTATTTTTCTATTGAAAATCAACTCACTAAAACAAAAGGATTGTGGCTTTTGACAGCATACTAGTCCTAACAGTAAAGGCATTATTTTAAACTTTGCCACTTCCTGTGCTATATTGTATGTATGAGGTGAAACTCGGGAATTATTTTGTTTTCTTTTGATCTTCCTCTTTATTTAAGGGCTTTTTGAGGGTGGGGGTGGGGGTGGTCAGACACTTTTGTTAGAACCATGTGAATGGCATTGTTTTTTCTGTATTGCAAATTAGTATTTCTACCACTCTCCCCAGGCCTACACGCCCAGACACACACATACCCAACCAAAAAAATCTCCCAAGCTCCTCTCTTAGGTATGTTTCCTTATTATTCAGTTTTTCTGGGAACAACTGATTGCATAAGAATATAGAACCACCTGGAAGGTGTTAAATAGAATCTCTAAGAAATTAGGAATAATTTGGATTTGATTAGAATGAAAGTTTTAAAAATCAAGAATGCCAGTGAGCGTTTGTCATATAAAACTATCTATAGATACTATTGGTACTGATCCTGGGTTGATTTAATAATCTTAGAAATGATTTAGAGACAAAGACATATTTGAAAATAATGAGAGTAAAATGTATTAATATGAAGATTTTGGTTCTACTGTTTCAGGGTTGGTCTAAGGATTTTGAGTACTAGTTGAAAAGATGTTCAAAAGGAAGATGTACTCTTTACTGTGTTTAGGTAAACTAAGAAATGTGTCTGCATAAACAAAAAAAGAAAATGGTTAATTGTGGAATGGTTAATTGTTAAATTCCCAGTACTTCCCATAGGAATACAATGAAACTCTCATTGTATCACACTTTACTATTCCTCTCTCACTTTCCCCCCTGGGTTCCCAAGTATTGTTTTCCCTATTGCAACATTTAAAATAGCTATGTTCCTGAGGAAGACGAGAATTTTAGGAAAGACTTCAATAGAGCTTTTCTAGTGCTACTTCCTTCCAGGTAAGTAAAAATTTACTAACGAAAATATAATATTTATTAAAAAAAAAAAGCAATTTGTCCCTGAAACTATAATTTTGTAGATTGAAAACTGGCAGACTTAAACATGATGCCCCAATTTGAGAAATACCCTGCGGGGAATGTAGTTAAGTGATTTATAATATAGCTACATAAATTGAATTCTGCTTAGAACCTAGTTGGCTTTACTGGAAACACCCTCATGCAGCTTATATCTGTGACTTCAATAGTGTTTTTATGTTAACCAGAATCATAGCTATTAGGTACATAAAATTAATGGTTATTAAATAGTCCATCTCCACGCTGTTAATTTAAAACTAAAACAGGAATTCAAGCTGCCTATGAGAATTTAAAAATAATGTAATTGTTTGATTGATTTCTTTGGTGAGTGAGGAAGAAAGAGTGATGTATGTTCAAGTGTTAGTGTGCAGTTGAGTTGAGTTGCATTAATAATTAGTGGCGACCAGGCATGGTGGCTCATGCCTGTAATCCCAGCACTTTGGGAGGCCAGGGCAGGTGGATCACCTGAGGTCGACACCAGCCTGACCAACATGGAGAAACCCCATCTCTACTAAAAATAAAGAATTAGCCGGGTGTGGTGGCGCATGCCTGTAATCCTAGCTACTCGGGAGGCTGAGGCAGGAGAATCGCTTGAACCTGGGAGGCAGAGGTTGCGGTGAGCCGAGGTCGCACCATTGCACTCCAGCCTGAGCAACAAGAGTGAAACTCCGTCTCAAAAAATAAATAAATAAATAAATAAATTAGTGGCTACTGATCATGTGTTTTTAGAAGTCCTATGGAGTACTGTTTTTGTGCCAGTGACCATGTCAGCAACATACTATTGGCAGAACTTAACATTTACTTAAGATATTAAAAAATCAGAAATTTCAGTGACTAGTAATTAGCTTAAGCATGGTCTTCTTCCAACTCAGCATTTATATATTTTTTCAGCTCCTTGGTAGTTTGATGAGCTTTCTTGATTTTAGCTCATATTTGATATACTACTTAAGAACATAAAGGTTCATTGCTCAGAGTTCTTTTGGTTTGTTGAGCATTCTGAATCAAAGCAAATTAGTCACCAGTTAATATAAATGGATTGTTTTCTAGAGAATTCCAATATTTGCCACAAGCATACAGATTGAGTGACATAATTGCATTCAGTGAGGTAAATTATGATGAAAGCCAATGGGGATTGATTTTATTAATAGGAACTTTGGTAAACAGAATTAAGGGAAGGGAAAATTCTTCGTTGGATTTTTTTGACAGTATTCTGTTGATGAATTGCTTTGTATGTTGAAATGACTTTTAATATCTGTCTTATATGAAAACAGTTGTTGAAATTATAGTGTTTTAAGAAAAAAGTAGTACAACGTGTTCATGGTTGAAAAGGGAAAATTAATAGGATTTGAGTAGACAGCTTGATACAGCTTGACCCAAGTACATTTTATTTGGTCTGAATTACTTGTTCACCATGGAAATTGTTGATATTTGTGAAATGCATTTCTTTAAGCATGTTCTTTATATGAATAACGTTGAGAGCCCCCGTTAAAGGGGGAAAGTACCATATCGATTGGTGTTGATATAAATTATAACAGTTAGTGAAACTCATTTGACTAAAACTCACAGTATTGTAAACCAAAATAGATTTGTTAATAAAATAAAGACGTTAAAAACCAGCTGGGCGTGGTTGCTCATGCCTGTAATCCCAGCACTCTGGGAGGCCAAGGTGGGCTGATCATCAGAGGTCAGGAGTTCAAGACCAGCCTGGCCAAAATGGTGAAACCCGTTTCTACTAAAAATACAAAAATTAGCTGGGCGTGGTACTGTGTGCCTGTAATCCCAGCCACTTGGGAGGCTGAGGCATGAAAATCGCTTGAACCGGGGAGGCAGAGTTTGCAGTGAGCCAAGATCGCGCCACTGCACTCCAGCCTGGGCGACAAAGAGACACTCCATCTCCGAACAAACATTAGAAACCAACAACATTCAAACAGCACCAATTGTTGTAAAAATGATCTTAAACATTTTTTTTGGTATTAAAACTAGTGTTCACAATAGAAATTTGTTTAAATTGCTGCCTTATAGAGTCTTTGCATTTGGTCTGTGTATGTACTATTGTCTTAGTGATAAGTTTTCTCTTCAAATTAATTGGAAAGCTTGCTGGGTGCAGTGGCTCATGCCTGTAATCCCAGCATTTTTGGAGCACAGGATGGGGGTATCACTTGGGGCCAGGAGCTCTCATAGGGAGACCCTTGTCTCTACAAAAATAAAAAATAAAAAATTAACTGGACGTGGTTGTGTGTGTCTGTAGTCTTAGCTACTTGCGAGGCTGAGGTGGGAGGACTGCTTGAGCCCATGATTTCCAGGTTGCAGTGAGCTACGATTGTGCCGCTGCACTCCAGCCTGGGCAACAGAGCAAGACTCTTTCTCCAAAGAAAGAAATGAAAACTTGATTAATTCAGATACTGATTACCCTTCACTTGGCTACATGCTTTTGTTGATACATTAAATTTACCTCTTCTGTCAAAATAATAGGAAACTAAATTAGTAACTGGCATCAATGTGATGATGACTCTTGACGTCACTTGGTATAGTGCACACTTATAAGCCTCTTACCCCAACCATTCAGTGTAGGTTTACTAGTGGAGTTGGAATGGTAAACATTTTGAAATATCTGCCACAGGAACAATTTCCATTTTCTTCATTAATATAATGGTGGAAGAATATTGAGTTCAGAATCAGATGTGGCTAACATTAGATCTTTTGCTTATTGATTATTTAGATTTTGGGCACATTGCTTAATCTGAGTGAATTTATTCATCTGTGAGGTGAGGATGACCACAAAAATTATAATGAGAAAAGCACTGTTGGGCCGGGAGTGGTGGCTCTCACACCTGTAATCCCAGCACTTTGGGAGGCTGAGGCAGGTGGATCACCTGAGGTTGGGAGTTCAAGACCAGCCTGACCAACATGGAGAAACCCTGTCACTACTAAAAATACAAATTTAGCTGGGTGTGGTGGCACATGCCTGTAATTCCAGCTACTCGGGAGGCTGAGGCAGGCGGAGGTTGTGGTGAGCTGAAATCGCGCCATTGCACTCCAGCCTGGGCAACAAGAGCGAAACTCTGTCTCCCATTTAAAAAAAAAAAAAAGGCATTGTTAAGGTTAAATTGTCTACTATGTAAAAATATTTGGTCATGTCACAGGTGTTTAATAAATGTCAGCTAATTATGTTGTTCAAATCCAATAAATGAAGGAGATTCTAGTTGTAGCTTTGTTAGAAGGCAAAAATGAATTTCTAGGTAGTGGGCCAAAGAATGAAGTAGTTAAATGTAGTGATTGAGTCAGAAACTTCATGTATGTAGAAGGTAGCTATATGGAGAGTGTAGTGAAAGGAAAGAGGTGAGGAATTGAAATGTCAACTCTGAATTATCTGTGTGGCCAATTTACTTTGTATTATATGTGGCAGTATTTTTGTTCTAATTTGTCTTCCTGAGAATTGGGCCAGTTCCCCGTCATCACTGCATTTATAGAAGAAAACTAATTCTTACATTCATAGGTATGGGAAGAGCATGAATAACAAGACAATAAAAGTGATATTTAATATTTAAAGTCAATTATAGGGCCAGGATTGGTGGTCCAGGCCTGTAATCCTAGCACTTTGGGAGGCCGAGGTGGGAAGATCAGTTGAAGCCAAGAGTTTGAGACCAGCCTGGGCAGCATAGTGAACCTTGTCTCTACAAAAATAAAAATAAAAAGGTCAGTTATTGTCAGGCTACATTTATTTGCGAGGATAGAGGGAAATAATGTTAAGAAAATCCAAAGGTCACATTTGCCTTCAGTTGTTCTGAAATTTGAACATGAGAATACCTGTGTAGGTGAGGTTGATGTAATAAGCACATGAAACTTATAGAAGATAGTCACTTACTTTCTCATTTTATATAGGTATTAAGGTCTGTCATCAATATATAAGTTTTCTCTTTTAAAATGTAAACATTTGGGGTCTTCTTCATATAATTAACCAAGTCAGAAAGTAAACATTGGATAATGTTTGACTCTAAGAGCTTAAATACTTGGCAAGGTTTTCCTAGGAGAATTTGTGGAGAAAATCTGTGAATAGATGAGCCAATTTTTAAATAATATAAAATGGGGATACATGATGCAAATTAATTCTTGCCTTTTAGTCCCACATCCCTTCTTCCATTACTTACAGGTTATTGTTACCATTAAGAACACTTCTTTTTCTTAAATGAGCAGGTTTATGTCGATTATTCAGAGTTGTTACACAGGACATAGATTGGTTTTATCATGTCTATCTTAAAGTTTTTCTTTTTCTTACTCTTACCAGTCAACCTAAAATTCTTTTTTCCCTCTGATATCTAATTGCAGGTTAAGCAACCTGAAATTCTTGCAAAAGGACACCTTTAATTTGAATTGTAATTGGAATCCTATGCTAGTGACAGTGTATGGCTTTTCTGTATTGTTTTCTAATAATTATTTGAATATGAAACATTCCACAGTAAATCCCAGACAAGAGCTATTGTTTTTCATTTTATAGGTGAGAGATTAAGTAACTTATATAAGATTATACAACTGGTAAGGTTGGAGCTAGTATTCAAATTCTGATAAATCTGGTACAAAAGTACACATTCTTCTGTAATATTTAAATGTGAATTCTTTTTGCAGTTTTTGAGTCAGAGTCTTGCCCTCTCCCCCAGGCATGAGTGCAGTGGTGCGATCATGGCTCATTGCAGCCCCAGCCTCCTAGGCTCAAGCGATCTTCCTGCCTCATTTTTAAATTTTTCATGGAGATGATGTCTCATTATGTTGCCCAGCCTGGTCTTGAACTCCTGGGCTCAAGTGATCCATCCCACCTTGGCCTCCGAAAGTGCTGGAATTACAGGTTTGAGCCACCATGCCTGGCCTAAATATGAATTATTATTATTTTAAATGGAGTCTCACACTGTCGCCCTGGCTGGAGTGCAGTGGTGTGATCTCATCTCACTGCAACCTCTGCCTCCCGGGTTCAAGTGATTCTTCTGCCTCGGCCTCCCGAGTAGCCGGGATTAGAGAGGCCTGCCACCACACCTGGCTAACTTTTTGTATTTTTAGTAAAGACAGGGTTTCACCATGTTGGCCAGGCTGGTCTCAAACTCCTAACCTTGTGATCCGTCCGCCTCAGCCTCCCAAAGTGTTGGGATTACAGGCGTGAGCCACTGCGCCCGGCCTAATATGAATTACTTTTTTTGTTTTTTTCTTTTTTTTGAGATGGAGTGTCACTCTGTCGCCCAGGCTGGAGTGCGGTGGTGTGATCTTGGCTCACTGCAACCTCCACCTCCCGGGTTCAAGCAGTTCTCTGCCTCAGTCTCCCGAGTAGCTGGGATTACAGGCGCCTGCCACCATACCTGGCTAATTTTTGTATTTTTAGTAGAGATGGGGTTTCACCATATTGGCCAGGCTGGTCTTGAACTCCTGACCTCGTGATCCACCTGCCTCGGCTTCCCAAAGTGCTGGGATTATAGGCATGAGGCACCGTGCCTGGCCTAATACGAATTCTTAATAAGCACAATAACGGTATATCCCTCCCCTTTCCTCTCAGTCCCTATCCTCTTTCTTCAGGGACTTTTGTCATCTCTTACTCTGCTACCTACTCTTCTGTGAATGATTTCTTAGGTTTCACTTTCCTTCTTTATAGAATATTTCATCATTCTTTGTACTGAAGACCTCATTGAGGAACTAGCCAGAATATTTCTTACTCCTAGGCATCTAGGAATCCAGCTTTAGGAAAGGTGAAATTTGTACTCAGAAACTATATTGAGGCTTAAAGATAGTATATCTACTTGCCTATCTAGTTTTCATGTCTTCTGCTTCCTTGTTTTTGTTTTGAGACAGGGTCCCACTCTGTGGCCCAGACTGGAGTACAGTTGTGCCATCACAGCTCACTACAGCCTCAACCTGGGCTCAAGGGATTCTCCTATGTCAGCCCCCCAAGTAGCTAAGACTACAGGTGCACATCACTGTGTCTGGCTAATTGAAAAAATTTTTTTTTGTAGAGACAAAGTTTCACTATATTGCCCAGGCTGGTCTTGGACTCCTGGACTCAAGCGGTCCTCCCACCCTGGTCTCCCAAAGTGCTGGGATTACAGGCATGAGCCACCACACCCAGCCTACTTCCTGGATCTGATACCTTCATATTTATAAAAATTTTTATTTCTTCTTATATCTTCAGCTTTCCACATTGGATCATTTTCCTTCTGCCTAAAGTACATTCTTTAGAATTAGTAAGGATCTTTTGAATTATTCTATTTTTATCAAAGTTGCATTTCTGCCTTCTACCATATCTGGCATTTTCAAGTCCTGATCCCTTTGAGGCTCTATGTGGTAGATTAGGTCCTCCTCAGCTGTTAGGTTCCTTTGTGTACACTCTAAATTGAAACTTTTTATTTACTTCTCTAGAACTGTGTGTTGAAATCATTTTCTTGCTGATGACTCTACTCCTATTTTATATAGTTGTGTTTGGTTTCCTCCCTTACAGTAATTTTAATATAAGAATCTAGAAGAAGATAAACTTGTGTGCTTAGCCACATTGAACTAGAAGTCTCTGTTAGCCATGTTTAAACTTACTTAGTTGTAGTATAGTGATAGAACTGCCCCCTGCTTTAACACCTGGATTCCTCTCAGATGAGATTACCTTTCACATTTTGTAGCACTGATCATTCCTCAGATTCCTGGGCTTTACTCAATTTAGATTTTGAGTTACATGCTAAGATTTTCTCTCACATTTTATTAATGTCAAGAATTTTTTTTATACTTCATCCATGCCATTATCATCTGTTTACCAAAAATAATTGGAAATCTTACATTGTTGAGTACAATCCTAATATTATTTACTATTCTTTGTTTGAGATTTTTTTTTTTTTTTTTTTTTTTTGAGATGGAGTCTTGCTCTGTCGCCCAGGCTGGAGTGCAGTGGCGTGATCTCGGCTTACTGCAACTTCTGCCTCCCAGGTTCAAGTGATTCTCCTGCCTCAGCCTCCCGAGTAGCTGGGATTATAGGCACATGCCAACACGCCCCGCTAATTCCTTTTTGTATTTTTAGTAGAGACGGGGTTTCACCATGTTGGCCAGGCTGTTCTTGAGCTCCGGACCTCATGGTCTGCCCGCCTCATCTCCCAAAGTGCAGGGATTACAGGCTTAAGCCATCACGCGCAGCCTGTTTGAGATCTTTATTCATTTTTGTTTTGTTAACTTTGTTGTGTAATATCAGAAAAGCTATACTTTGGTAGTAATACTTTGTGTGTTTTTGTGTGCCAGAAGTTGTCTTTTTTAGCCCTTTATATTGGGCTTTTTTTAGACCGTCAGGAAGTTTCAATCTTTACCCTAGTAAGTCAACATGTGTTTAATTTTTGGAAAGATGAACCTTTTCTCAGATTATTTTAAGCCCTTGTTCTTTTTATCCTTTAGCATTTCAATAGGTGAAGCACCATACCGGCTTTATCTTTTGGAGAGCTTGAATCCTCCCATGAACTGGAGAGTCCCTCCGGGTTTCCCTAGGAGTCCATATTTAGTTTTGGGTTTTGAGATGATCCATGAGGAAGCTTGATTTAGTTTTTGAGGAGGGAATCATTACAGATATCTACCCAGCTCACTAATTCACATGATCTTATTTAATGTGGAGAACTTAATTTATTCTAAACTTTCCAGCTGTGAAACTGATGCTTTTAAAAGTTTTTGTAAGGGAAGAAAGAAAGACTTCACTGCAATGTCTGTTTGATTACACACACACATTGATTAAATTATAGGAATAATAGGTATTTTTGGCAACTGCAGTAGTCTTGAGAAAAGTCTGCCTTTAGCAATTATTCGTAGTATTTATCTTCAGAAATCAGGATTGAGTTGGTTGGTCTGCATTCATATAATGCTTTGAATGTAGATAAATGGTCAATAAATACATGAATGAATTGATATTGTGAAATAGAATTCTCAGTCATAACTGAAGTATTTAGAAATAAAAGGAATGTAATTTCTTGCTTATTGGTAATAACTTTGTAAGTGGAGTAAAAAGAATGAAAAAATTGAAATTTTAATTCTCTTCAAATGGGGAAGGGAAAATAGAAATGTATTTTATATTCTAAATCTTAAGAGTCATTAGGTTGATGTTTGCAATTTTTTATAGTTAATGCAAGGCATGTTAAAATATAATTTGTCTTGGTTTTAACATTCTGAGCCACTGTGTAGCAGAATTTATCTGTATTACTTGACATTGCCCAATTCTTCCTATATTCTGTGGGATAATGTTTTAGCTTTACTTGTTCAATTGGAATATAGTTTGTACTTTTTTAGTTTAGTTATTTTACCCAGGAGGCAGCTGTTAGTTAAAAAAAAAAAAAAATTTGGAATATACTGTTCTTTTGGTGGTTTTATTCTATACTAAAACTTGAAATTGTGAGTGACTCTTGGTCATGCTTTATTTATGCAGAATATCCTCCGAATCCTAAATCTAGAGCTCCAAGGATGCTGGTCATTAAGAAAGGTAATACAAAAGACTTACAGCTATCTGGATTCCCAGTAGTAGGAAATCTTCCGTCACAGCCAGTTAAGAATGGAACTGGTCCAAGTGTTTATAAAGGTTTAGTCCCTAAACCTGCTGCTCCACCTACAAAAGTAAGTTCTAAATTACCACAAATGTAAATTTTGAGTTGATAACCAATTTATGTCCTATGGGGGGAAATGTTAAAGAATTTAAAGTGTGTATGGAGGTACTTCGTGGGGTGCTGAGTTCTAGGTGGCAAGAGTTGACCCATATGTGCTCTTAATTATCTTTGATGTGGTGTGTGCGTGTGTGTGGTTTTATTGTTTTAGCAGTAGTAAGTGAAACTTAAAAATTTTTTTTTTTTGCTAGATGTAGTTGTGATATATTTGCTTAATGATAATATATAATGCTGTTTTACCTGGTGCTCAGTTTTAGGTTTTGGAAACTCACATGTTTTTTCTTATTCTCAAGTGAAAGAAACCCAACTTTATGTAGCTTTGGAAAAATAGCAATTTAGTTAGATACCTAAATGTTCAGTTTTTATTTTATTTGTTGAAAAAGAAAGGGACAGAGAACTATGTAGGAATAATGCAGTGTGATACAAAAATAATTGTTTCCATGAGCCTAGCGTAGTCATTTTTGTTTTATAATATTCACTGTTTTTGTCTTTCTCCTGTAACCTGTTTTTGATAGCCATTAATGTTTGTGTGTTTTTCTTTAGCCTACACAATGGAAAAGCCAAACAAAAGAAAATAAAGTTGGAACTTCTTTCCCTCATGAGTCCACATTTGGCGTTGGCAACTTTAATGCTTTTAAATCAACTGCCAAGAACTTTAGTCCATCTACAAATTCAGTGAAAGAGGTATGACATTAAAAATCACACTTGAGGAATGTAACATTTTAATTATGATAGTTTAACAGTGAATAAAAGGTAGAAATTCATTAAATGAATACATTAAAATGAGTTTCATTCCTTCAGAAAACTGGATTCATTTACTTCATTTGTTAACCAATTTTGCACTTTGGGAAAGTAGGAATCATTTAAAATATTTTAAATGAAAATTCCCAGCTCATTCCTATAATCCCAACATTTTGGGAAGTGGGACAGGAGGATCACTTGAGCCCAGGAATTTCAGACCAGCCTCGGCAATATGGTGAAACCCTGTCTCTACTTAAAAAAAAATAGCTGGGCATGGTGGTATGTGCCTGTGGTCCCAGATCTTGGGAGGCTGTTGTGGGAGGAACACCTGAGCCTGGGAATGTCAAGGCTGCAGCAAGCTGTGATTGTGCCACTGTACTCAAACCTGGGCAACAGAGTGAGACCCTGTCTCAAAAGTGGTGGCAGAGTGGGGATGGGGGGGAATTCCAAACATCCTAATAAACAAAGAATAATTTTTTGGGGGGTGGTAGGAGGGACAGAGTCTCTGTTGCTCAGGCTGGAGTACAGTGGCTCGTTTGTGGCTCACTGGTGCCTTGACCTCCTGGGCTCAAGCAGTCCTCCCATCTTAGTCTCCTGATTGTCTAGGACTACAGGTGCTTGCCACTGGGCCAGCTAATTTTTTACTTTTTGTAGAGACGAGGATCTTGCTATGTTGTCCAGGCTGGTCTCAAACTCCTGGTGTCAAGTGATCCTCTCTCCTCAGCTTCCCAGTTCCTGGGATTACAGGCATGATCCACCACACCTGGACCAAGAGTAATTTTTAAGAAAACAATTAAGAAAATTGCAATTTTCTTAATTTGATACTTGTGATAGTTACCTTGTAGGATTGAAATTAACTAATGAGGATTTGTATTGTATAATGTCTTCTTTTGGGGATGATGGACATTTTATTACTATTAACACTGATTGGGGGGAAAGGAGGAACAAGAGAGAAAGGTATGTATTGTTACTGTACTGACTGTGAGTACCTGGTAGTTCAGGTATTTTCTTTCTCATTTGATCAAGGTTTTGAAACTCCCAGAACAGGGAGTTCTCTGACCAGTCTAGTGTCAAAGGACACCCATAGCACTTATATTATTATACCTGAAATTGCTTTGGGTACTGTATTGGAACCCCTCATATACTATTTTTTTTTTTTTTTTTTTTTTTTTTGAGACGGAGTCTCGCTCTGTCGCCCAGGCTGGAGTGCAGTGGCGGGATCTCGGCTCACTGCAAGCTCCGCCTCCCGGGTTCACGCCATTCTCCTGCCTCAGCCTCCCAAGTAGCTGGGACTACAGGCTGGGCATGTAGCCACTACGCCTGGCTAATTTTTTTGTATTTTTAGTAGAGACGGGGTTTCACCGTTTTAGCCGGGATGGTCTCGATCTCCTGACCTCGTGATCCGCCCGCCTCGGCCTCCCAAAGTGCTGGGATTACAGGCGTGAGCCACTATTTTTTATTTATGATCTCAGACAGAATTTTTGAGCTTTGAGGGAAGGACTAGCATTCCTAGCTGCTTAATTCTGCTAAGATTAGTTATAATATACATACATTAATGCCAACAAGTAAGCATTATTATGGTTTGTTTCCGTGACTAATAATCCATATGACACAGAGTTTTAACATTCTGTTTTGTGTTCCACTGTCAAAACACCAAAGAACCAAAAACAAAAGGATTCTTTCTCCTCTCCTCCCTGCCATCTCACAAACATTTTACCAGGTGAAATCCACTCTTATAAACCCTATGTATGTGTATAAATAATTATAAAATACATTTTATTGGAGCTGTTACTGAACTCTAGAACTCTGTGTAACACAGTTTGAAAAGCTGCTCTTCTGTGTATTATAGAAAAGTTTAAACAATTCTAGGATGCATTTATAAAATAATAGACACCTAATTTAGAATCATAGTTCTGAGTATTATCAGACCTTCATTGTTTGTGGGATAAGAAAATTATTTTGTTGACTCATTCAGTAGGGGAAAAAACAGGGATAGAACTAGACTGTAACATAGACATTATAATCAATTTTATTTTGTGAGTAAAGGTAAAATAGGAAGCTGTGGTAGTAGTGAATTTTATGTTGACATTGATTCCTTGGCTACATATTTATCAGTATTTCTGAATTTCCTCTTAGTGTAATCGCTCAAATTCCTCTTCTCCTGTTGACAAACTTAATCAGCAGCCTCGTCTAACCAAACTGACACGAATGCGCACTGATAAGAAGAGTGAATTTTTGAAAGCATTGAAAAGAGACAGAGTAGAAGAGGAACATGAAGATGAAAGCCGTGCTGGCTCAGAGAAGGTAATTGAATTTATAGCAATACTTGATTTGACATTGATATGTCATTGAAATATTTGAGCATGTATTAGGACCTTGGAATACATTTGAATCATTTCCTTGGAAAGAAACTTGGAAAGCCATTTGCATAAATAATGACTTGGCTTCTCCCCTCCTCTCTCCTTTTCTCGCCTCCCCCCTTCCCCCTCCCCCTTCCCCTCTCCCCTTCCCCTCCTTCCCCCCTCCCCGTCCTTCCCCCTCCCCTTCCCGTCCTTCCCCCTCCCCTTCCCTCCTTCCCCTTTCCCCCTTCCCTCCTTCCCCTTTCCCCCTTCCCTCCTTCCCCTTTCCCCCTTCCCTCCTTCCCCTTTCCCCCTTCCCTCCTTCCCCTTTCCCCCTTCCCCCTCCCCTCCTTCCCCCTTCCCCCTCCCCCTCCTCCTCGTTTGAGACAAAGTCTCACTCTATCACCCAAGCGGAGTGTAAGGGCATCATCTTGGGCTGCAGCAGACTCCACTTCCCAGGTTCAAGCAATTCTTGTTCCTCAGCCTTCCTGGTAGCTGGGACTATATTTATGTGCCACCACACCTGGCTAATTTTTGTGTTTTTTGTACGTTTGGCTAATTTTTTCATTTTTTGTAGAGACGGGGTTTCACCACGTTGGCCAGACTGGTCTTGAACTCCTGACTTCAGGTGATCCGCCTGCCTTGGCCTCCCAAAGTGTTGGGATTACAGGCGTGAGCCACTGTACCTGGCCATGACTTCATTTCTAAAGTAGATTTGCTTCATTCTATAGTTTCTGTGGAAAAATACATTTAAAAAGCATTCTTGTTTATATCTGCTCTCTTTTGCTTGTCCCATCTTGCCTGCCTTCATGCTTTTAATTTTGCATTTGTTGTATAGATATGAATACTTAGGGTAAGAAAGCTTTGGATATCCATCCTGGCTTAATTTTTCATTCCTAAATTTAACAATTATAAGTATTACGTTTATGGTTGTTGGTTTTTTTTTTTTTTTTTAGAGTTTTGCTCTTGTCTGGAGTATAGTGTACAATGGCATGATCTTGGCTCACTGCAACCTCCACCTCCTAGGTTCAAGCAATTCTCCTGCCACAGCCTCCCAAGCAGCTAGGACTACAGGCGTGTATCACCACGCCCAGCTAATTTTTTTGTATTTTTAGTAGAGATGGGGTTTCACCATTTTGGCCAGGCTCGTCGCAAACTCCTGACCTCAGATGATCCACCCGCCTTGGCCTTCCAAAGTGCTGGGATTACAGGGGTGAGCCACTGCGCCTGGCCGCATTTATGTATTTTCAATGGAAGCTTAGTTAGGATCTATTAAAAGTTTTTAATAACTGTATTCTGTAGAACTCATTCTTTTTTTTTTTTTTAACTCTCTAAAAATCAGGATGACGACTCATTTAATTTACATAACAGCAATAGTACTCACCAAGAAAGGGATATAAACCGAAACTTCGATGAAAATGAAATTCCTCAAGAGAATGGCAATGCCTCAGTGATTTCCCAGCAGATCATTCGGTCTTCAACCTTCCCACAAACTGATGTTCTTTCAAGTTCACTTGAGGCAGAACACAGGCTAGTATTTGTTTGTACTTTTTGCTCAGCATTTTCTGTATTCGAGATTTCAATATTATAGAGTTTTTACGTGATTTAACAGGTTTATTGGAATACAACTTACGCCATAAATTTCACCCATTATGATATACAGATGGTTTTTAATATATTCAAAGTAGCCCTTTGTTCACTCGCATTTACTTTTCATTTGCACTCTGTCCTAGGCAGCTACTATTCTTTCTATAGATTTGCCTTGTGTATGTATCTTATATAAGTGGAATAATATAGTATGTGATTTTTGATGTCTAGCTTCTTTCACTAAGTATAATATTTTCAAGTTTTATTTGCATTGTAAGCACGTCAGTACTTTGTTCCTTTTTATTGCTGAATAGTACACTATATGACTATACTGCTTTTTTGTTCATCAGTTGATGAATATTAGTTGTTTCCACCTCTTTTTTTTTTTTTTTTAACAGTAGGCTCTAGTCCAATCTACTTTTTGACTGTTTTGGATAATGCTGCTGTGAACATTCATATATAAGTTCTTGTGTGGATATGTTTTTATTTCTGTTGGATAGATACCTAGGAGTTGAATTGCTGGGACATATGATAGTTGTGTTTCACATTTTTAGAAACTGACAAACTATTTTCCAAAATGACTATGTCATTTTACTTCCTTATCAGCAATATAGAAGGTTCTAGTTTCTCCACATTCTTACCAACACATGGTACCATCTATCTTTGATTACAGTCATTCTAGTGGGTGTGAAGTATGATTTCCCTAATGACTAATAGTGTTGAGTATCTTTTTATGTGCTTATTGGCCATTTATCCTCTTAGGAGAGAAATAACTGTATAAATACTTCGCTCATTTAAAAATTACATTTTCTTACTAAGTTGTAAGAGTTCTTTATATATTTGTGTATAAGTCTCATATATGATTGGCAGATAATTTCTCCCATTCTGTGAGTTTTTTCATTCTCTCAGTAGTGCAATCACCTCCCACCCACCCCCACCCCCACCCCCACAGGCACCTTTTGAGATGAGGTCTTTCTGTGTTGCCCAGACTGGTCTCAAGTGATCCTCCTGAGTAGCTGGGATTACAGGCTTGCACCACCATGCACGGCTTCAGTGGTACCTATTGAAGGGCAGAAAGTTTTAATTTTGATGTAGTTCATTTTTTTCCTTGTATGGTTTATGCAGGTTTCCTGGATGATGTGAGGTAGGAGTTCAGACTCATCCTTTCCCACGTGGACAGCGAATTGTCCCAATATGTGATTTATTTTTCGAGACAGTGTCTCACTCTGTCACCCAGGCCGGAGTGCAGTGGTGCGGTATTAGCTCACTGTAACCTCTGTCTCCCAGGGTCAAGTGATCCCCCCACCTCAGCCTACCAAGTAGCTGGGACCACAGGTGTGCACCACCATACCCAGCTAATTTTTGTATTTTTTTGTAGTGATGAGGGTTTCACTATGTTGCGTAGGCTAGTCTCAAACTCCTGAGCTGAAGCGATCCTCCCGTCTCGCCCTCCCAAAGTGCTAGGAGTACAGGCATGAGCCACAGTGCCCAGCCAGTCATTTAGTTTTTATTGTAAATTTTTTTTTTTTTTTTGACAGGTCTTGCTCTGTTGCCCAGGCTGGAGTTCAGTGGCAGGATCTTGGCTCACTGCCACCTCACCTCCTGGGTTCCAGAGATTCTTGTGCTTCAGCCTCCTCAGTAGTTGAGAATACAGGCACACGCCACCATGCCTGGCTAATTTTTGTCTTTTAGTAGAGATGGGATTTCATCATGTTGGCCAGGCTGTTCTCGAATTCCTGACCTCAAGTGATCCACCTGCCTCAGCCTCCCAAAGTGCTAGGATTACAGGTGTGAGCCACCACTCCCAGCCTGCTGTAAACTTTTAACAGCACTTTTTGCTTCCATCAGTATAGTCTAAAGCGTTTTAAAAAATAGTGATCTCTTAAGTGGTTTAGTCTTAGAATTGAAGAGTATTCATATCTAGAATTTATTTTTGTTTTTTTGTAGTTAAAAGCAGGTATTTTTGCAGAAATGACATACCCTTACTGTATTCCTTAAATAACCACATGGTTCGGCATAACTAAAAGATGTTGAAAACTACGAAAGCAAAGAAAGTTAATAGTTTATACCCTTAGATTATCATATTATTATTCTGTAATTGCTTTGTATAAACTGATTTTTTTTTAACTTAAAAAGTCTTACATCTTCTAAGAGCAAGCTTAGGGCTAAGTTACATTTATTAACAGCCCAGTTGATTGACTTGACTTTTTGCCAGTTCTAGAACCTCATTTAATTCTAAGACAGTGGAAAACTGGGTTATATCTCCTCTTGGATAACTTTTGTGGAATTTATTTATAATTTCAACTTCTATTTTAATTAAGAACATAAGCTACATGAGGCCAAACATTTTGTCCATCTTGTTCACTATATCTAGCACCTAGAATGGTGCTTGGCACATTACTTTGCTTAAATTTGTTAAATGAATGAGGGAAGTAAATATTGCAGTATTTTTCTACCTGTTATGTAAATCTGTAGTTTTTTTGAGGAATATTTTAATTTTACTTTTTATTTCTAATTTTTTCAAATGTTTTAATAGTTTATATTTCTCCTGCCAAGGGTTATGGCTGCCCCCTTAAAAACAAAAAACAAAAAAAACATAGAGATGAGCTCTCACTGTGTCACTGTGTTTCCCAGGCTGATCTCAAAAACTCCTGGACTCAAGTGATACTCCTGCCTCAGCCTCCCAGAGGGCTGGGAGTAGAGGCGTGAGCCACGACACCTGGCTAGATCTTCTTTCGTTCTTTTCTTTCTTTTTTTGAGGCAGGGTCTTATTCCATTGTCCAGCCTGGAGTGCAGTGGCACAGTGATGGTTCACTGATACCACTCAAATGATGCTCCTGCCTCAGCCATTGGAACAGCTGGGATTACAGGTGTGTACCACCATGCCTGGCTAACTTCTGTATTTTTTGTAGAGATGGGGTTTCGCCATGTTGCCCAGGCTGGTCTCAAACTCTTGGGCTCAAGCGATCCTCCTGCCTTGGCCTCCCAGAGTGCTGGGATTACAGCCACCATGCCCAGCCCTTCCCCACGCCCCTCGCTTTTTTTCCCTTAGATTGCTCCTTCAGAATAAATCTTTATCTTTCTGTCTTTAATCATATATTATTACTTTATCTTCGTGGTTACTTTTGTTTCCCTTCTCCAAATCATGTCCTGTTTTGCTTCTTAAATGTGGCTGTAACTATTGTATGTGAATGTGTAGGCATTTAATTTTGTAGGCTGGGCGTTGTGGCTCACACCTGTAATCCCAGCACTTTGGAAGGCTAAGGTGGGTGGGTCACTTGAGGTCAGGAATTCAAGACCAGCCTGGCCAACATGGTGAAACCCTGTCTCTACTGAAAATACAAAAATTAGCTGGGCATGGTGGTGCATGCGTGTAATCCGAGCTATTCAGATGGCTGAGGCATGAGAATCACTTGAATCTGGGAGGCAGAGGTTGCAGTGAGCCGAGATCGTGCCATTGCACTCCAGCCTGGATGACAGAGTGAGACTGTCTCAAAAAAAAAAAAAAAAAGAGTAAGTTTTGTATTTGGACCTTTCTCCTAAAATAATTTATTGGGCTGATGATAATTGCATTTGAGAATTAATTTAGCTAGATTAATTTATAACTAACTTAATCAGATATCTATAAATTCACTTGTTTAGACAAAGTATAATTTATTGTACATTTAATGTGAACAGATGAATAAATAACCACACTATTTTTATTGCCTCCCAAATTGTGGAACTTCATGCTACCACATAATACAGTTTATGACTTGTGACTAACAGGCTTGAGTGATGGCTGAAATGTCAAATACAGAAAAAATTTAGCAAACATGAATTCTTTTTTAAAAAGATTAACATAAACAGATATTTCAGAATTTTTTTGATCATTCTAATGAATCACCTTGTTTTTCCCCCTCTGCCATTTGAAGCCACTATTCTATAGTATGGATATAAATTGTGAAACTGTTTTCCTGTGATCAAGATTTATGTGTGTTCACGTCCTCTCTCTCTTCTCTCCCCTTCTCTTTCCCTTTCTCTCCCCTTTCCTCTCCTCCCCTCTTCCTCTCTTTCCTTTCCTCTTCCCCCTCTTATTCCAAATAATGCTGTTATCAGCATCCTTGTATTTATATTCTTGAATATTTGTGTAAATGTGTAGGTAACAGATTACTAGGAGTGAATTTGATTGGTCAGATGGCATACATATTTAAAATAATCAGCTACTGCCATGTTACCCAAAAACATTCTGATAATTTGCACTCTCACCAATGATCATTGAAATATTTCTAGTCACACAATTGGTAGAAAGGGAAAAGGCCTGTGTGTAGAAAGGAGAATAAAACACAAACATATCAGATATTCTAATGATAGTAAAAGATGAATGTTACCTCTTAAGGAGATAGAGCATAGGCAGTAAAAGAATACAGATAAAAGATTTTTTTAACTCCTAGAATCTATTCATTAAGGCCATAGTGAGAAAGTTGTCACCTAATATCTTGTCTTCTGATTTCCCTTCAGTACTTAGTAGCAAAAAAACAGTTGGCCCATACCTTTAGAAAATGTTTCTTATAACCCCTAATAGACATATCTAATGTTTAATTATATTTTTTTAATCTGCAGAGCAGATGTTTAGTGCAGGAAGCATTTTGATGGTTCTTCTTTCATTTAGGAAGACTTGTGGAAGAGAGACTTTAGTTTCATAACTTGACAGAATTTGGTTCTCTGTGACTACTAACAGGAGAAAATGGAGAGGATGAGATTTAGAAACTAAGGCAAATCAAGATGAAAACATCCGGCTGGGGACAATGACTCACGCCTATAATCCCAGCACTTTGGGAGGCTGAGGCAGGTGGGTCACTTAGGCCAGGAGTTTGAGACCAGCCTGGCCAACATGGTGAAACCCCATCTCTACTAAAAATACAAAAATTAGCTAGGCGTGGTGGCGTGTTCCTGTATTCTCAACTACTGAGGAGGCTGAAGCACAAGAATCTCTGGAACCTAGGAGGTGAGGTGGCAGTGAGCTGAGATCGCACCACTGAACTCTAGCCTGGACGGCAGAGCAAGACTCCATTCTCAAAAAATAAAAAATAAAAGACAAAAACATCCTAAATTGGAGTAAGCTCTAGAGGGAGGGGGAAAAAAAAACACCCCATACTGCATGAAGAGATAGTATCAGTGATGACCTACTTGAATGATTATTTTAGTATATATGTTTTAATTTTTTTTGAGACTTTATAGATTACATTGTTTTCGTCTTTTTAAAACAGTGGATACTTTTCTTTTATATTTAGGTTACTTTAAAAGTTTTAACCAAGTTTTTTTCCCTTAAACCATATAGTTTAAACTATAAAAAGAGAGAGTTATGCATACGAATACCATTATCTAGTGTGGACATGAAGATGAAGGGGGCAAACAATAAGAACATTTTGTTATTTGCCAAGAATAGAATAAAATTGTGGATTCAAGATTTCAGATTTGGTAGCCGCTAGTTGGAATAGAGGGATAGTTTTATAGAAATGTTGCACTTGCTGAAAAAGATCCTAAGACAAGTAAAGGGGCTAGTTGATATGAAACTGTTTTTATTTAAATTTCTTAGTTTGAGTTTCCTTGACTGTTTAAGTAGAATATGTGTTTGTAAATGTTTCAAAGACGTATATCAATACCTTTTTCCCCACTCTTAAGCTAAGAGAGTTAATGGCTTTTAGATTTTAGGGGTTTTTTTCCCTGTCAAAATGGAATGTTACTTCTTTTCCATTGCTTCATATTTTCTGTAAACTTTGTGACTTCTTAAGTTATATACATATAAATACTCATATTAGTTGAATTCAATAATATGGGGCAGTGATAGTTTTTGTTTTTGTTTTTTTTTTGAGATGGAGTTTCACTCTTGTCACACAGGCTGGAGTACCGTGGTGTGACCTCTGCTCACTGCAACCTCCACCTCCCGGGTTCAAGTGATTCTCCTGCCTCGGCCTCCCGGAATAGCTGGGATTACAGGCACCCGCCACAACACCTGGCTAATTTTTTGTATTTTTAATAGAGACGAGGTTTCACCATGTTGGCCAGGCTGGTCTCGAACTCCTGACCTCAGGTGATCCACCGCCTTGGCCTCCCAAAGTGCTGGGATTACAGGCGTGAGCCACTGCGCCTGGCCAGTGATAGGTTTTTTAAGGATAATGCTTTTCAAATATTAAAATATGAAATATTCAATACTAAGGCACATAGATCATTCTTAGTTTTATTGTCAAGTTTTAGCCACTTTATCAGGGTATCGAGGTAGCCTCAACATCAAAGGGATACAGTTGTCAACTTGTTTAAGCAGACACCAAATTAGTGGAAGTAAATGCTAAAGAAATTCAGAGGGTTTGGGGATAGAGATCATTATGACTTGGGTACCAGTCAGAGGTTTCTTTCTTTCTTTCCTTTTAAAATAGTTAATTGTATAAATATTTATTTTTTAGAGACATGGTCTCACTGTATCTCAGGCTGGTCTTGAACTCCTAGCCTCAAGTAATCCTCATGCCCTGGCCTCTTGAATTGCTGGGATTACAGGCATGAACCATCACACCTGGCCCTAGTCAGAAAGATTTAATTGGGACCTAAATTAAATCTTGAAAGGGTTAGACGTAAATAAGGGCAAGCGTGCTAGAAAAAGAAAGGATGTAAAGACATGGTTAGAATGGTGTATATACCTAGTTTGTTTTAAGGGTGTTGAGTGGGATATTTTGACACAAGCAGGCAATTTACTCACTGAAGTTAAAGATCATATTGAAAAGGCAGGACTTTAGAGATGTCTTATACTTGGTTTGTGATAGAGTAGGAACTGTGACCCAGGTCTTCTAACTTCTAATCCTAGATTTTCTCTACTGAGGAATTTGAATTTGTGACCATGGCACAAACACAGTTAAGGAGTTTGTTCTTTAGAAAGTGAGAAGCCACCGAAAATATTTATCAGAGGATGGTAGTTGTGAAACTGGTATCAGGATGATTTGGCAATAGTTTGAAGGAGAGTGGGAAGGAATAATTGAAATGAAAAAGCAAAGTACAGATAAGGGTTACAGTAATATAGTCAGTCATGCATTGCTTAATGACAGGGATATATTCTGAGAAACGTGTCGTTAGGTGATTTTGTCATGGCGTGAAACTCATAGAGTGTACTTACACAAACTAGATAGTATAGCCCACTACCTACCTAGGCTATATGGTATAGACTGTTATTTCTAGGCTACAAACCTGTATAGCATGTTACTGTACTGAATATTGTATAGTATTTGTAATCATAATACAGTGGTATGTATTTGTATATCTAAGCATATCTAAACATATACAAAGGTACAGTAAGAAAATGGTATTACAGTCTCATGGGATTATGCATCATATGTGCGGTTGTCTGACCAAAATATAGTTACGTGGCACATGTTTGTATGTTTAGGGGGGAAAGGGAAACACAGATTGTTTTTATTTTTTCTTATTTTTCTTTTTGTAGAAATGGAGTCTCACTTTGTTGCCCAGGCTGGTCTTAACTCCTGGGCTCAAGTGATCCTCCCACCTCGGTCTCTCAAAGTGCTGGAATTACAGGCATGAGCCACCATGCTCGGCTAGATTATTTTGAAAGCTATTTCAGGAACAGTTAAAAGCTACAGCCTCTGGTGGAGAAGTAGAAATACTTGCCTTCTGTTATATTCTCTTTCATAATAGTTGATAATTTTTTCCATCTGCATTATTGCTTAGTTACGATTCAGTTTTTAAAAGTAAAACAGATAAAAGTTTGGATCCAGCAAAAGAGCAGTTAGATTGTTTTGCTAGTCTAGATTTAATAGTCTCTGTATTAGGTGTCATTGAATGGTAAAAGTGAATGGAAATGCTATTCCAAAAGGAGGCCATCCAGATTAAAGAGTAAAGATAGTGCATTGGAAGAAGTCGTGGCTAAAAGGAATGAAAGAAGAAATGATTAATGCTGACTGTGACATTTTTGTTCAGAAGCAACAAGGTGCTGTGCAATACATACTAATTTGGGAGACAGAAAACCAAAATTCTATTTGTCTTTGCCATCAAGTAAGCAAGTTATTTTACTTATATGATCTTGATTGTTCATGTGTAAAATGTGGATATCATGTTATGTTTTATTCAAGGTCTCAGATATTCTGTGAGACTCTGAAAAAAGGTCTAAAAGTCTATAAGCAGCTATTGTGTAGCAGGTGCAAGTTAAAAGATGAGTAGGTGTAAATAAGAGGGGACTTAAACGTTTGTGGAACAATGTAATTAAATGATAAAAACTATTAACTCTGTTTTTCAACATAACTCCATCAAGTTCAAGACCCTTTTGTAAGCAATGATAGCAGTCATTTAGACCATCCCTGAAGAACTGAGGGCCCTGGCAGTTTAACCGTGTCAGTGCTGTCTTTTTTACATTAACTGAAGAAAAATGGGCCCCCTCTAAAATTTAAGATTAGGAAATGAAGTCAGAAGGAGCCAAATCAGGACTGAAAGGTGGATGCCTAATGATTTCCCATTGAAACTTTGCAAAGGTGCCCTTGTTTGATGAGAGGAATGAGCAGGAGTATTGTGGTTAAGGACTCTCTGGTGAAGCTTTCCCAGGCATTTTTCTGCTAAAGCTTTCCCAGGCATTTTTCTGCTAAAGCTTTAGCTTTCCTTCTCAAAACACTCTCATAATAAGCAGATGTTACTGTTCTTTATCCCTTCCAAACAACTGTTGCCATGACCTTTGCTCTTGACTGGTCCTCTTTTGCTTTGAGTGGATCCCTTCCACTTCTTGGTAGCTAGTGCTTTGATTGTGATTTGTCTTCTGGATCATACTGGTAAAGCCATGTGCAGTTCTTTGAAGAAATGCTTCAGAATCTTGATCCCACTTGTTTAAACTTTCCATTGAAAGCTCTATTTTTGTCTGCAGATGATGTGGGCACACATTGAGTGGAAATTATTCAACTTTAATTTTTCATTCAGAATCATGTAAGCTGAACCAAGTGAGATGTCTTGTCTGTGGTATTGGCTATTTCTGTTGTTAATCGTCAGTCCTCTTCAGTTAGGGCACTAACAAGATTAATTTTTTCCTTGTCAATTGATGGGGATGATCTGCTGCTGCTTCTGTGAGGGCTTCATCTTCAGAATCACCTCATCTTTTCTTAAAATGAGTTATCTATTTGAAATTTCTTGTTTCCTTGGGGTATTGTCCCCATAAACTTTTCGTAAAGCATCAGTGATTTCATTATTCTTCCACCCAAGTTTCACCATAAATTTGGTATTTGTTCTTGCTTCGATTTTAGCAGAATTCATGTTGATCTGATAGGGGCTTTTCGCAAACTGATGTCTTACCTTTGTGGTGCCTTAAACAAGATTCTGTTGAAACATGTTATCACAAGTTAGCACAAGTTTATTTTGGTGCAGAATTTTTTTCTTGAAATTCTTGCATAGTTTTTCCATGATACACATTTTTTATGAACTTTTTGAAGACTCCTTGTAGGAGTAACAGAAGTACTTAGGGGTTTCATTTTTTAAAAACAAACCCTTTCATATCAATACAAGATATGTGGCCATATAAGAAACAAGCTTGGAGGTTTCCTGATCAAATGAAGTAGCTATTGATGCAGTGTTCATGACTGCCCAAGTAGAAAACCTAATGAGTAGTCAGAAATATGGTGGTACTGAAGAAAAAGAGGAGTGATATTGCTGTTACTTTTAGTATAAGAATTTAGCAGATTTGCTTCACATCTGTTAAAAGTTTCCAGCCTGAAGAGCCTTTGACACCAAGGATTAAGCAGTCAAGGAGTTCATTCTAATTTTAATATCAGTTTATTAATCTTACCTGTTTATTCATTTTCAGAAAGATACTCAAAGCCTGAGCTCAAAAATCCTTTTGATGTGTCTTGGGGTCTTTGTATAATGGATCCTGGTGGATCATGTTTTCTTATACATAATGTAAATGATACTGTCCTACTCAGGGTAAGCTTTACATTAAACTTAATTTCCTCTCCTTTTCAGATTGTTAAAGGAAATGGGCTGGCAGGAAGACAGTGAAAATGATGAAACATGTGCTCCCTTAACTGAGGATGAAATGAGAGAATTCCAAGTTATTAGTGAACAGGTAAGAAAACCTGAATCATACAACTTCACTTTTAAACTGCCCTTATTTAGAACAATATAATTATATGTAAGCATGGAGTGGGGGAGATTTAGGAATTTATCACGATAGGTCAGAATTGCTTTTAAAAAAAAAAAGAGGGAGGACAGGCTTTTGCTATGGTGTCCAGCTGGCCTCTAGAACTCCTGGGTGCCAGGTGATCCTCCAACCTTAGCCTCTGGAGTAACTGGGACTACAGGCAGGAACCACTGCACCTGGTTGAATTGACTTTATAGAAGTCTGCAATAGTGACTTATTTAAACTATTGGGTGTGCAATAGTTAGGAATTAGTGTAAGTGATGTCTATGGATTAGTCATTTTCCAGACCTTTTTTGTTTTGTTTTTTGTTTTTGTTTTTGGCTTTTCTGGGGGAGGAGCAAGAGTGATAAGAAGTAGAGAGTGTTAGTAGCTTCCTAAGTAACTTCATCTTTTATCCTTTTCTTGCACAAGAGTATTTCATATTCTAAAACATCTTGCTTAATGTCTCCCTAGTTACCTTTCTGAAAGAGTATTAGGGAATTTTTGTTAGAGCATCAGGAAGTTGAGATGCTTTTTTTCAAATCGATTATTTGTTTATTTAAAGAGTTGGGGTCTCACTCTGTCATCTAGGCTGGAGTGCAGTGGCTGGTCATAGCTCACTGCATCCCCAAATTTCTGGGCTCAAGCAATACTCTTGCCTCAGCTTCCTGAGCAGCTGGGGCTACTGGCTTGTGCCACTACACTGGGCTTATTTTCTGTCTTTAAATTGTTTCTAATTTGGGCCAACTATCTTTTTTCTTCTTTGATGATGTTTTGACTCAATTCTTATTTATTACCAACCTTTTAGTTATGATTTCTCATTTTCAGAAATAGAGAACTGTATTTTTTCTAGTATCTTCATCTCCGGTTAAACGAGACAATTTTGTAACTTTATATACCTCATTCTACTTTACAAACTATGAACAAAGCAGATTGGGGGGTGTATTAATTTAGGTCAGAATAATAAAAATAACAGATACAGCTTAATGGTTTCTGATTATATTCTGGTAAGTCCCTGAAGGTATTTATTACAGTTGTCACTTGAGGCAATAAAAATGTGGGAAAGTTTAGTACCTTAATCAGTGTGACAATTATTACTCACATCTACTTTGTCTGGATCCAGAATTTTTTCAGAAATATCATTACTTGTGTAGTTTTTGGGTTAGGATACAATTTTATTATATTCATGCTTATATTATTACAGTAGGTTTGTAACTCTTGAGGGATAATTTATTTATTTTGCTGTTAACATTTTAGTTACAGAAGAATGGTCTGAGAAAAAATGGTATTTTGAAAAATGGCTTGATCTGTGACTTCAAGTTTGGACCGTGGAAGAACAGCACTTTCAAACCCACAACTGAGAATGATGACACAGAGACAAGTAGCAGTGATACATCAGATGACGACGATGTGTGAAGGATTTCCTAACAGCTTTAGAAATCTTAGTGTGATACATCTCTCATACAGTTTGGGGTGAATTGTAAAAATGAAGAACTATAATTTATGTAGTGAAATACCCCATTAGAAGAGGATTTTTTGGGGGACTTCAATATGAAGAAAACCAAGAATGTTTTGTTGGGCTGTGTTGAACATTATTTCTTTGTAAATGAATGTTGTAGGAATGAGGACTTGGGTTGGTCCAACATTGACTTTCTTCATCACTGCAACATTTCTCTGACTAGCAATGTGACGATGTAACAAATGAGATTTTCTCATTTAATAATAAAAAATTGTGTAATGTTTTGCAAAGCTTCTGTCTTAAAATGTCCAGGTCTTAAGAAAAAAGGCAGCTTACACTGTTTTGCTTGCAGAGTCATATCTTTTTCGTACAATGGAAATCCTCAAGTCCACTTTGTGCGGTCTCCCTCTCCTTCCCCCAAAAAACAACAACAACAAAACAAAAACCAAAAAGGAAAATGTAGCATGTTGGCTAAAACTGGAGCAAAGTGCACTAAAACAATTTCCTGAACTCACCTGTTGTACTATTCACCTTTTAAACCATAAATTGCTCTTTAGCCATTTGTAGTGCAGTAAATGTTACAGGAAAAGACTTGGCACATTTTCTTCCAAATTTTAAGAGGTGATTTTCAAAAGCTTTATTGGGGTATGTTGTCAGACCAGGGTTTTCAGAGTTGATGGAAAAGAGTCTTGTGAGAAAACTTATTTTGATAAATTATTACACACGCAGAAAAACTGATCACACTGACTGGATCTGTCCACGACATGGAAAATAAACTGGATTTTCAGAATATTGTTGTTTTCTGTAGTGTTCAAGGTATTGTTTCTAAACATAAACATACTCTAAACATGCTTTATTCACTTGTTAAAGTCATACTTTTAAAAGTAATACCTTACTAAAGATGGTGATTACTTTTCCGAGGTCAGAAAAGGAAAGCTAAGCGTTTTCATTATCAAATACACAAGCTTATTAAATGAATGACTGTTAACTACTTTATTTTCATTTGCACATTAATTTTGGAATTGTTTCTGTTTTGCTGCTGACGGAAATACTATTTTGGCTCTGTGTATATTTGTATTTTGATTTTTCTGGTTTGTTTACCCCCATTTGCTTTTAGCTCCCCCTTATGTTTAAATATATTCTAACTTATGTAAAGAGCATAATCTTAGAGCAAAAATACTTGAGGTTTTATGTCAGATCTAATCTTAAGTGTTTGTTGTTTTTTAAAAAGTGTTTTCTCAGATGGCTGCAGTGTTTTTGCTATTTCTGCATAAATACCCTACCTGGACTCCCCAGTTTTCACCAGAAACTGTTATTTTTTTTTGTTGTTGTTCCCACTGAGACTGATGGTGATGGGGAAATTAAAAACAACACACTAGCACACTCCCACAAAACTTGAGGAAGAGTTAGAATGGTAATAAAATATTAAATAGACCTTATACTTAAAATAAGGTTTCACTATATAATTTGTCACAATTCAATCTAATCAGCTAAAGTTAAATGTAGTTAGAATTAGCCACAGGAGAATGTAAAGCATGCTTTGACGAAGCTATCGGTAACACATATTGAATGTCTTTGAGACTCTTAGATTGTACTATTTGCTTAATAGATTAATGAAATTTATCAGATACAACCTGTATTTCCAAAAACAAGCTAGAAGGAACCTGAGGAATGTGGTTTACATTTGAGATCCACCTTACTGTGTTTTCTACTTTCAGAAAAGATTCTGTAGTTTTGGTTTTTGGCATCTTTCTTATACTCAGTTTTTTCTGCCTTAATTCCCATTTACCAGCAGTTAACTCATGTTTATTGTGCTTTCATGCATTGTGATATGGAATGTGTTTAGTAATTTACTCCTTATAAATATGGTAAAGTACAGTGGTATGGTTATTCTATGCATTAAGTTAATGACATTAATAAGCTTGGTTATGAGGGGTTGGAGCCATACATGTAATTTAAGAGAACAGTTAAAAGTGTAACATAGTTTTAGCTTGGTGTCTAAATAATGGGCAGCTGATAAAACAGCTTGGACCATATTGTTTTAAAGAGAGCCTACAAGCACAGAAACTAGTTATAGATCTAATGTGGAATTGCTGAACTCAGAACTAGGCCATGGAAGTCTGAAAAGCAAATATGGCTGTTTCAAACTCATTTTTTTGGCAGCTTTTTTATTTTTAACACTTTATTGAGGTATAAATTGACTTGAACACACAGGTAAAACATACAGTTTACAGTGTTTTGACCTACAACTAAGTGAACATAATCTATTATTCCCCCGAATTTCTTGGTTCCTTTTAAGTCCCTGTCACTAATTCTCCACCCCCCTCTCATTTTATTTTGGTATAAAATGTAATTAATGAGCAAAATTCTTAAGGTAATGACTTAAAATAGCATTTCAAAAACTATTTGCTTGATTTTAGTATAAGGATTAGAATATTTCTGCAGATAATTTCTATTGAAATTGTTAATCTAAAATCAGCTTGACTTAATCAGATTTATATTAACAGAATTCAGTATGTTAAAGGATCTGGTTCCCCCAAAATACTTTGTCCTTTTTTGCTAGTGTTTATGTATACTGTTAGAATGTGGTTATATAAACCTTTTAAATTTAGGAATCTGTTAAATAACTTGTTTTAACACCCCATCCGTCATCATCCCTAATCTGATACTGGAGTCTAAATACATGCTCCATAATCATGCAAACTAAGTTGAATCTAGATGATGAGGGTAGACTGGGTGCGGTAGCTCATACCTGTAATCCCAGGACTTTGGGAGGCCAAGGTCAGCAGATCACCTGAGGTCAGGAGTTAGAGACCAGCCTGGGCCAACGTGGTGAAACCCTGTCTCTACTTAAAAAAAAAAAAATACAAAAATTAGCCGGGCGTGGGGGCATACACCTGTAATTCCAGCTACTCATAGGATATTGAGGCAGGAGAATCGCTTGAACCCAGGAGTCGGAGGTTGCAGTGAGTTGAGATCGTGCCATTGTGCTCCAGCCTGGGCAACAGAGTGAGACTACGTCTCAAAATAAAAAAAAAATGATAACTAGGGTAGAAAGGATACACACTTGTGAAATATTTCTATAAAGTGAGATTTTTATTTTGGCTTACACAATAAGGGATGTGTTACTAGGGCTTTTAAATGATTATCACTAAGAGTTGGATATTTTAACTTTTAGATAGTTAAGTTTCCTGAGGTTATAAAAGTTATTTGGCTGTTAGGGGAACGACAGGACATATCAAGCAATAGAAAAATCCGTGAAAGCCTCCAGATGCCGCAGAGATGCTTCAGATTCTGGTTTTTGTTTTGCTACTTAATATTTCCTTTCTTTAGGCAGGGCTGAATGCTTGCACTTAAAACGATGGGACTCAGAGGACAGCTGTGATTGTTTTAATATTTAACTATGGGGCTGGGCATGGTGGCTCACGCCTGTAATCCCAGCACTTTGGGAGGCTGAGGCGGGAGGATCACCTGAGGTCAGGAGTTCAAGACCACCCTGGCCAACATGGTGAAACCCCATCTGACCCAGTCTGTACTAAAAATACAAAAATTAGCTGGGTGTGGTGGTGCATGCCTCTGATCCCAGCTACTTGGGAGGCTGAGACAGGAGAATTGCTTGAACCTGGGAGGCGGAGGCCATAAGCCATGATTGTACCACTGCACTCCAGCCTGGGTGACAGCGAGACTCTTGATATATATAACTGTATAACTATATATATATAACTATATAACTACATATATAACTATATAAAAACTATAAAACTATGTAAAACTATATATAAGACTATATATATATAAAACTATATATATATAGTTATGGGACACGTGGACCTGAAACATTCGTAGTTTAGGACTTGAGAATGTGTTGTAATTAAGAGGTTTTGTAATTGTGAATTTTTGTTCAGTTGTACAGTTAACTTTAAGTTCATTCTGCCTACCCATATGGATTCGTTTTGTAGAACTACTCTGGCATAGTGATTGAAGGTACAATGTATTATATCATTAGGTCTGGTTGAAGGACACTGCTGAAGCATGTTCCATGCAGCAGTGTCCTAACTTGCAATATGTAAGAGCATGTGTAGTGGTGGGGCCCAAACTTATCTACACCATTGGTATCATTGGGGAGCTTCCCCAATGTGTCCACCATCCCCCACCAACACCCCAGATTGTGGTTTAATTAGACTGGGGCGTGGCCTGGGCTTTAGAATATTTAAAAATCCTGCCCCCAAAACCCATTCTTTTTTTTTATTTTTTGAGACAGAGCCTTACTCTGTCACCCAGGTTGGAGTGTAAGTGGCGTGATCTTGGCTCAGTGCAACCTCTGTCTCCTGGGTTTGAGTGATTCTCATGTCTCAGCCTCCCAAGTAGCTGGGGTTACAGGTGCGCACCACCATGCCCGGCTAAATTTCATATTTTTAGAGATGGAATTTCGCCACGTTGGACAGGTTGGTCTCGAACTCCTGACCTCAAGTGATCCTCCTGCCTATGCCTCCCATAGTGCTGGGATTTACAGGCATGAGACACCGCGTCCAGCAACCAGTTATAATGTATTAACATACAGTATGGTGGAAGTAGTCACACCTGGGTTTGAAACTACATTTTTTTTCCCCCTTTTTATTTGTGCCTTTTTTTATTTTTTATTTTTTGAAGACAGAGTTTTGCTCTGTCACCCAGGCTAGAGTGCAGTGGCATGATGTCTCCTCAATGCAACTTCTGCTTTGTAGGTTCAAGCAATTCTCATGCTTCAGCCTTTCAAGTAGTTGGGATTATAGGAGTGACCACCATGCCCAGCTAAGTTTTGTACTTTTAGTAGAGACAGGGTTTTGCCATGTTGGCCAGGTTGGTCTCAAACTTGGCCTCACGTGATCCGCCCACCTTGGCCTCCCAAAGTGCTGGGATTACAGGCGTGAGCTGCTGCGCACAGCTTTAGCTGTGACTTTAATCCAGATAGGCAACTTAATATCTATTCGATAGTGTTATTGTGAGGATGAAAACAATAATGAAAAGCACCTGGTGTAAATCCTGGTTCACAGTAGGTGTTCCATAAATTTAGCTAATTTGCTACTAGTGACAATTCAACTGGACCTTTCCCAGTAGCAGGCAGTACCTATTTTTAAAAAATTAGCTGTTGTTAAATAGGTACTATTCTAAGTGGTTGTAAATAGTGTGAAACATCTGTTTGAGTTCTCACAGTAAATTACAACTGTTTTACGTCTGCTTTGTTTGGCATTACGCTCAGTTATGACCTAAGCTTGATTTTATTCAGCTGTTAAAATGAGTTTTATCAGAGATCTGAAATGTAATCATTGAACTTTAATGGTAAATTATAGTCCTGTGAACTAATTGCAAGAATGGGTTTCCATGCTTTCAAATCTTTCAAAATAGAATTGCCTTTGCTAGTCTCATCACTTTATGCTTTTTGTGGAAATAAGGTAGTTAAGCACATTATTAGGCAAGAGTTTAACTTGATACTCATACTCCATTTCTCTCAAGGTTTTCCCTCATTTTCTGGAATGCTAAAGGTGAACAAAGATAATGGGCTGGAGAATTGTGACAACAGTATATAACTTTTTCCCCTCACTTTTTAATTTTATTAAAGAGACAGGGTCTTGCTACATTGCCCAGGCTGGTCTCAAACGGTCCTGGGCTCAAGCAATTCTCCTGTCTCAGCATCCAAAAATGCTGGGATTACAGGCATGAGCCACCGTGTCTGGCAAGAGTATATAACTCTTTTGCCTTACTTCAGTTACTTAACCTTTTTAAAATTGGGCACTTGATATGCTAAAACTAGTTGTCTGGTAGACATTAATATCTTGAGAAAATGAGATTGTATGTTTGTGTCAGCTTTTGTGTATTATTATGTATGTAATTTTTACTTAGATGCCAGAATGTACCTTTCCTCACTAGGGAATATAATTTTGTTGTAGCCTTAATGCCATTTGAATTTTTTTTTTTTTTTGAGACAGTTTCACTCTGTTGCTCAGGATGGAGCACAGTGGCATGAACGTGGCTCACTGCAATCTCCGCCTCCCGGGTTCAGGTGATTCTTACTCCTCAGCCTCCCGAGTAGCTGGGATTACAGGCATGTGCCACCACACCTGGCTAATTTTTGTATTTTTAATAGAAATGGGGGTATTGCCATGTTGGCCAGGCTGGTCTCGAACTCCTGGCCTCAAGTGATCTGTCCACCTCAGCCTCCCAAAATGCTAAGATTACAGACGTGAGCTACTCCGCCCGACCCTAATGTGATTTTCTTTAATGGCTGGAGAGAAGCAAAAACTAGCAGAAGGGAAAACAATGAAATGTCAATCTGTATACTGTAATAAGCAGGTACAGTTGCGTTACGAGAAGTTGACTTGGTGAGGTGAAGAGATATTTTCTCCCTCAAATTTGGACTTAATGTCCTGACATTGTTTAGCTTTTGAAAAGTTATTTTGGTTTATTGACTATTAGAGTGAGTCATTTGACAGAATGAGAAGAACCTGGCTACTGAGAAAGTGAGTCTAGGCAATTCTGTATCCCCACATAGAGACATAGAGACTCATGCCATCTATTAAGATGTCTGAAATTTCTTTTTTGAAGATTATTTTCTAAACCGAATGTTGGCAAACTTTTTCTGTAAAGGGCTAGATGGTAAATATTTTGGACCATGTGATTTTTGTTCCAATTACTCAATTAATAGTACCAATGCAGCCGCAGACAGTAAACAGGTAGGTGTGTCTTTTCCAATAAAACAAGCTGGGTAGGGACAGTAGTTTGCTGATCCTCATTATAAACATTAAAAACTAGGCCTTTGGAAACTCAAGGAAAGTGAAAGTTGGGTTGTCATATTTGATCTTTATACCATTACCTGTGTGATTTTTCAGTCTTGCAAAATGCTTCCCCCTGTCCTGCCCAGTTCTGGGGCAATATTTGAAAGCCTAACTTTTTTTTTTCTTTTAATACAGACATTCTGAATGTAAGGAAGCTTAACTTTTAAGACAATTGTTTCCCGTTTGTAAAACATGATTGTAATGTGTCCACACAGGATAAAATATAGTGTGTCCTAAATCACAAGGAAAGAAGTACAAATTTATCAGTGCAATATAGAGACTTTTACAGAGAAAGTGGGAAAACTTGTGAAACATGGAGATAGTTTTCAAAGGATAGACCTGCTTCCCTTTCTCCTCCAAAAGTGAGGTAATTTCTTCTGTCACTCTGCCAGCATTCTCTGCTTTGAGTATTTATGAGGATAAAAACTGTCTTTTTTCCTCGATTGGATTGTGCCAACAACAATAAGGACCATTTATTTTAACAGAAGACCCTTGCCTGCCTTTGGTGGAAATTATAGCTTATTTTTCTCCAAAGTGGAGACGTTGGCGAAGAGCATTTCATCACTTTGTTATGAACATGAATTGAGAACTAGAGGCATCACTTTATCAGCAACAGGAAATAATAAAACAGGATAAGAGCTTTGAAACAAGAGGTCAAGGTTTGGTATTGAAGTTGCCGTGATAAGGCATCAGGTTGCCATAATTTTGGGGTTTGTACTAAAGTTGAGTAGATGCTGGTGAGACATAATAGCGCAGATAGAAAGCCATAGGTGATGAAGTTAGTATCTTATCAGTAACACATGCTTCAGACTAACAACTAGGCACAGAGGGCAATACTCAAATTCTAGGGTGGGGATGAAGGAAAGATTTCTGTGATGGGGCAAAGATGTGAAGTCAGCGTACTGGACCTGAAATCTAGGAATTAGGAAATTGTCCTCAGCCAGTGAAACCACTCCAGAGGTACCACATGATATCTAAATCCATAGAAAAGAATAAAGAACAAGTTGCTGCAGGAAGCACTGAGAACCCTCCTAGACCTAGCTAGAGGCAGGGCTAAACAAAGTTCAAATAGCCCAGTCAGTCCAACCTCCATGAGAAGGGATCTGATCCATGATGATGAGTAAATAGAGAAGGCCTTCACTAGTTACATTAAAATGTGATCAATGATTTCTTTGGTAGCAAATATTTCTGTAACTGCAACTTTCTAGATTAAAACAATATTCTGCCTTCTCTTTAGATTGTATGAATCTTTCTCCTTTTACCAAATTAAAGCAACAAAGTCAGTAAATAAGGGCCTGCTAGGCTAGGCCTTGTACTGAGGGTACAAAGAATAAAGATAACCCTTGTGCTGAAATTGATCACAACCTTGTAGGACAGACTACTGCAAATGAGTTTTTCAGTATGTGCTGTGTACAGAGCATAGAGCATAGTAGGACAGCTCAGGGAAAGCTTTCCAGAGGATGTCATCGTTTCAATGATTGATTAACAATAGGCACGCTATAGCCCATTGGGTTCAGGAAACCTTTTGGAGTTCAGTATAGGTGTAAGGGGAGGAAAGGGAAATGAGGCTGGTGACACAGCAGGAGCCAGGTCATGAAGGACCCTCTACCATTTTGACCAAATTTTGATTTTATCCTGCAAGCAGTGGGGAGCCATCAAAGATGTTAAAACTGGAATATCAGTCCTTAAGTAACACTAAGATCCATATATATGATTGCTTAAAACTGCAGGGTAAGGGAGGAGGGAAAACTTGTGAATACTTCAGGTGTCACTTTAAGTGACAAGTCATCTAGAGGAGTATATGTTAGTAATGAAAGAGGCAAACTTCCTGGCATGTTGGGATGGGGGAAAGGTTGAACAAGGATCTGACCTGAAGTAGAGAAATTGCCTACGGCAGTCCCTGAGTAATACGCTGTCACATAATTTTAGACCTCACAAATAAAGATGAGGTTCTAATAAGTAATTTCTATCTCTTTTAATAAGCCTATTCTCTATTCCCTGTCCAAAGTAATTTATACTGAAAATTAATTGAGTAATTATTGAGCAATTACTATAAACAAAATGTAGTGCTGGTGGATGAAGAGACCCAAAGATGTAAAAAGTGTGGTCCTGCCTCAAGAAACATCCTCTATTTTATCTACATCTGTTTCCATATATAACTAAGTCCAGGGAAGACAAGCCTTGGATTTTCTGTATAGCTAGGCACATTCTCAGTACCTGAAAATTTGTGTCCAGAAAAACAAAATACTTCTTTTTGAATAGGTGCTTTTGCCATTTCTAAAAATGCAATGAATTTATATGTTTAATGTAGTTTTCTGTGGTTTGTTTCACAATGGGAGAAATAATTAATTTTACAATTTGCTAAGCCATGTCCTCTAAGGCCAAGAACTGCTACTATTAAAGATATTTAAGATATAACAAGAAAAAATAATAAACTAAAAAAACAACAGACAAGATACTTAAAATATGTTTTGACTTCAGAAGACAGATCAGAAGAATAATTCCAAAAATGCTCTAAGCAATGGCAGCATTACCAGAACCATTCCTACATTGACTGAATGCCTTCTGTGTGCCTGGTACTATGATGAGTGTTATTAAATAAATGCAGAGCCCATCAAAGTGACTACTATGAAGGTAGTCATCCAATAGTCGTTTGGATGATCCAGTTTTAGTGTGTGAAAAAATAAAAATCACTTTTGTTTATTGCGATGTGACATTAGTGAGAAATAAACACTCTAACACTGAGGCTGGGTGTGGTGGCTCACACCTGTAATCCCGGGACTTTGGGAAGTCGAGGCGGGTGGATCACCTGAGGTCAGCAGTTTGAGACCAGCCTGGCCAACAGAGTGAAACTCTGTCTCTACTAAAAATACAAAAATTAGCTGGATGTGGTGGCGGGTGCCTGTAGTCCCACCTACTTGGGAGGCTGAGGCAGGAGAATCACTTGAACCTGGGAGGCGAAGGTTGCAGTGAGCTAAGATTGTGCCACTACATTTCAGCCTGGGTGACAGGGTGAGACTCCAAATCAAAAAAAAAAAAAAAAAGAGTAACACTGGTTTTTAGCCTTGGGATTTAGCTATTTGGTGTACAAATGTTCTGCTGAAATCGCAGTTGCTAACTTTGACAAATTTTCAAGCCTTTCTTTTTGACTTGGAGGTAGTTATAAAGAGAGGTTGCATTATCCTAGCATATTTCTCAATGCAGGCTGGGTTGCATTTACTTCACAGATGTTTGTCTTGCTGAACCTGATTAGCAGAGGCATCCTTGGGTCTCAAAAGGTCCAGTGACCAATTGACTCCAGGATTCTGAGCCATGCCTCTGGCCAGGCTCTTCTGAGCAAAAGACAAATGTGTGTGCAGGGGTCCCCAAAGATAAAGCAAGTAGTCAGTAGGTAGGAAAGCTGTCTTCCAGTATTTGAAGGGCTGTTAGGAAAAGAGGAACTAACTAGGTAGTTTTTGTGTGACTTGGGTTGTTACCTGGCTTGTATGTGCTTCAATTTCCTTAGGTATAAAATGGAATACTGTTTGAGCTATGCCATTAAATTGTTGGAAAGAATTTTTTATAACATGGGTGAAACCATGAATGAGACATTGGCACATAGTCAATGCTCAGCAATAGTAGCTTTTTAAAATTCTGTATGGCTCCATGGAAAGAAATCTAGCAAGGTGTCTTTCTAAATAAATGTATGTTGCATGGATGAACACTATTTTTATGTTTACCAAGAAGTTTTAAACATAATCTCCAGTGATCTTTGCACCAACTGCTGGGGTGTGGTTGAAAGAATTATTATTCTCCATTTTCATAAACGGAAACTCAAGGAAGTTAGTAATTTGCTCAAAGTCACTTTGCAGGTGTGAGTGCACTGTAACTTGAAGGAGGTCTAATTTCCCAATTCTTTGTCTTAGTCCATTCAGTCTGCTATAACAAAAATTCTGTAACATCTATGTCTTATAAACAACAGAACTTTATTTCTCACAGTTCTGGAGGCTGGAAAATCTAATATCAAGACGCCAGCAGATTTAGCCTCTGAAGGAGACTCACTTGCTCACATAATGGAAGGGTGAGGGAAGACTCCAAAGTCTCCTTTATTAAAAAGGCACTAATCCCTCTCAGAGTGATTAGTCACCTAATCACCTCTCAGACGCTCTGCTTCTAAATATAGCAATGTTCTATAGCAATGTTCTTTCCACTATATCAAATCAAGAAGTTTTGACTTGGAGGTTGTTATAGGGAGAAGTTACATTTTCTGCATATCTCTCAAAGCAGGCTGGGTTGCATTGAAGAGGAATGCAACGAGGGCTGATTCAAGCATGTTGAAAGGATGCAGATTCCACTTCACTGAGGGAAAAATAATCTTTCTACTAGAATTCTTTAAAAAAATGATTTTCTTAAAAGGGAATGAGTAGTAGTGGTGTTTGAGCAGGAGATGTGTGACCAATCTTCCTACATATTGTGGAGGATCTTGCATTTGGGAAAATCTTGACCAAGATGACTGTAATGGCCTTTTAAATTTTGGTTTTATAGTTTTAAGTACACGAAATTTGTTGACTCGTACTTTTTTTTTTTTGAGACAGGGTCTTGCCTGTTGCCCAGGCTGGAGTGCAGTGGCATGATCTCAGCTCACTGCAACCTCCACCTCCTGGGTTCAAGCAATCCTCGTGCTTCAGCCTCCTGAGTAGCTGGGATTACAGGTGTGTGCCACCACACCCAGCTAATTTGTATGTATTTTTAGTAGGGATGGGGTCTCACCACATTGGCCAGGCTGGTCTCCAACTCCTGGCCTCAGGTGATCCGCCTACCTCGGCCTCCCAAAGTGCTGGGATTACAGGTGTGAGAGACTGTGCCTGGCCATGTTCACTCATACTTTTAAGATTGTCATTTTTTTATTGCAACTCATCAAAATGTCACAAGTCATGTAAACTACTCCCTTAGATGTTCTAGTGTAATTTATTTGCTTCATGCTTTCTAAATAGCAAAATATGAGTAATATGACCTAGAATATTTAGCTTTAGGTGTATGTCCCATTGCATCACACAGAATATGAAAAAGATGTTCTCAAGATTTGAAACTTAATAAAAGTAATAATTTTTACTGTTTTATACAGAACATCTGTAAGTGAAGCTGGCATTTTTCCCCTTTACTATTAAATACCTGGGCGCTAAGAAATACAATGACTACTAATATTCTTTGGTGCCATCATGAATACTTTTGATTCATGTTAAGACACCAGCAGTTTTATCCACTTCCTGTGCACCATCAGTGCAAATGTTTGACACAATTGTTTCAGTAAAACACCCTGTGATTCAAAAAGGTTATTTAGTGCTTTGACTATTTCAGCATCACTTATGTTTGTTGACAAGTATTTACATAAAAGAAGATATTCTTTGATAATTGCTTGGTGCTGACATCACATGAATACAAGTAAAACAGCAAGTTCAGCCACATATGTAGATTTGCCCATTTGTAAAGCAAGTACAATTCTGCAGATAAGCTATTAACTGAGTCTTCATGTTTGCAACTAAATTTTTAATTTGACAAGTTATCTAAAATTAACCATCACAATAGCTTTCCTCATACTTTTTGTTTATTTATAGTTTTGCCCAGTTTATTTGAAGTAAATTCCCTTTTTTCATGAGTTAGAAAACGCTGTGGTGTCAATTTCATTCTTTGAACATTTTTAGATATTGATGGTGCAGCCGTTGATTGAGAAAACAAGTCTTCTTCTTCTTCTTTTTTTTGACATGGAGTTTTGCTCTTGTTGCCCAGGCTGGAGTGCAATGGTGTGATCTCAGCTTATTGCAAACTCTGCCTCCCGAGTTCAAGCAATTGTCCTGCCTCAGCCTCCTGAGTAGCTGGGATTACAGGCCTGCACCACCACGCCCAATTTTGTATTTTTAGTAAAGATGGGGTTTCTCCATGTTGGTCAGTGTGGTCTTGAACTCCCAACCTCAGGTGATCCACCCACCTCGGTCTCCCAAAGTGCTGGGATTACAGGCGTGAGCCACTGTGTCTGGCCTCTTCTTCTAATCTTTATTTTTAGCCAACTTATCTTCTTAACTATAATAAAAATAAAAATCTATTTTTGCTAATTTAACTTTTTATTTTTTTCTTTTTTGAGATGGAGTCTTGTTCTGTCACCCAGGCTGGAGTGCAGTGGCACAATCTTGGCTCACTGCAACCTCCACCTCCCAGGTTCAAGTGATTCTCCTGCCTTAGCCTCCTGAGTAGCTGGGACTACAGGTACGTACCACCATGCCCGGCTAAGTTTTGTATTTTTAACAGAGACAGGTTTCATCATGTTGGCCAGGCTAGTCCCAAACACCTGACCTCAAGTGATCCGCCTGCCTTGGCCTCCCAAAGTGCTGGGATTACAGGTATGAGCCACTGTGCCTGATTGCTAATTTTAGTATAAAATATTAAACTGAAATATTTTAGGTAAAAATTAAAAAATTAGAAAAGTTTTAAGAATTTTAAAATATTGCAAAATAAGACATCAACGTGTATTAAATAGTGTTATTTCTACAGAAACTCAGAAAAATTTCTGAGTTTCAAAATAACAATTTGTTGGACAAAAAGGTTATAGAGATCACAGTGATATTCCTGAAGATAGTTTGTAAAAGCCCTATGGGAGTACAGAAAACAAACTAAATTAATCTCTGAAAGTGCACAAATTTATATCCTAAACTTACTCTCTTGGAGATTTCTTTAAAAACACAATTTAGAAGCATACATTCCATTAGTCAGCTGTATTAGTCTGTTCTCATGCTGCTGTGAAGAAATACCCGACCGGGTAATTTAAAAATAAAAGAGGTTTAATTGACTCACAGTTCCGCATGTCTGGGGAAGCCTCAGGAAACTTACAATCATGGCAGAAGGCATCTTTTCACAGGGCAGCAGGAGAATCAGTGCCCAGCAAAGGGGGAAGCCCCTTATAAAATCATCAGCTCTCATGAGAACTTACTCACTGTCACAAGAACAGCACGGGGGAGGGGGGAGCTGCCCCCATGATTCAATTATCTCCCACCAGGTCCCTCCCATGATACGTGGGGATTACAAGATTACAATTTAAGATGAGATTTGGGTGGGGACAAAAAGCCAAACCATATCATCAGCATAGCAACCACATTGTCACATGTTATATAGCCTTTGGAAAATACCACTCTACATGCATTAAAAAAATGAAAGCAAAAACATTTTACTATTATAATGAATTTTTTTTTTACCTTAATCAACCCCAAGAGGATCTCAGGGACTCCTAGGAGTCTGGGCCCTACTCAGAGAACCACTGTCAATGAGATTGGATGTGCTTATACCTGATGACAATAAGTAACTCAAACCATGACATTCTCCTCTGTAGCACTAAGGCCACCCCCTTCACATCTTGACCTCACTGACCAAGGCCAGTGATTATGTTTCATTTATCTCTGTGTCCTTATTACAGATGCTTGTCCATAACAGTGGCTGGGTGTGGTGTCTCATGCCTTTAATCCCAGCTTTTTGGGAAGCTGAGGCAGGAGGATTACTTGAGGTCAGGAGTTCATGACCAGTCTGGGCAATATAGCAAGACCTTGTTTCTACAAAACCAAAAAAACATATAACTGCTTAATAAATGTTCATTGAAAGAATTTGAACTTTTTATTTCAGCAGAAAATATGACAAAAAGATTTTTAATGCTTTGGTGCCCTCAGGTGGCATTATATCGCAAAGTAACTTAGGAAAAAATACTGCATGTGTTAGTTTAGAACCTTGAGCCCAGTTTGGATTTTGGTTGCCATTTTGTATTAAAAATACTTTTCTTCTGATTCAAATTATCTTGCACATGTCAAACAAATTATTTGGATGAATTCCATCTCCATCTCCTATTTTATTTTGATACAGGTTGAAATTATTCTATTCATTATATAATTTTTCACTAGATTCATTGAGCTGACCAATCTATCATAGTCTTTCATTTCTTTCCCATTGCCATAAAATGTTGAGTGCTTCTCATTATTAGTTAGTTTTTAGATAAGAGAAATGAGTTATATACCTGGCAGGGTTCTTAAGCTATCTCCAACCTTTAACTCAAGTCTTTACATACTTTACTTCCTTATGGATCTGCATTTCTTTTGAGAGCAGATACTTATTTTGTATTAGGAATGTCAAGCATATTTTTGTATTTTCTATTTTCATTTAGTTTTACTATTTTTTTCTTGTTATGCCTCTTCCAAAATATATGCATTTTTTTCTTACTTTGTGAATTTATAGGTGCATGTACTTGTAATCAAAAGAGTGAAGGTGGCCATATTCAAAGGGAACTCTGAGATATATGAAAAATGTGGGTGCTCTTCCAAATTATGATTAGGAATTTGGCAAATTGGATGACATACTGCAGATGTATTGAGTTCCTTTTACTCTCCAAACTGTTAAAAGTCTTTCAGGCTGGGCACGGTGGCTCATGCCTGTAATTCCAGCACTTTGGGAGGCCGAGAAAGGCAGATCACTTGAAGTCAGGAGTTTGAGACCAGCGTGGCCATCATGGTGAAACCCCGTTTCTACTAAAATTACAAAAATTAGCCGTGGTGGTGGGTGCCTGTAATCCCAGGTACTTGGGAAGCTGAGGCAGGAGAATCCTTTGAACCTGGTAGGCGGAGGTTGCAGTGAGCCAAGATTGTCCCACTGCAGTCCGGCCTGGGTGACAGAGTAAGACTCTGTCTCAAACAAACAACAAAAAAAAAGTATTTCAGATCATTTAATCAATGGCCACTATATTGGAATGAACCGTGAGTGAGATACTTGCTTTAGGGATGTTTGATTCAGGTTCAAGGGTATGTGAAGAACCTGGAGATATATATATATGTGTGTGTGTGTGTGTATAAATGTGTGTGTGTGTATATATATATATATATATATATACACATACATACACACACACATAAATACATGTGTGTATATATATATACACACACATATATATACATACATATGTATATATATACACACATATATATACACATATATGCACACACACACACACATATATGTATATATTTTGGAGGTTCATCAAAGTGAAGGTTGGGAGAACTAAAATTCTGTAACCAAGGAAAAGTCTGGGGTGGAGACATCCACCAAGGAAGTACATTTACATTTACAATATGGCCACTCTTCCACTATTTAAATGTTTTGTTTCATTCATTTGCTCAACAAATATTTATGGACTCTAATATGTAATTTCAGCTGTTGTGTATCTGGGAATATTTTCGTATTTGGGAACACAGATATTGAAAAAGGAGGCCCATCCTTCACAAAGCTCTTCATCTAGTAAGGAGACAGCAAAGTTAATTAGGCAGCATCATGAGCACTATGAAACGCATAAAAGCAAGTCAATAGAAGAATCTGATTCAAGCTGGTACAGTGGCATTCACTGGTAGTCTCAGCTACTTAGGAGGCTGAGGTGAGAGGATTGCTTGAGTTAGAGGCTACAGTAAGCTATGATTGCACCACTGCACTCCAACCTGGGTAATAGAGTGAGACCCTGTCTCAAAAAAAGAAAAAAAAAAGGAAAGAAAATAATCTGATCCTTGTTTTGAAGAACAATTAGGTGTTAGCTGTTTGGTGGAAGATAGGGTGTTTCAATAGAGGGGCTAGTGTGTGAACGGCACTGGAGGAGTGTATGTGGAGGAATAGATAAAGGCTAGAAAGTCTGGCTGCATTGGCTCACACCTGTAATCCTAACACTTTGGGAGGCCGAGGTGAGAGAATCACTTGAGGCCAGGAGTTCAAGACCAGCCTGGCCAACATGGCGAAATCCCATCTCTACTAAAAATACAATTATTAGCTAGGTGTGGTGGCACATGCCTGTAGCCCCAGCTACTCAGGAGGCTGAGGCATAAGAATTGAACCCTGGGGCGGAGGTTGCAGTGAGCTGAGATTGCACCCCTGCACTCTAGCCTGGGTGACAGAGCAAGACTCTGTCTCAAAAAACAAAACAAAACAAAAAAAATAGAATAAAAAAAAAAGGTAGAAAGGCAGGTAGAGATCTTGAGACTCTAACTAAATATCTGAATGCTTTCCTGGAGGCCGAGGAACTACTGAAGGTTACACTTTGGCCACAGAATAAAGAAAAGACTGGGCTGGGCACAGTGGCTAACACATGTACTCCTAGCACTTTGGGAGGCCAAGGTGGGAGGATTGCTTGAGGCCAAGAGTTCAAGACCAACCTGGCCAACATAGTGAGACTCCATCTCTATTATTTTTAAAAATTAAAAAATTAAAAAAGGAAAAGACTGGAGGGGGTAAACTAAGAAATAGGGAGGCAGTTAAAATGTTGCAATACTACTAGAAAGAAATGAAAAAGAAGTAAGGCCATTGTAGTGGGAGTAAGTTGAGATGTTAAGGAGACAGATCAATAGGGTTTGGTTGGTAAAGGGGTGAAGATGTTAAGGATGTCTGTGCTGTACTTGGCTTATATGGTTGTGCCATCCATTATGATAAGAATTCAGAAAGAAGAGTGTATTTTTGGGGGCAGGGGAAAAGAGTTTAGCTTTGGATGTTGAATTTAAGACATTCAAATTGCAGTTTGTCATACAGTTTGAGAAGTCCAAAGTGGTGTACTGGAGAGAGACCACCCAGCAAAATCAGGTGGGGAGTTGGCCCTAGAAGAAATGAATGGCATTGGCTGAGTTTCCTGTTTTCATGGCCTCTAAGTCAAGCCTTAATCAGGAACAGCTAAAACCCCAATAGAAAACCTGCAATCTTTTTGGCTTAAAGAAGCACAGGACAGACCTTGAGGCAACCACAGTTGCTGGAACGCTAGTGGAGGACCTCCAGAAATAAGAAACCTACAGAGGAGGAGGTTCATTTTCAATATCCTTCCTTGATATCCATGGGAGATTGGTTCCAGGACCCCCACGGATACCAAGATCCAAAGATGCTCAAGTAACAATGTAAAATGGCATAGGATTTGCATATAACATATATACATCCTCCCATATGCTTTAATCACCTCTGGATTACTTATAATACTTAATACAATATAAATGCTATGTAAATAGTTGTAATGTTATATTTTTAACTTATATTATTTTTTATTGTTCCTTCACTGGTTTTTAAATAATATTTTTGAATCATGGTTGGTTGAGTTAGCAGATGCAGAACCCAAGGATATAGAGTATAAACTCTGCAAACATCCATTGGGAAGACTTAGATTTGAGCCTTAGTGGATGACCTGGGGCAAGGTACTTCACCCTTGGTTTCTTAATTTTTAAAATGCAAAAAATAATATTTTTCAGAGTAGTTATGAGCAGTAAAAACAAGTACTTGTAAGATATTTCACACAGTCTTGCCACATAGCTGACTCTCAATAAATGACTGCTGTATTAATCAGGACTCTGCTAGTAGCAAGTGACAGGAACTGAACTCGAGCTTGCTCAAGTGGCCAAGGAAGTTGATCAACAGCAAGGTAGAACAGGAGGTGGAGTCAGGATCTCTGTCATCAGGTCTCTCTCTCTCACCCAGTCACACCTTGCCTTATCTCCTGAAGTTTATCCTTCACTTCCGTTGATGGCCTCCTCCTTTGGGAATGGGTGTGGGTAGAGCTGTGGGTGTGGGTGTGGAGATGCCTGATCCAGGATTACACCCTCAATGATAGGCAGAAGAAAAGCCCCCAAATAAGCTAATATCTTAATCTCAGAAACCTGTAAATATGTTTCCTTACTCAGCAAAAGGGAACTAAGACTGCAGATGAAATTAAAATGGCTAATCAACTGATTTTAAAATAGAGAGATTATCCTGAATTATCTAGGTTGGCTCAATGTTATCATTAGGGTCCTTAGAAGCAGAAGAGGGAGGCAGGAGAGAGTCAGAGGGAAATATGACCACAGAAGGCCAGAGTGATATGATGTGAGGACTCAACTGCTGTGGCTGGCTTTGAAGATGGAGAAAGGGGCCATGAGCCAAGGAATGGGGGAAACCTCTAGAATCTGGAAAAAGCAAGGAAACCAATTTTCCCCTAGAGCCTCCAGAAGGAATGCAGCCCTGTCACTAATTTTAGCCTAGTGAGACCCATGTCGGACTTCTGACCTACACAACTATGAGATAATAAATATGTATTGTTTAAGCCTCTAAATTTGTGGTAGTTTGTTAAAGCAACTATATAAAATGAATATGCCATCCCAGTTTTGTTGGGATGATATGTGTTTCGTGGAGCCTAAAATGTATGCATTTTGGGGGTCTCTCTTTAAGGAAAATTCAAAATCACAAAAGAAAGAGAATATTTAGAATGAGAAAGATCACAAAAAACTGCAAAATTTAAGAAGATGACAGGCAAGAAGGCAGAACAGATGGCTCCACCTATCATTCCCCCAACAAGGGCACCAGTTTAACAACTATCTATGTAAAAAAAACACCTTCATAAGAACAAAAAATCAGGTGAGCACTCACAATACCTGGTTTTAACTTCTTATCACTGAAAGAGGCACTGAAGACATAGGAAAAATGATCTTGAATCATTAATGCCACTGATATTAGTGGCATCTGTGTGCCCACCCAAATCTCATGTTGAATTGTAATCCCCAGTGTTGGAGGTGGGGCCTGGTGGGAGGCGATTAGATCATGGGGTGGTTTCTAATGGTTTAGCATCATTCCACTAGTGCTGTTTCGGATAGAGTTCTCATGGTATTTGGTTGTTTAAAAGTGAGTAGCACACCAGGCGCGGTGGCTCATGCCTGTAATTCCAGCACTTCGGGAGGCCGAGGCAGGCAGATCATCTGAGGTTGGGAGTTTGAGACCAGCCTGACCAACACAGAGAAACCCCGTCTTTACTAAAAATACAAAATTAGCCGGCATAGAGGCGCATGCCTGTAATCCCAGCTACTCAGGAGGCTGAGGCAGGAGAATCGCTTGAACCTGGGAGGCTGAGGTTGTGGTGAGCTGAGATTGTGCCATTGTACTCCAGCCTGGGCAAGAAGAGCAAAACTCCATCTCAAAAAAAAAAAAAAAAAGTGTGTAGTACCTCCCCCTTCACTCTCTTCCTCCTCTTCTGGCATGTAAAATGTGCCTGCTTCCCCTTTTCCTTCCACCATGATTGTAAGTTCCTGAGGCCTCCCCAACCATGCTTCCTGTACAGCCTGCAGAACCTTTTAAGTCAATTAAACCTTTTTTCTTTATAAATTACCCAGTCTCAGGTAGTTCTTCATAGCAGTGCAAGAATGGACTAATACAGCCACTCCTCTCCCAACCCCTGGCAGTGGTGGCACAGTGTGGCAAGTATTTTGATGTTCTTGGGAGAGGGAGACTGCAGCATTTGTGAGGCATTGAACTCAGTGCTGCCCTATTATAACAGAAAACAAAACTGGACCAAACTCAGCTGATGCCCACCACAGAGGCAGAATTTAAATCAGACCTAACCTGATCTGATTAGGGGAATTGCTGATCCCAGTGGTCCAAATTTGAGTTCCTGCAAGCCTCACCACTGTGGTCTAAAGTGTTCTGGGGCCCTAAGTAAACTTGAAAGGCAGTCTAGGCCACAAGGACTGAAACTCCTAGGTGAGTTCTAGTGCTGAATTGGGCTGAGACAGTGGACTAAGGGAGCATGTGATCTACTGAGACCCCAACCTGGGCAGCCAAGGGAGTGTTGGCATCACCCCTCCCCTAACCCCAGGCTGCACAGTTTGCACTTCCAAAAGAGACCACTTCCCTCCACTTGAGGAAAGGAGAGGGAAGAATGGGGAAGAGTTTGTCTTGCATCTTGGATACCAGCTCAGCAGGATAGGGTACCAGTCAGAGTTGTGAGGTCTCCCTTCCAGACCTTAGTTCCTGGATGACATTTCTAGACACATCCTGGGCTAGAAGGGAACCTGTTGCCTTGAAGAGGAGGACCTAGTCCTGGAAGGATTTATCACCTGCTAACTGAAGAGCTCTTGGGCCCTGAATTACCAGCAGCAATACCCAGATACTACGTCAAGGGCCTTGGGTGAGCCTCTGAGACTTGCTGGCTTCAGGCAAGAATGAGCAACACTCCTAGCTATGGTTGCTACAGGGCAAGATCCTTCCACTTGAGAAAAGTGTAGGGAAAAGCAAAGGGGATTTTGTCTTGCACCTTACATACCAGCTCAGCCACGGGGGAGTAGAACACAAATGAGCTCTTGGAGGTCTTTGATTCCAGGACTTGACTCTTGGATGGGATTTCTGGAACTGCCCTGGACCAGAGAGGAGCCATTGCCATCAAGGTGAGTCCCAGGCCAGGCAGCATTCACCACAAGCTGACTGAAAGGCACTTGGACCTTAAGGGGACATTGGTGGTAGCCTGGCAGTACTCCCTTTGGGCCAGTGTTGGTGGTAATCATTGGGGGAGGCTCCCTTATCTTTGGAAAGGGGAGGGAAGACTAGAAAGAACTGCATCTTGTGGTTTGAGTGCCAGCTCAGCCACAGTACAGTAAAATACCACCAGGTAGACACCTAAAGTTTTTGACTTTAGTCCCTGGCTCCCGGATGGGATCTCTGGACCTACCTGGGGCCTGAGGGAATTCGCTGCCTTAAGGAGAGCATAGGCCTGTCTGGCTTTGCCATCTGCTGATTGTAGAGCCCCAGGACCTTGAGCTCCAGGGCCTTGAACATAGGCCATAGGCAGGGAGTGGTTGCAGCAGGCCTTGGGTGAGACCTAGCTGTCTTTAGGTCTGACCCAGTGAAGTACTAGTGGTGGTGGCTACAGGGGTGTTGTGTCACATCACCCCCAGCTGCAGGTGGCTCGGAGCAAAAAGAAAGATATTCTATTCATTTGGAAGAAAGCAAGAGAACAGAATAAGAGTCTCTGTTTGGTAATCCAGATAATTCTTCTGGATCTTATCCAAGACCATCAAGGCAGTACCTCTATGAGTCTGCAAGAACCACTGTGTTACTGGGCTTGGGGTGTCCCCTAAAGCAGATACAGCTTAGATCACAACACTCAAGTCCTTTAGAATACCTGGAGAGCCTTCCCAAGAAGGACAGGTACAAACAAGCCCAGACTGCAAAGACTACAATAAATACCTAACTCTTCAATGCCAAGACACTGAAGAACATCTACCAGCATCAATACCATCCAGGAAAATATGACCCCCTCACCAAGTGAATTAAATAAGTTACCAGGGAGCAATCCTGGAGAAACAGAGATATGTGACCTTTCAGGCAGAGAATTCAAAATAGCTGTATTGAGGAAACTCAAACAAATTCAAGATAACACAGAGAAGGAATTAATTTAGAATGTTATCAGATAAACTTAACAAAGACATTGAACTAATTAAAAATAATTGGCTGGGAGCGGTGGCTCACGCCTGTAATTCCAGCACTTTGGGAGGCCGAGGTGGGTGGATCACTTGAGGTCTGGAGTTTGAGACCAGCCTGACCAACATGGAGAAATCCCATCTCTACTAAAAATACAAAATTAGCTGGGCATGGTGGCACATGCCTGTAATCCCAGCTTCTCGGGAGGCTGAGGCAGAAGAATTGCTTGAACCCGAGAGACGGAAGTTGCGGTGAGCTGAGATCATGCCATTGCACTACAGCCTGGGCAACAAGCGTGAAACTCCGTCTCAAAAAATAAAAATTAATAATAATCAAACAAAAATTCTGGAGCTGAAAAATGCAATTGGCATACTGAAGAATGCATCAGAGTATCTTAACAGCAGAACTGATCAAGCAGAAGAAGGAATTAGTGAGCTTGAAGACAGGCTATTTGAAAATACACAGTCAGAGGAGATGAAAGAAAAAAGAATAAAAAAAAGAAGCGTGGCTACAGGATCTAAAAAATAGCCTCAAAAGGGCAAATCTAAGAGTTACTGACTTTAAAGAGGAGGTAGATAAAGAGATAGGGGTAGAAAGTTTATTTAAAACTATAATAACAGAGAACCTTCCAAACCTAGAGAAAAATATCAATATCCAAGTACAAGAAGGTTATAGAACACCAAACAGATTTAACACAAGGAAGACTACCTTCATTTAAAAATGAAACCCCCAAAGGTCAAGGATAAAGAAAGGATTCTAAAAGCAGCACGGGAAAAGAAACAAATAACATAAAATCAAACTCCAATATGTCTGATGGCAGACTTTTCAGTGGAAACCTTACAGGCCAGGAGAGAGTGGCATGACACATTCAAAGTGCTGAAGGAAAAAAACCTGTTATCCTAGAATATTATATCTGGGGAAAATATCCTTCAAACATGAAGGAGAAATAAAGACTTTCTCAGATAAACAAAAGCTGAGAGATTTGATCAACACCAGACCTGTCCTAAAAGAAATGCTAAATGGAGTACTTCAATCAGAAAGAAAGACATGCTAATGATCAATAAGAAATTCTCTGAAGGTACTAAACTCACTGGTAATTGTGACTACACAGAAAAACACAAAATATTATAACACTGTAATTGTGGTGTATAAACTACACTTAGGTAGAAAGACTGAACAATGAACCAACCAAAAATAACTACAGCGATTGTTCATAAGATGTAAATACAAACAACAAAAAAAAAGGTGGGATAATGAAGTTAAGGCATCAGTCTTTATTAGTTTTCTTTTTTGCTTGCTTGTTTGTTTATGCAAACAGTGTTAAGTCGTTAGCTTAAAACAATTGTTTATAAGATAGTATTTGCAAGCCTCTTGGTAACCTTAAGCCAAAAAACATACAATGGAGACACAAAAAATAAAAAGCAGGAAACTAAATCATATCACCAGAGAAAATCACCTTCACTAAAAGGAAGACAGAAAGGAAAGAAAAAAGGAAGAGAAGACTGCAAAACAACCAGAAGACAAATAACAAAATGGCAGGAGTAAGTCCTTACTTATCAATAATAACATTGAATGTAAATGGACTAAACTCAACAATTAAAGGACATAGAATAGCTGAATTGATAAAAAAAAAAAAAAGACCCAGTGATCTCTTGCCTACAAGAAACACACTTTACCTATAAAGACACAAATAGCCTGAAATAAAGGAATGTAAAAAGATATTCCATGCCAATGGAAATCAAAAAAGAGAAAGAGTAGCTATACTTATATCAGATAAAATAGATTTTAAGGCAAAATTAGAAGAAGAGACAAAGAAGGTCACTATATAATGATAAAGAGGTCAATTTAGCAAGAGGATATAACAATTTTAAATCTATATGCACTGAATGCTGGAGCACCCAGATATATAAAGCAAATATTATTAGAGCTAAAGACAGAGATAGGCCCCATTACAGTAATAGCTGGAGACTTCAACTCCCCACTTTCAGTATTGGATACATCTCCCAGACAGAAAATCAACAAACAAACATTGGACTTAATCTGCACTACAGACCACATGGATCTAATAGTTATTTACAGAATATTTCATCCAATGGCTGCAGAATACACTTTCTTTTCCTAAGCACTGGAATCATTCCCAAGGATAGACCATATATTAGGCCACAAAACAAGTTTTTTTTTTTTTTTGAGACAGAGTCTCACTCTGTCACCGAGTTTGGAGTGCAGTGGTGTGATCTCAGCTCACTGCAACCTCCACCTCCTGGGTTCAAGCAATTCTCCTGCCTCAGCCTCCCAAGTAGCTGGGACTACAGACATGTGCCACCATGCTCGGCTAATTTTTGTACTTTTAGTAGAGATGGGGTTTCACCATGTTGGCCAGGCTGGTCTCAAACTCCTGACCTCAAGTGATCTGCCTGCCTCAGCCTCCCAAAGTGTTAGGATTACAGGCATGAGCCACTGTGACTGGCACAAAACAAGTCTTAAAACATCCAAGGAAATTAAACTAATTTTTTTTTTTTTTTTTTTAGACAGAGTCTTGCTCTGTTGCCCAGGCTGGAGTGCAATGGTGTGATCTCAGCTCACTGCAACCTCTACCTCCCTGGTTCAAGTGATTCTCCCTGCCTCAGCCTCCCAAGTAACTGGGATTACAGGTGCCTGCCACCACACCCAGCTAATTTTTTGTATTTTTTGTACAGGCATGGTTTCACCGTGTTGGCCAGGCTGGTCTCGATCTCCTGACCTCAGGCAATCCGCCCACCTCGACCTCCCAAAGTGCTGCGATTACAGGCATGAGCCACTGTGCCCAGCCAAAATTAAACTAATTTTAAGCATTTTCTCTGACCACAATGGAATAAAACTAGAAATTAACAAGAGGAGTTTTGAAAACTATACAAACACATGGAAATTAAACAATATGCTCCTAATGACCAGTGGGTCAAGTAATAAATTAAGAAGGAAATTGGAAAATGTCTTGAAACAAATGATAATGGAAACACAACAGGCCAATATTTATAGGATGTATAGCACGGCAGAAGCAGTGCTAAGAAGGTACTAAGGGGGCCGTTTATAGCTATTTAAGTACCTACATCAAAAAAGAAGAAAAACTTCAAATAAACAATCTAACAATGCACCTTAAAGAACTAAAAAGCAAGAACAAACAAAACTCCAAATTAGTAGAAGAAAAGAAGTAATAAAGAATAGAGCAGAGATAAATGAAATTGAAATGAAGAAAATACAAAAGATCAATGCAACAGTTGGTTTTTTGAAAAGTTAAACAAAACTGACAAATTTTAGCCCAACTAACTAAGAAAAAAAAGAGAGAAGATCCAAATAAATAAAGTCAGAGATGAAAAAGGAGACATTACAACCAATAGTGCAGAAATTCAAAGGATGGTTATTGGCTACCATGAGCAACTATATGCCAATAAATTGGAAAATCTAGAAGAAATGGACAAATTTCTAGACACATACGACCTACCAAGATTGAACCATGAAGAAATCCAAAAGCTGGACAGACCAATAACAAGTAACAAGATTGAAGCTGTAAAAAAAAGTCTCCCAGTAAAGAAAAGCCTGGAACCTGATGGCTTCACTGCTGAGTTTCACCAAACATTTAGATAAAAAATAATACTAATCCTACTCAAACTATTCTGAAAATCAGAGGAGGAAGGAACACTTCCAAACTCGTTCTACAAGGCCAGTGTTACCCTGATACCAAACCCAGACAAAGACATAAAAACAACAACAACAACAACAAAACTACAGGCTGATATCTTTGATGAATATTGATATAAAGATCCTCAACAAAGTACTAGAAAACTGAATTTAATAATACATTTAAAAGATCATTTATTATGACCAAGTGGGGTTTATCTCTGGAATGCAAGAATGGTTAAACATACACACATCAATCAATGCAATACATCATATCAACAGAATAAAGAACAAAAGCATATGACCATTTCAATAGATGCTAAAAAAAAGCATTTGATAAAATTCAACATCCTTTTAAATCCTCAAAATTTAAATCCTCAAAAAACTGAGTATAGACTAAACATATCTTAACATAATAAAAGCCATATATGACAGACCCACAGTTAGTATCATACTGAATGGGAAAAAACTGAAAGCCTTTCCTTTAAGATCTGGAACATGACAAGGATGCCCATTTTCACCACTGTTATTCAACAGTACTGGAAGTCCTAGCTAGAGAAATCAGAAAGGGGAAAGAAATAAAGTATATCCAAATTAGAAAAGAAGAAGTCAAATTATTCTGGTTTGCAGATGATATGATCTTATATTTGGGGAAACCTAAACACTACTAAAAAATGAATTCAGTAAAGTTGCAGGATACAAAATCAACATACAAAAATCAGTAGCATTAAAAAAGAAGTAGTCTCATTTACAGTAGCCATAAATAAAATTCTATACCTAGAAATTAATCAAAGAAGTGAAAGAGCACTATAATGAAAACTATAAAACACTACTACTAATAAAAGAAATTGAAGAATACATGAAGAAAGGAAAAGCTATTCCACGTTCATGGATTGGAAGAATCAACATTGTTAAAATGTTCATATTATCCATAGAAATCTACAGATTCAATGCAATTCTTATAAAAATACTGATGACATTCTTCACAGAAATAAAAAAAAATCCTAAAGTTTATATGGATCAACAAAAGCCCCAGAATAGCCAAAGCTATCCTAAGCAAAAAGAACAAAATTGGAGGAATCACATTACCTAACATCAAATTATATTACAGAGCTATACTCACCAAAACAGCACAGTACTGGCATAAAAGCATAGACCAATGGAACAGAATAGGGAACCCAGAAACAAATACACACAGCTTCAGTGAACTAATTTTCAACAAAGGTGCTAATAACACATGCTGGGGAAAAGACAGTCTCTTCAATACATAGTGTTGGGAAAACTGGATATCCATATGCAGAAGAATGAAACTAGTCCTCTATCACCATATACAAAAATCAAATCCAAATAGATTAAAGACCTAAATCTAAAACCTCATACTGTGAAACTATTACAAAAAAAATTGTGGAAACTCTCCAAAAATTTCTTGAGCAATATCTCACAAGCACAGGCAATCAAACCAAAAATGGACAAATGGGATCACAACAAATTAAAAGGCTTCTGCACACTAAAGGTAACAATCAACAAAGTGAAGAAACAACCCACAGAATGGGAGAAAATGTTTGCAAACTACCCATCTGACAAGGGATTAATAACCAGAATATATAAGGAGTTCAAACAATTCTATAGAAAAAAATCTAATAATCTGATTTAAAAATGGGCAAAAGGTCTGAATTTCTCAAAAGATATACAAATGGCAAACAGGCATATGAAAAGGTCTTCAACATCACTGATCATCAGAGAAATGCAAATCAAAACTATAATATCATCTCATCCCAATTAAAATGGTTTATATCCAAAAGACAGGCAATAACAAACGCTGGCAAGGATGTGGAGAAAAGGGAACCCCTGTAAACTGTTGGTGAGAATGTAAATTAGTACAATCACTATGGAGAAGAGTTCAGAGGTTCCTCAAAAAACTAAACATAGGGCCAGGCACGGTGGCTCATGCCTGTAATCCCAGCACTTTGGGAGGCTGAGGCAGGCAGATCACCTAAGGTCAGGAGTTCGAGACCAGCCTGGTCAACATGCTGAAACCCTGTCTCTACTAATAGTACAAAAATTAACTGGTGGTGGTGGTGCACACCTATAATCCCAGCTACTTGGGAGGCTGAGGCAGGAGAATCGCTTGAATCCAGGAGGCAGAGGTTGCAGTGAGCCGAGATTGCGCCATTGGACTCCAGCCTGGGCAACAAGAGCAAAACTCCATCTCATAAAACAAACAAACAAACAAACAAACAAACAAAACCTAAAAATAGAACTATCATATGATCCAGCAATTCTACTGCTGGGTATATACGCCAAAGAAAAGAAATCAGTGTATCAAAGAGACATCTGCACTCCCATGATTGTTGCAGCACAATAGCCAAAATTTGGAAGCAACCTAAGTGTCCATCATCAGATGAATAAAGAAAATGTGGTAGTGCTTACATACAATGAAGTACTATGCAGCCACAAAAAAGAATGAGAGTCTGTCATTTGCAACAACATGGATGGGACTGGGGGTCATTATGCTAAGTAAAGTAAACCAGGCACAGAAAGACAAACATCACATGTTCTCACTTATTTGTGGCATCTAAAAATCAAAACAATTGAACTCATGGAGCTAGAGAGCAGAAGGATGGTTACCAGGGGCTGGGAAGGGTAGTGGGATGGGGGAGGGGAGTGGGATGGTTAATGGGTATTAAAAAACAGAGAGAATGAATAAAACCTAGTGTTTTTTAAATAGAGAGACTAAAAAGATAATCCACTCTTCCCTCTTTAATTATTGATCGTTAAGAAAAGTTTCAGTTTAATGAGTTGTAAACTTTCAGAATTGTTAACTTTGAGAAACCCTCTATCAAGTGTGTTTTACATATAAGTGAGCTGTTAGGTCTTAGGCATTTCAAGTTTTCTTGTTCAGTAAGTAATATTAAATAATCTTTGAAATGATGACACTTATTAACCAGTTTATTGCCACAGTTCTTGTAGGAAAATGTTATAAATTATGTATTTTCTTTAAGTAGGTATTTCATTTAAAAAGTCAGCAATAAATTAACAAGAAATGTATACATGGGATCGGGCAGAGGAGGAGCCTATGCAGAGGGTGGGCTGGCAAAAGCAGGGGGTGCAGAGGGCCTGAGAAGAGTGAACCTGCAGGGCAGCAGGTGGGTAATGAGACCAAAAAAGTATATTGGAGCCAGGTGCTATTTGTGCTGAAGAGAGATCATATTTTAAGTTAAAGAACCCAAAGGCCTGAGACGGATTCCTAACCAGTTGAAGAATATCACGGAAATATTAAGGTCATTAACAGCAGAGTTGGAAAAACTCTGGTCTGAATCCTGACCCTGTCACTATGGCAGCAAGAGTAACTTGCTAGCAGTAACTTTCGTATATACATAACTGGCAGTGAATAACATGAATATGTCCCATTAAACCCAAACTAACATAACTATGTCCCACTAAAACCTAAACCCAAACTAAATGTGTCCCTGATTCAACTTCTCCTTCACCAGGTTTCAAAAGTGCCTGTGGCTGTTTCATGTGCCAAGCATTCATTGTTTCATTTAAATAGATAACTCTCCAGTCCCTTATGTTATGCTGTGTTTGTTGATCTCTCTCCCAAGAGACAGAGAGCTCGCAGATGTCAGGGACTAGAAACTCTTCATCTTTACACTTCCAGCACTTGGTATAGTGCCTGCACATAGTGGGTACTAACGCTCTATTTGTATATTAAGGGAGTCCACTCCATGCAAGCATTATGGCGTGTTTGGTTTGATGTGAGGATATCTGTATGGGCCTCAACGCTGGCCTAACTATACTTCTGGTGAAGTCGGTATTCTCTAGCCTGACCCAGAATGAGGAAACCCTCTAGAGCAAGGGTTGTCAAACTTTTTCTATAAAGGGCCAAATAATAAATATTTCTGGCTTTGTGGGCCGTTTGATCTCTGTTGCAGTGAGTCGACTCTACCTTTGTAGTGAGAAAGCAGCCATAGGCAATATATAAACAAGTAGGTATGGACACGCTCGAATAAAACTTTATTTACAAAAACAAGTGGTCCCCCTTGCTGTGGATCACCAGGCTGGTAACTGGTTCATGTTATGAACCAGCCAGTTGGCTCAGCCTCCAAAGTAGCTGGGATTACAGGGATCCACCACAACGCCTGGCTAATTTTGTATTTTAGTAGAGATGGGGTTTCACCATGTTGGCCAAACTGGTCTTGAACTCCTGACCTCAAGGTGATCCTCGGCCTTCCAATGCCAGGATTACAGGCATGAACCACCATGCACAGCCATAATACGAACTTTCTTTCCAGGGTCAGAACAAAGAGCCAGAGGTACTATTCATTCGGGTATACATTTGTCTCTACATGACCTGCATAATCTTGAAATTTTCTGCAGAACATTGTACTTTTAGAATATGCTTATATCTTACCAACTATGCATTCAATTTTTTTTTCTGTCAAACTTAAATTCATTCTGCTTTTAACTGAAACGTGATCCTTCTTATTCTACTCATGGAAAGGAGTCCAGTAGCCTGGGAGCCTGGGTACTACTTTATCAAATAGTTACTTCTTTTATGCTTTCAGGTAGTTAGTTCTCTGTTTTGTATAGTTTTCTAGCATATCAATGTCTTTAAAAACAACTGGCCAGGTGTGGGGGCTCATGTCTGTAATCCCAGTGCTTTGGGAGGCCAAAGTGAGGTGATTGTTTGAGCCCAGGAATTCAAAAAACAGCCTGGGCAATATAAGAGACCTGGTCTCTACAAAAAAAAAAAAAAAAAAAAAAAAAAAAAAAAGCCAGGTGTGGTGGTATGTACCTATCATGCCAGCTACTTGGGAGGCTGAGGTGGGAGGATCACTTAAGCTGGGGAGGTTGAGGCTGCAGTGAGCCGTGATCATACCATTGCCCTCCAGCCTGAGCAACAGAGTGAGAAACTGTCTCAAAAAAAACAAAACAAGGCCGGGCATGGTGGCTCATGCCTGTAATCCCAGCACTTTGGGATGCTGAGGTGGGCGGATCACCTGAGGTCAGGAGTTCGAGACCTGCCTGGCCAACATAGGGAAACCCCATCTCTACTAAAATACAAAAATTAGCTGGGCGTGGTGGCGGGCGCCTGTAATCCCAGCTACTCAGGAGGCTGAGGCAAGAGAATCACCTGAACCTGGCAAGTGGAGGTTGCAGTGAGCTGAGATCACACCACTGCACTCCAGCCTGGGTGACACAGCAGGACTCCATCTCAAAACGAAACAAAACTTAAAATGATCTTCAGAAAGAATCATAATGATGAAAGCACATGACTGGGAATTTGTTGAATTAAACATTTTTTAGGCTACAAATGATAAAAAACAAGCTGAAATTGTCTTCACATTCAGATGGATCAAATTCTAAAATAACATGTAGGGGAGGGACTTGTTTCTGCCTTTTCTCAGCTCTGTCCCTTTCTGTATCACTCTGTTCTCAGACAGATTGTCCACTCATGGTGGCCCCAGGCAGCCCCAAGCTTACATTTTTTGCCAGTAAAGCCCAGTGAAAAATAGAAATTCTGTTTTCCAGTTAGTTCCAATACAAGTTTTGAGTCTGACTTTCATGGGTCAATACTGAAGATCTTCCAATCACAGAGGCCTGAGATGGTGTATATGCTGATCACCAGAGCCTGGGCCATTTGCCCTAGGCTGACTTTTCTTTAGGTCCCATCCAAGCTACAGAGATGGGAGTAGGCAGTGGTGTTTCCTCCCATGTTAGTTTCTTATTGCTGCTGTAACTATTTACCACAAACTGAGTGGCTTAAAACAACACAGATTTGTTAATCTTACAGTTCTGGAGGTCGGAAATCTGAAATGGGTTCTACTGGACAAAAATCAAGGTGTTGGCAGGGCTGTGTTCTTTCAGGAGGCTCTCAGGACAGTCTGTTTCTTTGCCTTCTGTGGCTTCTAGAGGCCACTTGCATTTCTTGGCTCATGGCTTTCTTCTCCCTGGGAAGCCAGCAGTCGCTTTGCTCCAATCTTTGCTTCTGTCCTCACCTCTCCTCCCCCTGACTCTCCTCCTCCTCTTTCACTTATTAGGATCTTTGTGATTACATTGAGCTCACCTGGATAATCTCCCTATTCCAATACCCTTAACTTAATCACATCTGAAAAGTCCTTTTGTCATGTAAGGTGGCATATTCAGATTCCGGCCATTTGGAAGTGGGCATCTTTGGGGGGTCATGATTCTGCCTTCCACATCCCTTAAATCAGGGAGCTGTTACTAGTGAAGGGGGATCAGATTCTAGGCAGGTGAACCTGCAGGCTAGTTCCCAATTCAATTATTTAGGTAGCTGCATGATTTAGGTAAATAACTTAATCTTTTTAGGTCTTAGCTTTCCCACTTGCAAAACAAGGAAGTTGTAATGGGCAATCTTGCTTAGACTCCCTTCCAAATCTCAAATTTGGTAATAGATGGGTAGCATCCAAAGCTGGTGAGTGGGTGGTAGAATGAGGACTTCGTGCACTGTTGGTGGGAATATGCATCTTTTGGGAATATAGCCTCATTATCTAATAAAATCATAAATTTGAACACTTTGATCCAGCACCCCCAGAAAAAAGTGCCAGAATATAAAGATAAGTAGTTCTATTTTTTCTTTTTGCTATTTCATATGAGTATATATTTCTATATATACATCTGAATCTTTGCAGCCATATTATGTATATATGACACATGTATGTCACAGTAGCTCACCTCTGCAATCCCAGCACTTTGGGAGGCTGAGTAAGGAGGATCATTTGAGCCCAGGAATTCGACCTGGGCAACAGAGTGAGACTCTGTCTTTTTTAAAAAAAATTAGCTGGGCATGGTAGCATGTGCTTGTGGTCCCAGCTAGTTGAGGGGCTGAAGTGGGCAGATCACTTGAGCCAGGGAGCTCAAGGCTGCAGTGAGCCATGCCATGGCACTCTAGCCTGGGTGACAAAGTGAGACCCCATCTCAAAAAAGAAAAAAAGAAAAAAAGACACATGTCTATATATCATATACATGTATCATGGTAGCAAAAAAATCACTTGTTTCTTCAGTTGTTTCTACAATGGAAAGTTTCAAAAATAAGGAAATTTAGAATAAATTATGATATATCCGGCTGGGCGCAGTGGCTCACACCTGTAATCCCAGTACTCTGGGAGGCCGTGGGGGGCGGATCACTTGAGGTCAGGAATTTGAGACCACCTTGGTCAATGTGGTGAAACCCCGTCTCTACTAAAAATACAAAAATTAGCTGGGCGTGGTGGCTTGTGCCTGTAGTCCCGGCTACTTGGGGGGCTGAGGCAGGAGAATCACTTGAGCCTGGGAGGCAGGGGATGCAGTGAGCTGAGATCATGTTACTGTACTCCAGCCTGGGCGATAGAGGGAGACTCCGTCTCAAAAACAAAACACAAAAAACAGAAGAATCCAATATGTCTATACATTACTTGAAGAGAAATCTTTGAAATTTTATTAGGTAAAAAAAGAAAATTATAGAATATTATGTATAGTCTGATCCTATTTTAGAAAATTAAAAAACAAGAGAAAAAAGTATATGTGCATATGTTAGGGTAGGTAGCTAGGCAGACATGAGCAGGGCAGGAGAGCCCCCCAAAAGGAACGTCAGGCGACCATCAGATGATGGCCAGGTGGTTGTTAAACTGTCTTTCTACAATAATAATTGATCACAGCGGTGCCAGGGGAAGGCAGTCTCCAACAGATAGAAAATACCTGAAGCTAGTGATCAGCAGCTTCCTAATAAGATCTTGGGATTTGGAAGAGTGGGCTCAAGCATGTGCACTAAGAGGCAAAATGGCAGAGTTTAACTGGTATATGACCTTCCTCTAGGAACAATTGACTGGTAAGGGAAAAATGCCTCAAATGAACATGTGTACAACTTCAGTAAGTGCACTGCACATGCAGCCCCTCCCAAATGCTGGCAGGCCATTGCACAGGCAGACAGCCCAGCCCAAGGAAAAATCAAAGGAGGAGAGACACAAAACCCCAGAAGCATGACAATATATAAAACCCCATGTCAAAGGTCAAACGGGGCACTTGGATCTTTCAAGATGCCCATTTGGCCCTCTTCCAAGTGTATTTTACTTCCTTTCATTCCTGCTCTAAAACTTTTATAATAGACTCTCACTCCTGCTCAAAAAACTTGCATTATGCTCCTTGGATGTATTCTTTGCTCTGAGGAGGCAAGAATTGAGTTGCTGCAGACCCATATGGGTTCACTGCTGCTAACACATCTGTGTTTGTGTATCTTTGTGTGAGCATAGAGAAAGTTATGAAAGCCTCTTAAAAGTGATTACTTTTGGGAAGGTGTGATTGGATGAGGGTGGAGAGGTTGTTACCTTTTTAAATTACTCAAGTAATTAACAAAGACATTACATTTGAAAACAAAACTTTAGAGCCAAGGCCGGCCCTATTAAATACCACTCCTGGCCCTCTTCCCGCGTTATATGTGGTTTTCCTGAGATTTTCTGTGTATTTGCATGGTTATATATGTACTTGGGGAGAATTCAGAATTTTTTAAAATACATGCTACCACGTTGTACGGATCTTTCTATAATATACCTTTTCACTCCACAGTGGTTCTTTTTTTTGTTATGTGTCCATGTTAGTAAATGTAAACTCTCTAATCCCTTTTTAATTGCTGCATAGGATGCCTTAGCAAATAACCATCTATTTAGCCATTCCTCTACTGACGGGCAGTTAAGACTCTTTCTATTTTTTAGCTATTAGAAACAGTGCCACAGGGGCCACTCGTGTACAAGCCTCCTTGAACGCATGTTTATGTTTCTCTAGGAGAGACACCACTAGTAAAATTGCTGGGTAATAGTGTATGACATTTGAAAAATATTTTTAAAGTAGATTCAGGCCCAGTGTGGTGTCTCTCGCCTGTAATCCCGGCACTTTAGGAGGGCGAGGCAGGAGGATTGCTAAGGCCAGGAGTTTGTGATGAGCCTGGGCAACATAGTGAGAGTTCACTTCTACAAAAAACTTAAAAAAAAAAAAAAAAAAAGAGACTACAGTATATTCTGTAGAATTGCCTTTAAAAGAGGCCATGACAATTTACATTTTATAATCTGAAGGATATTTAAAAAATTATTGTCTAATTTAAAACAGGCATGTCTTAATTAATAAAAAACAAAGAAAATCCATAAAATTGTTCTTGAATTCCCTTTGTTCTCCAAATGTGAAGAGATACATGGATTTTCACCTTTCCTGGCTTCCTCCAGGGAGTCCTCCCAGGTGAGCAGGAGATGGAGAAGGTAGCTTCGGACAGCAAAGATTAATGAGAGTCTTCAGAGAGCTTGTTTCTGTCCCCTGGAACTTACCTGATAAGCAAGAAAAAGTTACAAATTTACTACATATTGAGTATGCCTAGTCTCAAAATCTGAAATCCAAAAGGCCCAAAATCTAAAACTTTTTGAATGCTGGCCAGCATAAAATAAATGCTCCTTGGGGCATTTCAGATTTTCCTACTGGGGATGCTTAGCTAGTGTAATGTAAGAATTCCAAAACCCAAAACGTTTTGAAATGCCAAATACTTCTGGTCCCAAGCAGTCCCAAGAATTTCGACTAAAGGATGCTCAACCTGTATTTGGTGTTTTATTTATAGTTCCAGCATGAGAGAAAGGCATCTCTGAGTTTCAGAAAAGATTTTGGTTGAGCATATGAAAATATTGGCTGAAGAAAGAAAAGGCCTTTAGAATTTACAGAAACATGAAGTGGAAATGGCTCTTCCTCTGACTTAGGCAGTGAATGTAGAACACACCCGGAGAGCTTAATGGGATCTTTCACAGAAATGAAACTCCTCAACAAATGTTTGTCAGCTTAGGTGAGGTTCTTGGCTAAGGCACCAGTAGTGGACTTTGATATTCTTTTACAAGTGTATCACTCACCAGCAGAGGGGGCCAAAGAGCTTTCCACGGTTTGGAAACTCCCTGGCGTCAGAGAAAGCATCGGTATCACCTTTGCCTAATAGTGCAGCATATAAAAAATGTTTAAATTTGGTGTCCAACAAGAAATGCCATAGCAGTCATTTTCTTAAATAAGTAATTTTAACGTATATATGGAATGACATATGCACATTGTTAAAATGCAAATACAAAGAATACAAGAAGGCTTTTTGTATATAAAAACATAAAATGTTTTAAAAGACAGCGCTGGGGCTAAGACTCAGAACTATGTGTTTTAGACACTGTTCCCCCAGTAACCAGTTTGGAAACCTCCGGGATAGCTAATGGCTTCCCTCAGATAGGGAGTTGCCCTCTCCTTAAAAAGTCCCTGCTGGAGGGACAGAAAGGGTGACTTTTGTGGTTCTGGCTTTGTCCTATGGCCCTTTGGATTCCTTCCCACCTTACTGATCATGGTAGTGGAGTGGGTGGTGGCTGGAGGAGAGGCAAAAAGAGCATGTTTCTGTTCTAAACAACTGTCATACAGGGGCTCTGTGTTGATAAAAACACCCATGCTTTTAATTTCACATAATTTGTGGTTTAATTTGGCTATTGCAGTGACAGTCAAGAGATGATTCTCTTTGGAGAGGCTGAGAAGAAAAGGAAAGAGACTAATCAGGGTGTGTTAAACTTTTTTAATAAAAAACGAACACTAGGGGGCAGCAAACCACTGTTCGGAGGAGCGTCTGCACAAAATTTAGTAAGGCCGAAAGATTGTTTTCCTGAACACGTGATGTGTTTGTTAAACATCCTCTAAAAAGGGATGTCTGCTGTCAGGCTGCTTTTACCTGAATGGTAGTTTCAATCTTTAGGCGGTCTTTACTTTTCAGTTTCCTCCACACGTTCCGATACCTGCCATCTTCTCATGGAGCACATTCACATGTCACAATCAGTGTTTCCGCACTCTGGGCTTCTTAAAGGGAGCCCTCCTAGTGCCTCCCACAAAGACCGCTAACATTAATCTCCAAAACCACGCACCTCGTCGGGGAACAGGCGGCCTGAACAGCTCACTTCCTGTATCTTGAGGGATGAGGAGCTGGAGGTCTCCACCCGCTGGGTCTCTGTATTAGTCTGTTTTCACACTGCTTATAAAGACATATCCGAGAGTGGGTAATTTATAAAGAAAAAGAGGTTTAATGGACTCACAGTTCCACGTGGCTGGGGAGGCCTCACAATCATGGCGGAAGGTGAAAGGCACACAAGAGAGAAAAGAGAATCAAGCAAAAGGGATTTCCTCTTATAAAACCAACATATCTCCCGAGACTTAGTCACTACCGCGAGAACAGCACGGGGGAAACTGTCCCCATGATCCAATTATCTCCCACTGGGTCCCTCCCACAACATGTGGGAATTATGGAAGCTATAATTCAAGATGAGATTTGGGTGGTGACACTGCCAAACCGTATCAGTCTCTAAGTTAATACAGATTCTGCCAAGACCTCCTCCTGCCCTCCAGGTGATAGGAGAACTCTAGGGGTCCTATTCAAGTAAGCGTGTTCACAGGGGTGACCTTGCACTGTCCTGAGGGACGTTCCATATAGGCAAAGGCTAAATTTTGTTTGGCTAGATATTTTATTCTAAATCACCTAAGCCTATTTCCTCTGCTGACTCTGGGAATTAGTACCCGGGAGATATATATATCAGCTAGGACTCATATGGGCCTTGGTACCACGTGATGCTTTCTGGTAAGTGCTGCTGAGGTGCCATCAGAGCCCAGAGTATTGGGTTATGGTGTCATTTAGCCATGAGCTGTGTGGCCTTGAACAGACCATGTAACCTCTGTTTCCTCATTTGTAAAATGAAGAAGTGAGCCTGGAAGTGAGCCCAGAAGTGCATCTCTGGATCTGATTTGAAGCAAGTAGATCACCATGCTCCATATTCTTTTACGGGATCACATTTGTAACTGCCTGTGATGGTTAATATTGAGTGTCAACTTGACTGGATTAAAGGATGCAAAGTATTGTTCCTGGCTGTGTCTATGCCAAAGGAGATGAACATTTGAGTCAGTGGACCGGGAGAGGCAGGCCCACTCTCAGTCTGGGTGGCCACAATCTAATCAGCTGCCAGCGTGGCTAGATTAAAGCAGGAAGAATGTGGAAGGACTAGACTGGCAGAGTCTTCCAGTCTTCATCTTTCTCCAATGCTGGATGCTTCCTGCCCTCGAACGTCGGACTCCAAGTTCTTCAACTTTTGGACTGTTTGACTTACATCAGTGGTTTGCCAGGGGCTCTTGGGCCTTGGGCCACACAGTGAAGGCTGCACTGTCAGCTTCCCTAGTTTTGAGGTTTTGGGACTTGGACTGGCTTCCTTGCTCCCCAGCTTGCAGACAGCCTATTGTGGGACTTGATCTTGTGATTGTGTGAGTCAATATTCCTTAATAAGCTCTCTTTCATATATACAACTATCCTATTAGTCCTGTCTCTCCGGAGAGCCCTGACTAATTACACTGATCAATGGGTTCTTCTTGCTCACTGCGCAGATGTGTTGATTTACTAAGACAGGATAATTATGACAGAGAGAGTTTAATACACGTAGAGCCAGCTAAACGGGAGACCAGAATTAGCCTTCCTGAAAATTTGGAGGCTAGGGTTTTTCAAGGATAGTTTGGTGAGCAGGGTGAGCTGTGCTGATTTGTTGGGGATGCAATCAGGGGAGTGGGGAAATCAGTTCTCATGCACTGAGTCCACTTCTGGGTGGGGGCCACAGAGGAGGTGCTGGTCCAAGTGGAGTCATCCAGTTGTCAGACATGCAAGAGGCTGAAAAGACATCTTAAAAGGCCAATCTTAGGTTCTAATAATTGGGGAAACTGCAATTCTTGTGTCCTTTGGAACAATGACTGGTAATCATTTAACTATGCCTACATTTAGCAGAATTTAAGCGCCTCTCATAATCCTAAACTTGTGGCCTTTTATTAGTTTAACAAAAACGTAGTTTAATTTTGGGAAGCGCTATTATCATTTGAACTATAAACTAAATTTCTCCCAAAGGTAGTTCGGCCCATGCCCAGGAATGACCAAGGGCTGTTTGGAGGTTAAAGGCAAGATGGAGTTGGTTAGGTCAGGTCTCTTTCACTGTCATGATTTTCTCAATGTTGTAACTTTTGCAAAGGTAGTTTCACGATCTCCAGTCGTGGGCCCCCAGTGTGCATTTGCATGTGGTGGTGGTGGTAATAGTGGGGGGACCCCCAGGTAATTCTGGTTTGCTCCCCAGGATGTGAACATCCAGGCTAGATCATTGCTAGTATTCCTTCTGACATTCATTCATTTGTTCATCAGATATTCATCAAAAATATGTTGATATAAAGGTCTTTATGAGTCAGTTTTGAATTCTGATCCAGTAAAAAGTTGCCAGATAGATTATACAGACTATGCCAAGCAGACCTACACAGACACACACATGCACACACACACAATTTTTGGTGTGTTCCAATTAGTATGGTAATAGGTACTTGGTTAGGTTACATTAATATCATTATTTATTTTCCAAGTCAGAGTGACTTCACAGTAGTTGACAAAATGAGATGTCCTAGGACACATAAGCCAAGAAATGAGTAAAATTGAATTAAGTAGCTGTATTACTCCATTCTCACTCTGCTAATAAAGACATACTTGAGACTGGGTAATTTATAAAGGAAAGAGATTTAATTGACTCACAGTTCAGCATGGCTGGGGAGGCCTCAGGAAACTTACAATCATGGCAGAAGGCGAAGCAAACAAATCCTTCACATGGCGGCAGCAAGGAGAAGTGCAGAGCAAAGTGGGGGAAAAGCCCCTTATAAAACAATCAGATCTCGTGAGAACTCTCTCACTATCACGAGAACAGCATGGAGGTAATCGCCCCCATTCAATTCAATTACCTCCCTTCAGGTACCTCCCATGACACGTGGGGATTATAGAAACTACAGTTCAAGATGAGATTTGGGTGGGAATGCAGCCAAACCACATCAATAGCTGACTCATAAACTGCCCTGGAAAGAGAATCTGACGTCCTAGTGCCAGCTGCCACTCTGCCACCTACTGACAGTGTGATCTTGGTCAAGACAGTTGACAAAATGCCTTAAGTTTTCTCCTCTTTACTAATTATTACTTTTCAAAGAGGATTAATCAAACTCATTGCTTGTTTTTTTGGGATGAATATTAGGATTAATGAGATAATGTGTGCAAAAACTCTTTGTGAATTGTAAAGAGCTATAAGCCTTAATATTAATCTTGCCTTATTGCTATCACTACTCTATCAAGCAGGGGCAGTGGTATTTTCCTTTCAGGCTATGACTCTTAAAGGTAGCAATAGATGATCTTGGTTTTAGTTTGTAAGTGGTGAATAATCTCTCTGGGTTTTCTCTGTCACTTTCCATGAACCATAACAACCCATGTCTTTGCATTATTGGCCTTAGCTGACTCCTCTCCAAAGCTTCCTCCTGCCTCATCCACTAAAAAATGCCCCCTGTGGTCCCCAGTGCCTCAGCTGAAACCTTTTCCACTATGGTTCTGTAAATGTAAGGCTTTGTGGTGAGCTGTGGCCATGGAGATACAAAAGCTGCATCATAGTTTATTTGGGACTGGCTTTCTAGGAAAACAAAGCAGAGTGGGAGAGATGCTGGCTTCAGTGTGTCTGTGCTTTGTCCTCCTTATCCCTTCCCTGAGGTGTGGGGGACTTTTGCAGCCCCATTTTGGGCCTCAAATTAAGACTTTCCTGCTTCATATGTTGAGGGTCCTCATCATACTCCCCCTTCCTTTCTGGATTGAGGAGAAGGGTTGGTGCATTTGTGTTCTGCCTTACAAGAGGGATGAATACAAACAGCATATTTACTGAGAGAGGCATTTTGGGATCAGAGAGACTAATGCAATGGGTCTGGAGGTGCACACTGCAGGATGCTACGGTTCCTGGGGAATGTGGTGCCTTGTCTTCTCATGTTTCTCCTTCTCAAGGGAAAGGGGAAGCATTAGATGACCTTGTCAGGGTCACTCTTAGTATTCATGCTCTAATGAGCGCTCTTCAAGCAGCTGAAGCACAATTTATTTCTAACTTTCCACACACACTAGTGGGGGAAATTTTAGGATCACCAAAGAGGACTTAGAAGATGGCCATCCTTGTACCCTGCACCACTAACTCCTGTAGCCCCTATACCTTCTCTGTGGGGCAGTGGCTCTGTCCCGGGACACATGCTTTGCCATTGGCAGTGGTTCCTACTGAAGACAGTTGGGATGTCGGGTCCTTCTCATCAGCACTGAACTTGGGCAGTCTCTGAGCTTTGGGATCAGGGCTCCTCACACTCTCAGTGGTGGACGAACAGCTTTAACAAAATTCCCAATCCATCACAGACTGATATTTGTATAAAAACAAATTTTTGCCTTTGTAAAAAATGAAATGAAAAAATCCAATACAAGCGCCACTTAAAAAATTATTTGATTTTAACAGGTATAATAATCTGTCAAATTGCTATCAAAGCTTTAGAAGACTTTCTATTACTGGCACACTTGGTTTCTCAAGCCACCCACTTGGCCCTCTTCCAAGTTGTACTTTTCTTTTCTTTTTTTCTTTCCTTACTGTTCTAAAGCTTTTAAATAAACTTTCACTCCTGCTTTGAAAAAAAGAGACTGCATTACTACAAGAAACAATTCAGTAACAAATGGTTTTCCTCCCTGGGGCAGGTGCATTGACCAAACTTTGGGAAGCCCTGCTCTGGAGGACTTAGAGAGCCTACAGGCTCCTGTCTGGGGCCCACCACTATGTGACAGGCAGGGGGCACACTCCCTGTGCCTTGGCTTCCTTACCTGTAGAACAGGGGTCACGACACTGCCTCCCTCATAGAGTTGTTGTGAAGATGAAATGGGTTAGTACGTGTGCCTCTTAGAATAGAACACGGCTACTGTGCTCAGGTGTGAGCCAAATGTGATCAGTCTTCATTTACAATCAGCTCCTTAGGCTGGATGCTGTTTGTATCACTGGGATAGGAGCTGAGCCACCTGAATTTTGGAGCCACCTGACTTGTGCTCTTCTCGTTGGATAGCAAGACTTTCCTTTTCTTACAAATACTCATTTAGGTACATTGAAACTGTTGGAACTGCAAACATTTTAGGCTTTTGCTTTTTCTGCTTTTTTTTTTTTTTTACAGTTTGCCTGTATTTTTGCTTGGAAAATGAGACTTTATTGAGTGAATCTGTTTATCTTCTTTATTTTTGGTTAGTTTCTCTTTCTAGTTAAAATATACAAAAATTTTTAGACTCATAGTATGACAGTGGGATGTTTAGATCTAAAATAAACTGTTTTGTCAAAACTAAAAAACAGCAAGAACTCGTTTAATCCATGTACCTTTTCCTTTGGAAATCACAAATTTTCTTTTAGACTAAGAGCACTATTCCTTTTAATTAGTATAGAACATCTTATTTCTGGTGATGTTTTAGGTTTTGACATGCCCTAAAGGCAGAACACATTAGTGCCATGTTTTAAACAACTAAATCATTCTTATCAAGTCATTGGCCTAAAACTGAAATCTATAGCATAAACATGCTAAAATGACTGTTTTACTGTATTTTACCAGAACTTGGCCTCATGTTTGCATTAGACTTTTTCTAAAATACAACAACAACAAAAAAAAACGAGTGAGAAATTTCTACTTACATTGTGAATCCTATTTCTCCACAGGCTTCTGTTTTGTTTAGGAGTTGCCTTTGACAGTGTTTTGAGCACAAAATAAAGGCTGTGCAGTATTTCTGTGTTTTAATGTCACATTCAATTCTGGAGGGAAAAGTTGGTCAGATGAACAATTGATCTTTGTGTCTCTGTGCAGAGTAAATACACTACAGTAACAACATTCCCAGGGATCTCAGTTTTCTATGGTGATTCCTAAATATCTCACGTGTGTGTTACTAGGACTCACCTGCTTATGAGTTATAAAGAAGCTAAATGGACAATAATAATTCACTACTCACAGGGTTGGGTATCCACTTCAAGTGCCAATGGACACCTGCTTCACAATGGCTCCTGCCTCTGTTGCAGGCTCTCCTCTAGAAGGTGTGCCCAGGGTTCTTTGCTTGCTCTTCCTGAGTTGCTGACTGATTGCTTCATTCCTTAAAATCTTGACTGAACAATTGCCAAGCTGTGTTCCTTGATGAACTGGGGGCTGCCAACTGCCAACTCTGAACTATCCTCTGTCTCGTGTGTAGCAAAGCAGTCTGCAGTTCCTATAGCTTCTCCCAGAAGGCCATCTCAGGATGGAGTCCAGTCCTGAGTCCTGGGTACCTGATTGTGAGGACAGTGGACAGACTGTGCTGTTGGCTCCTCCTTTGTCTTTCCCTTCAGTCACTGCCACCGAAAGATTCCTTAACTGTACTCATTCAGCTGATAATACCCATTCAAATCAAGTCTTGCAAAGCCCTTCTCCCAGTCTTCTGGATTTGTTCAGACATAGTATATAAATATACATGATGAATTTATATATATATTATTTTATATAATATATAATAATATATATTATATTATATATATATCAGCTCACTGCAGCCTCGACCTCCAGGGCTCAAATGATCCTTCCACCTTAGCCTCCACAGTAGCTTGGACCATGGGTGTCCACTCCCACACCTGGCTAATTTTATGTATTTTTTGTAGAGATGAGGTCTTACTATGTTGCTCAGGCTGGTCTCAAACTCCTGGGTTCAAGTGATCCTCCCACCTTGGCCTCCCAAAGTGCTGGAATTACAGGTGTAAGCTACTGTGTCTGGCCCTGCATGATACATTTAATTAGAGTGTTTCTTTTTGGATAATGTGGTAACTAACCACTGATGTCAAATTTATTATTTGAAGTAGTCATTAGAAAATAATGTAAGTTTTTGAAGCATTTCAATTGTATTGATTGAAGAAATATTTATTTGAAATGGATAAATGCTATTGGTCCCTCTCTAACTCCTTCAGGCACAATGTCTGCCACTAAGTGGTAGAGCGTGGAATCACTTCCAAGAGCCCCATGAAAGTGATCATCTTGTCTGACAGAAAAGGGAAGTCACCTGAGCATATCTGCTCTGGCCCATTGTCTCTCCTCTTTTCTGGGTCTCCAATTTAACCTACGTTTGATCTTCTCACTGTGGCCTTTATGTCTCTTATCCTCCTTTCTACATACCATTCCTTTTACTCTCTGTGTTTCATTCTATTTCTTGTGACATATCTTCCAGTTCACTAATTCTTTCTTCAGCTTCCCCTATTCTGCTGATAACTCAGTACATTGTTTCAAATTTTGGTTATTGTATTGTTTAGTTCCTGAATTTCAACTTGTTTCCTTTTCAAATCTGCAATGTAACTTTCTACCTTTTCCAGTTCTTTGCTGAAATCATTTAGTTTTTGTTTTGATCTTTTTGAGCACATTAATTATAGTAGTTTTATAGTTTATGTCTCATAATTTCACTATCTGGACTACCTGTGTGTACAATTCTGCTGCCATTTGTGCTGGTTGTTGTTCATGTTGCCCTGTCTCTTTGAGGACTGGTTATATTTTATTGGGTGTTGGACCATTGTCTTTGAAAACATTTCTTGTAGAAATAATTTGAGGCCTAGAATATATTTTTTCCCAAGGAGAATTTTCTTTTGCTTCTGCTAGGTGTTGGAGGTATCTGGAAGTACAATCCAGGATCACATCAATTTAATTGCAGGGCTTGAGACTTTGTGGGCCACACAAATGACATGCAGTCAGACTGTAAGTGAGAGCAGGTTTAATTACAGTTTGCATTTATTTCTAGGATGCAGCCCTCAGCATACCAACCCCAAGCACTGGAGTCCCCTTTTAACAGGGTCTAGATGCTGCCTTTCCCCCTGCTATTCTCATAAGGTGTCAAAAGTCCTGCTCTCCTTTTATCTGTCTCTTCAGGACAAAGGCAGCCCAGGTGTGGGTCCCTTTCTCTGAATTTTTATTTTTTACTAGATCATGGCCAAATAATTCCTCACTCTCTTGTTAGCTATTTGATCCTTTTACAATTTTTTTTTGTATATTTCATCTGGCTTTTAAAAATTCAATTCAGGAGAAGAGTTGGTTTGAATTATCCAGTCTATCTTTAATGGAAATATAATGGGGGAGCAGATCTATAAAGGCTGGCTAGTGCCTGTCTCCAAAGAGAAAAATTTCCAGCTGCTTGCTCTCTGCTTCAAAGCCCATCAGAAGTCAGCTCTGAGCCCACCGGAGCCCTCTGGTGCAACAAAGAAAGCAAATTGCCTGAGGTCCTGCAGTCCTGTGGTTTTATATCACATAGCCAGGCAAAATAAAACTTGCATGAGTCTTGTACACTCTTAGCCATTACATTCTCACTCTGTTGCCAACATCCCAAGCTTGTGGAATGTGAGGAAAGCACCTGGTGGCTAAGATAAAACAACAAAACCATGCTCTGCAGACCTGAGCTGTAGCTCAGGCAAAGCAAGTACCTACTTTTGCACTGCCTTGTAATATAGACTGTGCATTTGTATGATAGTTCCTCAATTTTTTTCAAATGTCGGCTGCACTAGCTTTCAAAATTTAGCATGTATGAGAGTTTTAGGAGAGCTTGTTACAGCACAGATTGCTGACTATACCCTGAGTTTTCAATTCAGTAAGTCTCGCCTAGAGTCTGCAAATTTGTATCTCTCCCAAGATTCCATGTGATGCGGCTGGTTTGAAAACCACATTTTGAGAATTGAGAAACCAAACTGAGAATCATGTCTACTCCATTCTTTGGACTATAAGACTCAGGTAGGGACTGTAACTCATCCTCCTTGGTCTCTCTTACCAGCTAACTCAGTACTATGACCCATGTAGGACCTTTTAATGTAATAATCTGATATGGTTTGGCTCTGTGACCTCACCCAAATTTCACCTTGAATTGTATTCCCATAATTCCCACATGTTGTGAGAGGGTGGGAGATAATTTGAATCATGGGGGCAGTTTCCCCCATACTGTTCTCATGGTAGTGAATAGGTCTCACGAAATCTGATGGTTTTATCAGGGATTTCTGCTTTTACATCTTCCTCATTTTCTCTTGCCACCACCATGTAAGAAGTGCCTTTCACCTCCCACTATGATTCTGAGGCCTCCCCAGCCATGTGGAACTGTAAGTCCAATTAAACCTCTTTTTCTTCCCAGTCTTGGGTATGCCTTTATCAGCAGTGTGAAAACAGACTAATACAGTAAATTGGTACCAGTAGAGTGGGGTGTTGCTGAAAAGATACCCGAAAATTTGGAAGCGAGTTTGGAACTGGGCAACAGACAGAGGTTGGGACAGTTTAGAGGGTTCAGAAGAAGACAGGAAAATGTGGGAAAGTTTGGAACTTCCTAGAGACTTGTTGAATGGCTTTGACAAAAATACTGATAATGATATGGAGAATGAAATCCAGGCTGAGTTGGTCTCAGATGGAAATGAGAAACTTGTTGGGAGCTGGAGCAAAGGTGACTCTTGCTATGTTTTAGCAAAGAGACATTTTGCCCCTATCATAGAGATTTGTGGAACTTGAACTTGAGAGAGATGATTTAGGGTATTTGGCAGAAGAAATTTCTAAGCAGCAAAGCATTCAAGAGGTGACTTGGGTGCTATTAAAGGCATTCAGTTTTAATAGGGAAGCAGAGCATGAAAGTTTGGAAAATTTGAAGCCTGACAATGTGATAGAAAATAAAATCCCATTTTCTGAGGAGAAATTCAAACTGGCTGCAGATATTTGCATAAGTAACAAGGAGCTGAATGTTAATCAGGGTAAAATGTCTCCAGGGCATGTCAGAGATCTCTGTGGCAGCCTCTCCCATCACAGACCCAGAGGTCTAGGAGGAAAAAATGGTTTTGTGGGCAGGTCCCAGGATCCCCATGCTGCATGCAGTCTAGGGATTTGATGTCCTGTGTCTCAGCTGCTCCAGCTATGGCTGAAAGGGGCCAATATAGAGCTTGGGCCATGGTTTCAGAGGGTGAAAGCCCCAACCCTTGGCAGCTTCCACATGGTGTTGAGCCTGGGGGTGCAAAGAAGTCAAGAATTGGGGTTTGGGAACCTCCACCTAGATTTCAGAAGATGTATGGAAATGCCTGGATGCCCAGAGAGAAGTTTGCTGCAGGGGCAGGGACACCGTGGAGAACCTCTGCTAGGACAATGCAGAAGGGAAATGTGGGGTTGGAGCCCCTACACAGAGTCCCTACTGGGGCACTGTGTAGTGGAGCTGTGAGAAGAGGGCCACCATCCTCCAGACCCCAGAATGGTAGATCCACCTACAACTTGCACTGTGTGCCTGGAAAAGCCGCAGACACTCAACACCAGCCCATGAAAGCAGCTGGGAGGGAGTCTGTACCCTGCAAAGCCACAGGGGCAGAGCTGTCCAAGGCCATGGGAACCTACCTCTTGCAGCAGTGTGACTTGGATGTGAGACCTCTTTTTCTTCCCAGTCTCAGGTATGTCTTTATTAGTAGCATGAAAACGAACTAATATATAATCATTGACTGAATAATTCAGGGGTTTTCTTTGGGTTGTTGTTGTTTTTGTATGTTTTTATATGGAATTTCCTAGGGTGTACTAGAGGTTTCATGGTAACTCTGCTGTCTATAGCAAGAATCACAGGACCCTTGACTTGTAGGTTTTCCCCACTCCAGTTGTGGAGAGAGGCAGCATTAGGATCAATAACTGTTGTTGAGGAACTTTCCCATTGAGGACAATTCTTCACTTTGCTTTGAGAAATGCACATACTCTTTTTTATGAACAAATGCTAGTTGTGGCAGGCTATGATTGCTAAAAATCAGGGGTGGTTGAATTTAATTTGATTACAGAGACAAAAGCGTGTGGAGCCAGGAAGAGAAGCAAAATATGTGGGAAGATAAATAGTCTAAAAAAGAGATAAAGAAAGAACCTTCAGAGCCTGAGCAGGTGGCCACCATATGACCCCTGGGTGCTGCCTGAGTGTATCTGAGATAAAGATTCCTGTAGGAAGGCCTTGGTGTTTACTATCCTCCCTGCTGGTGGGTGGAAAAGAACCGCCTGGTGGGGTAGAAGTGGTGCTATGGTTTGGATGTGGTTTGTCCCCACCATGCTCAGGTTGAAATGCAATTACCAATGTAATGGTGTTTGGAGGTGGGACACTTAAAAGGTGATGGGGTCATTCAGAGGGATTAATGTCTTCCTTGCAAGACTGCATTAGTTCTCATGGAGATGGTTTCATAGTCATGAAGAGTTGGTTGTAATAAAACAGGTTGGCCTCCTCCTTTGTCCCCTCTCTTGTGCCTGTGCCCGGTGCTGCACTCACATGTGCTCCCACCATGTGATGCCTTCTGTCATGTTATGACATAGCATGAGGCCCTCACAGTAAGCTGAATAGATGCAGCTCCCTGATCTTGGACTTCCCAGCCTCCAGAACTATAAGGAATACATTTATTTTTTAAATAACTTACTCAGGCTGGGTACAGTGGCTCATGCCTGTAATCCCAACACTTTGGGAGGCTGAGGTAGGAGGATTGCTTGAGCCCAGGAGTTTGAGACCAGTCTGGGCAACATAGTGAGACCATGTCTCTGCAAAAAATGAAAAAAATAGCCAGGTGTGGTAGTGCACGTCTGTGGTTTCTGCTACTTGGGGGGCTGAGGAGGGAGGATTGCTTGAGCCTGGGAGGTTGAGGCTGCAGTGATCATGCCACTGCACTCCAGCCTAGGCCACAGAGTGAGACACTGTCTCAAAACAAAACAAAGCAAAACAAAACAAACAAACAAACAAAAACCAAAATTACCCAGTCTCAGATATTCTGTTATAGCAACAGAAAATAGGCTAAGGTGGGGGTGAAATAGGTAAAGTCTTTCTTTGGCACTTGCTGGTCTTTTTTTGGTGGGCTTGTCCATCCTCTATTGCCCCAGTGTTCTCATATTAGAGGTCCCTCCTTTCTGGTAAGCTGGTAAGTGATTGGACGGTATAGTGTTAATGACTGAAGAACATTTCTATTTAATTTAGCTAAGTTCAACAAATTACTGGTTAGCTGCCACATTCCAGGCATTTTTAGCCACTGGAAGTAAAAAAAGAAATGCAACACAGTCTCTGTCCTTTTCATTCTAATGGGAGATGCAAAGCACTATGGCAGGGGCAGGCAGAGGGCAAGAATGAGTAAGTAAGTTGACCATGAACTTTTTAATCAAAATTGAGAAATTTTAGAAAGTGAAAGAGGATGCTAAAAAATTATAGTGGATCAATGGAAAGGAGGATGCAGGGTCATGCTATCTTTTCAGGGCCTGTGGGAGCAACGAGAAGGGGCTATTTAGTACAGCTCAGCCTAGCCAGTAGGTTGTGGGTGGGGGCTTAGAGCAGAATTGTAGAACACTACTTAGTGGATATTGTGCTTGAGTTGAGTCTTGAGCCTGAACTTTTGCATTTTAAAGCAAGACCCCCTGAAAAGAAGCAGTGTTTTCCCCAAATGACTCTACTGGTGTAATTTAAGGTGTTATGATCCCTGGGAGTGCAAAAGGAGAACATTTCCAAATCATACTACTTTGAGTGATCAATGATAGACCTTATGTTCTTAATAAACATTTATCATGTGTAGAGGGAGCAAAAATCACTTGGTAGTTCACGATTCCTCATTTCAGAAAAACGAAAGTTCAGTTGATTCACTCAGAACTCTTAGAAAAAAAAGAGAAGCAATTTACTCATTCCTCCTCAACCCTGTCATACCTCTCTAACCTTCTCTCTCTGTCTCTCTCTTTTAGTACACAAAGTCAGTAAAGCTGATCTTTGGGCCAAGGTTGTAACATGGTCAGTCCCAGGTTGGAGACAACTAATCTCATTGTAAGACAGCTCTCAATATTTAAACAAAGCTAAAGTCTGCATTAGAGCTCAATGGTATGTCCTTGAAGTCTGTATTTCGTCAGCTAGTCTCTGCCCCAAGCTTTCCCTTCATTGCTAGATTTCTTTCCTAATTACCTTGCCTGCATTTACTTTCTCACCTGCTGAGAACATATTCTCACAGTAGCATAATTGCATAGCTGTGGCTTATATTTTGCTACTACCTTGGGTACTGTTTGCTGCAAATAAGGACATTTACGGTCCCTGAGAGATGTTGAAACAGTCCCAAAATAACAGACATGCAAACGCTTTGCCTGATTAGCTGCTACTTATTAAAACATATGGTTTAAGGACTGAGTTGCCAATTTTATGTTTCCATAAAGTACTGCATGGTCTTGAATAATGAGGCAAATTGCAGAATACTGATGTTTATGAGCAGTCAAATCTGTGGGTTTCAGAGGCACAGACCGTGACTTCTAACTTATAGTTTCAAGTTAATACAAACTTTTTGCATTATGTATTTTTTTGGTTGTTGTTTTTTGACACAGAGTCTTGCTCTGTCGCCCAGGCTGGAGTGCAGTGGCACGATCTCGGCTCACTGCAAGCTCCGCCTCCCGGGTAAACGCCATTCTCCTGCCTCAGCCTCCCGATTAGCTGGGACTACAGGCGCCCTCCACCACGCCCGGCTAATTTTTTGTACTTTTAGTAGAGACGGGGTTTCACCCTGTTAGCCAGGATGGTCTTGATTTCCTGACCTTGTGATCCGCCCGCCTCGGCCTCCCAAAGTGCTGGGATTACAGGCGTGAGCCACAGTGCCCTGCCTGTATTATGTATTTTTAACATCTTTTGCTCTTACAAGGATTGGGCTCTACTTGTTTTCTTTGTTGGGTTATATCTTAGTCTACTACTGTCTTTGACCTTGTTGATGTTTCTGGGTACAAGCAAAACGGAAAAGGCTTCAGGTTTTCCTTTCAGAGGTTTTGCATAAAAGTCCAGTGTTTGGCTATTATGGGTTGAATTGTGTCCTGGAAAAGGATACATTGAAGACTTGGCCCCCAGAACCTCAGAATGTGACCTTATTTGGAAACAGGTTGATTGAAGTTGTAATTAGTTAAGACGTAATACTGGAGTGGACCGGGCTCCTTATCCAATATGACTGGTGTCCTTATATGAAGCTGGTTATGTGAAGACACAGACACACAGGGAGAATGCCATGAAGATGGGAGATGGTGCAACTACAAGCCAAGGAATGCCGAAGACTGCTGGCAACCACCAGAAGAAGCTAGGAAGAGACAAGAAGGATTTCCCTCCAGGTTTCAGAAAGAGTATGGCTCTGCCAACACCTTCCTCTGAGACTTCTAGCCCCCAGAACTGTGAGAAAATACATTTCTCTGTTTAAAGCCACCCAGTTTATGGTACTTTCTTCCTGCAGCCCTAGGAATCTAATGGCTAATGAAGTCTGGGCCCATGGTTCCCCCTCTGGATGCCTCATTCACAGAAATGGTTCCAGGTGACCTGGGTGGTGTACAGCAGTCCCTGCTTATCTGCAGTTTCACTTTTCACAGCTTAAGTTAACCTATGGTCAACAGCAGCCTAAAAATATTAAAGGGAATAATTCCAAAAATAGGCAATTCAAATAAGTTTTAAATTCAGTACCATTCTGAATAGTGTGCTGAAATCTGGCACTGTACCCACTGAGTCCTGCGGGGACATGAATCATACCTTTGTGCAGTGTGTCAGCGCTGCCTATGTTCCCTGTAGGTTAGCCACCTAGGAGCCATCTCGGTTATCAGAGTGACTGCCATGGTTTCATAGAGCTTGTGTTCAAGTCACCCTTATTTTACTTCATAATGACCCCAAAGCACAGGAGCAGTGATGCTGGCATATTGTTATAATTGTTCTGTGTTATTATTGTTACTCTGCCTAATATATAAACTAAACTTTATCGTAGGTGTATTATATATGTACTGTATAGAATAAAACATAGCATATATAGGGCTTGGTATGATTTGTGGTTTCAGGCATCCACTGGGATTCTTAGAATGTGTCTCCTGCAGATAAGAGAGGACTAGTATAATATGAGCAGATAGCAACAGGGCTGGATAGGAAGGTGGACAGCCACCCTTCACACATGCAGATCCATCTGCCTGGTAGTTCGGAGCCTCCTGTAGTGGTGACTGTTATGCTCAGTAGATTTTCCATCCCCCTTCTTCTTGGTTTCAGCCCCTTTAATGATGAGTGTGGGGATAGGCAGGGTGCTCAGGACCCTGGCTTGGCTAATGGATGTGTTGCATCCTCTGACAGCAGTGGCACGGAACCCAAACGGAGCCCAAACGGTTCTTCCTGGAATGGATGGAGAGGCACTGGGAGAGAAAGCGCTTTCTTCCCACTGGTACTGCTAAGCTGGGACTGCAGGCAGCCATGTGTATGTTTTTCTGAAGTGGAGAGGGCCTGCCTGAGGTGACTTTGTCATGGAAGCCTCATGCTTCCGAATCTCTGGGTCTCATTCCCAGGTCCCAGTTCCTGCAGTTCTGACCTCCATCTTGTGAACTACTGCAGGATTCCTCTCAGCTATAAGATTCACTGCATTTCATTTCTACTTAGTTAGAATTTCTTCTTGTGATAAAGGCTTTTTTTTTGTTGTTTTTTTTGCTGCTTCCTTCTCACCTTATAATTCCCTCTCTTAGAATATTGGGCAGTATTTTGGTTTACATGCAGCTGGATCCCACTACACCATGAGTTTCTTGAGAATAAGGCCTGCATTACTTTTTTTTGTTGTTACTTCATAGTGCCATGCCTGGATTATGTCTGGGCACCCCAGTTTTTTCTGGGGGCAATTGGCTGCCAAAATGATCAAATGAATAATAAGCAAGCTCGACTGGGATCACAGAATGTTTAAGTGGTAAAGGAACCTAGAGTTGTTCCTAATCTAGCGGTTTTCAAAGTTTAGACGCAGAATCCTTTCCTCATTGGAATCTTAGGTGGAAGCCCACGTGTAGAGCTCAGGGTGTGGAGTTGCTCTGGTTGGGGTAGAGGTTGTGGCCCAGGGGGCTGCCCTCTACTCATTTCCTCAGCATGGCCTCCGTGAGGCTTTTAGAGTTTGCTGGGGGCCACATTTATCCTCACTGAGCTGCAGTTCTCCCTCTCCAATCCTGCCTTCCTTTCCTTAAAAAGTGGTTGTGAGAAATCATAAGTTGATGCTACCGCACTACAGCTACTTCTCTCTCTCTCTCTGTTACACACACACACACACACACACACACACACACACACCCCTCTCTAGGGTCCTGGTAAAAGTACTGATGAGCGTGATATGTAATGCTGAAAGTCTCAAAGAATGATCTATACATTTCACAGTAGCTTTTGGACTTTTGGGAATAGGATCAGTTCAAATGATCCAAATTTAACCAAAGTTTTAATGGGAGAATCTCTTTTCTGAATTATGACACCTTTTCCAAACCATGCTTAATTCTTAATTCTATTTTCTGAACTACCACCTACCATCATCAGAACACTCCATGTCCTGTCATAAACGACTGCCCTGTCATCAAGGCCCCAGGCTGGTGCTATTTTTCTTCATTATTATCAGTTTTTTTATTGTGGTAAAAACACATAAGTTAAAATTTACCATCTTAACCATTTCTGAATGTATAGTTCAGTAGTGTTGGTTACATTCACATTGTCATGCAACCAATCTCTAGAACTCTTTTCATCTTGCAAAACTAGAACTCTGTGCCCATTAAACAACAACTCCCCAAGTTCCTCTTCCCTCAGCTCCTGGGAACCACCATTCTATTCTTATCTCTCTGAATTTGAATACTCTAGGGACTTTATGTAAGTGGAATCACACAGTATTTGTCTTTTTCTTCCTGGCATTTACTTAGCATAATGTCCTCAAGGTTCATCCATAGTGTAGCATGCGACATGATTTCTTTCCTATTTATTTATTTATTTATTTATTTATTTATTTATTTATTTCCAGACAGGGCCTTGCTTTTTTTCCAGGCTGGAATGCAGTGGCATGATCACGGCTCATGCAACCTCCACCTCTCAGGGTCAAGCCATCCTCCCAACTCAGCCTCCCGAGTAGCTGGGACTACAGGTGTGCACCACCACACTTGATTAATTTTTTGATTTTTTGTAGTGACAAGGTCTCACTATATTGCCCAGGCCAGTCTCGAACTCCTGGGATCAAGTGATCCTCCCATCTTGGCTTCCCAAAGTGTTGGGATTACAGACATGAGCCACCGTGACTGGCCTCCCTCCTTTTTAAGGGTGATGGGACAGAAAGCTTTTAAAGAATCTAGAGAGCAGACCACGTTGGGGGCACATAAAGAACACTTACTGAATACTCATTGGATGACTTTAATTTTTCTCATAATGTCTTTTAAATATTTGGTTTTCTAGTTTCAATAAGCTGGACCAGTCAGATTCCCTGTGGACATGAATGAAAGAAGAGACCAATCTGAGGATGCTTTGAGAGTTCCCGAATGTTCTACAAATGGTCCTGTCCCTTCCTGGCCTTCATAAAAAGAATGTTCTTTTTAACTTTGAGTAGTGGTTCTCAATGCAGGTGGGTGGGTCGGAGGTGGTTTTGTCCCCTCCCCAGAGGACATTTGGCAATGTCTGTAGGCAGTTTTGGTTGTCAGGACTTGTGGGAGGGTGCTACTGGCATTTAGTGGGTAGAGGTCAGTTTGCTGCTAAACATCCTACAATACACTGGACGGCCCACAACAAAGCATGACTCAGTCTTGTGGTAATAGTGCTGAGCTTGAGAAACCTGATGCAGAGACAGCAGCTCAAGAAGGTCACGCTGTGTATGGAGGGTTAGCCAATGGGGGACTTCCAGCCATTACATAGAGTGATGATTCTCCTCTTTAAGAAGGCCTGGCATATACTGAAATAGAACAACCTCCATCTACGTCAAAAGCTCAAAGTTGATACAAAACATCACATCAACAGTGGCTTTCTTATCTAAACACCATTTGTCAAAACAGAAAGCCCTTCAAACAGCTGACATTCAGGGAGGGCAGCCTCTGCCCTGCTCTGGGAGCCTCAACCCAGGATATTTCATGTTAACATAAACAGGATAAGCCTTTTCAGCTGCAGTGCTGTTTACCAGGAACCTGCTGGAATAAACTAGATTGTTAAGTTTAATTTAGTGAGCAGCAGTAATCACCGTAGTTCTTCCATTTGTGGAGAAGAAACAAACATGTGGGCACATCTGACAGAAGCTGGATTTGCCAAATGGTGGATTTGCCAAATGGTGAGGGTGACTTTGGAGTGCTACCCCAGCGGATGATGAATGTAAGGATGACAGACTCCATCCCTCAGAGGAAAGAATCAACTTAAAAGTGAAAGAAGCAAGCCTAACTGCCCTCCCTGCTCTGAGGGAGGAATGGAAAGGCATTCTGGAAACGCATTTCTGTCAAAGCCGAACATCAGCAAGTCAGTGACTAAGTTGAAAGGAAATGTGGTCAAAGGGTACAAAGTTTCAATGACCCTGGAGGAATATCCTTTAGCGATCTATTGTACAGCATGGTGACCACAGTTATTAATAATGCATTGTATTTATGCATTTATTTTTATTTCAGTAAGATTTAATAGCTTTTTGGATTAAGCAGTAGAAAAACTTCCATACTTAACTGAGACATTTTATCAAGGCCAAAAAAATTCTTGCAAAATGGTGCAGCCGACTGACAAGCTGACATAGAAAATAAACTTTGCCCAATCACAACTTGTGACTCCCATCCTTGGAGTGCTGACTGGCCTCAGTAAGACAGAATCGCTTTAAATCCATTACTCCATGCCCACCTGAGGCACTGTTGAAGAAATCTCACTGTTCACCCAAGGTGCTGGTTCTGGTACACTTGGATCATAAGTCCATTTGGGGAAAACTCATTTGTAAAGGTTCATCAGTTCTGTGTTCTGAGATTTTAGCTTCCTATCAAAGCTGCACTTCATGCGGCCATGGGTACCTGAAGGCTCCTGGATGTGTCCTCTGCGGCTCCACTTTGTTCTCAGTTCTACTGGTTTAAACCACTGCACATCCTCTCTATTGAAGAACATGTAACATACCACTGCCATCTTAGTACAAATTTTGAAAGGAGGATCACTCAGGACAACTCTCTTGATGACCATTCTGTTTGGATCCACCAGCAAAAGATGGCCTGTAGCAATGAGATTGTGCATTCCATTGCTTTTCTGCTTGAAAAGCAGCAAAGATGAAGGAGGAAAAGTGGTTGGTGCGTATACTGTCACCGCCAGGGCCATATCAGCAGTCAGGAATCTCTGAAATTTATGTTTGTCTGCTGCAGCATGCTGAGAGAATAAAGGTGAGGCTCGGAAGTGCCTGGATCTACAGCGGAATATGAGCTCCTCCTTGGCTTTCGCAGATTCAGTGCTGCCAGGGTCATGCCTCACCACCATATTCAATACTGACATCTTCTGTTCATGAGGTAGTGAAGAAAATGCAATCAAGGGTGCTCCTTGCCTGAATCACTCAACCACTGAGACAGGGACATTAGAGACATGAAGTGTGACATACTGGCCAACATCAGCTCCTTCAACCTCTTTTTCTTCAATCTCTTTAAATATGCTTTTCCTAGTACTAGTAAAGTTCTGAAACTGAAATATTCAAGCACAATCTTGAGCAATATTTTTCCTTAGGATCCTATGGAGATGTCTGGAAGCTCTTGAGGCCTTTGTATTTCTGAAACTGAATTTCTGGCAGCCACATCACAGGGGGTGTCCACCCACTTCACCTGGAAACATCTCTTCCAGTCTTTCTTGTTTACATTTCTCCAACATTTTTGCCTCAGCTTCTTCATCCACTTTCTCATCAGAGAGATCATCATGCACAGACTCCCTTGTAGTCATAGTTTCACATTCCTCCTCTTCTTCATCTTCACACTTTCATGCTGAGATTCCTCCTTCATAAAATCCTCATGTTCTGTATCATCATATTCTTTACCACCTTAGAATCTCCCTTCAAGAAATCCTTTGTCTCACTCAACTCCTCCTCATTGGGCCAGGTTTGCTCCCCCTGCGTTAGATCTGGGATAACCTCTGTTTGTCAGGATTCCTGTCTAGCAGGATCTGCCTTCATTAGGACTTTAAGGTCTTCTTCCATATCATCGACAGTATCCATAGCACAAATCTCTATTGCCATGTCTGGGTCCTTTTGGGATTTAATTACTGTAGGATTTAAAGGGAAAGGGTCCATGGGGTCATCTATGTGTTTCATCTGGAAATCACCACGTCCAGTGATATGCAGCAACCTATTTACATTCAGAGTCTGCCCACGAACATAGCCTGAAATTTCCAAGGTGCCCACCAAATTATTCTCTTCACTAGGAACAAAATCAGCAGTATGGGCAAATAGGTAGGCCTGCTGATCTCGAAAAGCAAGATGCCATTGCTTCTGGTTAGCCAACTGCCTAAGCAGCATCCCTGCCTCCTGTTGAGTGTCTAACAAGAGGAGTTTGTCATCCAGAAAGTGCTTCTCCACTGCTTTACTTAGCTTCTTTCTGGCATCTATTTGTTTCTTCAGTGGGAGGCCAGATAATCCCTGGACAGCTAGTGCTAATGAGGAGAGCCATCCTTGCTACCCAGCTGTCTCTTCTCCGCCAGAACCACCTCCTTCTTCTGCTTTTGGAGCTGACTGGCGGAATGCCTCTGGTCTACTCTGCTGAGTTCTTTTCTCACCTTCTTGCTTAGGGTTTTCAGTGCTAGATGGCCCTTGCCATCCTGCTGTGCAGATCCCCGACCCCGATGCTGCCCACTTTTATGAGCTTTATTCTGCATCTTGAGTGGGCTGGAGTGGTGGGCTGCCATGCTGCAGCTCACGTGTACAGAGTCAGCCCATTGTATTTATTTCGTTTTATTCTTTAATCTTTTTTTTTTTTTGTAAAGTCGGGGTCACACTATGTTGTCCAGGCTGGTCTTGAACTCCTGGACTCAAGTGATCCTACCACCTTGGCCTCCCAAAGTGCTGGGATTACAGACGTGAGCCACCACGGCTGGCCAATAATGTATTGCATATTTCAACATTGCTAAAATAGAGTTTTAATGTTCTCATCACAAAAAAATGATAAATTAGTGAGGCAATGCATACGTTAACTAGTTTGATTGTATCTTTCTATAACATATGCATAGATCAAAACATCACATTGCCTCCTTTTCCACCGTATAGCAGAAGGATGGCACAGACACTTTGAAGGGAACAAATAATACAGAACCAACACACAAACAAATGATTGGAAAACATTGTACTCCATAAATATATACAATAAAATAATTACAAATTAAACAATAAAATGTGGAAGATTTGGATATTATTTTTCTTCCCATAGTTAAAATAATACTCTTTAATAAAAATTGTACAAGCTTTTTTTTTGTGTGAGTTTGTCATATTAGAATTCCCATCTACAGAAGACCAGGGAAAGAATGAAGGTTCTTAGTAGTAAGAGGAAATATAGTCTAGCCCAGCAGCACTCAGAGATCCGGTACTATCTCGAGTACCACTAATCGAGCGGATGCATCCCTTTTTGATAACTATAACTATCCCTCAGTGCCAAAATTTACTGTTTTGTCTAATCTCTGGCCAGCCCAGTTGAGCTAGAGAAAGGTTGTGTTTAAGTGCAGTAAATGCCTCAAAGGGAAACAAGTGAGTTTTCATCCAGGTGGTTCCCCTTTCAGCTGCAACTTAATTTCCTCTCGTTTTTTGCTCCATTGACATAGTAGAGTTATAGTTCGTCCTCAATGCAGTGGTTAACAGTTCAGACTCTAGATTAGACTAGCAAAGTTTGAATCCCAGCAAGTTACTAAACCTTTTTGTGTGTCCTGTTCTTCACCTTTAAAATAAGAATGATAATGCTTGTACCCACCTCATACAGTTGTGCTGACTTAAGTGATTTAATATTTGTAAAGCACATAGAACAGTTTAGGTGAATGGTGAATACTATATTTGGTAAATAAATAAAAATAATGCCTGCCATCTTAAGCTGGAATCTCTAAATTTACACATTAGACTGCAACTAAACAGACTTTGGAGTCTGGAGCTAAATCATAACAGGGAACAGGTATCCTAAAAACGAACATGCATTTACCAAACAGCCCTCAATGTCTCCAGGGCTGATTTTTAACTGCTATTGCAAAGGATTCCACCCTCCCAGGGCCTGCACATGCTGAAGGTATACGACGGCCTGGAAAAAGTGTCAGATGGTTTTCATAAACTTGGCACTGACCAATCATCTACCTTCTTATTCGTTGGGTAGGTGCTAACTGTAAGTTGGGTAAAATAGAAGTTTTACCAGAGCAGGGGGCTGGGACACCACAGAATAAACCAGCAATCCCTCTGACGTGGAGGTGATAATAGCAATTCAGTCAGGAGGTGACAGTCTGGACTAAGGGTGTGGTTAAAATGGCACAGGAGGGGCAGAATCGGAAACAGGTATAAGCTGCAGGCCAGGACTGTCCTTAGGGGCAGTAATGATGGGAGAGACCAAACCAACAGCCCGATTCAATGATGAAAGCTGAATTGGGCATGGCCGCAGAAGGAAAAGTCCAGCACCTGTCTCAGCTCTGGCAGTGGCTCATCCACCTGCTCTCCCTGGAACCTCCTTTTCCACTGTGTAGCAGAGGGATGGCACAGATACTTTGAAGGGAGCAAATAATACACAACCAACACACAGACAAATGATTGGAAAACAATTATACACAGCAATTCTTGCCTACTCTCTTGAGGCCCGAGAAAGTTCAATCAAAACCAGAATTAAAGAATGCCAGTACTGGCCACCACAGGCAGGGGCTCATGGGCTTTGGAATCCAAGAGAGAGAGAGGACTCGTGGATGTCAAACACGTTGCTGACTGCAGAAGTTTCACTTTTTCTTTTATTTATTTATTTATTATACTTTAAGTTTTAGGGAACATGTGCACAATGTGCAAGTTAGTTACATATGTATACATGTGCCATGTTGGTGTGCTGCACCCATTAACTCGTCATTTAACATTAGGTATATCTCCTAATGCTATCCCTCCCCGCTCCCCCCATCCCACAACAGGCCCCGGTGTGTGATGTTCCCCTTCTTGTGTCCAAGTGTTCTCATTGTTCAATTCTCACCTATGAGTGAGAACCTGCGGTGTTTGTTTTTTTGTCCTTGCGATAGTTTGCTGAGAATGATGGTTTCCAGCTTTGTCCATGTCCCTACAAAGGACTGTGCAGCCATAAAAAAGAAGTTTCACTTTTTCACTTTACCATTTTCCTTAAAATTTCCCATGGATGGTATTCTTGGTTTTTGGGTGGAAGAGAGAGAGGGAGAAGGGAAACAGGAAGGAAATATTTCAAGGGGGAGCAAAGTTGAATTAAGACTGGTGGTTGAAGGCTGGCGATGAATGCTCCATCTCTTACTTCTCTCCTTCCATTAATGTCTAAGGGGAAGCAACAGAAAAGGTCGGTTCTGAGTAGGGGAAGCAAAGGCAGAGCAGTCCCGCTGCTGTCATCAGATTTAGCGAGATTTTTGCCCAGCTGTTTGCTGAAAGAAAAGCAGGAAAACGAAGAACCAGAGGGCTCAGGCAGGGCCACTCTGTCTTGAATGGTCTCATTCCTCATTCTCAAAGAGAATCTTTCAGGGGTTAGCTCTTCCTTGAGAATTTCTGCAGCTCAGAAACCTGCCCTTTGAAGCCCAGGGTGGCCACCTTTTTTTTTTTTCTTTAATTTTTTGAGACGGAGTCTAGCTCTGTTGCCCAGCAGGCTGGAGTGAAGTGGCGCCATCTCAGCTCATTGCAACCTCTGCCTCCTGGTTGCAAGCAATTCTCCTGCCTCAGCCTCCCGAGCAGCTGCAACTACAGGCATGCATCACCACGCCTGGCTAATTTTTGTATTTTTAGTAGAGACGGGGTTTCACCATGTTGGACAGGCTGGTTTTGAACTCCTGACCTCAGGTGATCCACCTGCCTCGGCCTCCCAAAGTGCTGGGATTACAGGTGTGAGCCACTGTGCCTGGCCATTTTTTTTTTTGGAAAGGGCAATCTGTGACCCTCCCACTGGCTGCCCTGGGAGGGTTGTCAGCTTTGTTGTCAGGATGTTTTATGTTGGACACTTATAGGTTGAGTTGTGTCCCCTACAATTTATGTGTTGAAGCCCTAACCCTTAGCAGCAGTGAAGGTAACCTTATTTGGAAATAGGATTTTTGCAGATGTTATTAGTTAACATGAAGTCTTTAAGGCAAGCCCTCATCTGCCGTGACTGGTATCCTTAAAAAAAGGGGGAATTTGGACCAGGCGTGGTAGCTCATGACTGTAATCCCAGCACTTTGGGAGGCCGAGGTGGGCGGCTCATGAGGTCAGAAGATCGAGACCATCCTGGCTAACAAAGTGAAACCCTGTCTCTACTGAAAAATACAAAAAAATTTAGCTGGGCGTGGTGGCGGGCGCGTGTAATCCGAGCTACTCTGGAGGCTGAGGCAGGAGAATTGCGTGAACCTGGGAGGTGGAGCTTGCAGTGAGCTGAGATTGCACCACTGCACTCCAACCTGGGTCACAGAGCAAGACTCTGTCTCAAAAAAAAAAAAAGGCGGGCATGGGGGCGAAATTTGAATGCAGACACATACACACAGGGAGAATGCCACGTGCAGATGAAGGCAGAGATCAGGGCGATGCTTCTACAAGTTAAGAGATACCAAGGACTGCCAACACACCACCAGAAGCTAGGAGAGAGAACAAATTCTTCCTCACCGCCTTCTAACCTCCAGAACTCCAGAACTGTGAAACGAGGAATGCCTGCTGTTTTAATCCACCACTTTGTGGTACTTTGTTACAGCAGCCATCGCAAACTAATACAGGCACCAACTTGAAGGTTTGGACTTATTGGAAATAAACAAACTTTTCCCTGGGAGGTGGATCTACTCCACATTGTCCCTACGGACTTATATTTGGCTTTTGCCAGTAACGGTTTGTACAGTGACCCTTGGTGTGGTTCTGCTCCGGATCCCCCTATATCTCTCTGGTGGAAAATTTCCTAGCTGCTCCAGGCTGTGTAGGGGGATCAAGAATGGAGCTCTTTGTTTAGACTTTGCGTGGTGTACATAAATAACGAGCATATGGGGAATTTTCAAGCCAGAGGCATTTCAGAACTAGGCAAGGGAAGAGAGGTTTCATTTGTTAAAGACATTTCCTGTTAAAATTCATCACAAGCTTCTCTACATCCTCCCTTTCCAGTGTCCTGCCCCCTCCCCACACACCCCAAATATGTAAGAGACTTTCTTAGCAGCGTAGGCCCAACAGGATGTTGTGAGAATGAATAAGAAAAAATTAATACATCAAACCAGATGAATGGAAAAAGCTCTGTTTCTTTTTATGCATGTAACTTCAGAACTGTAAAAAGGGAACGAGTAAGAGAATTTCTCATAAGTGAACGTGCTGTTAAGTGTGTCTAAATTGTTTATACAAAGGGTTGCCTTCAGAAAATCACCCCAGTTGTTCCTTTTAGTTATGGGGACATGCACTGAAATTCTACCTTCAGGATTTTAATGGAGACTTCTTTTGTTAGTAGCTTATGTGCCTAGCTGTCCCAGGCTGAAAAGTAGGGGGGTCAAGTTTCAGGTGTAAGAGCTGATCTACTCCAAGCCAGTCCACCCAGAAAGCAGGAGGTGGGCCTGGCCCTGGGGAATAATTTTGGATTCGCTGAACGCAGGGTACCCCACTTAGTTACTGCTATTTCCTATTATCCTGTGGATGCTTGACAGCAACCACATCTATTGGCTCTGTAAAAGCTCTTTTAAATAAAAATATTTCATTAGCTGCCAGGGAATTGGTGAGGCAAGCTGTGTAAAAGGCAGCTCCATTTGCTTGCGTCTGGGAAGGAGGTTGACTCCTGGTTAGCACAAGCATCCCAGTTTCACACCCCATTAACAGGGTGTCAGTTGGATTTCTCCCTTTTAACCCAAACCACAACCCTAGGGAAGCTGGCCAGCCTTCCAGTTGCTTCTGGTGTAGATATTCATGGCTTCATGGTCTGACTTAGTTGAAGTGATTTCTTGCAACAGTTTCAGAAGAGGCACGTCCACATTCAAATGTAACCATAGGAACGTATAGCAATGATAAATGTTCATCATATAAGGATTGCCTTGTATTTTGAATTATGGTGCTTTCTGGACAAACCTCCTGAAGATCAATGTGTATAATTGGTAATTTGCAGTAATATTAGGAAATCAAATAGAAAAAGTAACAAAAAATTACAAAAAGTAACAAAAGAGTAATAATTCCTACTCTTAAAAATATTTCTTAAATGGTAAGGTGCAAGAGAGAATACAGAATATAAAGCATAAAACTGAAGGAAGTCGGATTAGGGTACAATTTATTGAAGATCTACAATGAGCCAGGAAATGCACTAAGTTCTTTACTGTGTATCCTTATCTTGGGAGGAGAGAGAGTGGGGTGGGGGGTGAGGGAGAGAGAGAGAGAGAATATGAATAGATCCATTTGGAGAATTTGTCTTGCATTATTAAAGAAGGGTAATTTATAAGAGTTTCATGAAGTCATTTAGGAGTTTGAGGGGCAACAGAAGAGATGTAATTATGTATCCCAAAACCCTAAACCCAACAATCACATTTTTCTGATTTACAGAAGGTCTAATCCCTGAGTAATGTTTTTAAGGTTCAGGTCCAAACCCTGGCTTTGGAATAATTGGCCTGTTGCCTGGAGTCAGGGCTTCGGCTTTTAGAGGCAAAAACAATAATCAAAAACAGCTTTCAGAAAGATGTCACTCTACCCCAAGCCTACCACAGTGACTTGCACATAGTATGGCCTGAAATAAGAGTTTGCGTAATGGATGAACAGAGGATTTTATATTGAAATGTTGTTTGTAGCAGACAATTCCTATACTTCTTTTTCCACTTGAAGATGATGAAGAGAGACTTGTCTGAATTGCAATAAGAGGAAATAGGTTAGAATTCCCAGCTGCAAGCAGAAATAAATCTTGGTAAGAGCTTCAAGAGGGTTAATGAAGTTCTTTCTGGAGTATCTATGGCAACAGAAAGGCTAAACATGGCCCTGTGTACTATGTAGAAGAATAGGGTAGATCTTTTTTTTTGAGGCAGAGTTTCGCTCTTGTTGCCCAGGCTGGAGTGCAATGGTGCAATCTTGGCTCACTGCAACCTCCGCCTCCCAGGTTCAAGTGATTTTCCTGCCTCAGCCTCCCAAGTAGCTGGGATTACAGGCATGCACCACCATGCCCAGCTAATTTTTTGTATTTTGAGTAGAGATGGTGTTTCACCATGTTGCCCAGGCTGGTCTTGAACTCCTGACCTCAGGTGATCCACCCGCCTCAGGCTCCCAAAGTGCTGGGATTACAGGCATGAACACCGTGCCTGGCCAGATCTTTAAAATCTGCTCCTTACCCCTTTCCTGCGTGCCTTTTCATTTACTACTTTGTGGGAGACACAGCCACCTAGAATTATACTAAATCTCCCGGAATGATGGAACTCTTTCTTTTGGTCAAGATGCTCAGTCTTTTTGAGGACACAAGCATCACGCAGCTGATGTTGCCTGAATTGTGTTATGGTATAAAAAGGATACATATCAGTTAGGGATTGGTTTAGCTGAGAATGAAGGCAAACCCCAAATAAAATGGCATAAACAAAATAGAAATTGAAGAAGTTCAGAGGAAAGTATCCTGTTCATGACATTGTCAGGAGCCACTCTTTCACCTTGTGGCTTCTCTACCTCATGGTCCAAGGTGGTTGCTTGAGCTCCAGCCATCATGTCTACATTCTAGCAAGGAGGAAAGAAAGGTATATTTCATTTTTTTTTTTTTTGAGACAGGGCCTTGCTCTGTTACCCAGGCTGGAGTGCCGTGCCATAATCACGACTCACTGCAGTCTTGACCTCTCCTGGGCTCAGGTGACCTCCCACCTCAGCCTCCTGAGTAGCTGGGACTACAGGCATGTGCCACCATGCCTGGCTAATTTTCGTATTTTTAGTAGCGATGGGTTTCGACATGTTGCCTAGGCTGGTCTTGAACTCCTGAGCTCAAGCAATCTGCCTGTTTTGGCCACCTAAAGTGCTGGGATTATAGGTGTGAGCCACCACGCCCAGCCATATTCTATTCTTACAAGGACACTTCCTAGAAGTTGCAAGAAGCACCTTTGCTTTTATAGTGTTGGCTAAAACTTACACATAGATATCCTACTTTCAGGGAAGACTAGTAATGTGGTCTCTATTTTGGACATTAAGCACTAGTGAAATACAAGGGATTCTATTATGAAGAAAGCAGAGGAGTTTGGTTAGAAGGGGACAACTTGCAGTCTCTACCATGAGGGTAAAACGGGCATCTAAGAGGTTTAAAGACAAGGCTTGTCACCCTGACCATGAAAACATTACTTTCCTTTCTAACTGTTCATTGTTAGCTTCTCGTTTGAAAGCAGGCACCAAAGGGAATCACTCTACACTCACCTTGGTTTTTCTCTCAGTTTTAACTCGATTTTGAAATCCTGACAGTAGGAACATCTTGGCAGAGCCTGAAAGTGTTCACTAGACTCTTGGAGGCAGCCTAGGTTCCCAGGAGAAGAGCACTGCTTTCAAACTCTAATGGAAAAATGCACTGTGAGGCAGGAGGTCTGGGCTAGGGCCTGAAATTCTACATTTCTAACAAGGTCCCTAGTGATGCAGTGCTGCACTGCACAGACCAGGTTTTCAGTGCAAAGATTTAGAGAAAGTTCTCTATGGCTATCTGAGTCCCAGTTTGTAGCAGGATATTCAGGAAGGGATAGTGTAATTGCCCAATGAGTTCTTCTTGCCTGCTGTACAGATAGAGCCTATTCACTGAGACAGTGCTATTGCAGTGGAGAAAGAGCTTAATAAATGCAGACCTAGCCAAACCAGAAGGATGGGAGTCTATTACTCAGAACAGCTTCCCTAAAAGGTCAGAGGCTAGGGTTTTTCAAAGATAGTTTGGCAGGAAGAGGGAGAGGGAATGGAAAATGCTGATTGGTTGGGGATGAAATCATAGAGGTGTGGAAAATGGTCCTCTTGCACTGAGTCAGCTTCTGGGTGGAGGCCTCAGGACCGGTTGAGTCATGAGTCACCAGTCCAGGTAGAGTCAGCTGGTCACCAGAATGCAAAGGTCTGAAAAAAAAAATCAAAAGACCCATCTTAGGTAATACTCTAGTGATGTTATCTATAGGGGCAATTAGGGAAGTTACAAATATTGTGACTTCTTGCAATGGCTGGTTATTGTTTCACTATGCCCACTTTTAGCAGAGTTCAGGCCATCTTGTGGCCTTCCTTTAGTTTTACACAGGCAGTTTCTGTTCCCAAAAAGAAGGGGATAGTTTTGGGAACAGCTATTGTCATCCTTGCTTTAAGGTAAACCATAAACTAAATTCCTTCCAAAGTTAGCTTGGCCTATGCGCAGGAATGAATAAGGACAGCCCAGAGATTAGAAGCAAGATGGAGTCAGCTATGTCAGATTTCTCTTACTATCATAATTTTGCAAAGGTGGTTTCAGTGGGGGTGGTAGTGACCAGTATATCTGTCAGTGGTTTTCATATACTACTGCTCATAAGAATGCCCTTTTGGAGCTTGGTAAAATACAGACTTCTAGGATCCTGACAATCACTTTAAATGTAACAGGTATACAGTATACAGGTATACAGTAACAGATGTCTGATTTTTATAGCAGGCACTCTGAGTAATTTCTGATAAAGGTGGTCAAGGAGCAGCATTTTGAGAAATATTGGTACCCTGTGCCTAGGCAGTCTGTGTGGGTGAGGGTCTCGACCTCTCAGATCGTAAATTTACAGAGATCCTGGTGTTCTGGGATATGTGAGTTTTAGATAGTCTGGTTTAATTAATTAAAGGAGACACATATTGCTAATCTTTGTGGCTCAGGAAAATTTTATCAAAGGTACATTTTCCTCCATTTTGGAGTTAAGGGTTTTGTTCTTGCAGGAAGTTTGAGGGTGTCTTAATCAGCTCAGCTGCCATAACAAAAGGCCATGAATGCAGTGGCTTAGATAATAGACATGTATTTCTCACAGCTCTGAAGAGTGGAAATCTGAGATCAGGGTGCCAACATGGTTGGATTTTGGCAAGGGCTCTCTTCCTGGCTTGCAGATAGCCTCCTTCTACAGCCACCTTCTTGCTGTGTTCCCACATGGCAGAGAGGGAGTGAGTTCCCATCTCTTTCTCTTCTTATAAGGACATTAATCCCATCATGAGAATTTAATCCTCATGATCTCATCTCAACCAAATGGCCTCCCAAAGGCTCCATGTGAAATACCATCACACTAGGGGTTAGGGCTTCAACATATGACTTTTAGCGGAACCCAAACATTCAATCCATAACAGGAGATTCTGCATCACTAAGAATGGTACTGGCTGATTAACAAGAGGTTTGGTGTGGATAGAGGTGGATGTGAGGGCAGGGGCAGGGGAGAATCAGGGAAGGGAAGAAGGAGAAGGGGCGAGGCAGAAGCTGATCTCTAGTGGGCATTGCTGCATGCAGTCATGGTGCTGGCCATTGTAGAGGTGTCACTTCATTTAACATGGTGGAGGTAGTGGGGGGTGTTTCATTTTACCTCAGACATTTGTTTTAATATTCTGTTTGCACATATTAAATATTTAATCTACAAAAGGGTTGGAGGAAAGAAATGGCTTTTCTGATGACCGAGTACCAGGACTCCTTTTTGCCTCTTCATCTTCATACCATGTGCACTGCCTGAAAGGTGTTCTTCCTTCCCATCCTCCTGCCTCCTTCCCATTCCCAGCTCTGCATCTCCAGTTCGGTCTTTGAATCCTCTGTACTAATAAAGGCCTAGTTCAAGTGCTAGGTAGATTTCTCTGTCACCCTTTTCAGGAGTCCCAGATCGTAGCCCCTTGCATGGATTCAATCCTTCATTCATGTGGATTAAGTTTCCCAAGTTTCTGCAATCAGCCTGGGGATTCAGGCCAAACCCCAAATACCAGTAATCCCAAACCAAGCAGTGACTGTGTTCTGAGATTGAAAAGCTGGTGGATGGTTCATTCTCGTTTGGTTGCTTCTCCAGTGCACTCAATAGCTTCAGGACCTGTTTTCCAGGAGATTACCATTCCACCTCTGAGGAAAGAAAAATGTGATCGCCCTAGGGGTTCATTTCTTTTGATCTTTCAGTAACTTAGCAGTCAGCTGGCTCAGTGGGTCTGCATTAGCTTGATTAAAGAACAGGTTGATTCCAGCCCTGGGCTCCAGAGGCTCCATTTCCAATAAGGACACTTCCTTGACAAGACAGCATCCAATATTATAGCTATAAAGATATTTCCTGTCCTTGTCCCCAAAAATGTTTGGAGCTTGATGCTGGTGAGCTCTGTTCTACCAGAACACCAATGTATTGCATTGATCAGGGTTCTTCAGAGAAACAGAACCAATAGGATATGTATCTATATCCCATATATCTACATCTATATCTAGGAAGAAATTTATTTTATGGTCTTGGCTCATATAATTATGGAGGCTGAGAAGTCCCACGATCTGCCATGGGACTGCAAACGGAAGACCCAGGAAAGCTGTTGGTGTAGTCCTAATGTTTGAGAGCTGAAGAGCTGGTGGTGTAGATTCCAGTCTGGGTCTGAAGACCTGAGAACAAAGAGTGGCAAGGGCAGAGAAGATCAATATTCCAGCTCAAGCAGTCAGACAGAGAGTGAATGGGACCTTCCTCTGCCTTTTTCTTCTATTTGGTCCCTCTACAGATAGCACCATGCCCACCCACATTGGGGAGGGCCATCTGCTTTCCTCATTCCACCAATTCAAATGCTCATCTCTTCCAGAAACACTGTCATAGACACAGTTAGAAATAATGTTTAATCAGGCTGGGTGTGGTGGCTCCTGCTTGTAATTCCAACACTATGGGAGGCGGAGGCAGGCGGGTGGATCGTTTGAGGTCAGGAGTTTGAGACCAGCTTGGCCAACTTGGCAAAACCCTGTCTCTACTAAAAATACAAAAATTAGCCAGATGTGGTGGAGCGTGCCTGTAGTCCCAGCTACTTGAGGGGCTGAGGCAGAAGAATCGCTTAAACCTGGGAGGTGGACGTTGCAGTGAGCCCAGATCACACCACTGCACTCCAGGCTGGGCAACAGAGAGAGACTTCATCTAAAAAAAAAAAAAAAAGTTTAACCAGCAATCTGGGCATTCCATGGCCCAGGCACATTGACACATAAAATTAAGCATCACATGTATTGTATATATATTTAAAATTTCTACATGCTAATTGTTTTGGCATCTTAAAAAATGTTTCCAGCTGGGCACAGTGGCTTATGCCTATAATCCCAGCACTTTGGGAGGCCAAGGTGGGTGGATCATGAGGTCAGGTGTTCGAGACCAGCCTGGCCAACATGGTGAAACCCCATCTCTACTAAAAATCCAAAGATTAGCCAGGAGTGGTGGCATGCACCTGTAATCTCAGTTACTCAGGAGATTGAGGCAGAAGAATTGCTTGAACCCAGGAGGCAGATGTTGCAGTGAGCCGAGATCACGCCACTGTGCTCTAACCTGGGCGACAGAGCAAGACTCCATCTTGAAAAACAAAAGACCAAAAAGACAAAAACATGTTTCCATCTTAGGATAGACTGCCCCTCCCATTGCTGGCCAATTCTGGGATACAGCAAAGGGCTCAACTGGGAGTGTGCCCTAGGTATCCCAACTGCCCAATCCAGGGCCATATCTCCTCTATCTGGTCCATGCACCCCAGGAAGCAATATTCCTCTGCCTTAATCATCCCAGGGCCAGCTACCAGGCAACTAGGGACATGCTTATAGCTTACAGCTTGCTGAAATTATTCAAACTAGCCAATCCTAGTTTGTCTTTCCTATGGAAACTTCAATAAAGACTCTAGCATAAACCATTTACTTGCTTCTATCTTCTGCTTCCTGACCACCCAGGTGTCTTTCCTTGTGGCCCTGAGTGGCCTGCTGTAGCTCCTGTCTCTAAGACCTGTGAGTATAATGCACTTTGTTTTCCTGAGCCTCTCCTCTGTCTCCTCTTGTGGTGGGGACCTGGCTGAACATTTCATAAAAGAAGGCAAAACAGTTGACCATGGGCTTGGGACTTACATACGCCTGGCCAAAGCTTTTGGGATGAGGGCTCAGGGAACTATGTGCCCTGTGCTACTTCTCTGCTTGTCATCTTCCCCCTCCCACAAAGCCTATTTTCTATCTGTATCATGAGGCATAAATGATGTGTGTCTATGACTCCTTTGTAAAACAGTTTCCAAGTTTTGCTTATTAACCACTCCTGCATTTGAGGATAAAGTGACGTCTGTGGTGACAGATCATGGGATTAATAACAAATGGTTGGACCACTGCTTTCTTCCCACTTAATAAATATTCCATGTGTAATTGAATCCTGTTGAATTAGTTGGGCCACAAAGGCTTCTTCCTCCTTTGCTAGGAATGCAGCCAGAGTTGTGCTTTAAAAGACACGTGTGCATGTGCTTACACTGAACAAATTCCCTGGCAGAAAGAAAGTGGTGGAGGAGTTAGAAACGCAGAGAAAAGCAGAAGGCAGCACCAGAGGAAGGATGTACGTGAAAGCCTCAGTACATTATACAAATGAAATGGTGATATATTCCCCAGGAGAAGGAGACAATGCTGTTTGGGGCTTCATACATCCTGTTTCTTCTTGTGATTAAACTGAAAAAAATTAATGATGTTGGGAAGGAGGGAAAGCTGAAGGAAGACCAGAGCCTGATACCTTGGGGTAATGATGCTGCCTCTGTCTGTGCCTTTTTAATGCTGACAGGAGCCACCCCTTCTGCCTAATGGAGAAACATAACCAGTTTCCATGCAGCTTAGAATAGCTGGGGTTGAAGAGAAGGTGCAGGGTTTTCCTTTTTTTGGCTCAGTGCCTTTTTAGTTAGTTCAACCAACTCGGCTGGGGGACACTGGAGATAGAAGTGTGACTGTTGTTCCTCATCCATAGGGGCAGGCCACATGGGCAGACTACCTGACATTTGTATCCTGCTTCCCTGCAGGGTGAGGAAGTCTCATGAACATAGTCTCCTGAGCTGAAGCAGGGGAGGGCTCTGGAGAAAGAGGACCTGGGTGCAGATCCTGCTCATTCAGTGATCCCAAGACCTTGGGCATATTTCACTATCAACTTGCCAGGGAGAATTTCCAGTGCTGAGGATAGGGTGGTGAACAAAGGAACTTTGGTTCTTGCAGGGAAACAGTCTAAGAATAAGTAGCAAGAAAAGAAAAGAATGGCAAATTTTGATAAAGATTTCAAAGGACACTGAGGGGCTGAAAAAGTGATGCTGGGGTGAGCTGGGAAGAGGACCAAGTCAGATATACTTCCTACATTCAGGGGACTCATGTCCTAGTGGGAGTGAGACATACATATACACCTGCACACATGGTGGAATGCTGCAAAGAAAACAAACAAGGGCCTAAGAGAGGAAAAAGGCAGGGGATGCAGGTGGACCCACGTTGGTCAGGGGAGGCCTCTAGGAGGTGACCATCGAGCTGATAGAAGATGAGAAGGCTGGCCTTCAGCAACAGGAGCAGAGCATTCAATATGAGAACCAAGAACAGCCTATGCAAAGGGACTGAGGAGGGAATGAACTGGGAGCACCCAAGGAAGTGAAGGAGGCTCAGTGCAGCTGGAGCCTGTGAAACAGGATGTCTGGGGAGGAGCTGAAGCCAGGAGCCAGGTCGGAGTCCTATAACATGAAGTTGTGTGGGCTCTGATGGGGACTTTAGAGTCTCTTCTAAGTGCAGAAGGCACTTTCGGCAGGAAAGTGATATAATCCAGTTTATTTTAAAAGACATTTGTGCTTGCTGTTATTCTTAAACCTCTGTATAGTGGGAATAGTCCATAGTACCTACTTCAGAGGGTTGTGTGAGGGTTAATTGCGGTCTGAATATAATGCACTTGGCCCAGTGTCTAGCGCACAGCAAGTTCAGGGCACATTGTTATTCATCTACGTGCAAAGCTGGCTTCAAGGCCATTGAGCCCACCTTATTCTAACTTTGGCAGTTCTTCCCATAGCCACTTGGAGCTGCCTTACAAGGTGAGGTCAGATTGTATTTGTGTGTCTATGTCTCTCTACCTACCTGCCTGCCTGCCTACCTCTATCTCAGTCATCTTTATATATTACTGGAGTAGCCAGAGGTAGGGTTAAGATTTTTCTCAGAACACAAATTTGGATCTAATCCAACAGTCAGACAAATGGGCAGTCAAGTTCCAAGTTCCCAGGTCCTTGCTATTGTTATCATTTTCATCCAGGGGCTATGAAATATCTACTTTGGTCATAAAATTCATGCAAGGCCACCATAGAATACTAAACTTTAAGCTAAAACTATCAATGTTGGACATTGTCTTCCACCTCCTTTTTGTTCTCTACCCTGCTGTCTGTGCTGGGGGCTGACCTCCACGGACCACATCCCTTCTGACTGCTGGATGATGTGGCCAAACACAGGAGACTGGAGGACAGACAGAGTGAGAGGTCAGGATATGTATTCCTTCTGCTTCCTCCCTATCCAGCCACCTTCCTCTACCAAAGGCCACAGCTCCTGTTGTGGTGGCCTCCTCTACATTGCTGGTTTCTCTGGGTTCAGGTGACCTCTCTTTCCTCTTACATCTTTAGGTCAGGGATTGTAGCAATTTTCTGCTATTTCTAGCCCAGAGGTGCTTGTTGGTTTCCCTTGATCCTGCCCACACTTTGATAAATAGTCTCTTCATCGAAATTATTTTAAATCACCCCTTTTTGTGTCTGCCATCTATTTCCTACTGGGACCCTACCCACCCACATACTCTCTAAGCTCAAATGTTTTAAAAATGTACCCTGGTTATTAGGGCACTAACCAGCTAGATGCAGGTATATTTTAATATTCATCATATTTTAATATTTCTAAGATGTACCCCCCACACACATATTTTAGCACCTCTGAAATCAGGATGAGATTTGCAAATGGTGATGTTTTACTCTTGCTACTGGCTTGGCATCTGTGGGTGTTTTCTTGTGCATGTGTGAACTTGGTCATTCATTGCTGGTCATGGAGTCCTCATTTTAATGGAGTTATGTTTGTTGTTGGTACTATTCAATGGTGTTTAAAGTATTTCGGTAGGTTTACATTATGATTCAGCTCTGGAATGAAGTCATTATTTACACAGAGGCATGGAACAGAGCAGCAAAGCATAATTTTGATGTCAGTGAAGCAAATATCCATCTTGGCAGAATGGAGGAAATTCCATATTTTTTAAAGGGCTTTATGGGACTTAAAAAAGGAAGATACTCATAAGTAGTTGGAACTGTGTTATATGTGTTACTGAGATATGTGCAAAAGGATTGCCTATAATAGGATGAGCAATGTGACTAAAGGAAGTAGGAATTCCCAAATCCTTTGGAATAAATCAAAGAAATTTCAAAGAAACAAGGAGTTGGTGTCATTGATTGGCAGTGTTTTTTATTTTTTTCTTTCTTAGTGGCACATACAATACTGGTGTGCTTTACAAATTGTTGACTCCTTAGATTTGATGATCTATGGTATTTTTTAGAATGCTATTTTCTGGACTCTAGCCCATTTATTGACTCCAGTCTTACCTCTCTGGTGAATTTACAGAGAAACAAAGGCATAGCATTCATCTCCAGGCTGGTGGAGGATGTGCTTCTTAAGTCTCCTTCTTCCAGCCCCAGATCCCACATACTCTAAGGGTTTGAAATTTGAAAGTTGATGAGTTACTGAACCTCCAGGGGAGTCTAGGACCTCTCAGAGGCCAAAGGCTTGCTGAATGTGCTGGTGTAGAGAGAAGACTGCTGCCCCAGGAATGTTCTCCTTAGCTGGGGTGATTGAACATTTTATCTCATGGTCCTGATGGAATAAAATAATAGGCCTTAAAATATAATTCTAGAAAGAAATTAGGGGGAAATCAAGTAACAATTCAGTGGAGTAGGAACATTCAACCCAGGGCATCACTGCTGTTTTCTTCCAAGCTTCCGATGCAAGACCACTTGTGGCCCTGCTGGGTAAGCTGGGGAGGGAATTACCAACAAGACTGCCCCTCAGACCCAGGCTGCAGATTCAAAGCACTTTATTTAGGAAGAGTTGAAGGTACTTACACACACCTATTTCCCCAAATGGCAAGAAATATGATCTTTTTTGAGTATGCATTTTGAAAGTATTTGAAATACCCTTTTTGAAAATATCCCTTTTCAAATATGATCTTCCCAAGGGCCATATGCTGATGGAAAAATGACTTGAGCGTGGAGTGAATTTGTGAGATGCCTTTGGAACTCTGTCCCCAAAATTGAAAAAATAAAAAAAGCAGAATAAACTTAGTACTTAACTCTAAAGGTCTGCTAACAGGTCATGTACATAAAGGTAGAAAAGAGATTCAGAGACAGATGAAGAAATTCAAGAGGGACAAATTCTGTTCTAAAGATAGTTCAACTGCTGTGCCAGCCTCCTTTTGTCCCTGGTCCCTCCATCTCCCCTCCCCATTCTCCACCTTTTTGCATCTGTCTTTCTGCTCAGAAAAACTGGCCTGTATGGACCCACAAAGTGTTTCCATGTCTTCATCCTCTGGGTTTGTCCAGTGAAGAAGGAATCCCAGGAGGAGATGAGAAGGAAGGGATGAATGAGGTCAAATATTGATTCCCCTGGCTCCCTGCCAGATAGGTTGCCTGGAACCTCTGTGTGCATCTACGGAAGGTCACAGGTCTTCTCAAGGTGTGGTGTCTGCATAGTCTCTTCTTTGGTAACTTCCCCTCTCTTTTTAGGCCTAGTCAGTCACAGTTCTACTAACTATTAAACTGCAGGTTACAGCACTATCTCTGTGGCTCCTCTACGCCTACAGCTTTGCAAGTATATCCTCCTGAGAGTATGCTATTTCAAGTGTGCCATCTGCTTCTCAGTGGAACCCTGATGTCTGGGTACCAGATACTCCCGTTTTCATGGAAGATGTTAGCTGCTGTAGGGTTTGAGAGATTGGAATTACCCTGGTTCAGTTCCTTTAGCCCTGAATTTCGGGAGGTAAATGCAAAGCCCTGACAATGATGACCTAATTCCCTGACTTCCTCTGGGTGTCAGAGATTTGGATGAGTTTAGAACATTGATTTTTGGACTGGGCGTGGTGGCTCATGCCTGTAATCCCAGCACTTTGGGAGGCCGAGGTGGGCGGATCACCTGAGGTCAGGAGTTTGAGACAAGCCTGGCCAACATGGCAAAACCCCGTCTCTACTAAAAATACAAAAATTGGCCAGGTGTGATGGCACGTGCCTGTAATCCCAGCTACTCAGGAGGCTGAGGCAGGAGAATCGCTTGAACCCAAGAGACGGAGGTTGCAGTGAGCCAAGATCACACTACTGCACTCCAGCCTGGGCGACAGAGTGAGACTCTGTCCCAAAACAAAGCAAAACAAACAACAACAACAAAAAACACTTATTTGATTTTTGGGAATTTGGAGCGCTAGGTCTGGGACAAGGAGTGTGATTTGTTTGTAAAGCGATGTGTTGGGCTTCAGTGTTCATTTGAATACGTCATTTAGTGATGGTTGTTTCTATATCTCTTATTAGTTAGCCTCTCCAACTTACCTAAAATAACAAAATCACAGATAATTTGTAGGCTAAAATTAGTCTTAAAAATTATTTTTGGCAGGGAGTGGTGGCTCATGCCTGTAATCCCTACATTTTGGGAGGCTGAAGCAGGTGGATCACCTGAGGTCAGGAGTTTGGGACCAGCCTGGCCAATATGATGAAACCCTGTCTCTACTAAAAATACAAAAGATTAGCTGGGCGTGGTAGCGCATGCCTGTAGTCCCAGCTAATCAGGAGGCCGAGGCAAGATAATTGCTTGAACCTGGGAGGCAGAAGTTGCAGTGAGCTGAGATGGTGCCATTGCACTCTAGCCTGGGCAACAAGAGCAAAACTCCACAGTTTTTTTTTGTCTCCCTCCAACATACCTTGAATAACAGTGCAAATTCACTGAATATAGAGTTTGGTGAGTTTATCTTTCCAAACAGAATTAGACTTTGACCTTTCGTAGTCACAATTGCAAGTGATACCTAAAGGGAAGTTGGACTGCTGCAGACAGTTGTTGAGGATGTGCACTGGTACCTGTAGGGGGCACCATTCATATATACTGTGAATTGGCATGCAACCTGCACAACCGTGTGCAGTGACCCTAGGAGGGGCCATAATCACCTCCAGCACTGATGGGCAGAACAGGGTGGAGTTTAACTGTTGCCCACACTGCCTCTGGTTATCTGCATTTTAAGCTTATGCCTTAACCTCAAGTATCTGATTCACGGTGTGAATTTTGCTTTTACTGTGGCTCTTTGTATATTGCAGCTAAATATTTCACATATGATGTCTCAATGTTTGAGGATATTCCATGGCAAATTTAATTTCTGGAGTACCAAGATGAAGAGAAGAAGCACTGGATCTAGTGCTGGATACCTGGATTCAAACCTTGGCAGAACAATGATGAAGCATTTCCGGCAGGACTCTCAGAATCTCAGGCTTCTTAACTGTAAACCAGGGTGAATAGTAGCTTTCTTATAGGTTTTGATGAATAAACAAGATTACATATTTCAAAGAACCTTACACACAATAAATGCTGAGTAAATATTGATTTATTCTTACAAAGCAAAACCTGTAAAAGTGACATTTTCAGAAAAGATTAATAGGTGAGCCTCTCAAGCACCAGTTTACAACAGATTTTTTTAATGCAACAGAAACTGTTTGGGAGGCTGGAGAGAGCTGGTTAGCTGGGCTTGAGGCTAACTGCACATGACATTCAGCTCCAGGGGCAGAGGCCTGATCCCCAGAGGGTTCAAAACCATTCTTGGCTTTTGCCCTTTTCTCTGACATCTTGAGTTTTCCTATTTATCGACAGGGCCAAGTGGCAAAGAGGTATTCTTCTTTGCCTTTGAATGTTTGCACAGCTTCCTCTTCTGATTAGAGAAATCAGATAGAGCTGGGATCTTTCACCTCTATCCTAATTGGTACATAGCACATTGTGACATCGCATCTATTGGTGTTGAACATGTAGGGGGAGGATTAGGATTTAGACCAAAGTTTTTTTTTTTTTTTTTTCAGAGTCGTACTTTGTCTGGGACTGCAAGTGCATACCAACATGGCCAGCTAATTTTTAAAATTTTTTGTAGAGATGAGGTCTCATCAGGTTGCTCGGGCAGCTTCTGGGCTCAAGCAAGCCTCCTACCTTGGCCTCCCAAAGAGCTGGGATTCCAGGTTTGAGCCACCACACCCAGCCTAGACTTTATTTTCTATGGTGATGGAATTAGGGAGTGGAAGTGAAGGATGTTATAATGTGGGCTTTAACTTGAAAAGGGATATAATCTACTCCCTCTATTAGGCGACTCCTGATTCTTGAAGCCAAATTTTTCAGTCTTCTTTTGTGATTCCAGGAGCCAAAACAACCAAGGAAGACCTGGTTCCAGTAATAATAATGATATCTTATATTTGTATAATGCTTTGTACTTTGGAAAGCAGCTCTATAATCTCATTTGACCCTCACATAAACCCAGTGAGGTGGCTTGGGAGGCATTCATTCCTTTATTTTACAGCTACAAAATCCCAGAAGATAATAAGTGTCTCGCCATGATCTCATAACATGTAAGTGATAGAGTCCAGGTCTCCTGGGTACTAGTCTAGCATTTTTTACTTTACACTGTATCATCTTGAGCATTCACATTCTTTGAAAAAATTTTTATTAATGAATTTATAATGTGTGTTCATGGTTTCAAATTTAAAAAGGTACGAAAGGATATATAGTCAAAATTAAGCCCTCTTCCTTCTTTCCTACTCTCTTAATGTATTGCCCTTTCTGGATATGACCACCATTCCCTATTTCTCATGTCTTCTTTGGTGATATTCTGGGCATTTTAAAGCATAAATGTATATTTTCCCCTTCCCTGATGGACTTAAAAAAATATAAGACAGTGGAAATACCCTAGAGAAGTGGGCTTGGAGAAGTTGGTAAGTAATCCCACTTGGGGTTTTGTGAGAAATATACCTAATCTTTGTGGCTTTGCTTTTGGGAATCTAAATGGCATATTTTAGCTTTTTTTTTTTTTTTTTTTGATGGAGTCTCACTCTGTCACTCAGGCTGGAGTGTAGTGGTGCGATCTTGGCTCATCACAACTTCCACCTCCTGGGTTCAAGCGATTCTCTTGCTTTAGCCTCCCAAGTAGCTGGGATTACAGGTGCCCACCTCCACGCCTGGCTAATTTTTGTATTTTTAGTAGAGATGAGGTTTCACCATGTTGGCCAGGCTGATCTCAAACTTCTGACCTTAGGTGATCCACCTGCCTTGGCCTCCCAAAGTATTGGGATTACAGGTGTGCACCATGGCACCCAGCCTATTTTAGCTTTTTAAATATAAAAGACAATCTCTTTGCACTTTAGATCTTAAAAGTAATGCAGGTGTTTTAAAAAAGTTCTTACTGTGGGATTTTTTTCTAATAGTAATAGATAATAGTTATTAAGTGATTTACTAAATGCCAGTTACCATTCTAAGTACCTTTTGTGTAATGTTTCATTAATTCTCACAATAAAGCTATGATAGAGGTATTATTATTATCCATTTTTTATAGCTGAGCAAACTAAGTCTCAGAAGGGTTAAGTAATTTACCCACAAGCACACATAGAGTACATGTCCAAGCTGGGATTTGAAGCAAGGCAGCTAAGCTTACCCCAAGAGCCACATTCTTAACCTTTGTATCAATGTGACAAAAATAATTCATGCAGGTTAAATTACTCCTGAGAATGACTTCAGTAAGGAAGCAGGGATTTTGGATAGCTCGCCCTTTCATTTCTGGTTTACTTCTGGTGTTAAAGTTATCACTTAATCTTGATCTGCTTTTGCTTTCTATCTATGGTCTTTCTCTTCCTTTTTTTTTGAGACAGAGTCTTGCTCTGTCACTCAGGCTGGAGTGCAGTGGAGCTATCTCGGCTCACTGCAACCTCTGCCTCCCAGGCTCAAGCAATTTTAATGTCTCAGCCTCCCAAGCAGTAGCTTGGATTATAGATGTGCACAACCATGCCCAGATAATTTTTATATTTTTAGTAGAGATGGAATTTTGCCTTGTTGGTCAGGCTGGTCTCGAACTCCTGGCCTCAAGTGATCTGCCTGCCTTGGCCTCCCAAAATTGCTGGGATTATAGGCATGAGCCACCATGCCTGGCCCCTAAGTCTTTCTCTTCTTCTGCCTAACATTATGCTTGAGGATCAGGAATTTGTTTTCTGGATCATAAGGTTATTTCCCATCTTCCTCCATAATTCCTAAACCAGGGCCATAAGAGCTTTCTCTCTTGTAAGTATTGGATGTTGTTTTCTGGAACATGAAATCATCAAGATAATACTTGAGAATTGGAAGTTGGAGAAAACCACCAAGTATAATAGAAATGTGAGTCCCTACATTCCTAGTCTTTAGCTCCTCTGATAGTGCCTCACTATTTCACAACATCACAACGCCTCAGCTCTTCTGATATGGTGTGTTATATATGGCTCTGCTATAGGACCAGGTTGGTTTTTTCCAATCTGTCACACACCAATGCTAATACCCAGTTCACCCTACCTGAAACTCACCAAGAAAGCTCCACACCTGAACTGGCCTACACCTTTTTCAACAAGTTGAACTTGCTGGAGCTTGTACTTGGGTATCGTGTCACGGTCTAGTTGCTGTAGACATTTCTAAGCACTGGCATTTTGCAAATCAATAGTGGGGACTGGCAGTGGTGTGAGAACAACACTTTAGGTGGCCCCGGGTACAAAATGCTGTGAATTGTTTAGCCAAGTAAATGAATGCTGGCACTGGCTGCTTAATTAGGACAATAAAGCTAGTGCTTTCATCTTATTTCTTCATAGCCTTTGATGAGGTGTTGCTCTCCTATTTATTATCCCTCTTTTTACTGTTTTTTCTTTTTCTTTTCTTTTTTCTTTCTTTCTTTTTTTTTTAAGACAAGGTCTTGCTCTGTTGCCTAGGCTGCAGTGTGACGGTGTGAATACAGCTCACTCCTGCAGCCTAAACTCCTGGGCTCAACTAATCCCCTCACATCAGCTTCTCAATTAGCTGGGACTGCAGGTGAGCACCACCATGCCTGACTAATTTTTTTTTTATTTTTTGTTTTGTAGAGACAGGGTCTCACTATGTTGCCCAGGCTGGTCTTGAACTCCTGGGCTCAAGTGATCCCCCTGCCTAGGCCTCCCAAAGCACTGGGATTACAGTTGTGAGTCACTGTGCCTGACTCATTTTACTTTTCTTCTTTTGGGATGGTTTGGTGGACATAACTCGTATGTGAATCTATCAGAACAAGAAATCCTACTACAAAGATGAAATTAAGTTGCCTGTGTGTTGAAGCACACAGTTTACACCCTTATGTGCTGCCGCATTGGAAAAAATTCATATGTGGCAGATGGGGAAGACCAAATAGACACATAGCAAAGGAGAAGTCTACACACTAAAGAGAGACACCCAGTCATTGTTCACCTGAGAGCTGTGGCAGGCTCAACCTGCTGAGTACTTGTTATTCATCTTGGGTTGGCCACCCTGTTGCCAACCACCAGGAAGAGAACCTGCCATTTAGTTGACAATCTAGAATCCAGTTCCTGGGTACTTAGTCTCTAGGTTATTCCATTAAAAAAGTGACATCTGCAACTGTAATTTCTTTCCCATGGGTCAGTGAAAGAATTTCCAGAAATACTGTTGATCATTTCTGAGCATCGTTAACTGATCCATAGATACCAGAGACTTTTTTCTCTGTGAGGAAGAAAGTCCTTGTGATACTTTATCGTAAGCTTGGACCACTTAGGCTATGCAAGAGATTCTGAGACCCAGCTCCCTACTACTGTGAATGTTGCTTCACATTGTTGCAAATTTCCCTCTTCTCCATCAATACATAGGGATAAGTTGAAAACCTCATCAGAATTAACAGGGAGACTGGAACTGCTTTTGATGAAAGGCCAAGAAGAGAAAGCTCTCAAAGTACTGAGTATTGTCCAGTCCAGATCACCTGGTGCTTGTAAAAAATGCAGATACTGGAGCCACTGAGTCAGACTCTCTAGAGGTAGGATTGTGGAATCTAAAATGTTAACAACCTCCCTGTGGAGTCTTAAGCATGCTAAAGTTTAATAACCACTAGTTTAGGGGTCCTCGTTTTAACTTAATCCTTAGCGGCTGCTTACATACTTCCAGGTGTTTCTCCAGACTCCATCATCCCAAGTGTGCTAAAATGGAGGAATCCGTGTCAAAATAACACTAGCAGCAATGAAGAGGCCTCATCTTCCCAAATGTCCAAAGTGTCCCCTCTGAAGCTGTCATTGTTGTTGATGGCTCCCAGCTCTGTCTCCCCTCACTGTCTGCTTCCTCATCTGCATGGCGCAGCTTTGCCCCTAGCCCAGGCTACCAGAACTTTCTTGTGAGTGCATCACTAGCTGGGTTGCTGGCAGCATGTAATAGCTCAGATTTGGTGGTCTGACAGACTTGGGGTAGATCTTGCCTCTCTTGCTTGCCAAGTGACCTTTGCTAGTTAAATTCTCAGGCTCAGATTCCTTATTTCTAAAAAGAGAAAATAGTTTATACCTTATAGGATTGTGTTAAGATTTAATAAGATAATTCATGTGTCTAACATATAATGAACACTCAGTACATTTTAGCTGCTTTGATATTAATATTAAATATAAAACCACAGCATTTGTCATGATTCTAGCCAACATCCCTAGATACAGGACTCTATCTTTGAGCTTGAGCCTCAGTTCAGGTGGGGACCTCTCAGTCCAGTCCAAGGGCGAACAGTTCTTCCCACATGGACATTGCCTGACTTGGTTAGAACACTGCTCATGGACACACAAGTCCACTGATGACTCAACATCTTTTGTCTGGAGCTCCTAAAGGATGCTCAAACTCAAATGTCCAACAGTAAGCTTAGCATCTTCCTCTCCCAAGCTGTCCCCTGCCAGCTTTCCTTTCTTGGAGAAGAGTACCATGGTTTCTATGGTTGCATAAAACAAAAAAATCTGAAAGCCATCCTCGACACCACTTTGGAATCTATCACCGAGGCCAGTCAGCTATACTTTATAAATTTATCTCCAACCCATCTATTTCTCTCATGTCCACTGCCAATGCTCTGATTCAAGTGGTTATATATATATATCTTTTAAAACACACACGCACATATATACATATGTATTTTTTTAAACTGGGCCACCGCAACAATCTCTTAACTAGTTTTCTGATCTCACTAGTATACCCTGTGCTATACAGAACAATTAAAACACAAATCTAATTATAGCACTATCCATCCCTCTCTAGTCATTTATTCTAGCATATTCTTTTTGATATTTATTTTGCTTGACAGACTTGACAAATATATTAGTTGACATTATGTTGCATATTTTTTGTTTATGGTCTGGCTTTCCCACTGGAATATAAGCTCCATGAGGGCAGGAACTTTGTTTTATTCGCTGTAGATGAGTGTCTGGTGCTGGTAGGCATGCAGTGAGCATTTGTTCCATGAAAGGTCTTACTCCCTTTCCGTGCTTTTCCACTGGTCTCAGGATATGGAGCAAATCTGTAGCACAACCCATGAGGCCCTGTACACACTGGCCCGTATAATACTTCTAGCTTTAGCTCCTTTCCTCTTCTCCTGCTTGAGCATTGGGCAAAAGCCAGCTTGACCTTTCTTGAATAGGTTAGGCCTCCCCTGCTTCAGGGCCTTTGCACATGCTGCTCACTCTGCCAGGAAACCTGCCTAACAACTACTCCTCAATTGCATCTTAGCTTTGTGGGGATGTCTATACCAGCTTTTTCAACCCTGTAATTTTTTGTAGCACTCATCACAGTATGCAATTATATACCTGTTTCATGGATTATTTAATTAATATTTAATTTAATATTTAATTATTTAATTAATATCTCTGTTCTGGTAGAACAGAGATTGGCAAACTATGGCCATATGCCATACTGGGCATCCCATCTACTTTGTATGATCTGCAAATATATCCATGCTTGTTCATCTATGTATTGTCTATGGATGCTTTCATGTTACAGTGGCAGAGTATGTGACCTCATGGACTGCAAAGCTTAGATATTTACTATCTGGCTCTTTATAGAAAAATTATGCTGACTCTTCTCTAGATTCTTCATGAGGGCAGGAGATATTTCTGTTTTATTCATTACAGCATATATTATGTGTTCAATAAATACTACTTAGATGAACAAATGATTTTGAGTAGGCCAACATTATTTTCCTACTGCTTCTCTAGAAAGTAATAATAGCCTCCATTACAGTTATATTCCTAGACTTTTGACAATTGGCTCACATTAGTAATTGCAAAAGGTAAAATTATGACTCTCAGGCATTCATTGTGATTAATATTGCTTAAATGTGATGAATTGTGGGGCTGGGTGTAGTGCATGTTCCACAGTGGCTAGTAGGATGGGTATACGAGCAGAACTGTGAACAATATTTACATATGGAGATCAACCAAAGACAATAGAATAAATATCTATTGTCATTTATTTATAATGAAAGTATCATATAACTTTAAGAGAAATGTTTTAGGTGAAGTAGAAGTGAGTATTTGAATGAGAAGCAAAGGAAAGAAAAAGATTTGTTGTCTGAATACTTAAAACTCTGTTCCATTAGTTCTTTGCTTACCTTGCTTTGTGACACTGAACTCTTCAGTAATGGCTCCAGGCTATAGAAAACACCTCCTATTGGAAAATTAAGTATCTAATGGCCAAATACTAGAAAGCTTTTTGGGTCAAACTAATGTTTTTTTTTCTTTTCTTTCTTTTTCTACCTATTTTTATAGAGAACAATGGCATCTAGTAAATTCTACTTGGGTGATTTCCTGGGATTACATAGAATAGTATATTTGATGTTCATTTTACCAATTAGAATACAATGGGCTACAAGTAACACAGTATCTTTATTCAAGTCGAGTGCTTTGATAAAGACAGGTATGACTTCACAAATGAGAAGTTCAGAGGTGAGGCAGTTCTAGGCATGGGACATTTGCCTATTAAACAAATATATCTACTATGAGCCAGGCATTGTTTTAGGAACTAGAAACATGGAAATAGATAAAACTGACAAAAATCTCTGCTTTCTCGGAGATTATATTCTAGTGGGGTGAGGGAAGATCATTACTGGCCTCAGTAGGCCATTGTAAGACTTTGGGTTTTACTCTGAGTGAAATTGGGAGCCACTGGAGGGCTTTGAGTGGATGATGAACATAATAAACTGATTTAGTTTCTAGGGGACAAAATGGCAAGAGTAGAAGCAGGGAGATGAGTCAGATGGCTATTGCAACAATTTAGGTGAGAGACAACCAGGGCTTGGACCAGGGTGGGAGTGGTGGAAGTGGGAGGAGGTAGTTGGAATCCACATACTTCAAGATAAAATACACTCACATTTCAAGGGCTAGAGATGACCCTACGGCTTTGAGGATTGTGAAACGAGCCTGGGAGAAGTGTTTGACAATGAAAATCTTTGTAGACATAGAAAGGTTTTCATTAAAACAACAATAACAACAGAAACATGAAAAAGAGACTCAAATTCTACAAACATCTGAAGGGTGTTTGTGTAAGTTATCAACTTATTGCTTCTCAGTTCCATATGAGCCCTTCATTACCTGCTCTGACATAATGAACCTGGACCCTTTTTAGCATTTCTCCTCTGCAGCAAACATGACGATGCTGAGCTTTGTTAACAGAGAGCCCTGGAGGGGCGTTGCTGGAGGAAGGGGGTTTCTCTTGCTGGTTCCAGTATACTTGGCTCATCAGGCTTCCACCCTGACAATAGCTGATGAGTATTGATACTGTGTGCCTGAAGTGACATTTTGGCAAGTTCACCTGACATAAGGACCATAGGCAGCATGGTGGATGATAAGGTAATGTCCATTCTACTCCTAATGATTAGAATATGCCAGAAAACAACCATATGTTCACCTTATTTGGCTCAGTCATGATGATGATCTGGATGCTATGACCCACTGGCCCACATCAAATGGTCTCTACCTCAGTCCTAGCCTTTTCTTGTTGTTCAGAATGAGTGCCAACTGTATTTGCTCTGCCCTTTTCTCAGAACAAGTAGAGGGCAAATGAGCAGGTATTCACAGTGGCGATTGTGGATTTAAAAATATTTATTCTTTTTTACTCTTTTGTGTTAAATTTTCTACAATACATATACATTACTTTTGTTATAAGAAAATAATAAAGTTGTTTTCATTTTTTTAATAAAGAAAAGAAATTTATTTTTTACAGTTTTGGAGGCTGGAAATTCCAGGGTCAAGGGGCTGCATCTGGAGGGTCTCCTGCTGGTGGGGACCTTCTGAAGAGTCCTGAGATGGTACAGTGCATCACATGGTGAGGGGACTTATGATAGGCAGCCACACTGGCTTTACAGTGGACTCACCCTCTTGATAACCAGTCCACTCCTGTGATAACCCATTCACATATCAACCCACTAATCCATTAATTCATGAATGGATCAATCAACTGGTGAAGACAGAGTCCACATAATCCAATCACCTCCCGAGTGTTCCACCTCTCAACACTGCTGCATTGGGGATCAAGCTTCCAACACATGAACTTTTGGGGGACACATTATTTATTTAAAAAATACTTTTATTTTAGTTTCAGAGGTACATGGGCAGGTTTATTGTATGGGTAAACTCGTGACTCAAGGGTTTGTGATGAAATAATCTGTACAGAAAGTTATTTTTAGTTAAAAAAAATGTGTAGCAACTCTTCCTTTTCTACGATAAAAAACAATGGCATGCATTCCTGATTCTTTTTTTATTTTTTTGAGATGGAATCTCACTTGGCTAGAGTGCAGTGGTGTGATCTTGGTTCACTGCAACCTCCACCTCCTGGGTTCAAGCGGTCCTCCTGCCTCAGCCTCCTGAGTAGCTGGGACTACAGGCAAGCACCACCCCGTCAGACTAATTTTTGTATTTTTAGTAGAGATGGTGTATCACCATATTGGTCAGGCTGGTCTCAAACTCCTGACCTCAGGTGATCTGCCTACCTTGGTATCCCAAAGTGCTGGGATTACAGGTGTGAGCCACCACGCCCAGCCACATTCCTGATTCTTAATGTTACAATTTCCATAACACAGAAATAATTTGGAGATAATGTCATTTAGCTACAATTAGGGAAGGGAAAACTTTTCAAGCTCTCTAAAGGAGGTAAATCTTATTTTTATAATTTTGCCTTGTTTAATTTTCATTGCCATGTGCATAGCTCCAGGGAAAAGTTATCTTTTTTGGACGTTTGAACTTCCTGAATACAGCCTAGTTGGAATAAATAGCTTTCATTGTTAGAGGGACCTCAGGGACTAAGTGTTACTGAGAATTTGAATATGTCCTCCAGTTTGGAAGACAGGCTATAATAAGGACAAGCCTACAGTCGTCTTGGGATCTCATTTGCAACACTTCCTTGGCATGCTTGCAGTTTGGACAGGGTTCACGTGCCAAGGTGTAGGATGAAAGATAACCAGACCCAAAATAAACCAGGCAGTAGGACAAGTTTTGAATTTTAATGCATATTAAAAATGTTGCCCTATCCTGGGGCTGCATTTCAAAGAGAGGTATAAAGATAAATGTACCTTTATATTTTTGGTATTTGAAGGTATTTGAAGGTCTGTTTTACTAGGAGATGTTACAGTGCAATGAAAGTTGACAACAGCTGCGCTGGACACAGCTACTTAGAGACTCAATCACCGTGAGTTTAGTTCTAAATTCATGGAATTCAGGGGTTAAGAGCATGGATTCTGAAACTAAACTGCCCGGATTTGACTCTGTCACTTATCAGCTGAGTGACTTTGGGAAAGCTACTTACCTTATCTGTACCTGTTTCTTCTTCTGTAAGTTAGGAATAGTAATAGACTCTTTCTATCCAGTTAGGAGGATTATTCTTTGGTGAACTCGGTGGATGAAGAATTGCTGGGGACTACAATACGGCAGAGGTTCTTTGGCTAAACTGGCAGTCATTCTCTATCCCTTTTTTTCCACAAGCTTTTCACCACAGAGGCAAGACAAGCTAACATTTACCCATTTGTTTGCCCTTGCAGCTGGTGATGGCTATTTACAGTTAGCCAATGAAACATAAGTGAAACTCTCCCCATGAAAGGGACAGTTGCAAGCTGCACTGCTTGCTCCTCTTCTTGCCTTGAACATATGTTATGTCTGGAACTGTGGCAGGCATTTATCAACCATGAGGTGACAAGCAAACAAGAAGCCAAGATAATCTCAGAGATGCCAATCTTAATATCCATGAACTGCTGAACCAGTGCCAAAACCTAAATATTACAGACTCCTTGCTTCAGTAGGTCAGGCTTTCTGTTACTTACAGTGGAAAGCATTCGTCTTAACTGATATGTATGGTAGATACTCCAGAGTTACCACTCTTTTTGTCCTAGTCCTGTGTTTCTCAAAATATGGTTTTTAGAACACCTGCCTTAAAATCACTTTGGGCTCCAGCCAGTGATTCAGAAATCTCTGAGAGTGGGGTCTTTGAATCTGTATGTGAAAGAAGTTCCCTAGGTGATTCTGATGCACATTCCAATTTGAGAAGTCTTAATCGGGTGTTGGCTCACTGAGTTCGTTTTTGTCGGGCAATCACTGAGCGTTTACTAAGGGCTAAGCACTGCATTAGGCATTGTGGATGCAAAGATGAACAAAACCACTTTGCTCTTGAGGGGCTTACATTCTGGTGGCAATTTCAGTACAAGGAGGTAATTGCTTTAAAAATAAAAAAAAGGTTAGCGAAGCAGTAGGCCATTCTGAGAGATCAAGAAACTACCTGGAAGGGAAGGCTATGTGAATTACACAGTTTCAATCAAATATATGTTTTTATCCCGCTAATTTGACTCCATAGATGTTCCTTTTCTGTATTTGTGAATGTAAACTTTTAAACAGCATTACAGCGATTTTGATAACATTTCGTGACCACATACTTTGTGGAGCTAATTCTGTAAAGCTACCTCAATGCCTTAATCAATTTTATCTTCTGGACAGTTAAAATTATCCATTATTTTCAATTTTCATTATGATTTTACCAGCATTATTTTTCTTTTTTTTTTTTAAAGTGAAAGCAAGTTTATTAAAAAAGTAAGGGAATAAAAGAATGGCTACTCCATATGCAGAGCAGCCCCGTGGGCTGCTGGTTGCACATTTTTATGGTATTATCTTGATTATATGCTAAATAAGGGGTGGATTTTTCATGCCTCCCCTTTTTAGACCATGGAGGGTAACTTTCTGATGTTGCCATGGCATTTGTAAACTGTCCTGGCACAGATGTGAGTGTAGCAATGAGGATGACCAGAGGTCACTGTCATTGCCATCTTGCCTTTGGTGGGTTTTAGCCGGCTTCTTGACTGCAACCTGTTTTATCAGCAAGGTTTTTATGACCTTATCTTGTGCTGACCTCCTATCTCACCTTGTGACTAAGAACACCTTAACCTCCTGGGAATGCAGCTTAGTAGGTCTCAGCCTCATTTTGTCCAGTTCCTATTCAAGATGGAGTTGCTCTGGTTTAAATACTTCTGACGGTTTTATGCAATTTTATCATATGTGTAGGTCTGTGTATCCACCACCACAGTTGAGATATGGAATAGTCCATCCCTACGAGCACCCCTGTGTTCTCCTGTCATGCTCACCTCTCACTGCCTCCCTCCACCTTCCATAGTGCCTGGCAACGACTAATCTGGTTTCCACTTATATAATTTTGTCAGTTGGGGAATGTTATTAAATGGAATCATACAGTAGGTAATCTTTTGGGATTGGCTTTTTAATTTAGCATAATCTCTGGAGATTCATCCAAGTTGTTGCTTGTATCAATCATTCATTTAAAAAAAATACTGAGTAGTATTTTGCACTATACCACACATACTGCAGTTTATTCACTCATTGAAGGACACTTGGGCTGTTTCCAGATTTCAGCTATTACTAATAAGGCTGCTATAAATATTCGTGTGTAGGTGTTGTGTGAATATAAGTTTTTATTTCTCTGGGATAAATGCCCAAGGATACAAATTATGGGTCATATGGTATTTTGCAGGTTTGGTTATATAAGAAACTGCCAAACTGTTTTCAGGGTGGCTGTACCATTCCATATTCCCAGCAATGTAGGAGTGACTCAGTTTCTCTGTATCATCCCCAGCATTTGGTGTTGTCACTAATTTTTATTCTGATAGATGTATATGTAGTGATATCCCATTATGATTTAAATTTGCATTTCCCTAATGACTAATGGCATTAGACTTATTTTCTTTCTTTCTTTCTTTATTTTACTATTATTTTTATTTTATTTTATTTTTTTTAATCATATTTTAAGTTTTAGGGTACATGTGCACAGTGTGCAGGTTAGTTACATATGTATACATGTGCCATGCTGGTGCACTGCACCCACTAACTCGTCATCTAGCATTAGGTATATCTCCCAGTGCTATCCCTCCCCCCTCCCCCCACCCCACAACAGTCCCCAGAGTGTGATATTCCCCTTCCTGTGTCCATGTGATCTCATTGTTCAATTACCACCTATGAGTGAGAATATGCGGTGTTTGGTTTTTTGTTCTTGTGATAGTTTACTGAGAATGATGATTTCCAATTTCATCCATGTCCCTAAAAAGGACATGAACTCATCATTTTTTATGGCTGCATGGTATTCCATGGTGTATATGTGCCACATTTTCTTAATCCAGTCTATCATTGTTGGACATTTGGGTTGGTTCCAAGTCTTTGCTATTGTGAATAATGCCGCAATAAACATATGTGTGCATGTGTCTTTACAGCAGCATGATTTATAGTCCTTTGGGTATATACCCAGTAATGGGATGGCTGGGTCAAATGGTGTTTCCAGTTCTAGATCCCTGAGGAATCACCACACTGACTTCCACAATGGTTGAACTAGTTTACAGTCCCACCAACAGTGTAAAAGTGTTCCTATTTCTCCACATCCTCTCCAGCACCTGTTGTTTCCTGACTTGTTAATGATTGCCATTCTAACTGGTGTGAGATGGTATCTCATTGTGGTTTTGATTTGCATTTCTCTGATGGCCAGTGATGATGAGCATTTTTTCATGTGTCTTTTGGCTGCATAAATGTCTTCTTTTGAGAAGTGTCTGTTCATGTCCCTCGCCCACTTTTTGATGGGGTTGTTTGTTTTTTTCTTGTAAATTTGTTTGAGTTCATTGTAGATTCTGGATATTAGCCCTTTGTCAGATGAATAGGTTGCGAAAATTTTCTCCCATTTTGTAGATTGCCTGTTCACTCTGATGGTAGTTTCTTTTGCTGTGCAGAAGCTCTTTAGTTTAATTAGATCCCATTTGTCAATTTTGGCTTTGGTTGCCATTGCTTTTGGTGTTTTAGACATGAAGTCCTTGCCCATGCCTATGTCCTGAATGGTAATGCCTAGGTTTTCTTCTAGGGTTTTTATGGTTTTAGGTCTAACATTTAAGTCTTTAATCCATCTTGAATTGATTTTTGTATAAGGTGTAAGGAAGGGATCCAGTTTCAGCTTTCTACATATGGCTAGCCAGTTTTCCCAGCACCATTTATTAAATAGGGAATGCTTTCCCCATTGCTTGTTTTTCTCAGGTTTGTCAAAGATCAGATAGTTGTAGATATGCGGCGTTATTTCTGAGGGCTCTGTTCTGTTCCATTGATCTATATCTCTGTTTTGGTACCAGTACCATGCTGTTTTGGTTACTGTGGCCTTGTAGTATAGTTTGAAGTCAGGTAGCGTGATGCCTCCAGCTTTGTTCTTTTGGCTTAGGATTGACTTGGTGATGCGGGCTCTTTTTTGGTTCCATATGAACTTTAAAGTAGTTTTTTCCAATTCTGTGAAGAAAGACATTGGTAGCTTGATGGGGATGGCATGAATCTGTAAATTACCTTGGGCAGTATGGCCATTTTCACAATATTGATTCTTCCTACCCATGAGCATGGAATGTTCTTCCATTTGTTTGTATCCTCTTTTATTTCCTTGAGCAGTGGTTTGTAGTTCTCCTTGAAGAGGTCCTTCACAACCCTTGTAAGTTGGATTCCTAGGTATTTTATTCTCTTTGAAGCAATTGTGAATGGGAGTTCACTCATGATTTGGCTCTCTGTTTGTCTGCTGCTGGTGTGTAAGAATGCTTGTGATTTTTGTACATTGATTTTGTATCCTGAGACTTTGCTGAAGTTGCTTATCAGCTTAAGGAGATTTTGGGCTGAGACAACGGGGTTTTCCAGATATACAATCATGTCGTCTGCAAACAGGGACAATTTGACTTCCTCTTTTCCTAATTGAATACCCTTTATTTCCTTCTCCTGCCTAATTGCCCTGGCCAGAACTTCCAACACTATGTTGAATAGGAGTGGTGAGAGAGGGCATCCCTGTCTTGTGCCAGTTTTCAAAGGGAATGCTTCCAGTTTTTTCCATTCAGTATGATATTGGCTGTGTGTTTGTCATAGATAGCTCTTATTATTTTGAAATACATCCCATCAATACCTAATTTATTGAGAGTTTTTAGCATGAAGGTTGTTGAAATTTGTCAAAGGCCTTTTCTGCATCTATTGAGATAATCATGTGGTTTTTGTCTTTGGCTCTGTTTATATGCTGGATTGCATTTATTGATTTGTGTATATTGAACCAGCCTTGCATCCCAGGGATGAAGCCCACTTGATCATGGTGGATAAGCTTTTTGATGTGCTGCTGGATTCAGTTTGCCAGTATTTTATTGAGGATTTTTGCATCAGTGTTCATCAAGGATATTGGTCTAAAATTCTCTTTTTTTGTTGTGTCTCTGCCTGGCTTTGGTATCAGAATGATGCTGGCCTCATAAAATGAGTTAGGGAGGATTCCCTCTTTTTCTATTGATTGGAATAGTTTCAGAAGGAATGGTACCAGTTCCTCCTTGTACCTCTGGTAGAATTCGGCTGTGAATCCATCTGGTCCTGGACTCTTTTTGGTTGGTAAGCTATTGATTATTGCCACAATTTCAGATCCTGTTATTGGTCTATTCAGAGATTCAACTTCTTCCTGGTTCAGTCTTGGGAGAGTGTATGTGTCGAGGAATTTATCCATTTCTTCTAGATTTTCTAGTTTATTTGCGTAGAGGTGTTTGTAGTATTCTCTGATGGTAGTTTGTATTTCTGTGGGATCGGTGGTGATATCCCCTTTATCATTTTTTATTGCATCTATTAGATTCTTCTCTCTTTTTTTCTTTATTAGTCTTGCTAGCGGTCTATCAATTTTGTTGATCCTTTCAAAAAACCAGCTCCTGGATTCATTAATTTTTTGAAGGGTTTTTTGTGTCTCTATTTCCTTCAGTTCTGCTCTGATTTTAGTTATTTCTTGCCTTCTGCTAGCTTTTGAATGTGTTTGCTCTTGCTTTTCTAGTTCTTTCAATTGTGATGTTAGGGTGTCAATTTTGGATCTTTCCTGCTTTCTCTTGTGGGCATTTAGTGCTATAAATTTCCCTCTACACACTGCTTTGAATGCGTCCCAGAGATTCTGGTATGTTGTGTCTTTGTTCTCGTTGGTTTCAAAGAACATCTTTATTTCTGCCTTCATTTCGTTATGTACCCAGTAGTCATTCAGGAGCAGGTTGTTCAGTTTCCATGTAGTTGAGCGGTTTTGAGTGAGATTCTTAATCCTGAGTTCTAGTTTGATTGCACTGTGGTCTGAGAGATAGTTTGTTATAATTTCTGTTCTTTTACATTTGCTGAGGAGAGCTTTACTTCCAAGTATGTGGTCAATTTTGGAATAGGTGTGGTGTGGTGCTGAAAAAAATGTATATTCTGTTGATTTGGGGTGGAGAGTTCTGTAGATGTCTATTAGGTCTGCTTGGTGCAGAGCTGAGTTCAATTCCTGGGTATCCTTGTTGGCTTTCTGTCTTGTTGATCTGTCTAATGTTGACAGTGGTGTGTTAAAGTCTCCCATTATTAATGTGTGGGAGTCTAAGTGTCCTTGTAGGTCACTCAGGACTTGCTTTATCAATATTGGTGCTCCTGTATTGGGTGCATATATATTTGGGATAGTTAGCTCTTCTTGTTGAACTGATCCCTTTACCATTATGTAATGGCCTTCTTTGTCTCTGTTCATCTTTGTTGGTTTAAAGTCTGTTTTATCAGAGACTAGGATTGCAACCCCTGCCTTTTTTTTGTTTTCCATTTGCTTGGTAGATCTTCCTCCATCCTTTTATTTTAAGCCTATGTGTGTCTCTGTACGTGAGATTGGTTTCCTGAATATAGCACACTGATGGGTCTTGACTCTTTATCCAATTTGCCAGTCTGTGTCTTTTAATTGGAGCATTTAGTCCATTTACATTTAAAGTTAATATTGTTATGTGTGAATTTGATCCTGTCATGATGATGTTAGCTGGTTATTTTGCTCATTAGTTGATGCAGTTTCTTCCTAGTCTTGATGGTCTTTACATTTTGGCATGATTTTGCAGTGGCTGGTACCGGTTGTTCCTTTCCATGTTTTGCGCTTCCTTCAGGAGCTCTTTTAGGGCAGGCCTGGTGGTGACAAAACCTCTCAGCATTTGCTTGTCTGCAAAGTATTTTATTTCTCCTTCGCTTATGAAGCTTAGTTTGGCTGGATATGAAATTCTGGGTTGAAAATTCTTGTCTGTAAGAATGTTGAATATTGGCCCCCACTCTCTTCCGGCTTGTAGGGTTTCTGCCGAGAGATCCGCTGTTAGTCTGATGGGCTTCCCTTTGAGGGTAACCCGACCTTTCTCTCTGGCTGCCCTTAACATTTTTTCCTTCATTTCAACTTTGGTGAATCTGACAATTATGTGTCTTGGAGTTGCTCTTCTTGAGGAGTATCTTTGTGGTGTTCTCTGTATTTCCTGAATCTGAACGTTGGCCTGCCTTGCTAGATTGGGGAAGTTCTCCTGGATAATATCCTGCAGAGTGTTTTCCAACTTGGTTCCATTCTCTGCATCACTTTCAGGTACACCAATCAGACATAGATTTGGTCTTTTCACATAGTCCCATATTTTTTGGAGGCTTTGCTCATTTCTTTTTATTCTTTTTTCTTTAAACTTCCCTTCTCACTTCATTTCATTCATTTCATCTTCCATTGCTGATACCCTTTCTTCCAGTTGATCACATCGGCTCCTGAGGCTTCTGCATTCTTCACGTAGTTCTCGAGCCTTGGTTTTCAGCTCCATCAGCTCCTTTAAGCACTTCTCTGTATTGGTTATTCTAGTTATACATTCTTCTAAATTTTTTTCAAAGTTTTCAACTTCTTTGCCTTTGGTTTGAATGTCCTCCCGTAGCTCAGAGTAATTTGATCGTCTGAAGCCTTCTTCTCTCAGCTCGTCAAAGTCATTCTCCATCCAGCTTTGTTCCGTTGCTGGTGAGGAACTGTGTTCCTTTGGAGGAGGAGAGGCGCTCTGCTTTCTAGAGTTTCCAGTTTTTCTGTTCTGTTTTTTCCCCATCTTTGTGGTTTTATCTACTTTTGGTCTTTGATGATGGTGATGTACAGATGGGTTTTTGGTGTGGATGTCCTTTCTGTTTGTTAGTTTTCCTTCTAACAGACAGGACCCTCAGCTGCAGGTCTGTTGGAATACCCTGCTGTGTGACGTGTCAGTGTGCCCCTGCTGGGGGGTGCCTCCCAGTTAGGCTGCTCAGGGGTCAGGGGTCAGGGACCCAGTTGAGGAGGCAGTCTGCCTGTTCTCAGATCTCCAGCTGCGTGCTGGGAGAACCACTGCTCTCTTCAAAGCTGTCAGACAGGGACATTTAAGTCTGCAGAGGTTACTGCTGTCTTTTTGTTTGTCTGTGCCCTGCCCCCAGAGGTGGAGCCTACAGAGGCAGGCAGGCCTCCTTGGGCTGTGGTGGGCTCCGCCCAGTTCGAGCTTCCCCGCTGCTTTGTTTACCTAATCAAGCCTGGGCAATGGCGGGCGCCCCTCCCCCAGCCTCGCTGCCACCTTGCAGTTTGATCTCAGACTGCTGTGCTAGCAATCAGCGAGACTCCGTGGGCGTAGGACCCTCCAAGACAGGTGCGGGATATAATCTCGTGGTGCGCCATTTTTTAAGCCCCTCGGAAAAGCGCAGTATTCGGGTGGGAGTGACCCGATTTTCCAGGTGCCGTCCGTCACCCCTTTCTTTGACTCGGAAAGGGAACTCCCTGACCCCTTGCGCTTCCCAAGTGAGGCAATGCCTCGCCCTGCTTCAGCTCATGCACGGTGTGCGCACCCACTGACCTGCGCCCACTGTCTGGCACTCCCTAGTGAGATGAACCTGGTACCTCAGATGGAAATGCAGAAATCACTGTCTTCTGTGTCGCTCACGCTGGGAGCTGTAGACCGGAGCTGTTCCTATTCGGCCATCTTGGCTCCTCCCCCCGATTTTACCAGCATTATTTTTCATGGGAAATTCACAAGGACAATTTACCAGTTTATAGTTTTTGTCATATTGTTTCATTTTGTGGTTATTATGACAACCAAGCCCAATTTGCCCAATTAAAATGTTACAGATCCAAATTTAGTCAAGAAGGACTTGTCTGTCAACTGTTTACCATATGAAGTTTTAGTTGTGGCTAGTTTCATATTCTTTTGATGAATATTTCCCCATGTCAATTTTTAGTTATTGAGAAAATGTGATTATTCAATCAAGCTTAAAAATAAATCTGTTAAAAATTCTCTATGTACATTTTTAGTTTGTCAGTTATGTTGAGTTTACTATTTCTAGTGGTCATATTTATTATAAATTTAATGCAAATTAAGAGTTTATATGATATTTTTCTCAGCTAATCCATGAAGACACTGGAGCAATACTCCTCAGCTATTCCAAGGCTGATTGGCCTATTATTTTGAGAATCCAATCATTCTGTTCGTTTTGAATGACTTTATGTGCTGGATATCAAAGGTCCGCACTTGGTGGAGAGAAGAGAAAGTGATAATGCCAAAATGGTGTGGGTATTAGAGAAGGTGGGTTGAGAGTGGAGAAGTGCTTTGCGTGATTCAAGTCCCTGGAAGCAGATGGGCAGTGGGTACAGAAGCCAGTTTGATGTGACATTGTGGGTACAATGAGAAGCAAGTGCAGAGAGTAAGGATTGTATCTCGAAGAAGCCTGACAGAGAACAGGAGGGTAAATACACACAAGAGCTAGAAGTTTGAAACTTTTTAGGATGGTGCAGATTTGACATGTTTGTGGGCTAGCAGGAGAGCATCAGCTGGGAGAAAAGACAAAAATGCAGGAAAAGGAGATTACCAACAGAGCAGTACCAATGAAGAAAAATGAAGGAACAAGAGCAAGTGCTCAGGTGGAGAGCTGGCTTCGAGTTGGAGGAAAGGAGATTAAAATTGATGCAGGTGTAGGTAAAATAGTCTTAATTTTCTCAGTGAGCCAGGAGGCAAAAGTGGCCTGCTGAGTGGGCAAGGATAGTTGAAGCTGGGTTAGTAATGGGCTTGACAACTCTTGCTTTTGGTTTGCCCTGCAGACTTTCCCATCTCCCTTCTGGTAACAACATCCTCTTTCATTTGGGGAGCTCTCCCCTGTGGATCACAGGATTTGGTATGTGACCCAAACTGGGTCATTTGCTGAATGGAGGAAGCCTGCTGTAAGAGTAAGTGAATAGAATCAGAAGGTCAGTTTGGGTCCTATTAGATTTAAGATGTCTGTTACACATCCAAAAGGAAATGTTAAGTAGGCAGTTGGATATATAAGTTCAGAGCTCAGGGGAGAGGTTAGACGTCATCTGAGTAAATGGCATGACCTAGAACTGGATAAGATCATCTATAGGGTTAGTCTCTGTTAGTTGGAGGGAGGGCCAAACAAGAAGTCCTGGGGAGTTCAAGGCTGCTGTGAACTGTGATTGCGCCACTACACTCCAGCTTGGGTAAGAAGAGCCAGATGCTGTCTCTAATAAATACATAAAATTTAAAATGAAGGAAAAAATAAGTCCTGGTGCATCATTCAGCACTAAAAGATGAGGAAGAGGAGAAAAATGTTCTGAGCTAGGAATAAACCTGGAGAGTAGGTTGGGTGTGGTGGCTCATGCCTGCAATCCCAACACTTTGGGAGGTCAAGGTGGTAGGCTTGCTTGAGCCCAGGAGTTAGAGACCAGCCTGGACAACGTAATGAGAACTCGTCTCTACAAAAAACAAACAAAAAATTAGCAGGGCACAGTGGTGCATGCTTGTAGTCCTGGCTACTCAGCTACTCTGGAGGATGAGGTGTGAGGTTTGCTTCTGCCCGGGAGATTGAAGCTGCAGTGAGCTGGACAGCACCACTGTACTCCAGCTTGGCTGACAGTGTAAGACCCTGCCTCAGTGAAAAACAAACAAGCTTGGGTGACAGTGTGAGACCTTGTCTTAGTGAAAAACAAACAAAATAGCCTGGAGAATATGGATTTTATTGAAGGTATGTGAAGAAAGCAAAGAGGGAGGTCAAGGGGAGAGGATAGCTTGAAGCCAGGACTTTGAGACCAGCCTGGGTAATACAGCAAGATCCCCATCTCTAAAAAAAAAAAAAAAAAAAAAAAAAAAGCAAAAAGAAAATTAGCTCAGTATGGCGGCACATGGCTGGAATCCTAGCTACTTGGGAGGCTGAGATGGGAGGATCCCCCCAGAAGTTGGAAGTTACAGTTAGCAGATTGTGCCATGCCTCTGTACTCCAGCCTGGTGGAGGAATCAGCTGTGAAAATGTTGCTGGAGGTCAAGTGAATTGAGGACTGTATTAATGATTGGATTTGGCAAGGTGGAAGTCATTGTCTTCAATAAGACCAATTTTAGTGGAGAGGTGGAAATTAAAAGCCTCCTTAGAGTGGATTGAGAGAGGGAGAGAGTGGGTTGAAAAAGAGGAGGCAGGAAGTATAGTAATCCTTTGAGGAGTTTTGCTCCAAAGGGGAGCAGAGAAATGGAGCAGTAATTGGAAGTGGAATGAACACAAAGGAGAGGTTTTGTTTTGTTTTGTTTTGCTTTTTAATAAGGAAGTATTACAGTATGCATATATGCTGCTGGGAATGATCCCATAGAAAGGGGTAAAATTGAAGATGTAGGGCAGAGAGGGAATAACTGTTATAGCAAAGAGAGGATGGAATCAGTATCAAGTGGAGAGTTTGGGCTTAGGTAGGATTAAGTATGGCTTATTTTTTGTCATTGGGATGTGTCACAGTATACAGTACAGTTGAAGCCAGGTTGATAAAGTTGCTGATAAGAAAATGAGGCAATTTTGTATTAATTGCTTTTAGTTTCTTAGTGAAATAAGAAATAAGGACACTGGCTGTGGGATTAGCTGTGGTGCTTTCCTAGGGTAAGGTAGACAGTCAGTTTGGATAATGTGAGGAGCGTAAATAGACCACTGGATTTGGAAAAGTGGAGGTCATTGGTGATGTTGGCCAGAGCCTTCTCTGAGGCAGTTTGTAGGGGTGAGGCGGGTAGTGTTGAGGCTGGGGAAGGAACTATCCCTCCAGGAGCAAGGGCTCTGTGCACCTCTCTAATATGTTGATGGCAGAATTAAGGCTGGAGGAGGGGGCAGGTGCTGGTGGTGACAGCAGTGGTTGAGGATATTACCAATGAGAGAAATTGGCAGAGGAGAGTTCTTTTTCTGATCTGGTTCTTAAGTTGTAAGATGTAAGTCTGGTACTTTGCACACCTACTTGGAAGAAGGCAGACTCTAGAAGGGGAGAATAGCGCCAATACTCAGAGGCAAGCAATGGAGAGAGAGAGTTTTGGAGGCCTCACTTGAACTGCTGGATCCAGGGGAGCCCTAGCTTTATCCTTCCATCGATTTCAAGTTGTGGGAATAAAGACCACTCAAATGAGAACAAGCAAAGACTATTTGTTCAGTGCTTACAAAGGAGCCAACTACCATCATTTGTGTTTGGCAGAGACTCACAGGCAGGCAGAGGAGTGGGAAAGCTTTACAGTGGAAAAATGACTTCCTGATTGGAAGTTGCTGGCATGGGGAAACTGGAGGCAGGCTAACTAGAAGTGGGGCCTCCTTTGAGGTTGGCTAGGGGAACATATACATACACATATTTTTTTTCCTGGTTGATCCTAAGTTGGAAGCAGGGTCAAAGAAGGAAAGCTGGAAGTTATTGAACAAATGTTGAATATTTTGGGCTGATTGCTGCAGAGGTTGTGGTTTGGCTTTCTAGGATGGTTGCTGCAGAGGTTGTAAATCAGAGTTCATCTTTTATGTATGATCTGTTTGTATATTCAGTCTCTTACAGCTGTATGTTCTTTTTTTTTGCTTAAGTTACTCTGTGTTGAGTATTTGTTGTTTGCAATTGAAGGAGTCCTGTCCTTCAATAGAGAGACAGAGTTTGAGCATAATTTGAAAATGAGTCTGCAGATGGAAGCCTGGGTGAGTAAGCAAAAGAAACCCCACAGAGGCTAATCAGCACATTTGAACACCTACTTTCTGCCAGAACCCTACATAAACCATCTCATTTAATTCTCAACAACCTATGGTTTAAACCTCTTCGCTTTCAGATGGAGAAAGGGACTCATAGTGGGCAAGTACGTTGCCTCATGTGGCAAAGACAAGGATTCAGTCTTGTATTTTGAGGTTGAGTATCTGCTCTCAGGTTGTGTTACTTTGGATCAAACAGGAAATGGATTTTCCTCCTTCAAGGTCACCCACAACACCTACATATTATCTTTATGTTTACTTCATTCTATATACGGGGTCCCCATGAACATGTGTTCACACATCCCTTGAGGCTGATTCACTGGACCGATGTCCACTTTGTGATCATGCCTTTTAAAAGAGCAGTTGTGATTTGGATGAAAACTTAATTTTGAATCCAGAGATTTTCTCATCCTCATAATATTATTTTGAAAATCACACAGTGTTCAAAAATGAGTTATTGATGTTAACAATGATTATGATGGATAATTAATTCTGCTATGCAAGTTGATCAATAAAACTCACATCTTGCAGCCCAAAAGAGATCATGTCTTGATGTTAGTAGGTATATATTAAAATAAATAAACAAACAATAAGAAAACAAATGATCTCTGCGTTATTGAAGGAATGTTTGGTGGGAAAGTTATTTTCAAATGTCCAGAAAAAGTCAATGGGGCATTAGGGCATTAGGGCCTGTAATCCCAGCAGTTTGGGAGGCCGAGGCAGGCAGATAGCTTGAGCCAGGAGTTTGAGACCAGCCTGGCAACATAGTAAGATCTCATCTCTATGAAAAAGAAGCAAAATTAGCCAGGCATGGTGGTGCATACCAGTAGTCTCAGCTACTCAGGAGGCTGAGGTGGGAGGATCGCCTGAGCCCAGGAGGCAGAGGCTACAGTGAGCCAAAATTGCTCCAGTGCACTCCAGCCTGGGTGACAGAGTGAGACCCTGTCTCAAAAAAAAAAAAAAAAAAAAAAAAGTATGTCCCTTTGGATGGCTGTGGGGTAGTGAGAGAAACGATCTTTATGAGGGTGGGAGAGTTCAGTAGAACCAATTAGAAATTGCTTGGTCTAATTTGAGGGCCCTTCTCTCCACTAGAGCCAGGTTGCTTTGCCTTAGCCAAAAAAGAGTCTGCTTTTTTCCCCCTCTATGGTTGGCTAGGAAAGTTCACTGCTTTCTGGATCTGGATGGAATAAATAAAACAAATTCACCTTTCCTCTTATGTAAGATCCTTGTTCAGAACTCAATTTTTCACTTATTTCATATTTCCCCCTTTCTATCATTCTCCCTTAGAAACTTGTTGCAAAACTAACATGCTTATTATGTGCAGGTGATAAAATTATTGATGTTCCTAATAAGGCACTCTTAGTCTGTAAGACATACAGGACATTTCTTTTAAGATTTGTATGCATGATAGACTTTAGTCGTTTGGCACATCAAAACGTTATAGGAGGGGGAGAAGAGACGCACCTGGATGGTTATAATCGTCTGCAGGGTGATCCAGGTTCTCAGACCTTGTGAATTTGTTGTGGTCCATCATGTGTGAATTTGGTTAGCACCTCATTAATTTATTAAAGCCAAAGAACAAAAAACCAAATAAAATAATGGCTGTGTTCCCGGAAAAATTTTCCACAGATGGCTAAGTGAGTCTAGTAAACAAAATAAAACAAAACAAAAATCAAGGGTATCATTTGACTTGTCTGTTGATAGTAGCCTCTAAAATTTTATATTTCCTCTTTAATGCTTTGGAGATAGAATGAATAACCAGCCAATGTTTCAGAATGAATAACCAGCCAATGTTTCAGTAATGCTCAGTATTGGTTTTAGCAGTCGTCAAAGTAGCCATTTTGTGGTAATGGACAACCAGGAGACTTTACTGGGTTTTGTCTGCTCAAAGCCACAGTGGCTTCTTCTGGGGAGATTTTACCTGATGACCACCTGGGTAGAAGTGATTTCAAGATGGTGACATGTAAGCTTCCGTGTAAAGGGTAAATATTGATATTTTTCTTGCAGTGAACAACTTAGTGGCTTGTTTTAAAAATTATGAATTTTTTGTACATACAAGAAAATATTGATAATATAAAGACTAGCAAAATAGCACTCATGTATTCAATATTCAGCATAAAAACTAGAACATTACTGATAAGAATTAGCTCCTTCCATGTCAATTTTTCACCCCAATCTCATTTCTTTTCCATTCCACACACCTCCCCAGGAGACCACTATCCTCAAGTCTGTATTTATTATTACATCGATTTTCTTTATATTTTCCCACATATGTATCATTTGTAAACAATATATTATTTAGTTTTGCATTTAAAAAGTTTTATACAACAATATCTATTTTCTATAATTTTCTTTCCCACCTCTCGATACAATGTTTGTCAGATGGTGTTTGTTGATCATTCTGGGATGTGTACATCAAGGGCTATGAACTCCATGGAGAGGGCCAGAAGCAGATACACAGATGACTGAAGTTTTGGAAAACAGAATCTAGGAGAAAAGAATAAAGGTATTGGACTGATATATATGCAAACTAAAAGGTGGTTGGCAAGATATGTGTGTGTGTGTGTCTATACATAACAAGTGCTTTTATAATGGATTGTTTTAGTTTTAAAATGATTTTACTCTTGATCTGTATTAAATCAAGTCAACTCATGTAGTATCCTAGCAAATACTCTATCTCAAGTAATATTCAAGACTATAGATCTTCTGAATCACACTCAAGAAGCTGACGATATGCATTTGGCAGTTTCCAAGAAACAGTGGTCAAACTATAATAAAATTTTAATGTATCAGTTAATATTTACCGAGCACCCCTCTTGCAGCTAGCATTGGACTAGGTGCTTAAGGACAAGTAGTTTGACTCAATAAATTAAAAAAATACACACTTAAGGTTTATTCTTTACAGATTCATGGTAGTTTTATTTAAGTTTCTACTGCTGAGAAATGTGAGGTTTTGTTGTTGCTCTTTCAGTCCCCAAAACTCCATTTTGAGTTCTCCAGGCTTTGGTGGAATTTCAGGTATTATCAGATCTGGTGGGTGGGACCTGTTTACCAATTCAGCCCCTTGTGCACATGGCCAGGAGGCTGGCTGCAAGCATTTTCAGATGGACAGAGACATGCCTCAGGCATTGTCAGTGGGTGTGAAATGCACAGGAGCTGGGCAGCAGGCCAGAGGGTGGGTGGAAGTTTGTAACTGATTATTATAAGACTCTGAATTCAAGCAGACCTAGATTCAAATCCTACTTTCACCACTGCAGGGGAATTCTACATATATATATATATATATATATATATATATATATATATATATATATATATATATATATATATAATTTTGCCTCTGGAAAAAGTAGGGTGAAAATCATTCTGAAAAAGTTTAGGTTAAGATATTGAGTATGGTTTGGATTTGAGTGGTTTATTTTGAATAAATTAAATCTCACCTACCTCACAGAATCTGTTGTGGAAAGATTGTTCAGAATGAAAATATTTTGTCCTGGGGTCTTGGTAGGATGTTTGGGGCGAGGTGAGGTGGGCACAAGTGGTGGGATGAAACATTAAATACATTTCCTTCCCTTTTTCTCCTTTGACTTCTTTCTTTTTTAAATGCGTCTAGTAATAAGAGCTCGATTCAACTGGACTTGGTGGATGAGTTAAGGAAAATCTGGATGTGCCCCAGTTCATGTTTCTCTGGCTAGTTCATTGATTTCATTTACAGGAACCACATACTCACCATGTGATCCTTGTCAAGTGTCTTGCCTTTTCAAAGACTTAGTTTTGTCATCTGTAACATGGAGATCTTATCTGAATTGTTACCGTGACAAATGAGATGATACATGTGAAAATGCTTTGTCCATAGTTGGGCTATTATTACTATTATTATTATTTCTATGACTTATTTTAAAGTCTCAATTCAGGAGTCATTGAACTATGGAAGTCTTCCCTGACTTTTCTCTGTCCCCCATTGGGACAGATCGTCTTCTCAAATCTTTTATGTGATGTGTCTTTTAAGCACTTAGTGGGTTGTTTTTTAATTTTTATTTTTTTACATTCATTGTTTATGTCATTTGTAGTGCAAAGCTTGCTTACTGGTTGTCTTTCTCACCAGACTGTGAGTTCCTTGAAGGGAGCAATAGTACCCAATCCCATATCCAGGATATCAAGCTACTCAATAGTTTTTGCTGCATGAATGATAAAAACTAATATTCTGTAAGATATGAATATTATATTTACTAAATATGAACTCAAAAGATGCTCTCATTTTCAAATAATTTATGAGTGGCAGTTTGTTAACATTTATTTAGGGTCTATGTGGTTATTTATTTATTTTTAGATATAGGGTCTCACTATGCTGTCCAGGCTAGCCTCAAACTCCTGGGCTCAAGTTATCTTCCCACCTCAGCCTCCAGAGTAGCTGGGATTACTGGTGCATGCCACCAATCCTGGCTTATGAGCTGTTAACTCTCCTAAACACTGGAACCAGAGAGCATCAGGCCACACAGTAGCCTTGCATCATCATGAATGGGGAGTCAAAATAAGACACAGAATACAACACTGGGACAATATATATCACCCTCAAAGAGTGGCTAATGCACAACAATGAAAACAACAAATTAGGGCTCAAAATACTCTTCAAGTGAAAACATCTATCTGCATTTTCTAAAAGTCTGAAAGTTTTAAAACTTGTATTATTAGTTTAATTGAGAATCTGTTAAACAAATCTGGGGGAATCATTCTCATCTCTGATGAATTGCTTCTATGATCCCCAATCCAACAGGATAGCTGTAGATAGGAGGAAAATGCTTACCAAAAGAAGGCATTTTAAAACCCATTTTTGGCCACCCTTTTCACAAGTGCTTAGACTCTTCCTTTTTAAAGAACAAAGACCTGAAGCTCAAGGTGGTTCACAAATTTATCCAAGAAAATTTTCAGAGTGGCAAATTATAGTTTCAGGTTTTACATTATTTTTCTTAATTTGATTAAAAAGTTCCAGTCTGTTCTAATGTTCCTGGGCCCCCAGGCATGATGGCCCTTGGAGGGTCCTGGAGCATCTGCATCTGGTGTTATTAGCGGGGTAAGATACTCTAGGCCATAAGTCACAGTTAAAATGTTCCTTACAATTAGAAACTGCCTTTGTGTGATTTTTTTGGGGGGGTTTAACCGAATGGCCCTGGAATATGGGTCCACTCTCCCTTTTGGATTGATTTTCTCTGTTTGAGCCTGATAACTGTCTTGAGCAGGAAGAGGAGGAAGGGGAACCAGCCACCTGTAGAAATGAGTTTAGGTCCTATTTACATAGCAGGTCAACAGCATGAAGTCCAAGGGGAACTCTAGCAGGGTCAGTGAGATAGGTGGAGAACCTAGCTGGTCTGTTTGTTTTTCCACAAAACATTCCAGGAGCAAGACAACATCCGCTGAGGAACAGCATTAATAAGTGGCATCTTTCATCAGAAGCACTCAAAGCATTCATGAAGACTTACTCATTGAGCTGTGAGCCACACCTATGTTGTATCTGTGGCTCACTTAAAGATTAAGAAACCAAATTCCTCCAAGTTTGACCCTGTGGCTGAAAGGGAGGCTGGGGAATGAACAGACACAGACCCCAGGTTCCATATCTCACTCCAAATTAACCTGGCATAGAATGGGATGTCGAGAAATGACAGTGAGCACCATTGTTATCACTATGACATCAATTGACCCTTATTTTTGGGTATGAGGATTCTACACAGTGAGGAGGCAGAGTTTCTGCTATAGGAGCTTCTGATCAGTTTGGGAGTTTTGTCTCATGTGCAAAAACCGAGAAGTACGTGAATCTACCCTATGTTAGGTGCCAAATACAAAAATAAAGATAGGAAGTTCAGAGGTGGAGCCACCACCCAGGCTGTGGTGGGCAGTGGAAACTTCACAGAAAAAGACCTTGAGTTGGACTTTGAAGAAAGATAGGATTCGTGCATGCAGGAGGTGTGGGAATGTGATTTTCAGTCTGAAAGACAGGAAGGAGATTGGGGAATGCATGGAGTAATTGGGGGTACTAGAGACACCAAACTGTGGTGGACCAGCTGGGTGGAAGATCCCCTGCAGGGATCCGTGGAGTGTCAACCTCACCGGTTTTTAGAGTCTGTGACCAAGGGAACAAGTTCCCTTTTGTCTGAATTCTGTGACATTTAATTTGCTTCAGTCAGAGGTAAACATCTGACCCTGCCTGGCAATCCCTTCCTAGGTTGTTATGATGACCAGTCAGAGGTTCAATTTTGCCACCCAATTTCTTACTGATCAGAATTCCAACTAGAGATGTAGTTCCCTCACTGTTTCCTCCTTCTGAACAGTGAAATTGTTCTTGCCTGCAAGAAGTAGCCTGAAGCAAACTGGGACAGTACAGTTTGTGAAAATCAAAAGAAGAAAGGATATTAAAAAGGAGAGAATGGTCAACAGTTTTCATGGATGTGGAGAAATCAGGGAGAATCAGGTTAGATGTGTCTAATCTTCTATGGTCAGTAAAGTAGAACCACATATTAGCTTCTTCTTGGATTAAGGGAGAGCAGATACTGTGAGTCAGCCATTGCCAGCTCTCCTTCACAAGCTTGAATACACTCTCCTATGATTCCTGTTTATGTGATTAAGACATTTAACTATCATCTAGACATATGTTAAAAATTAAACTCAGCTGTGATTTTCCCTCCCCCGAGATGCATAAAACTGGTGTATGTGTTCTGTAGGATTTTATTATGTTAAAGCATTACTGCCGCCTCTTATTAAAATTGAGTGCCTTATTTTGATATTAGGCAGAGGAGTTTGACGGATGTTAACATTCTAAGAGAAATTTGTGGGAAACAATTTTGAGGTTGAAATATTGATGCAACTGATACTAATTGCTAACATCCCAGTAAAGCTCTTAAGAATCTATTTGTATGGAAATTGAAAAGGACCATCAAATGGAAGAAAGACCCAATTTATTTGGAAGTTTTAGAAAGTCCAGTAATAAAGAAATGATTTGATAAGGGAAGTAGAAGAAAGGCAAAATGAGCAGATTACTTTGAAAATATTAAATTGTAATAGAAAAACATTAAAGAAAAAAATGATACAAATCCTACCACAGTATCATAGCAATTATTCTTATCTTTTGAATTTTTAAAAAAGAGATGGTGTTTTACTCTCTTACCCAGGCTGGAGTGCAGTGGTGCAATCATCACTCACTGCGGTCTTGAACTCCTGTGCTCAAGTGATCCTCCCATCTCAGCCTCCCAAGTAGCTGGGGCTACAGGCACTCGCCACCACACCTGGCTGACAGCAATTATTTTTGCTTTTTGAAAGTATCCTGTCCTTGCCTTACCAAGTTTTAAATCCAAATCTTGCATTTTTCAGAAACACTGTTGCAACATGGGAGACAAAATGAAGTATTTTGCATCATTTTATGCTGCGTGACTTCAGGCATGCCTAACACATGTCACTATTCCTACTTAGTCTTCATGATTATCTTTTGAAATTACTCTATAATATTTCAGTAGGGGTTTCTTCTCGTTTCTTGCATCTGGCCACTGACTTCTGATTCTCTCTGGATGGTTATCATCTTGCAGTCTAGAGGTAGAGGCAGTGGGAACTTTGTTTAGGATCTTGAAGATACTTGCTTGTAGATGTTCTTGCCAGGGGTACGCTGTCACTGGGTGTCTCATGCCATCCTCAGGCTGGGGGTGATAAAGGAACAAGAGGAGCAGCGCTGTAGAGTGGGAGAGAAGGGGGAGAGGTGGAAGGCTGGGGTAGATGACTTCCCCACCCAGCCCTGCCCTGACTCTTTCTTCCTTGGCTTTCTCCTTCTGCCCATATACAGTCCTTCTCTGCCTCCATCATAGCTTATCCTCTCTTTTGTTCCGGTTCCTTCTTCTGCCTCTCTCTCCAGGGACCTCCCCTGAGCTTGCTGTAGTTTAGAGATTCTCAACCCTGTCAATGCCTACCCTTTAAAACATATTTTGTAATGACCCCTTTATCCTGAAATGAAATTTGTAGGTTATAGATTCTCAACACATATAATTTAAAAATTAATCTAATAGTCTAGTTGTAATATAAAGAAGAAACAAAAGGAAACCACTGTAAAATAAAATGATGTAAATGCTCAGGCACAGCTGTATTAGAAGTCATATAGAAGGAAACAGATGTTGGCACATAATGAATACGCTTGTCAGAGAAGCAGACAACATTCGACTGGATATTGTTGATACTTAAAAATATATGTGACAGTGTGTAATAAGGGCTAGAGAAACACGGCACCTTCTTATCCAGGCATCTGTGTTCGGGTAAGCAGTCTGTGCTGCATCAGGGCACCTGGCAGAGGGACCAGTGGTTGATGCAGCTCTTGCTTTTCTTTCAAAGCTGTGGGCCCCTGGGACTTTGTCTACTGGAGCCTTCTTAAAATGGTCACAAAGCATCTACATAAGTGACTGGCTGTCCTGGCATGCCCCGTCCCCACACATGCACATACACATATACATATGTGCACTTAGATTAACAGTGGAGTGAGCCCTACAAAATGCAGAGTAATACATGTGTGCTATTTTCATGACTCAAATACTATGAAAGTTGTTGCTATTTGTGACATAATCTTCTGAAATGAATAATTTTTGGTATAGTTGGGAATAAAAGCAAGCACAATCTTCCCTGGATTTATGTGGTAGTTGTATTCCTGGAAAACTAAATGTATACGCAAACATTACAAAAATATTTATATAAAATAGAGTTAGATTCTAGGCTCAGATAATTAGAAACAGATTTTTTTCATTTTAATTCAACAGTCATGGTGACCCAGAAAAATTCTTAGTTTTCAGGGGTTAGCATCCCTGACTCCTGCTCATTAAATTCCAATAGCACCCCCAGTCATTGTGACAATCGAGAACACCTTTTTAGAGTATGATAAAACTTCCATTGAAAATCACCTATGTATTGAAGAGAAAGCTGAATTCTCAGTTGGGAAACCTGGATCTAAGTTTTATCTTCCTCCAGCTATTATTTCTGGGTGAACAGGAATAGTGAGTTTTTTATGGTGCTGCACTTCCTGATTGGTCTCCGGGAAGGGATGCTTGAATGGGAGCTGATCTTGTAGGGAGAAACCCTCCACCCTGTTCTCTAAAAAACAGTGGCACAGTGTTCTTGGCCTAGTATGCATGCCTCTCCCCCTTTTATAGAAAATGCACAGCCTTTTTTTTCTTTTTTTTTTAAATGAGTCTCTTCTCCACTCCAGCCATGAGACTCTCATGCGGCCTCTCAGGAACACAGTGTATAATGCATACCACAGTGCAGGATTCCAAGCAGTACCCTGCCCTCCTACCCACAAAAGTGAACGTTGCACCCAGTCTGAGCTAATCAGAGATCTTCCCTGGGAGTTTTTTACATTGAAGTTGATGGAGAAAAACTCTTTCTGCTCTGGGGTTGATGTTGGGTAATATAAGTCCAGAAGCTTCTGGCAACCGTACTTCTAGCTTGTGAGGAAAGTTTGAGTGAGAGAACAAACCTGATAAGGGGAAGAAGCAGAAAAGAGAGAGATACTGATATCTGATAGTGATATTATTTTATTTTATTTTCATAGGTTTTTAGGGAACAGGTGGTGTTTTGCTACATGAGTAAGTTCTTTAGTGGTGATTTGTGAGATTTTGGTGCACCCATCACCAGAGCAGTATACACAGTACCCAATGTGTAGTCTTTTATTGCTCACCTCCCTCCCACCCTTTCTCCCAAGTCCCCAAAGTTCAATGTATCATTCTTATGCCTTTGCATCCCCATAGCTTAGCTCCCACTTATGAGTGAGAACATGCAATGCTTGGTTTTCCATTCCTGAGTTACTTCACTTAGAGTAATGGTCTCCAATTCCATCCAGGTTGCTGCGAATGCCATTATTTTATTCCTTTTTATGGCTGAGTAGTATTCCATCATACATATATACCACAATTTCTTTATCTACTCATTGATTGATGGGCATTTGGGCTAGTTCTATATTTTTGCAATTGCGAATTGTGCTGCTATAAACATGCATATACAAGTATCTTTTTTGTATAATGACTTCTTTTCCTCTGGGTAGATGCCCAGTAGTGGGATTGCTGGATCAAGTAGTAGTTCTACTTTTAGTTCTTTAAGGAATCCCCACACTGTTTTCAATAGTGGTTGTACTAGTTTACATTCCCACCAGTAGTCTAAGTGTTTCCTTTTCACTGCATCCATGCCAACATCTATTATTTTTTGATTTTTTGATTATGGCCATTCTTGCAGGAGTAAGCTTATATCGCGTTATGGTTTTGAATTGCATTTCCCTGATCATTAGTGATTTTGACCATTTTTTCATATGTTTGTTGGCCATTTGTTCATTTTCTTTTGAGAATTGTCTATTCATGTCCTTAGCTCATTTTTTTTTTTGATGGGGTTGTTTGTTTTTTTCTTGCCAATTTGTTTGAGTTTGTTGTAGATTCTGGATATTAGTCCTTTGTTGAATGTACAGATTATGAAGACTTTCTCCCATTCTGGGGGTTGTCTGTTTACTCTGCTGATTGTTTCTTTTGCTGTGCAGAAACAATATAGTTTAATTAAGTCCCACCTATTTATCATTGTTTTTGTTGCACTTGCTTTTGGGTTTTTGGTCATGAAGTTTTTGCCTAAGCCAATGTCTAGGAGGGTGTTTCTGATGTTATCTTCTAGAATTTTTATGGTTTCAAGTCTTAGACTGAGTCTTTGATCCATCTTGAGTTGATTTTTGTATAAGGTAAGACATAAGGATCCAGTTTCATTCTTCTTCATGTGGCTTGCCAATTATCCCAGCTCTATTTGTTGAATAGGTTGTCCTTTTCCCACGTTGTTTTTGTTTGCTTTGTTGAAGATCAGTTGGCTGAAAGTATTTGGCTTTATTTCTGGGTTCTCTATTCTGTTCCATTGGTCTATGTGCCTGTTTTTATACCAGTACCATGCTGTTTTGGTGACTATGGCTTTATAGAATTGTTTCAAGTCAGGTAATGTGATGCCTTCAGATTTATTCTTTTTACTTAGTTTGATTTTAGATTTTATAGCTATTATGCTTTTTTTAAAAGAAAAAGCTGGCATTTAAAAACTTTTCTGCTAGAAATAAGGCACCAAAATAGAGCCAAAAACTCTTTAACAATGAAAATTATGACATCAAAATGAAAACATAAACTCAAGAGCAATAGCAAACTTATTGAGTGCACCAAGTCACCTTTATTAACTCATCCCATTAAAAGAAACCTGCAATCTGTGACATCTGAGTTAAGCTCTGCATCACTCTAATACCAAAACCAGGAAAGGACATAACAAAAAAAGAAAACTACAGACCAATATCACTGATGAATATAGCCGGAAAAATCCTTCACAAAATACTAGCTAACTGAATCCAATGGCATATCAAAAAGATAATCCACCATGATCAAGTGGATTTCATACCAGGGATGCAGGGATAGTTTAACATACGCAAGTCAATAAATGTGATACACCACATAAACAGAATTAAAAACAAAAATCACATAATCATCTCAATAGATGCAGGAAAAGCATTTGACAAAATCCAGCATCCCTTTATGATTACAACCCTCAGCAAAATTGGCATAGAAGGAACATAACTTAATGTAATAAAAGCCATCTATGACAAATCCACAGCCAAGATAATACTGAATGGGGAAAAGTTGAAAGCATTCCCCCTGAGAACTGGAACAAGACGAGGATGCCCACTCTCACCACTTCTATTCAACATAGCACTGGAAGTCCTGGCCGGATCAATCGTACAAGAGAAAGAAATAAAGGGCACCTAAATCAGTAAAGAGGAAGTCAAACTGTTGCTGTTTGCTGATGATATGATCATATACCTAGGAAACCCTAAAGACTCCTCCAAAAAACTCCTAGAACTGATAAATGAGTTCAGCAAAGTTTTGGGATACAAAATTAATGTACACAAATTAGTAGCTCTGCTATATGCAAACAGTGACCAAGCTGTTTTTGAGAATCAAATCAAGAACTCAATCTCTTTTACAATATCTGCAAAAAAAAAAAAAAAAATACTTAGGAATATACATAACAAAGAAGGTGAAAGAATTCTGCAAGGAAATCTGCAAAACACTGCTGAAAGAAATCCTAAAACAAATGGAAACACATCCCATGCTCATAGATGGATAGAATCAATATTGTGAAAATGACCATACTGCCAAAAGCAATCTACAAATTCCATGCATTTTCCAACAAAATACCGCCATCATCCTTCACAGAACAAGAAAGACAATCCTAAAATTCATATGGAATCAAAAAAGAGCCTGCATAGCCAAAGAAAGACTGATAGTGATATTGATACCTGCAATTGCTCAGGCTAATTTAAATTGCATTTCTGAGATGGGCAACCTAAAGAATCCTTGCTGACATGACTGAATTTCCATTCAATCTTTTCCTTATCCAAGGCTCTGTATGACAGTCACTGGGCACATGTAACTTTTGAGTGCTTGAAATGTGATTAGTCCAAATTAAGATGAAGTTGTAAAGTACACACTGTTTCAAAGACTTAGTACTAAAAAAAGTAAAGCATCTCAATAATTTTTATATTGATTATATGTTAAAATGATACTCCTTTGGATATATTGGTTTAAGTACAATATATTGATAAAATTAATTTTACTTTTTTCTTTTGTCCTTTTTAATGTGGTTATTAGAAAATTAAAAATTACCTAGTGACCCACATTGTGTTTATTTTGGATAGCTGTGTTCTAGAATACCTACCTCAGTGCTTACTGCCCTTTATCAAATTTCTAGTAATTGAGTCAATAGGTTAATTTCAGAGACTCATATACCTGAAGAGATGGGCAACTCAAATAACCCTGGCTAATACGACTGCATTTCCATACAATTGTATGTGCAGATTCTGATTTATGAGTGAGCTTTTGGTGCTGTTTATGAGTGACCTTTTGTGGGACTGAATGGATTTCCAAGAACACACAGAGGCTCAGCTTCTCGTTCCTCATAAACACCTATGTCTGAAGTGGCAAGCAGTGCCATGGCTTAACAATCCTAGTTAATGACACGCTGCTGGTTTTCAGCCAGTAGTTAGTAGTATCTTTCTATGAGAAGAAAGAAGCCTATAATCTATGCCCAACACATCATTGACATTTATTAGAGCTTTTCAAAAAGCAACACATGGAGCTGTATTGTCCAGAGAGAGAGAGAGAGAGAGAGAGAGAGATGGAGAGAGAGAGAGAGAGAGAGAGAGAGAGAGAGAGAGAGAAAAGCAACACAGATTAAGGAATTCAAGTTGCAGGTGCAGTTTCCACTGTATTTTACAGAGATGTTGATAAAACAAGAGATTTTATGTGGCTGTCAGCACCTCCAGTTTAGTCACTAAAAGTAATTGTGGGGTTCATGAACATCAGAGATCCTTAAATTATAGTTTGACACTTCATACAAATTTGGTCCTGATTAACCCCTGGAGGGGTTTGGTGGTAATTTATTGAGAGAGGTGATTTGGTATGTGCACACATGCATGCACGTGCGTGCGCACACATACACACAAACGCATATATGTGTGTATTTATACTCAAAATGTTCCTCCTTCCTAGAAAATGATTGAATTCTTATGAGTGAGCATATTTAGTCTAGATGCAGATGAATTCACTTATTCAGAGAACATTTATTGGGGTTATGAGCATTTATTGAGGGCCCCAGAGCTAGGCAGAGTGCACTGATTAGTATATGGCTGTTTGGGGACTACTGAAAATAATAGTCCCTTTTAGAAGACTTATATGTAGGATTCTACAGAACCACTAACCTAGCAGAAAATGGGAAAATGCAGAAAGATTTTTTGAAATAATTACAATACAGTGAAAAGAATGTGAAATACTAAATTATAAGACCCTAGAATTCATCATTTACTAGCTGCTATGACTTCAGGGAAGTTGATTAGCATAGTTTTCAAACCTATAAAATAGTAATGGTGTTAATAAAATAAAGTAATAATCCCCAACTTGCAGGGTTGTTTTGAGGATGTGAGATGACATATCTATCTAAAAGCAATTTTGTTAATAGAAAATTAACTCCAGAATATTAGATTAACACATTTTATTGTGATGTTGTGCCAGCTTCATTTTATTTGCAAGCACTAGAGGGTCCTAAATTTATAAGTTAGTCTGTAGCAATAATCAGAACCTTTGATTTCCTACTTGAAGCATGCCACTTTATTTTGAATTAATGCATAATCTGGAATGAGGTAGAAGATTTAATAGTATAATGCAATAAGATTTAGTATAATGAAGGAAATGACTACACAGGTCACAAGATCGCATACATTTGAATGATACAAAGCTTAATTAAAATTAATTTGTTTTATCCTTAATGATGAGGCCAAAGCAAACATTATTTTTATGTCTTTTACAAGTGATGTCAAATAACTAATTCTGAGGCAAGAATTAAGTTAAAAGTAAAATTTACCGAAATCTGTGAATTTGATAGGGAAAACAATGTCTTATATTGCAGTATTGAAGTTTATAAGAATCAGACTACACTTTATACTTAAATTTTTTTCCTTTGGTTCATCTAAGGCAGCTACTTGCTGGGACTTTGCATACTTTTATTTATCTATCAATCAGCCTGCACTCTGGCTTTTAATCAGGTTGGTGAAAATCCTTACCACGTGATTATGAAATGATTTCTTTTTTTGATTAAAATGGTAGGAAATTTAAAAGAAAAAGAAAATTAACTTTATAAATATTACTTAGCTTCCTAATTAATAAATAACTTAGTTATAGAAAATTGTCATTTATAGCATAATGTATACATACAGGGTGGCAATTTTCCAAAAATTTGAACACAATAAAATACATTAATAGAAAAATTCCACTGAACATTTAATATTTTTGGATTATTCTGAAGGCATGTTGGGGTTTTGGCATGTCTTTAAATTGCCTTACCCATTACCCCAGTAGATATGGGATAGTAGGATAATCAATTAACCTTGGGACGAACAGAAAAACACTTTTCTACATAGTGTTTAAAAATAAACCTTGTCCTTCCTATGATTTTCACAGATGCTGTGATGATCATCTTTAACTAAAATCTAAGACCCATTATTATTTGCAACATTGTCCCTTCTCAATGATTCTGTTTTAAAATATAATTCCCTTGAGACAGCACCAGCATGTTATTGGGAATTAGTTTTTATCTGCTTTTTAGACTTCTTCTATAATGGGAACAAGGCAGGATAAACACCCTCATTCTCTGTGGGATGAAATGAGGTTTAGAAAGATGGAGTCTTTCTAAGTGGAAGTAGAAGTATGAAGCAGGTGAACATGTTTGCAGTGACTTCTACTTACTGGAATTGTTGCACATTAATCTTCCCAGATCCCAGATCCTGCCATGTTACTCACCCACTCAACAACTTTCAATGGCTCTGCATTGACTCCAAACTTTCCACTCTCCCATTACTCCCCTCTACACATTACCCTATCCTTCATTTAAACTGGGTATCTTATTCTTTCTTAAACATGGCCTAGTGTCCTTCTTCTATTTCTTTGCTTCTCCATTATCGCCATCTTTCCTAATCTAGTTTATGTTTCATGACTCCACTCAAATCCACTTTCTTCATGAGGTTTACTTTCCCCTCTCCCTCACCCCATCCAAATAAATATATTACCTTCCCTCTCATTTCCAAGGCACTTTCTTTGTGTCTTTTTCACATCATGTATCATAGTGTGCCTTTTATCGTAATTATTTTAGTGTTTGACTAATCCAGCCACACACTGTAAGCTTATTGAAAGCATAAAGAGACTGTGTCTTCCTCAACTTTTTAACATATTCATAATATGTTGCAATTATAATCCAGGTGAAACGGACTATAAATAAATTTTCACTGATTTTTTAAATGTAATGTACATATGTTTTATCTCTCCCATTAAAGGAGATGTTCCTTGATGGTGGGGATCATATCTAACTTACTGCCCATATCCTCCACAGCATTTAACCAGGGTTCTGCACAGGAGCAAAGTTCTCAATACACATTAATGAAACGAGTAAGGTGGTAGATTGGACACACGAATGAAAGAATAGATGAATGGACAGATAGATAGATAGATGGAAAGATGGATGGATGGTCCAAAAATGATAGACTGGATTAAGAAAATGTGGCACTGTAGCCTTGTAGTATAGTTTGAAGTCAGATAGTGTGATGCCTCCAGCTTTGTTCTTTTGGCTTAGGATTGACTTGGCGATGCGGGCTCTTTTTTGGTTCCATATGAACTTTAAAGTAGTTTTTTCCAATTCTGTGAAGAAAGGCATTGGTAGCTTGATGGGGATGGCATTGAATCTGTAAATTACCTTGGGCAGTATGGCCATTTTCACGATATTGATTCTTCCTACCCATGAGCATGGAATGTTCTTCCATTTGTTTGTATCCTCTTTTATTTCCTTGAGCAGTGGTTTGTAGTTCTCCTTGAAGAGGTCCTTCACATCCCTTGTAAGTTGGATTCCTAGGTATTTTATTCTCTTTGAAGCAATTGTGAATGGGAGTTCACTCATGATTTGGCTCTCTGTTTGTCTGTTGTTGGTGTATAAGAATGCTTGTGATTTTTGTACATTGATTTTGTATCCTGAGACTTTGCTGAAGTTGCTTATCAGCTTAAGGAGATTTTGGGCTGAGACAACGGGGTTTTCCAGATATACAATCATGTCGTCTGCAAACAGGGACAATTTGACTTCCTCTTTTCCTAATTGAATACCCTTTATTTCCTTCTCCTGCCTAATTGCCCTGGCCAGAACTTCCAACACTATGTTGAATAGGAGTGGTAAGAGAGGGCATCCCTGTCTTGTGCCAGTTTTCAAAGGGAATGCTTCCAGTTTTTGCCCATTCAGTATGATATTGGCTGTGGGTTTGTCATAGATAGCTCTTATTATTTTGAAATACGTCCCATCAATACCTAATTTATTGAGAGTTTTTAGCATGAAGGGTTGTTGAATTTTGTCAAAGGCCTTTTCTGCATCTATTGAGATAATCATGTGGTTTTTGTCTTTGGTTCTGTTTATATGCTGGATTACATTTATTGATTTGCGTATATTGAACCAGCCTTGCATCCCAGGGATGAAGCCCACTTGATCATGGTGGATAAGCGTTTTGATGTGCTGCTGGATTCGGTTTGCCAGTATTTTATTGAGGATTTTTGCATCAAAGTTCATCAAGGATATTGGTCTAAAATTCTCTTTTTTTGTTGTGTCTCTGCCCGGCTTTGGTATCAGGATGATGCTGGCCTCATAAAATGAGTTAGGGAGGATTCCCTCTTTTTCTATTGATTGGAATAGTTTCAGAAGGAATGGTACCAATTCCTCTTTGTACCTCTGGTAGAATTCAGCTGTGAATCCATCTGGTCCTGGACTCTTTTTGGTTGGTAAGCTATTGATTATTGCCACAATTTCAGCTCCTGTTATTGGTCTATTCAGAGATTCAACTTCTTCCTGGTTTAGTCTTGGGAGAGTGTATGTGTCGAGGAATTTATCCATTTCTTCTAGATTTTCTAGTTTATTTGCGTAGAGGTGTTTGTAGTATTCTCTGATAGTAGTTTGTATTTCTGTGGGATGGGTGGTGATATCCCCTTTATCATTTTTTATTGCGTCTATTTGATTCTTCTGTCTTTTTTTCTTTATTAGTCTTGCTAGCGGTCTATCAATTTTGTTGATCCTTTCAAAAAACCAGCTCCTGGATTCATTAATTTTTTGAAGGGTTTTTTGTGTCTCTATTTCCTTCAGTTCTGCTCTGATTTTAGTTATTTCTTGCCTTCTGCTAGCTTTTGAATGTGTTTGCTCTTGCTTTTCTAGTTCTTTTAATTGTGATGTTAGGGTGTCGATTTTGGATCTTTCCTGCTTTCTCTTGTGGGCAAGGCTACAGTAACCAAAACCGCATGGTACTGGTACCAAAACAGAGATATAGGTCAATGGAACAGAACAGAGCCCTCAGAAATAACGCCGCATATCTACAACTATCTGATCTTTGACAAACCTGAGAAAAACAAGCAATGGGGAAAGGTTTCTCCATTTAATAAATGGTGCTGGGAAAACTGGCTAGCCATATGTTGAAAGCTGAAACTGGATCCCTTCCTTACACCTTATACGAAAATCAATTCAAGATGAATTAAAGACTTAAACGTTAGACCTAAAACCATAAAAACCCTAGAAGAAAACTTAGGCATTACCATTCAGGACATAGGCATGGGCAAGGACTTCATGTCTAAAACACCAAAAGCAATGGCAACCAAAGCCAAAATTGACAAATGGGATCTAATTAAACTAAAGAGCTTCTGCACAGCAAAAGAAACTACCATCAGAGTGAACAGGCAACCTACAAAATGGGAGAAAATTTTTGCAACCTACTCATCTGACAAAGGGCTAATATCCAGAATCTACAATGAACTCAAACAAATTTACAAGAAAAAAACAAACAACCCCATCAAAAAGTGGGTGAAGGACATGAACAGACACTTCTCAAAAGAAGACATTTATGCAGCCAAAGACACATGAAAAAATGCTCACCATCACTGGCCATCAGAGAAATGCAAATCAAAACCACAGTGAGATACCATCTCACACCAGTTAGAATGGCAATCATTAAAAAGTCAGGAGACAACAGGTGCTGGAGAGGATGTTAAGAAACAGGAACACTTTTACACTGTTGGTGGGACTGTAAACTAGTTCAACCACGGTGGAAGTCAGTGTGGTGATTCCTTAGGGATCTAGAACTATAAATACCATTTGACCCAGCCATCCCATTACTGGGTATATACCCAAAGGACTATAAATCATGCTGCTATAAAGACACATTAACACGTATGTTTATTGCGGCATTATTCACAATAGCAAAGACTTGGAAGCAACCCAAATGTCCAACAATGATAGACTGGATTAAGAAAATGTGGCACATATACACCATGGAATACTATGCAGCCATAAAAAATGATGAGTTCATGTCCTTTGTAGGGACATGGATGAAATTGGAAATCATCATTCTCAGTAAACTATCACAAGAACAAAAAACCAAACACTGCATATTCTCACTCATAGGTGGGAACTGAGCAATGAGAACACATGGACACAGGAAGGGGAACATCATACTCTGGGGACTGTTGTGGGTTGGGGGGAGGGGGGAGGGATAGCATTGGGAGATATACCTAATGCTAGATGACGAGTTAGTGGGTGCAGTGCACCAGCATGGCACATGTATACATATGTAACTAACCTGCACATTGTGCACATGTACCCAAAAACTTAAAGTATAATAATAATAAATGAAAAAAAAATGTGGCACATATACACCGTGGAATACTATACAGCCATAAAAAATGATGAGTTCATGTCCTTTATAGGGACATGGATGAAGCTGGAAACCATCATTCTCAGCAAACTATCACAAGGACAAAAAGCCAAACACTGCATGTTCTCACTCATAGGTGGGAATTGAACAATGAGAACACATAGACACAGGAACGGGAATATCACACACCAGGGCCTGTTGTGGGGTGGGGGGAGGGGGGAGGGATAGCATTAGGAGATATACCTAATGTGAAATGACGAGTTAATGGGTGCAGCACACCAACATGGCACATGTATACATATGTAACAAACCTGCACTTTGTGCACATGTACCCTAAAACTTAAGGTATAATAATAAAAAAAAAGAAAGATGGATGGATGGATGGATAGATAGATGGATGGATGATGAACGGATGGAGAAAATTTATCAATTTCTCTACTGTTCCTTGGCTATTAGGTCTTCTAGTCATTGGCCCAGTTGCCAACTGAGTTTGAAAGAAGCAATACTCAGCTGTGACTGTTGATGGAAAAATGGACCATAGAGGAAATTTCTGACCCACTTTTGGCAAAGTGGACACACATAGACCCAGCCCTTCTCTCTGAAAGATGGACAAACTGTTTGGGAGGGGATGACCTCCCAGCAAGGTCAATGTGGCTCTAGGGTGACCAACTGAGGGAGAGCAGCTGGGCCAAAGTGACCTGTCCAGCCATTGCTCAGAACAGGCTGTAATCCTCACTGTGAACAAGTCCACTGAGTTTGCTTGTGGAGGATAAATGCAGGACTGACTGTATAGAAAGGTAAAGAAGCATCACCTTGGCCAGGGAGGCCCCAGACAAAATCATGAAGCAGGTGTATGTGTTTGCAGTGACTTCTACTTATCCTTTTTGCCCAGTGTCTCCACCTTTCTAAATCTCATTTCATCCCACAGGGAATGAGGGTTTTTATCCTGCCTTGTTCCCATTATGGAAGAAATAAAATAAAGCAGAGTAATGCTAAGCATTCATTGTTACTCTCATGGCTTGCAGGTTGGCTGCAGCCTGGCTGAGCTAGGCTGGGCTTGACTGGGTGGCTCTGCTTCAGCTGCAACCCTGGCTAGGCTTGACCCTTTGCTGTGAGTTGGACTCATGTCTACACCCATATGATCATGTTAGAGTCCAGGCTCAAAGGGCAGCAGCCACCTGAAGGAAGCTCTTGTCCAGGTAATGGCAGAAGCATAGGACAGGTATTAGTTTCCTAGGGCTGTCATAACAAAATACTACAAACTTGGTGCCTTAAAATAATGAAAATTTATTCTTCTACAGTTCTGGGGGCTAGAAGTTAAAAATGAATGTGTAGGCAGTGCCATGATCCCCCCAAAAGTTCTAGGAAAGTGGCCTTACTTATCTCTTCCAGTTTTTGGTGGCTGCAGGTTTTCCATGGCTTGTAGCAGCATTACTCCAATCTCTACCTCTGTCCTCTGGCATTCTTTTCATGTTTCTGCGTCTTGTCTCATGCAAGGGCACTTTTATTGGATTTAGGGCCTGCCTTACTTTAGTATGACAGTATGATCATAAGTTCCTTTCAATCCTTACCTTAATTACATCTACAAAGACCCTATTCCCAAATACGGTCATATTCTGAGGTTCCAGGTGGACACAAATTTTTAGGAGACATGATTCACACACTACAGGAGGGCAAACCCAAACAGGCAAACACATTATGTCTGCTCACATCTCATGGGCAAAACCAAGTCACATCAATTGGTAATTATCTTCTGTCTCTAGTGTGAGGGGCTGTAAAGTCACATGGAACAGGCCTGGATACACAGGGTGGGAAAGAAATGGGGCCAACAATCCAACCTACTACAAAAGCCTAGTTTGCTGTGAACCCAGAAGAGGAGATGGTTGGTGGTTCTGCAGTGCTTCCTAGCCCTCCAGACTCTCATCTGCATAAATGGGTTTGCTGAGAAGTCCGTGCCTCATGGAGTTACAGTAATGATTCAGTGTTAATACATGCAAGCTGCTTAGCACAGTATGTGGCACACAGTAAGCACAGAATTAATGTTAACTACTATGATCCTTATGAACCCACTGTCCTTTCTCTACCATCCACTTCACCACTCTCTGTTATTCCTTATGCTTTCCCCCCTTCTCCTGGTTTTCAACACATGTAATTTCCATTTTGCATAATTCACATAAACGAGCAAAGAAATTCTCCTGTTGAAGAGTCTTGTTATACTAGAATTTGGAAAAAGGGGGTCCCAATTATAGGGTGAGATAACTATTTAGGACATTAACTATTAAGATAGTGGATAGTTGTGGGCAATAAGCAAGCTAAACTAGTGCTTTGATCTCCTGAAAGGGAACTTGCTGTAGGTTGAGGGATTTCTGTGGCTTTCATCAAAGGAGTGAGAATCATGCTGGGCCATTACCTTTGCAGAGTGGAAATGATCCAGCTCAGTTTTGAAGCAAAAGCTGATCAGATAAGGGCAAGAGAGCAAAGGATGCTGCATCATCACCCAGGCTGGCCTCTTGGCCAGCAGGCGGAGAGATAAGAACGTTGCTCTGGGGAACGAGTTCCCCAGCAGTAACTGCAGTCTCTGTTTGGAATATGAGTTGTTCCATGCTAATGAGTCACATTTCATCATTTCCGGGAGTTGATGCCCCAGAAGGGACTGTTGTCACATAAAACCTTTTTATAAAAACTGTTTATTTGGTGGAGTCTTTATGTTTAGCTTTTGCACCAAAATAATTTCTAAGTGATGATTCATTTCCAACCTACATGACATGCATAGACGCAGCTAATGCAAAATAGTGTTGATGCACGTTTTTTACATTTTTTTTTCAATTTAAAGAACCGTTGTACAGTTTTTGCTAAGGTCTCAGGATTTCTTGAGATTCCTGTGGACACAGTGCTGCAGAGCTGCACCCGAGGCAGGATCTGATGGGAAAGAGTGCTGACCTGTTAAGGGCTGGATGATCGTTCTGGATGGAATGTGCAGGAAGCTCTAACACTGAAAATGGACTTAGGGACTGTCTTTGCCTCTGTTGGCTGTTAATGATCTTTGCAATCCCGAGAATTTTAGAAAAGAGAGCAATAATTTCTACTAGCTGTATGGTTACTAATTTCTAATCATCTAAATATAACCTTTTATATTAAAATAGGTGTGATTACAGGCACAGAAAACCAAACACCACGTTCTCACTTCTTTTTTTTTAAATTTTATTATTATTATACTTTAAGTTTTAGGGTACATGTGCACAATGTGCAGGTTTGTTACATATGTATACATGTGCCATGTTGGTGCGCTGCACCCACTAACTCGTCATTTAGCATCTCCTAATGCTATCCCTCCCCCCTCCCCCCACCTCACAACAGTCCCCGGTGTGTGATGTTCCCCTCCCTGTGTCCATGTGTTCTCATTGTTCAAGTCCCACTTATGAGTGCACATGTTCTCACTTCTAAATGGGAGTTGAGCAATGAGAACACATGGACACAGGGACAGGAACAACACACACTGGGCCTCTTTGAGGGCGGAGTCGGGGGGCATCAGGATAAATATTTAATGCACGTGGAGCTTAATACCTGGGTGATGGGTTGATAGGTGCAGCAAACCACCATTGCACATGTTCATCTATGTAACAAACCTGCATGTCCCGCACATGTATCCTGGAATGAAATAAAATAAAATAAAATGAAAAAAATTAAATAGGTGTGATTAGCAAGATGAATTCCCCTGTGAAGCCTGGAGCAGGCTTCACTTTTTTCAACACACATCTGTGCCTCAACAACATCAGACAAGGTGTGGGGGCTCACGCCTGTAATCCCAGTACTGTGGGTGGCTGTTGCAGGAGGATCACTTGAGGCCAGGAGTTGGAGACCAGCCTGGGAAACATAGCAAAACCCTGCCTCTACAAAAAATAAAAAATTAGCCAGGCATGATGGTGTACGCTTGTAGTTCTAGCTTCTTGGAAGGCTGAGGCAGTAGGATTCCTTGAGCCCAGGAGTTCAAGGTTATAGTTATCTATTATTGTGCCACTGCACTCCAGTTTGGGTGACAGAGCAAGACCCTGTCTTAAAAAATGTCTTCTGGCCAAGAGAAGTGAGTATGGGTCAGCAAACATGAAGTTCTTGCCCAGAGATCGAGAGATGCTGTTGGCCTTTGCAGGGGGAATGGCCCTGCCCAGCAGAGGGTAGAGCTGTAAGGGACCCTGCCAGGAGATTTTGCCCATGGGTCACTTGAAGAGTGAGGAGTCACCCTTCTCTCATTGACCATGTGCTTCTTGGTCCTTTCTCCACCAGCCATGAATGTGTGTATGCATATAGGTGTGTGTGTGTGTGTGTATGTGTGTAGCAGGGGCGGGGAGGAGGATGGGATACCAAGGTGTCAGCGATCCACCCGTCTTTGTGCTCTGCCACTGCCAACAGCATCCAAATGCTAATATTCAGCCTCTCCACCCAGACATAGCTACACAGGTCCCTCCCACTTCTACATTCTGTGGCAGACATTGCTTATTGCCTAAACAGAGCCTTATTCTTCCTCAACTCCCTTCTTTCCTGCTCACAGAACCTGATTTATTCAGGAAGCAGGTGGAGTGTAGCAGGTTGATCTTGGGGAGCATAGGCCCTTATGTCAGCCATATAAGATAAAGCATTGAAATCAGTTAAGGGACTTTCATTCCCTTTAGCCAGTGATTGGCCTAAGAGTTTGCATATAACCCTGTTCTGATGAACAATGTAAGGGAGATAGATGAAGGGGAAGATTCAAATAAAAGCTTCATGAGAAGGGGCCTTTCAGCTTTTCCTTTTCTTCTCACCTGGAAAATATATATGAAGCCTGGAGGTTTGGTAGCCATGTTGCAGCAATGAGGACAAAACACAGAACACTAAGGAAGTTAGAGCAGAAAGACCACAAGAACCAGCCTTGGTTAGCCTATCTTCAGACTTTCTTATTATGTAAGAAAAATGTCTCCTTACCCCAATAAGTGTAATCCACTGTTTGTTACTCTATTTTTATGATACTGATAGCCAAATGCTTTGTCTTAATTTCACTACTGGCTAGTTTTCTAAGCTCTGCAAAATGTGGGACTGCCATTGATGCAGGGAATAGGTGGTAGTGTTGAGGATGAGAAGTAAGAGGGGGTCCAACCAAATGGTGCTATCCCTTAGCCCACCAAAATTTCAAGGTGCTACTCTTGAATTATAACACTTTTATAACAAATGTGACACCAAAGATGCATGTGTACACTGTACCAAGCAGAATGGGGCTTTGGACTGCCTGTCAAAAGCTTCTCAGGGAGCCTAGAAGTGACGTTCTTATTGGCAAAATGTGATGGAGTGAAAAATCAGAGGAAACTGAGGAGAAAATAGGGTTGTAAAGGAAATAAAGCAGGTCTTCATAACTCTTAAACACCTTTCACCATTCTGTCTATTTCAGATTAAATGAGGCCAGCTGCTGAGGATGTCAGGGAGTCTGGGTAGGCCAAGGCCAGGGAGCAGAGAGTCCTGGGTCCCTAAGGCCACATATGAGGGATGAATTTTGGCAGCAATGCAGCAAGTCTTCTCACATGTAGAGACAAAATGTATAATATCTGGAATGTGTTGGCATGGGAGAAGGGCTGCCTGCTAGTCTCATATACCAGTCACAGAATGAGTGCTGCCACGTCTTATTTTATATGTGTGCGAATCTACATAATGTTGGAAATAATGTGGTTAAACCAGGGATTGGACCCAATTGTCTTAAGTGACCAGGTGGTTTCTGTAAATGATTGAAACACAAATGCCTCATTTCAAGGGAGCAATTATTACTAAACTCCAGCCCACTGCCACCAGACCATAAAAACTTATGTTTTCAAGAGGACATGAAGAAAATATTGATTTTTGTGTGAATTCTTCTGATTTTAAAAGTTGGGAATGGGCCAGGTGCAATGGCTCAGGCCTGTAATTGCAGCATTTTGGGTGGCCGAGGCAGGCAGATCACCTGAGGTCAGGAGTTTGAGACCAGCCTGGCCAACATGGTGAAACCCCATCTCTACTAAAAATACAAAATAAATTAGCCAGGCATGGTGGTGCATGCCTGTAATCTCAGCTACCTGCGAGGTGGAGGCAGGAGAATTGCTGGAACCCGGGAGGCAGAGGCTGCAATGAGCTGAGATCATGCCACTGCACTTTAGCCTGGGTGACAGAGCAAGACTGTGTCTCAAAAAAAAAAAAAGTTGGCAATGAAGTCTAAGTTTTAAAAATGCTGTATGACCAAACCAAACATAGCTGAAGACACATGTGGCTGGTGGGTCACCAGTTTACAATCTTGATGCTATCCAGGAACTCTCCAAGGTACTGTTGATACAGTCATGTTCACAAGTACTTGAAAGAATCCAGTGACAGACCTAGAGAGGACAGATAAGGAAGACACAGAGAACTTCTCTCAGAAAACCGTAAAACAAGCTGTTTTCATTAAAAAATAAAAACTGGAATCCAGCAATTCGTATCTTGAGAAAAAGCAAGATGTTTAAATATCCATTGATAGAAAATTTAGTAGTAAAAGGTCATACTTGGACATGTACATAAAACAAAAAAAATCTGTGACTAATTAATAAGAAGGGACCTGATATAAAAAGTGGCTGTCTCAGCATAGAAAATGTGGAACAAGGGAAACATAAAACAGGTGAAGAGGACTAGACAGGTTGGGTGAATGTCCCATCACCGACAATGTTCATTGTCACCATTTTTTTTTTTGACGGAGTTTCACTCTTGTCGCCTAGGCTGGAGTGCAATGGCGTGATCTCGGCTCACTGCAACCTCCACCTCCCAGGTTCAAGCGACTTTCTTGCCTCAGCCTCCCCAGTAGCTGGGATTACAGGTATGCACCACCATGCCGGGCTAATTTTTGTATTTTTAGGCGAGATGGGGTTTTGCCATGTTTGTCAGTCTGGTCTTGAACTCCTGACCTCAAGTGATCCACTCGCCTTGGCCTCCCAAAGCGTTGGGATTACAGGCGTAAGCCACTGCACTCAGCCTGTTACCAATTTTTTAGTGAAGAAGAATTAAAAATTGGTATCAGAATTCTTTTAGATATATCTACATAAAATCTCCTAGTTAAAGAATTTATCCTTTTTGATTGAGACTGATGAGTGGTTGAGTAGACCTATGCTCATAGATAGACATGTGTGTAAATAGATCAGCAGGTAGGTACTGGGACTGGATGGATCCTAAAATAACTCTAAGAATTAAGATTCTCATGGCCCTGCTGGGCAAAACCAGGTATGAATTTCTACCTTCATTTTTTTTTATGTGATATATGTTATACTTGTAAGGTCCGATGCATAGGGAAAGAACTCTGTCTGGTTAAGTGCAACAGTCCTGCCTCTAACAATAAAACAAGGTGGAGGTTGATAAAATTATAATTTGGGCTTTTCCTTGATAGCAATATTCAGAATAAGCAATATGTAATCACCACATCAAACCCTTGCATCTTCTTCTCTTTCTACACCAGAACCTGTAAAGTCCTTCCTAACCATAACTAAGGCAGCCTGGATGGGACTATGCCTAACTCATGTCAACAGCATTCTCTGCTTTGCTACAGTTATGTAACTACTTTTTAAAAGTGTTTATGGCCTCAGTTTTATTGGTCGTTAAAAAAACCATTTTTTTAGAGCAGTTTTAGTTTCATAGCAAAATTGAGAGAAATGTGCAGAGATATCTCATATACTCTAAATTCCACATGAATGGCCTCCCCCATATCAACATCTCCCATCAGAGTGGTACATTTGTTACAATTGATGAGCCTATGTTGATATGTCATTATTAACCAAAAGTCCATAGTTCACATATTAGGATTCACTCTTGGGGTCTTACATTGTGTTAGTTTGAGCAAATGTGTAATGACTTGTGTGCACAATTATAGCATCATACAGAGTATTTTCCCTGCCCTAAAAAATCCTCTATGTTCTACTTACTCCATCCTTCCCTCCCTAGTAATCCTGGGCTTTTCACTGTCTCCACAGTTTTACCGTTTCCAGAACATCACATAGTTGGACTCATGCAGTATGTGGCCTATTAAAATTGACTTTTTTCATCTAGTAATATGTATTTGAGGTTTTTCCAAGTCTTTTCATGGCCTGATAGCTCATATCTTGTTTGTATTAAATAATATTCCATTGTCTGGCCACACCACGGTTTATTTATATATTCACCTATAGAAGGACATCTTGGAAATAATGAATGAGGCTGCAATAAGGATCTGTGTGCAGGTTTTTGTGTCACATAAGTTTTCAACTCTGTTGTGTAGATGTCAAGGAATGCAAGTTGCTGGATCATATGGTAAGAGTATGTTTAGTTTTATAACAAATTGCCTAAGTATCTTCTAAAGTTGCTGTACCATTTTGATTTCCACCAGCAATGAGAGTTCCTATTTCTGTTGCTTCACATCCTCACCAGCATTTGATGATGTCAATGTTCTGGGTTTTGGCCATTCTAAATTGGCATGTAGTGACATCTTGTTTTAATTTGCATTTCCCTGATGATATATGGTGTGGACCATCTTTCATATGCTTATTTTCCATCTGTATATCTTCTCTAGTGAGATGTCTGTTAAGATCTTGGGCCCATTTTTTAATCAAGTGGTTTGTTTTCTTGTTATTGAGTTTCAAGAGTTATTTGTATATGTTGGATATGAGTCCTTTATCAGATATATCTTTTTCAAATATTTCTCCCAGTCAGTGGCTTGTCTTTTCATTCTCTTGACAGTGTCTTTTACAGAGCAAAAAATTTTAATTTTAATAAAGTCCTGCTTATTGATACCTTTTTTTTCATGAATTGTGCCTTTGGTGTTGTATCTAAAAAGTCATTATTGAACCCACATAATCTAGAATTTCTCTTATGTTATCTTCTAGAGTTTTACATTTTACATTTAGGTACATTTTACTTTTGTGATTAACTTTCAGTTAATTTTTGTGACAAGTGTAAGGTTTATCTCTATATTTTTTTTACATGTTTAGATGTCCAGTTGTTCCAGCACCATTTGTTGAAAAGACTTTTTCTCTATTGTATTGCCTTTGTTCTTTTGTCAAATATTAGTTGACTATATTTATGTGGGGCTGTTTCTGGGCTTTCTTTTATATTCCATTGATCTATTTGTCTATTATTTCACCAATACCACACTGTCTTGATTACTGCAGCCTTATAGTAAGTCTTGAAGTCAGGCAATATTCATCCTCTAACTTTGTTTTTCTTCTTCAATCTTGTGTTGGCTATTCTTTGTCTTTTACCTCTCCATATAAACTTTAGAATCAGTTTTTTAATATATACAAAATAACTTGTTGGTATTTTGATTGAGATTGCATTGATCCATAGATCAAGTTGGGAGAACTGACATCTTGACAACATTGAATCTTCCTTTCCATGAACATGGGATAGCTCTCCATTTAGTTAGCTCTTTTCTTTCTTTCATCAGCATTTTCTAGTTTTCTTCATATAGATCTTATACACATTTTGTTGGATTTATACCCAAGTATTTCATTTTTGGGGATGCTAATGTAAATAGTATTGTGTTTTAAATTCAAATTCCACTTGTTCATTGCTGGTATATATGAAAGTGATTTACTTTTGTATTTTAACCTTGTATCCTGAAATCTTGCTGTAATCAGTAATTAGTTCCAAGAGTTTTTTTGTTGCTTCTTCAAATTTTCTACATAGACAGTCATGTCTTCTGTGAACAAAAATAATTTTATTTCTTCCCTCTCAATCAGTATACCTTTTATTCCTTTTTCTGTCTGATTGGATTAGCCAGGACTTCCAGTACAATGTTGAAAAGGAGTGATGAGAGGGGACATCCTTGCCTTGTTTTTTAATCTTAGTGGGAAAGCTTCCAGTATCTCAACATTAAGTATGATGTTAGTAGTAGATTTTCTGTAGCTATTTTTTTTTTTAAATCAAATTGAGGAAGTTCCCCTCTATCCTAGTTTGCTGAGAGCTTTTTTTAATTTATTTTTTATTTTTTATTTTTGATGGAGCCTCGCTCTGCTGCCCAGGCTGGAGTGCAGTGGCACGATCTCGGCTCACTACAAACTCTGCCTCCTGGGTTCAAGCGATTCTCCTGTCTCAGCCTCCTGAGTAGCTGGGATTACAGGCATTCACCACCATGCCTGCCTAATTTTTGTATTTTTAGTAGAGATGGGGTTTCACCATGTTGGTCACGCTGGTCTCACCCGAACTCCTGACCTTGTGATCCGCCCGCCTCAGCCTCCCAAAGTGCTGAGATTACAGGCGTGAGCTACCACGCCTGGCTGCTGAGAGCTTTTATCATGAGAGAGTATTGGTTTTGGTCGAATGCTTTTTCTCCATTTATTTATTTTTACTTGTTTTCTATTTAAAAAAAATTTTTTTATGGAGATAGGGTCTTGCCATGTTACTCAGGCTGGTTTCAAACTCCTGGCCTCAAGTGATCCTCCACCTTGGCCTCCCAAAGTGCTTTTCTTTATTTTTTTATATGAGCATTTGTTTTTTATTATTTAGCCTGCTGATGTGATTGATAACATTGATTGATTTTTGTGGTATCCTTGCATATTTAGGATAAATCCCACTTGGTTCATTTTTGTGCTATTGATTGATTTTTGTGCTATCCTTGCATACTTAGGATAAATCCCACTCAGTTCTGGTGTATAATCCTCTTTGCATATTGTGGGATTCAAGTTGCTAATATTTTGTGGAGAATTTTGCATCTGTGCTTATGGGAAATGTTGGTTTTCAGTTTTCTCTTCTCGTAATGTCTTTGATTTTGGCATTAGGGTGATACTGGCTTGACAGAATGAGTTAAGAAGTATTTCCTCTGCTTATACCTTCTTAGAAGTACTTCCTCTGCTTCTATCTTCTTAAAGAGATTGTAGAGAATTGGTATAATTTTTCCTTAAATATTTGGTAGCATTCACCAGTGACCCCATGTAGGCCTGTTGCTTCCTGTTTTGGAAAGTCATTATTAATTCAACTTCTTTAATAGGATGATCTTTTCAGACTGTCCCTTTCTTCTTGTACGAGTTTTGGCAGATTGTGTCTTTCAAGGAATTGGTTCATTTAATCAAGATTATCAAATTTGTGAGCAGGGTGTTGTTCATAGAATTCCTTTATTATCCTCTTAATATCCATAATGTCTGTAGTAATGTTGCCTCTTTCACTTCTAATGTTAATAATTTGTATCCTCTTTTGAATTTGAATTTGCTAGAGGGTTATCAATTTTATTTATCTTTTCAAAAAATCAGCTTTTGGTTTCATTTATTTTTCTTTATTAATTTTTTGTTTTTAATATGCCCTCATTTTCATTATTTCTTTTTTCCTGCTTACTTTGGATTTAACTTGCTCTACTTTTTCTAGTTTCTTAAGGTGGAAGCTTAGGTTGTTAATTTAAATCAGAAAGATTTCCTTTCTAATGTATACCTTCAATGCTATAAATTTCCCTCTAATCACAGCTTTTGCTGTATTCCACAAATTTTGATAAACTGTGTTTTTATTTGTATTTACTTCAAAATATTAAACAATTTTTTGGGGGATTTTTTCTCTGACCTATGTTTGTTTAGAAGTATGTTGTTTAATCTCCATGGGTTTTAGGATTTTCCTGTTATCACTTTGTTACTTATTTCTAGTTCAATTTCATTGTGGTCTGAGAGCAAATGTTGTCTGATTTCTCTTCTTTTAAATTTGTTATGTTGTGTTTTACGGCCCATAATGTTATCTATCTTGATGAATGTTCCATGTGAGCTTAAGAAGAATGTGTATTCTGCTGTTGTTGGATAAATTAGTTTATAGATGCCCATTATTCTAGTTGATTCATGATGTTGTTGAATTTGACTATGTCCTCACTAACTAATTTTCTGCCTGCTGGATCTGTCCATTTCTGATAGAGGAGTGCAAAAGTCTATAATACTGGGTTCATCTATTTTTCCTTACAATTCTGCAAGTTATTGCCATACATAGTTTGGTGCTTGTTGTTAGGCACATACACATTAGGGACTGTTATGTCTTCTTGGAGAATTGAGCTATTTATTATTAGGTAATGCTCCTTTTTAGCCCTGATGACTTCCTTGCTCTCCTCTGTCTGTAATTACTGTAGCTACTTCCACTTCCTTTTGATTAGTGTTAGCATGATGTATCTTTCTCTATCCCTTTACTTTTTCTTGTTCTTTTTTTTTACAATAGTCATTCTGTACAAGAACATCAATGTATCCCTTTACTTTTAATCTATATGCATATTTACATTTAAAGGAATTTCTTATAAATAACATATGGGTTGATCTTCTTTTTTGATCCATATTGACAATCTCTGTCTTTTAATTGGTGAATTTAGACTATTGATATTTAAAGTGATTATAGATCTAGTTGGGTTAAAATCTCCCATATTTGTTTCTGTTTTCTATTTGTTGTCCTTTTCTTTGTTCCTAGTTTTGTCTTTCACTCTTTTCCTGCCTTTTGTGGTTTTACTTGAGCATCTTATATGATTTCATGTTTCCCCATTTCTGAGCATTTTGGTTATTCTGCTTCTTTTCTTTTATCTTTATACTTTTTTCAGTATTTGCCGTAGAGTTTGAAATATACATTTACAATGAATCCAAGCCCACTTTCAAAGAACACAATACTGCTTCATGGATAGTGTAAATACCTTGGTCATGTTCTTTTAAATCAGAGTTCCCATATAAAGATGCTTCAAGAGAGAAAAGATTTATGACGGTAGACTTTTGTTTGCTATACCCTTTAGAAAAAAACATGTTTCTAAAGGATAATAAACCTACTTGTTCTTTCTGGTGGCCGGTGACTGCTTGAATAGTGTTTCCTTAGAATTCATGGCCACTGAGAATCACAGTATGTGGCCATATTTGGAAATAAGATCTTTGCAGATGTAATTGGTTAAGATGAATTTGTACTGGATTAAGGTGCGCCCTAATCCAATGACTGGTGCCCTTATAAGAAGGCCAAGTGATCACACAGACACACACAGAAGGAAGAAGTCCGTGTGATAGTGGAGGCAGAGACTGGAGTGATGCAGCTACAAGCCAAGGAACACCAATGATTGCCAGGAGTCTCCAGAAGCTAGGAAAAGGCAAGAAAGAATCCTACCCTAGAATTTCCGGAGGGAGCATGGCTCTGCTGATACCTTGATTTTGGACTTCCAGTTTCTAGACCTGTAAGAGAGTAACTTCCTGTTCTTTAAGCCACCCAGTTTGTGGTAATTTGTTATGGCAGCCCTAGGAAATGGATACAGTAGTGATGGGGGAGTTTCCTTCACTCTGATTGCTGTCATGTGATTGGCATTCCACTGTAACACACCTGGCCACTCACTCACTCACTCAGGGGAGGAAGAATGACTTAAATCTGCTTGTTGACCTGGGAAGGATAAACTGGACACTTGTATATCAGCCTTTTCCCTTCTTTTTTTCTCTTGGGTGTGAACTCACCCCAGAGAGCATGCAGTCTATGTGGGGAGGCCTGCAGAGGATCAGTATTACGAGGCCCCAGGATTGCAATATAAGCAACATCTTCCAATATCGGCCTTAGCAGTGATAAGTTTACATTTTAATTGCCCCAGTGTATTTTTTAATCTTATTTCTCAATTTGTTAAGTACTCAGCATGTATATGGATGGATTGAGGTGGGGAAAGGAAAGCCCCTTTAGACTGGCAATAACCCTCCAAGTTCCTTCTGTTCTCAGTAAAGATTTGTTTAGTTTCCCTTGAGAGGAACATTGTATGGAGAAAGGACACCCTGAGGGATGAATTAGTCCTCCTGTCTGCCTAGCCAGGATCATAATACCTCAGTCATACCCCACACACAAGAGAACACATTCAGTTTTCATATCTTCCAGGAGAATGACTTCAACACCTTCTGAAAGACCCCTGGAGTATTGAATACACTTTTTGTTACTTATCTTCCTTAAACGGCTGAGTTGATGAAAAAAAAAAAAAAAGGTCTGGGATAGGTTAAGATTTTAAAAAACTTTTATCTTTAAATTTCATTTATTATTATTATGTCTCAGTTTTACATTTTTATTTTGAAATAATTATAGTTTCACAGAAAATTACCAAAAATATATGGGGAAGTCCTGTGTATCCTTCACCCAGTTTCCTCTAATGGTAACATTTTGCGTGACTATAGAACATTATCAAAACCCAGACATTGGCATTGGTACAATTGGCAGAGTTTATTTAGCTTTCAAGGGTCAGTCTCTTCCCTCATTTGCCCCCGTCAGGAGGATCTTACTCTCCCAGACTTGTTCTCAGCCTTTCTGGGGACAAATGAAGGAAGCAACTGGGGAGAAGAAACTAACCAGAGGTTTGGAGATGTTTCTCAGGTTATTTTGAGAACAGCCGATCCGGTAGGTGAGAGAAGTGGGTAAGAAAATAAATGGAAAGATTTTAAGTATTGCTGTTGAGTGTGAGTAAACTCTGTTTTTCCTTTTCTCTCACACCCCAACAATTAACACAGAAGACTTCTGTGACCAAATGTGGTGGTGGGGGTTCCCTTATACACCAAGCAAGCAATCGCTTCTGCAGCAGGCACCAGCTGGGCGTCCTCCAATTCAAATCTGACACTGTCTACTGGGAGATACCATCAGATCCCACAGGTTGAGGGCTCAGTCCCACAAGACCACTCTTTCCTTCTTACCAGTCGTAAGTCCAGGCCTTCTGAACTTCTGACTGACTGGCTTCAAGTTGGGGTTTCCATGACCTCCTCTTTGAGTTTAATTAATTTGCTGGAGTGACTTACAGAAGTCAGGGAAACACTTATGCTTACCAGTTTATTATGACGGATATCTGAAAGGATGCAAATAAATAGCCACATGAAAACATGCATAGGGTGAGGTCTGGAATGGTCCTGAGTGCAGGAGCTGCTGTCCTTGTGGAGTTGGGATACGTGCCCCTGCTCTAGCAGGTGGGTGAGTTCTTCGCCTTCCTGCCAGCCTCCATGTGTTCAGCGCCCCGGAAGCCCTCGAACCCTGTCCTTTGGGCCTCTTTTGGAGGCTGCATTGATTGTCCATAATTGAAGCAGAGACAACTGTGTCAAAATGTGATTGGATAAGAAGAGTATGCTCTAAACCCAGCAAGGCCTGTCTGTTCAGATTCTTTTTGGCCTCTCTGTGCAGCATTCCTTCCTCCTGGGAATGGGGCAGGACCTCTTCTGAAATGGGGTCTTATGACCTGCAATCAGACAAGGTAGGTCAGGGAATTTCTTTTTGGCCAGTGCAAGACAGAAAGGTAGGGAACAATTAGAGTATATTTTTAGTTCCTAAGGCCTGCCTTGGGAAAAAAAGGGAGCAGGTGAAAGGAGGGCAGGAGACGGTCAGAGAGAGATTGTATTTTCTCAGGCCTGCTTCTGGGATCTAAAGTGCTCCAACATTACAACAAAACACTGTCACAAGCGCTATGGGAGTTACGAGCCAGAAACCTTGGATGAAAACATATATATAAAATAGTATCACAGCTGTAGTCTCTGGGTGCGCCCCTCCCCAACCCATAGTGTTAGAGAATTTCAAGTAATGACTTTTATTTTGCAACCTCTTTCAGGTGTTATAATATTGTTTTCTAAATGCTGTCTTGACCCAGTTTTGAGGCCCTGTCTAGAGGCCAGTTTCCCTGCCTAGACAGGCGACTGGCCCACGCTTCGACTACCTCCGCTGGCTACTGTCCACCCACACCGATCACCCCAGGACCAGTATCACACAAGCAGGGACAGCCCCTGTGCCCCAGAGCCCACTGAAATTATTCCAATTAGTCCATCCTATGCCTTTTGACCCTGCCTCGCAAATTCCTTCCCTGTAAGCCACAAAAAAGGCGTTCATCCACAGATCCCCCTCCCTCTGCCTCCTGAGGGGGTCCTGGTTTCTTGTGTGACCTCTATCTTTTCAGTGATGTCGTTTCTTGGCCTTATCACACTTAAATAATTAGAAACCTATTAAAACAGGTGGGTGGACCCTTTCACTGCACCACTTCTTTGGAAAAATAACTTTATTTGTTTCAGATCAAGTATGGCAAAAAAGAAAAGAAAGGATCACTCTGTGGGCAGCCTGTGGCTTTGTTCTCCCGTGCTGTTCTGTAGGTTTATAGTGGGTAGGGAGGATGTGTGGGTGTGGCAATGTGTATGTGTGTGTGTATATAATGTTTGCACTATTTTTTTCATGTAACTTAGCTTTAATGGAACTTATATATGAATAATATACTATTGCAATGTATCCATACTGACAATTTTAACTACTTTATAATATTGTATTTTATGAATGTACCATCACTTACTTAACCGTTGCTCTGTTTTTGTCACTTTGAGGGTGCTTATTTATTTATTTTTTTCAATAGTTTTCTACCTACAATACCACATAATGAGGCAGATGTGCTTCATTTGGAGTTTGCGTTGGGGAAGGTCTAGCCTGGCAGTTTGATCAGAGGTCAAGTTTCAGAAGTTCAGAGTTTTATTTTATTTTATTTTAACCACTAAAATGACTTGCTCATGAGCATCTTTGTACAAAACTTCTGTGTGCTCTTGGGATTATTTTCTTGGAATATTTGACTTAAAATTATAATAGTCTCCCCTTATTGGAGGTTTTCATTTTGAAGTGTTAATTGTCCTCAGTCAACTGCAGTCTGACAGTAGGTGAGTATAGCACATAAGATATTTTGAGAGAGAGAAAGAGAGAGAGAAAGAGAGATGACATTCACATAACTTTTATTATAGTATATTGTTATAATTGTTTTATTTTATTATTAGTTATTTCTTACTGTGTCTAATTTATAAATTAGACTTTATCATGGGTATGTATATATATGAAGAAACATAGTCTATATAAGGTTTAGTACTGCCTGTGGTTTCAGGAATCCACTGGGGGTCTTGAGGTGTTTCCCCTGCAGATAAGCAGGGACTACTTCCATATTAAGTTAAAAGGCATTTGTATTTTTTCTCTTTTTATGTATGTTGCCCAAATCTACAGCTAACTTTTGCATACTTTGTCAACAGAAAATGTTTATACTACATTCCATAATATTTAAAAATTAAGGAAGAATTATAGAGGTAGAATTTTAAAAATTAAAAACAAAACCTCTCCATGGACCCCATAAATACATAGACCTACGATGTACCCATAAAAATGAAAAAGTTTTAAAAAAACAAACAAAACCTCATGCACATCTTATGTTGTGGAATGAAATTTGGAAAGTATATCTAGAAAATAAGATTCCTGCTCAAGACCTACTGATCAAAATCTCTGGGAATGAGACCTGATAGCTTACATTTTAAACAAACTCCCGAAGTTATTATTATTATTATTATTTGAAACAAGGTCTCACTCCATCACCCAGGCTGGAGTGCAGTTATGCGATTATGGCTCACTGCAACCTCGACCTCCTGGGCTCAAGCGGTTCTCCTATCTCAGCCTCCTGTGTAGCTCAGACCGCAGGCGCATGCCACCACTCCTTGCTAACTTGTTGATTTTTTTGTAGAAAAAGGGTCTCGCTTTGTTGCCTATGCTGGTCTCGAGCTCCTGGGCTCAAATGATCTGCCTGCCTCAGCCTCCCAAAGTGCTGGGATTACAGGTGTGAGCCATTGTGCCCGGCTCCTCAAATTGTTCTTTTGTGCACAGAAGTCCATTTTATTTTACAAGTAAGGAATGGAGGCTCAGAGAGATTGAATGTCTTGCTCAGGGACACAAGTCCTGGTTTACAATGCAGATGGTTTTGAGCATACTATGAAAATGCCAAGCCAGAAGTCATTTAAGAGTCATTAATTCCTGCAGACTCCTGCTCATGACAGCCATCTCCTGATCTAACCTGCTATAGTTATGGGTCGAGGGTTAGTTCCATTATAATCTCTTTTTAACGTGGCATTGTCATTCAACTTATTTTTGCTTCACTCAGTAGAGAAAGCCTATTTATTAAGCCATTAGTCAATTTGCTCTTTTTAAAGACAGCTCATGTCCTTCGTTCTTTTCTAGCGCCTGTGAAGTCTCTATTTTCCCATTAGGAAATGTATTGTCACGACTTGGCATTTAGTTTATAATGTGGAGGAAATTAAAAAGCAGTTGGTGATGTGAGACAGAGACCTCCAGGCCTCAGAGTGAAGGTTACATGGAATCCTCTGAGGGATGGGTCTTGTCACCCCAGCCGTCTTGTGACTGTGGGAGAAGACCTAAATTAGCAAGCGTGTTTGAAGGCACGAATTTCCAACTCCGTTTCTGAAGTTCCACCCTGAGCCCTAATCAGGTGCATTTTCTGGGAAATTGATGCTGAAGAGAACGTGCTTTTTTGGTGTTAATTCACAGAAATGTCAAGTTTTCCGAGAACTTATAGTAGTAGAAAATCTAGGACATAACCTCTACTACGATGACATTTTTAAAAAAAATACGCATCCATCTATATCCTCCGTTGACATTTCATTTTTTTTCTGATGAGAGAAATGCTGCCAAACATGGATGGTGATGAAACCTCTAAGAACACAAAGGATTTATGACCAGGGCACAGATGAGCTAGCTTCTCCACCTCAGGCCTGCCCTTTGTCAGCTTTGTGATCCAAATCAGATGAAGCAGAAGAAACTGGAGTGCATCATTTGACATGGAACTGACTCCCAAATCTTTTCTCTTACTTCCACTTACAGGTCTTTTTGGCAGTTAACCGTCTTGCTCCTTTTCCTCTTACATCTGAGATTCTACCATATTATGGAAGTAAAAGAATAAATGAATACAAGTTCCATGAATCTACTCATACAACTAAAGTTCCTTTCTTTTATTTTTTTAATGGACATATAATAATTGTACATATTCATGGGGTACATAGTGATTTTTTGATACATGTAATGTATAGTGATCAGATCAGAGTAATTAGCATATCCATCATCTCCAACATTTATCATTTCTTTGTTTTGGGAATGCTCAATATCCTCCTTCTAGCTATTTGAAACTATATAGTATTTTATTGTTAACTGTAGTCATTCAACTGTGGTATAGAACACTAGAATCTATTCCTGTTATCTAGCTATTATTTTGTGTCCTTTAACAAATCTCTTCTCATCCTTCCCTTCCCCCTACCCTTCCTAACCTCTAGGATTCTCTGTTCTACTTTTCACTTCTTTGAGATAATTTTTTTTTTTAGCTCCCACATACAGGTGAGAACATGTGATGTTCAACTTTCTGTTCCTGGATGATTTCACTTAATATAATGTCCCCCAGTTCCATCCATGTTGCTGTGAATGACAGGATTTCATTATTTTTCATGACTGAATAGTATTCCATTGTATATATACACCACATTTTAAAATCTATTCATCTGTTGTTATATGCATAGGTTGATTACATATTTTGGCTATAGTGCTGCAATAAATATAGGCTCAGATGTCTCTTTGATACACTGATCTTCTTTCCTTTGGATAAATGCCCAGTAATGGGATTGCTGGATCATGTGGTAGTCCTATTTTTATTTTTATTTTTTTGAGGAACCTCCATACTGGCTTTACTAGTTTACACTCCCACCAACAGTGTATGAGTTCCCTCTTCTCTGCGTCCTCACCAGCATTTATTTTTTCTCTTTTTGATAACAGCCATTGTAACTGGGGTGGGATGGTACCTCATTATAGTTTTGATTTTCATTTATCTCTGATAATTGGTGATACTGAGCATTTTTCCATATATTTTTGACCATTGTTATATATTTGAGAAATGTCTGTCCAGATCATTTGCCCATATTTTAACTGGATTGTTTATTTTTGCTGTTGAGATGGTTGAGTTCCTTGTATATTCTGGATAGGGATCCCCTGTTAGGTGAATAGTTTGCAAATGCTTTCTTCCATCCTGTAGGTTGCATTTTATTCTGTTGATTGTTTCTTTTTTTGTTATGCAGAAGCTTTTTAGTTTGATATACTTCCTTTTGTTTATTTTTGCTTTTGTTGCCTGTGCCTTTGAGGTCTTAGACTTTAAATCTTTTTTCACACCAATGTCCTAAAGTGTTTCCCCTATGTTTCCTTCTAGTAGTTTTTATTTTTTTATTTTTTTAATACGGAGTTTCACTTTTGTTGCCCAGGCTGGAGTGCATTGGTATGATCTTGGATCACTGAAACCTCTGCCTCCTGAGTTCAAGCGATTCTCCTGCCTCAGCCTCCCAAGTAGCTGGGATTACAGGCATGCACCACCACGCCCTGCTAATTTTTGCAGTTTTAGTAGAGATGAGGTTTCACCGTGTTGGTCAGGCTGGTCTCAAACTCCTGACCTCAAATGATCCACCCACCTCGGCCTCCTAAAGTGCTGGGATTACAGGCGTGAGCCACTGCTCCCGGCCCTTCTAGTGGTTTTAAAGTTTCAGGTCTTACACTTATGTCTTTGTTTGACTTTGATTTGATTTTTATACAGAGTGAGAGGTGTGGGTCTAGTTTCATTCTTCTGCATATGGATATTCAGTTTTTCTAGCATTATCTATAGCATTATCTATTGAAGAGACTGTCCACTCCCCAATAAGTGTTCTTAGCACCTTTAGAAAAGTCACTTGGCTGTAAATATGTGATTAATTTCTGGGTTCTCCACTCTGTTTCATTGGTCTATGTTCTGTTTCTATGCCAGTACCATGCTGTTTTTGTTACTCCAGCTTTGTAGTATATTTTGGAGTCAAGTAGTGTGATGCTTCCAGCTTTGTTCTTTTGCTTAGGATTGCTTTGGATATTTGGGGTCTTTTGTTGGTTCCATACAAGTTAAAACTTTTACAAAAATTTCTGTGAAGAATGTCATTGATATTTTAATAGGGATTGTATTGAATCTGTAGATTCCCTTGGGTAGTAACAATTAAGGTTTTTTTTTTTTTTGACAGGGTCTTACTGTGTTGTCCAGGCTGAAGTGCAGTAGTGTGATCTTGGCCCACTGCAACCTCTGCCTCCTGGGCTCAAGTGTTCCTCCCACCTCAGCCTCCCAAGTAGCTGGGACCACAAGCATGTGCCACCACGTCTGACTCCTTTTTTTTTTTTTTTTTTGTATTTTTTGAATAGAAGGGGTCTTGCCGTGTTACCCAGTATGGTCTTGAACTCCTGGACTTGAGCGATCCACCTGCCTTGGCCTCCCAAAGTGTTGGGATTACAGGCATGAGCCACCACACCTGGCCCGCAACTAAGGTTCTTAATGTGACTGCAAATATTTAGATTTTGCAATGGTTATCATGAAAAGAATGGTTGCTGCTTTGAATAGAGTTGAAATGTCAATGGATAAAATTTTAATCTCTGCCTGCAAACATACAAATAAGAAACAGGCATTTGTATTTACATCTCTTGGAAAGTTTTAATTTGTTTTTTGGATACATGAACTATACAAATCATGCATGAGCTCTTCTAAATTCTAAGGGGAAAGATAAACAAAATGATGGTAAATAAATGTTTCATTACTATTTATTATTTCAGCTATATATTTGTTTGGGCCAAATTAATGATTCTACCAGTTTTACTATTTTTTTCTAATCTGTATACTCATCCATTGGAATCACTTATGTGACTATTTCCACTATGTGTGTACCTTACAGTAGAGTCTTACAGTAGAGGACTCAATCTTAAATTATAATATGGTTCTAGTGGGAACATGTAAGCTGCTTTGCAAAGATGCCCTTTGAAATGATCTACCTTATACTACTTGCCTTTATAATGATCTGCTTTGCTATGCTCTTTTAAGGCATTACACTAGAGAGCAGAACAGTAAAAAGATCATACGCTTTCAAAACTTCCACCTGTCATTCATTGCAAGTCCTTGTCTTTGGCATTTTCATCTTTCCACATCAGTTGCTACAATTTCTTTCAGGGTATAATTACATCCACGTTATTTCACTTCCATTTTCTTTAGTCAGTTTAGGGGAAGAAATCCTTAGCAAAATAACATTTAAAACAACTGAGAGTTTTCAATTTTGAAGAAAGACATTATGAAACTGCATAGTAAGGGAATATAATCTTTTCAATTTAATTTAGTCCATATGTTTTGACAAAAGATAAAAAGAATTTCATATCATAAAAGAAAATAAATGTAACTCTGAGAGTAGTGTATTTCCCCCCCAAACAGTTTGTTCACTATTTTTAGAATGTATTTGATCTTTGATATTTTTCCAAAATCAGAGCCAAAGTGAATATTGTCAAAGACCATCCGGTTAAATGCATACATGGCTTCCTGTAGGCCTTCAATTTAGTGCGACAAGCATTTGTTAATCATGTCTGCATGCAGGACAATGAAGCAGATGACAATCAGTGCTTTGATTCTTTCTGAGGGAAAAGGACACTACAAGGATATATGCAATAATAGAGCAATACGGAATTTAATTCTAGGACCAATAGCAAATACTATTCATTACAATGTGGGAAACACTGAGCTAATTACTGTAGCTACAAGGGAGAATAAAAAGACATTGTTTTTGCCCTCAAGGAGTTTACAGTCTAGTGGTGGAGAAAAGAGAAAGAGAACGACAGCGAGAGTAAGAGAGAGAGAGAAAAAATTAATTACAGAAATCAATATAATTGCAAACTCTGATGGGTGCTATAAATCCATAGTCAGGGTGCCATGTTATACAGGGCAACCTAGTCTGTGGATCCCATCACCAAACAAGTGACAGTTAAGCTGAGATGATGCCCCTGTCCTAGCTCACACAGATGATAATATTTGAAGAGAGTTTAATTCAGGCACCCTTTACAGAGATGAGGTGGGAGGAGGAGAGTCATGTGGGATAGTGAAGCACCTAAAGATAGTAACACTGGGATCATCACATTCCTTGGGCTGAAAGGATGAGGGAGCCACTTCAGAACCCAGAAGGAGAGAGCCATATGGAGAGGAGCTGGAATCTTTGGTTGAAGGACCAGAAATCCTGAAGTGGCCTAGCAGGGAAAGGAGCTGAGGAAATAAATACCTCTGTCCCCCGCTAGCTCCTGCTGGGCTTCCTATTGGCTGAACCTAATGGGAAGCCAGTGGGCAAGGGAGACAGGCCCCACCAGGTTTGCTTCTTGGGGCAGAGAGTAGAATGGGGAAGGGTGGCGAGCAGATCTGGGGAGGAAATAGGAACTATCCAACAGAGATGTGTAGAAATTGATAAGGGAAAGAGGCAGGGACAGAGGTCTAGGGTGTGAGGAGGAGGGCAGACGGAAATACATGCACAAAGGTGAGGTGGTGAAGGAGGATTGTGTGAAATCCAGGAACAGGAGAGGATCCATGGTGACCATGAGTTGGACTTGGGTCTACATATTTAGAGCAGTGGGAAGAGACACTGGAGAGTTTCATAAGGGATGGGGCAGGGGAGGTGGGGAGGAGAGAAGATGAATAAATGGTCTTTGAAAAGATCAGGAGGGACTGCACAATGCCAGAGTGGATGACAAGGGTCAAGGTCAAAAGGTGTTAAAGTCGCTTTGTAATATTCGTATGTTTTATAGTCTAATGCTGTATACATGGCTCTGTAATTTGCTCTTGTTAAACTAATACATAGTGTATATCTTTCCAATTAATACCTCCTTTTAATAGCTGTATAGTATTTTGTTGTGCATATAAATATCTTTAATCTTATGAAGATATTTATACGTGGTCAGTTTTTTCTCTTGTGTGCAGTGCTGCTGTAACTGTTCTGGTATCCTAGGGGCAGATTCCTAGAGAAGAATTGCTGAGGGAAGGCATGTGACCTGTTTGTAGGTGCTGCCAAAGTGACCTTGAAAAAGGTTATACTGATTTTCACTTGGGAGGACTATTTCTAACTAAATGGAATTTTATGTTTTCATAAACTAGAAAACTATACCTCACTTATAAAATGTATTTTAAGTTTTTTCAAAAACAAATCCTGACTACTCACTTGACATTACCTTAGATGTGGGCTCATCTACTCCTGTATCTAGTGACCGTTATTCTTTTTTTCAAAAAAGAATTTTTTTCTATTTAAAAATAATAGCTTGAAAAATAGTAAACAATTAAAAATATTATTCAATATTTGTTAAAAATCTCTAGATCTAATTTAAATATTGAAATGTGACTTCGTTACAGAACTAAAATTGTTGAGGAAAAATACCATCTTGTGAAAAACTTCAGTTATATCACAGATTGGAGTAAATCCCAATGGGAATTTTAATTTTTTAAATGAACTATATTATTTGTTCTGTCAGATAAATTGATACTTTTTAGTAGCCAATAAAATTTTGGGTAACTTAACACACACAAAAAACAACCAAAAGACAAACAACCAAACCAAGGAACTTATAAAACCCCTGGAAACACCATGCAAGTGATTTAATATGTTAGATATATTCTAATTATGAACCACAATTCTAATTAATTCTAATTAAAAACCACAGTGTAGCTGCATTACTTCATTAATCATAGTTTCATAAACACCAAAATGAAAAGAAAAAGAGAATAAAAGGTAGCAGTGATTTTCTTGAACAGAGGGACATACTAGTCAAAACTTTGGGTTGCAAGTGACAAAGCCTAACTCAATGAGGGCTGAGCACAAAAAGGGAATTTGCTTGCTCCAAAACTAGAAAATACAGAACAGAAGTGGCCACAGGTACTTGATCCAAACACTCAAAGGATGTTGACCGATTGTGTTCCGTCTTCCACACTCTATTCTCCATCATTTCACCTTCCCTCATATTTTAACTCATTTCTCTCAGTGTTTCATTTCTTCTGCACGTGGCAGGCAAGATGGCTACCAGCAGTACAGGACCAGAAGATCAGAGCTTAGCACCCACAAGGGCAAGAAAGCTGCTTCTTTTTAGAGGAGACAGGGATGATTCCCAGCAAAATTGGCCCTAATCTTAAGAAACAATTTAAGCTCTCTGAAATACACTTTCCACATTTGTAAAAGCTTTGTGAGTTTAAATGAATGTTGTATGTAACATATGAGTGCAGTGCCAGGTACAAGGCAGATGTCCAATAAATGGTAGCCCAAAAGAAAGAGAAAGTTGAGAAATGGTGTGCTTTGGAGAGGAAGACAATGAGTTTTCATGTTCTAGTGGTGTCTGAGGTGCTCATGAGAGACTTGGAAAGAAATGTCTAGCAGGCAACCAGTGACAGGGATCTGACACTTGGAGGCAACTTTTGGGAGAGATTGTGGTTAGAATCATGGGAGTTTGCTACAGATTTTAAGGCCTCTTTGCGCTGACCAAAGAAATCCTAGCTTGTAGTTACAAATATGGGTTCTGTGTTGGGAAGAGCTGAAGGGGTGGCCATGCCCTAGAGGTGGGTTGGAACAATATCTCTCCTGGGACTTTTGTGCCAAAACAGAGTTGTGTTTTTCTATTGTTCTCTCAGGAGATTCTTGCCTAGAGCTTGGGTTGTTCCTTTTTCTTATTGCTATTTTTATCCCCTTGATGGTGTGGGTTTTTTTCTGAAATTTCACTTCATTTATTTCAAAACAGTGCTTTAAAAAACATCATGCCATTATTATTTCCAAGTACTATGTGAGGTCACAACAGTGAACATTACAAATAGCAATGAAGCAGATTAGAGCAGTTCTTTCTGGGATCAGATTCAAGATTTATCTACAGGACAGAGGTCTCTGGAGGAATCTTTGATATCCAAAGGGTACAGTCAACTCCTAGCAGTCATTGGCAGAATTCAGGGCAGAGAAACAACTGTGGATATATGAAGATATATGTGTAGTGTCCTGTTTGAGGGTGTAAACTACTGATTCTGAGGGGTCATTTATAGAATCTGCATAACTTTTAGTTTAATGTGGACCCCTAATTAATGGTAAATAATAATAATACCTACCACTCAGAATGCTTAGGTGATGTAAGAAGAAGTTTACCCCTGAAAGAGAAAAATGGAGGGAAATTACATTTAATAACAGGATGAGTGTAATAGTTTTTATCACTACTGTAACAAATCATCACAAACTTAAGAAGAGTTTAAAACAACACAGATTTATCATCTCATACTTCTGTAAGTCAGAACCGTAGGTTGGCTAGGCTGATTTCTCTGCTTCAGGGCTCACAAAAAGGCCAGGCTGCGTTCCTTTCTGGGGGCTCTAGGGAAGAGTTCACTTCTAAGCTCATTGAGGTTGTTGGCCAAATTCAGTTTCATGTGTTTGCAGGACTGAGGTCCTCACTTTCTTGCTGGATCTTAGCCAGGGGTCTTTGTCAGCTTCTAGAGGCCACCTGGATTCTTTGGCTCATGGCCCCTTCCTCCATCTTCAAAGCCAGAAATGGTGGGTGGAGTGCCTCTCACACTCTGCATCCCTCCAGCCTCTTCTTAGGTCTCCTCCATCCTGCAGCACCTCTCTGAAGGACTCTTTTGCCTTCCTCTTCTGCTTCTAAGGGCTCATGTGATCATAATTATGCCTACCTAGGTCATCCAGAATAATCTCCCTTTTTAAAGTCAGCTCATGGGTAACCTTAATTCTGTCTGCAACACACCTTCACAGTAGTATTTAGATTCATATTCGATTGAATAATCAGAGATGAGAATCTTGGGAGGACATCTTTAAAATTCTGCCTACCACAGTGGGTTAAATGGGATTGACAGAGCTTCTTCCCCAGTGGATCTCTATAGGGCTTTTTAGAAGTTCTTATGGTTCTTTCAGAATTTAGGACATTTTCTATGATTATATTAACAGAATTGAAGAGTCTGATCTACATAGACCCGCAAGAGAGTCAAAAATATACTGTGTATGTGTGTGTGTATGTTTGTGTGTATATGTGTGTGCATGTGTGTGTGTGTGAGAGAGAGAGAGAGCGAGAGAGTGGCGTGAGTGAGAGAGAGAGAGAGAGAGAAAGAGGAGTATGCCCAAACCGGGGAAGCCAGTCTGGCAGATGGTGTAATTTTAAGGCCTGGCTGGGTGGTCAGCACCAGCATGAGTCTGCATCTGCTGCAGTTAGTAGAAGCAAGAGCTGTAGGAAGGAAGAAAGCCAGTGGATTTTTCTGGTTGGTTCTTGGATATGTTCAGGAGGTGTTACGGGCTGAACTATTTTATCCCCCAATTCATATATTGCAGCTCTAACTCCTGGTCCCTATGAATGTGACTATATTTGGAGATGGGGTCTTTAAAGAGGTAACTGAATTAAAATAAAGTCATTCAGGTGGCCCTTAATCCAATACTGTTTGTGTTCTTTTAAGAAGAGGAAATTAAGACACAGAGATGTACAGAGGACACCATTTGAAGACACAGAGAGAAGATGGCCACCTAAAAGCCCAGGGCAGAGGCCTCAGAAGAAATCATCTCTTTGATCTTGGACTCTCGGCCTCCAGAATCATGAGAAAATAAATGTCTGTTATTTAAGTCACTCAGTATGTGGTACTTTGTTATGGCAGCCCTAGTGGACTAATAGAGGAGGATTCGTTTCCACAAGGAAGGCTGAAATCTTGACCAGGGAGAAGCTGGTAGCTCCAGCCTGCAGCAACTATCTTTCCTTCATCTGGTGGCAGCTGGGGTTTTCTCAGCTAGCATGGACCTAGAAAGAATTCTAGTAGCTGCCCACATCCACTCTGGGGTTCATAATGGTGGGCTCTGGCCATTCCCACTCCAGACACCTGTCACGAGTATTTGGGTTGAGGGCACATGCTCCGAGTGGATGTAGGATGGAAGTGGTCTCTTTCTTGGTGATTTCAGGGCCTGCTTAGCAACGGGGTGTGGGCAACTTGCTGCGCATACTCTGGCTTCTTTATTATCTTGTCCTCTAGGGCCCTGCAACCCACAGTCTTGCGATTTTGGCAGAAGGGCTGTGGCATGCCTAGTTTTGGAATGAAAGGAATACTGGGGAAAGGTCAGGTAGTCTGAGTTCCTATCCCAACATTGTAAATGATTAGAAATTTTACTGTGGGCACATTGCTACTTTTCTTCATCTGTAAAATGAAATGGTTGCATTCCAGAATTCTGTGATTCTGTGAATCATTGGTAGATATAGATTACCTAGATGGTTTAAAATATGAAATCTGAGAAACACCACCATATAAAGTTGAAGCTCAAACTCAAACTTCTCTTCCTAGGAAGTGTGGAGAGCTTCATAACTTCCATGCTGTGGTGCTTCTACTGGTGAATTTCATTTAGTTATTCATTTGTTGTAGCTAAAAAGAAAGATTTCACAATAACCACTTCTTGGACAGGATTAAAGTTCAACTCAGGAAATCTCAAAGTTTGGCTACTAATTCGCTTTCTATTTTTAACCACACTTCATTTCACAGAATAATATTTTCCTCTGTGTCTGAGTGGTGCTCTAGAAACAGAATTTAGTAATGAAAACCTGCTTCTCAAAAGCCCTGTTGCTCTAATGAGTACCTACCCTGAAGGGTATGCCCAAGTTCAAGGTATGGAACTCTGAGCATGTAAAATTTTCATCTGTTGTTAATTATTGCTGTATGTATTCAGTTTTCTGAAGTCAGATGGTTTGTAGTAAGACATTGAAGTTTTATGTCCAGTAAATATTTGTATACACATCCCCCAAATGTGTAGAATAAACAGAATGATTTTCAACTTTCTGTAAATTAAGGTTATTTTGAATTTGAAAATGCTTGAGAAGGAAAACAAGCCTCTCGGTGAAACTGGGAGGCTTAATTTGTGCTCATCTTCCTTAGGATTTCCTTTGCAAAGTCGAGAACATGAAGTGCAGGGTCTGGATGTGAAACTACAAGTTTTTGCTTGGGTAAAATTTCTATGAGCTTTGGCCTACTCTCTAATTGGAATGTGAAATTTTGAGCAAGTCCATCCAAATTTTATTAATTTGGCAGACCATTATACCTTAATGAAAAATGAACAAAATTTGCAGTTTTTGACATAGAAAATATTTTACCTCTAGACCATGAACCTCTTTGGAAAAATTGTATTTCTTCGATGAGGTGTACTTGATGATAAATTTGGGAGCTCTCACACACCCAAATGTATAATTTGTAGTTGGTCATCTTTTGTTTATTGATATTATTCCAAAACTTCTCAAATCTTTTTTTTTTGTCACCATGGAGTGGTTCTCGTAGATTTTAAGCAAAAGTTGAAGAGAAAGCTATGATTTCTAGTGAATGAAAAAATAATTGTTAAATTTTTTTTTGAAAACAATTGTTAGGTAAGAGCTTATAATTAAGGACCAATTCTAAGAGCAGGAAAATGAGGGAGAACTAGCCATTTACTATAGCAACTGGAGTAAAAACAGAAAATGAAAAGGTTTTCTGTAGCCTCAGGTACAATTGAGAGAAGTGTTGTCAGCAGGGGTTTAGGTTTGAAAATCGAGGACTTTCTTTTGATCCTCTGGTACTAAATTGAAAGAGTTTCGCTGGATCCCCAAAAGGCCTTACATTAACAGGAGGCTGCCACTCATGAGCTTGTGAGTGGGGTGGGGGTAGGGGTTGGGGAAGAGTTGGGAGGATGTACCTATAAATAATGAATTAGAATGCAAAGTCATGTGAAAAACGTGCTATCTTGAGTGACACACTTATTGATGAGAGGTGGAAGGAGGAGCTAATGATGGTTTTTGACTAAGGCAATTGAGGAAGTTTCTGTGGGGAGGTGGCATTTTATTGGGGCCTTAAAGAATGAATAGTAGTTGATAAACACAGGTAAATTTAAAAAAATAACAATGACAGGAACTAAAATGTGCACATTAGGCATTGTGCTAAGCTCATTTAAATGTATTATCTCTTAAACCTTACAAAAACTCCATGGTACATGTAATTATCATCCCCATCTTAAAGGTAAGGAAACTCAGGTAAAGATAATTTGACCAATATGACACAAGTGCATTTGAATTAAGATATGTTGATTCAAGCAACTGGGCTCTTTCCAGGAGAGGGGGCAATTTACAAGGAGGAGACACCTTCATCAAAGAGCCAGATGAGCAATTTTTTATGTGGCTTACATATAGGAAATTTGGGGCAATGAAGTGAGAGAGTTAGAAATGAGGTTGAGGCCAGATGGCAGAGCCCTGAATATTATTCTAAGGACTTTTTTTTTTTTTCAGGCAATGTGGAGACACTCAGGGTTTTCGAGTGGGAGGGTAGTGTGATTTAACTAGTGATTGTAGGATAAGTCTGGTAGCAGCCAGAAAGATGGATTTGAGAAGGGAGAGTTTGGAGGTTAGGGAGACAGTTCCACAATAACTGTGGCACGCATGTGCGAGGATGAGGAAAAAAGCCAAGGCATGGCTAGTGGGAGGGAGCAGGGGCAGAGCTGAGGGCCATTGCAGGAGTGGAGCTGGCTGGGTATTGTAATTGCTTGTGTGGAGGGGTGAGGAGGAAGAGTTTCAGTTTCCTCTCTTTGGAATATAGTGATACCATTGACATAGGAGTACAGAAGCAAGAATTGGGGAGGAAGAATATGTGTTGGGTTTGAAGTGTGTTGAGCTTGGAACAAATATCCAGATAGAGATGTCCAAAGGGAATTTGGAAAATCTGGGCCTAGGACAGAGTAAGAGAATTTGGCAGACACAACATAAACATAAAAGTTGAACCATGGAACAGAATGGAGGACAAAACAGAGGCAGACCAAGCTTAGATCCCAGCAAAATGCCTGGATTTAAAGGAGTAGGTGGAAGAATAGAAAGCAGTGGGGGAAAATGTAAAAGGTGTGGTCATAAGCTTAAGGGCAAACATCCTGAGTTTATAAGTGCCTAGTGGGCAGTGACAATGTCTTAATAATTTGGCTCCTTGGCTTCAGTTAGTGGTGCCTTCTGCATAATGGGAGCCCTATGGGTACTTGCTGGATTGAGTTGCATATTTCTGCTCTGAGGAACTAGAATGGAATAGGCTCTGTAGAAAGGGTTATGTGTGTCCCTTGAGCTATCCCAGGAGTGACACAGTGAAGGACAAACCATCCTCGTGACCAATTCCATATTAGTGTCGTTCATATGTTTTTGAATATTTCCTTTTTACAGATGTAACAATAGGGATTATCAGACCCAAGAAAACAAACAAGTGGTATCAAGGCAGGAAACACACACATGCCCAATTATGGCACCAGATTTTAAGAAAAGAAGCATCCCAGGGGGTTGGAAAGGCAGGTGGAGAGAAGTAAGTGATGGATTTAGAGTGAACTATTGACTGAGAAAGCCAGTGACTGTTCTGTTTCTTAGATATAAAATGAAGACTGTAATGACCTTTTCATGACATATACTTGACAATTATACTAATTGTTTAATAACGCAGGGGGTGTATTTACAGAAAAACTTGGTGGTGATAGCTTTAAAATGGCCTTCCTGTCACTGGAAATCATCATGAACATATTTATATAAGAGAGCTTGAAATGATGTGGTAAACAGCTTTTCAGTGTGATATTTCTAAATTCAATGAGAAATTAGGGAGGATTGATGCAATCCACCAGGCTAGTCTAGGCTCCAGACCTCATGGAGAGCTGAGCTAATGGGTAGGACGGAATATAACTTAACCCCAAGGCTGAGGACAAGGGCTGAAGTGGCAGATTTTGGACATATATTGACTATTGCATAATGGGAGAAAACGGCTGTGACCAGATCTGTGCTTTATTTTCTGCTCTCTGCACTAGAAGGTCTGATAACAGTGTGTGTGGTTTATGCCCGAGTGCAGCTGACTCAGGCAGCGGCAGACTTTGAGTCAGTGTTTAAAGGTAAGAGATGATGCTGTTGGCCAGAAGCAATTTCATTTAGGATTAGTGTTGTCAGATAAAATACAAGATGCCCACTTAAATGTGAACTTTAGCAAAACAACAAAAATTTTTAGTGTAACTCTGTCTCATGCAACATTTAGGACATACATATACAAAAAATTACTTGTTGCTTATCTAAATTTCAAATTTAAGTGGGTGTTGTATGTTTTTATTTGCTAAATCTGGCAATGCCACGTAGGACTGAGTCTTGTTACTGTGAGGTTGCTTTTCTCTTCTATTAGTGCAAACCAGGATCTGGCCTAGGGTGCCAGGAAAACTATTTTATTTTCAAATGTTTGAGTTGGTCCTGGAGAACTTCTGTGTGTATCAGCTGTGAAGGTGAGAAATTGACTGAGAATTGGCAGGTTTGAAGATAATTAAGATACTTCTGGCTTTGACTTTATAGAAATTTTTTTATTGTGGTAAAATATACATAACATGAAGTTTACCCTTTTACCCATTTTTAAGTGTGCAATCCCTTGGCATTAAGTACATTCACATTGTTGTGCAATCAACATCAGTATCCATCCCCAGAACCTTTTCACTTTCCAAAGCTGAAGGTCTATAACAATTAAATAATAATTCCCATTCCCTACTCACCCTAGTGTCTGGCAATCACCATTCTACTTTCTCTCTCTATGAATTATTTGACTATTTCGGGTACCTCATATTAGTGGAATCATACAATATTTGTCCTTTTGTTGGGCTTAATTTATGTGTTTGGCTTAGCATAATGTCCTCAAGGTTTATCCATGTTGTAGAATTGTATTAGAATTCCATTCCTTTTTGAGGCTGAGTAATATTCCAATATATACATATAACACATTTTGTTTATCCATTCATCTGTCAATGGTCATTTGGGTTGTTTCCACATTTTAGCTATCGTGAATAATGCTGCTGTGAACTTTGGTGGACAAATATTTGTTTAAGTCTCTGCTTTCAATGTGTTGAATATATATCTAGAAGTAGAATTGCTGGATTATATGGTGATTCAGTGTTTAGTTTTTTAATGAAACTCTACACCTTTTTCCACAGTGGCTGCACCATTTGGGTTGTCACCAACAATGCACAAGCTTTCCAATTTTCCCACATCCTCCCCAGCACTCATTATTTTCTAGTTTTTGAGTAATAGCTATCCCAATAGGTCTGTGTAGATGTAATCTTTTTTTTTTTTTTTTGAAATGGAGTCTTCCTCTGTCATCAGGCTGGAGTGTAGTGGCACGATCTTGGCTCACTGCAACTTCTGGAGACCTGGGTTCCAGTGATTCCCCTGCCTCAGGCTCCTGAGGAGCTGGGACTACAGGCGCGTGCCACCATACCTGGCTAATTTTTTGTATTTTAGTAGAGACGGGGTTTCTCCATGTTGGCCAGAATGGTCTCGATCTCCTGACCTTATGATCTGCCCACGTTGGCCTCCCAAAGTGCTGGGGATTACAGGCGTGAGCCACTGTACGTGGCCATAGATGTAATTTTTAAGGATGGTTTGTGGCTTCTGCTCCTAGTTTAAATAAAAATATTTCACTCCTTCTTGCTCTGGAATCACAGTGGCCATTGGCACTGGCATAAAATTATGTATTCACTGCATAAGACATGTCTACAAGGTTAGGAAATGGATTTCCCAGAGTGGCTTTTAAAGGGGCTATGAAGATAGTATCAAAAAGAAGAGCTCTAGAAAAGTTTCCAACAGTGATAGCAGCGTTGGACTAAGCACATACCCCTCGTTTTCTTTGCAAGACACAGAGTGCTTCTCTTTATGCAAGTTCTGGTTTGTTTGCTGAAACACGCACTCGCACTCAAACACATGCATCATGATTTTGTCGTCATATCTCACAGACCCACACCAAGGAATCTGAATCAATTCTTGGAATAGACCTAGTATCTTTTTCTGGATGTTAGTTCCCAACATATTCTGAATTTTCAGTAATAACACCCAGGGTGGCAGTATCACAGACAGAAGTGAGCTTAATTCAGGTTTGGGACAGAATCTGATTACTCTCATATCCAGTTATTAACCACCTTTCAGATAATAGAGGATGACTGTTCCCATGGCAACAGAAGCCTTAAAGCAAGAGATCACTCAGCAGCCTGACGTTTTTAAAAAGCTCCACACTGATTTAACCTACTGGTGAAGGGAACCAAGAACCAAGGTCAAATATAGCCTCCATGGCAGGGTTTTTTCCTTTTTACTCCATCAGCGCTTCCTTTTCCCCGTAATTCTTCAAAAGAAATCAGTCTAGTGCTATCTTCCCTGTCTTCTGGCCTCTTCCAGGCCCGTTTCCCAACATCCTGGTGTGTATATGTGTTTGTATATCTGTTCATATTCTGTCTGCCTTACTCATTTCTATGTCAATCTAGACTCATGTCCTTCATAGCTATTAATCCATCATTCAAGGTGCACTTTTAGCTCAGAATTGAATAACCCACCAGAATAAAAAAGATTCCACTATTAAACATCTTTTGAGCAGGGCTTTTTGGATTGCTTGTTAAGCAGAAGTCAAATTTTCTTAGCTGCTCTTTCTTTTGTTTCATCATGAAAATATTTCTCATGAGTGAACACTTCTGATTTGGATTGGTACTAGTGGCATGTCTCATTGTTGTGCCTTTACTTGTGAGTGAACATTCTGAGCTGCCTGCCTGCAGATTCCAGTGACAAACGCTATGTTATTTTTAGTACCCTCAGTCATACTGAATAAATCCAATCTTATTTACATAATATATAAGGCTGAACTCATGGTTTGCTTTATGCTTTTAATGTCACAAGCAGACAATGATATGAACAATTGCACACTCCGTGTATGTGGACACAGTTTTTGTTGAATCAGATAGATTTACTGAGAGAATGGATCTGATGTGTTAGAGGTTTGCCTAACAGACATTTGGCAAATACCCATAAATGATTGCCAGTGGCATTACTTTTACCTAGAAAATGTTAATTCGTTGACACCTACAAACAGTGAATCTTGAGTTTTTCTTGAGACCGTGTTCCCTTTAAAGTGGACATACACAAATGAAATGTGCATGAAATCTCTCTCTTTCCCCTTCCTCTCACAGCATGCATGTATTCCAGAAGCACTTAGACCAGGTAAAGAGCAAGGATCTTGATTTTAACTATTCAGGCCTTAGTTTTTTCCTGACCATGGAAGCAGGAGGGAGAGCATGAAGCCATGATCTTGAGTCAGTTGAGGGATAAGGACATGCCATGTCTCCCTTCATAAGACATACTTCCTTCACTATACACTCTCCACTATACACTTTCTCCACTATACACCCTCATAGCTTTTACTCAAAGACAAGGCTGAAGTGTTTTTTTTTTTTGAGATGGAGTCTCACTTTGTCACCCAGGCTGGAGTGCAGTGGTGCCATCTCAGCTCACTGCAGCCTCCACCTCCCGGGTTTAAGTGATTCTCCTGCCTCAGTCTCCTGAGTAGCTGGGATTACATGTGCCCACCACCATGCCCAGCTATTTTTTTGTATTTTTAGTAGAGACAGGTTTCACCATGTTGGCCAGGCTGGTCTTGAACTCCTTGACCTCAAGTGATCCACCTGCCTCGACCTCCCAAAGTACTGGGATCACAGGTATGAGCCACTGCAGACACTATCTCTAGCCAAGCCTGCAGTTTTAAAATGAACTGGGTTGAGTCTTAAATAATGAAATAAATCTATCTTCATGACAGTATGTAACTGAAAAGTTATGAGGTAGTCTAAGATATTATTTCAGGAGCTTCTCATCCCATAGGAGATGGGAGCTTGACAGGATTGTTGGTCACATTTACTGGAAATAGAATTGTATCATGTTCAGGTCTAGCGTGGAGACTCTTCACCAACCTCCTTTCATCTCTTTGTCTGGGTCCTCCTTCCCTCACCTGAAAAATCTCTTAGTAGCACGTCTAGTTATTTCATCTTGGTCATCCAACCATGAAAGACTTGAGGGACTCCATTCCATGGAAACACTGAGATTAAGCACTGTTGATAAGATAACAGACCTGAGTTCTGGAAAACAAACATTAATTTATTAAACTTGCCAGTCAAGTGAGCCCTGCATTTGGGAACAGTTCCCCCAGCTATGCTTGAGCAGAGCTAATACATGTTACTAGGGAAGCACAGATGGTTCTGATTAACAGAAGTGGTGACAAGGAAACTGATGGACTCCTAGACCAAGACAGAGCTGCTTTAACACACTCAGCATTCCATCTGTCTTAGGTTAAAGCTGGTTTATTTTGGTTTTGCAGGTCCTGATATGATTTCAAACAGCAAAGTTTCTCGAGGGAAGAGATTCTAATGCATAAGGCTCTTCAATACTATGTCCTTGATGCTGATTTGATTTAAAGAACATGATTATTAAGGCTGTGTCCTTGATGCTTGCTAGCAGAAGCCCTTTAACAGTTTCACAGCACGACAACTGTATGTGAAGGAGGCAGGATATGCAGGGGAGGTGGGGGAAGCCTGGCTAGGGACAGTGGCAGGCAGCAGAGAGAAACATGTTGAAAAGGGATCCTAGACCACAGCCACATAAATGTGCTTGTGCAAAAGAATGGAGAGGGGAATGCTTGCCCTCGCCTGAAGGCAGGGTGGACACTGGGTCTCCACCGCATCCCCCAAGCTTTGCATGGTACCTGGCATGGGGCAAATGCTCTCTAAGCATTCGATGGATGAATGAATGAATGATAGGAAGATGGGGAAAACAGTCTGACAGGAGAACAATTTAAGACAGTGAAGGGTTCAAGGCCTGAGGCTGTGGCTGGGAGAAGATGATGAGAGCTTAGGTTCCCTGGCCTGGGTCATTCCTGAGACACAGATTTCATAGCCCCTTGCCCCTAATACATTCACACCAAGTGATGACTGATGTCAGGGTGAACTTTGCTTTCACAGAGGAGTTGTAGGGAGGGGTGAGGAGTGGAGAGGAGAAATCACTGGATTCTAGGTTCCTAAAGGGGTTGATGGAAAATGAGTGAAAACAAGTCCCCCTGTCTTTTTTGAACCACTGTACACTTAACCTGCTCCAGGTACTCTGCTAGACCCTTCAGACACTATCTCTAGTCCTTATAGCAAGCCTCTGCAGTTACAGTAGCGAAACTCATATTACCAACCAATGAGGGAGGGGCCTGTGACTTCCCTAGGCTCGCATAGACGATAGGGACAGGCTGACGTCATAGCCCACTCTGTCTTACTCCTTGAGAACCTTGATGCCACTCTCACCTGAAGTCCACAGGCAAGGTGGGATCCAGAGAGCCCTTTGTCCAGGCTGCCCTGAGTGTGACATTAGGTAAAGGGGATGAAGCTGGCCCTCCCGACCGTGGTGCCCACCAGGTCAGAGGTCTGCTGTTCCAGGGTGCTGGCTGCTTCTCTTACAGGGTGGAACACACAGTGAGTGCAAGCCCAAGGAAGCAAGAACTTCAGTTCTTCATTCTTTTCTTGCTTTACAGAAAAATTTAGTGGAACTTGAAAGCCTGATCATAAAGTTGACTGAATGAGAATTGCGCTAAGGTAATTTTGAAAAGGAAGAATACTCCACAAGGAATGCAGGAACTCTTGGGTTATCTTCTTACTTCAGATATAAAAATATCCATAAAGCTAGAGAATGAAACAATAGTGGCACATTTTTAGGTGGCAATTTGGTATATTTATCAAAATTGACAATAAATAAGAATTTTGTTTTTAAGAACTATTCTGGAGAAAAACTAAAAATGTGTATGTAGAGCTATGTATTAGGGTGTTCATTGCAGCCTTGTTTGTAAGAGTTTAAATGTGGAAATGTTCCAGATTTCCATCAGTACGGTAGAGCTTAAATTAATTAGGATACGGTCACACCACAAATACCATGAAACCATGAAAAGAAATTAAGCAGAGCCAAATATGCTGACTTGAAAGGACCTGAAATATATTTGGAATGGAGGAATGAAAAAAGCAAGTCACAAAACAATATTATGCAATGATGTTACAAACACATTGGAATATATTTGGAAGGATGCACACAAACAATTTTTAGTGACAAACTTTGCAATTAGAGAAAAAGTCAAGGGAGGGTCTTACTTTTTGATATACTTCTGTGTGGTTTTCCTCTTTCATAAAGAGCATATTCATGTGTCAATTGTGTACTTAATAAAATGATAATGTGGGGAAGCAGAATCTGGATATTTAGGAAACGAGAAAGACAGACAAATTAAAGATAATTTCAGGTTTAATCCTACAGGTGAGTTGACATGAAATTTAATGGACTAGATAGAACCCATTGCTATCACTGGTATGGGCCACTTATTTGAAGGGAGAATATCTTTGAGCCCTAGTTAGAGTCAAATTTTTGTGGCCAAAGAGATCATAGTGCCCTGAAGTATTCTGGGAGCAGTTAAGAATATGTTTATTGCAGCCAAATTAAATGGGGTCTTAGTGGCTATGATCGAAGAAGTTAGTACATGAAGAAAGGAAAAAATACAATAGGCTGAAATTGCTCCAGCAGCAATAAGGAAGGGAGTATCCCCTGGAAAAGTATCAGGAGGCTGTGCAGCACGGCAGGTGGGTAAGAGGAGAGAGCTACCTGTCATAGCTGCAATTAATATAAGATTATTCTCTTATCCAGCAGAAACATGAGCTAGATGCCTTTTAAGAAAATTAAAATATGCCTTAATTGCCTAGTAAAAATCATGAGTATGATAGAAGTATGAAGCCTAAAAAGAAACATTTCTTCTTAATTCCTGCTTCTAATTCTATACCCATTCCCATTAATCACCACTGTTAGAGTTTGGTGTGAATTCTTCCAGAGCATTTAGGCTCATATATATGTACACAAGCACACATAGAAGCACACTCACACACAATGACATGTGTGCAGAATTAAAAAAAAACTAAATATTTTACTAATGCATTCTCATTCTGAGCCTCAACAGGAGGCTATGCCCACAGAGCTGGCTCACCAAATTTTGGAGCTCTTCTTTGTGTTTCTTTATGGAATGCTCTGTGGCTGCTCTGGAGAACTGACTCTTCCTGAGTGTTTTCACCAGAACACTTGGGAAAGCAATGCAGGTTGGTTGTAAGTGTCACTGAGTGGGCAGATGTTGATTTGGATTTAGAAGAAATGGGATGCAGGAATTTTAGATTTGGGTAATTTGCAGTGCAATGAGTTTAAGAAATATGGATTTGAATATGGGTTTTCAAGCTATCTATATAAGCTTAGGAAAATTACTTAACCATTTAGAACCTCAGTTACCTTGCTTATAAAGTGAGAGTACAATGGCGCCTACCTTATTGCAAGGGGGTTCTGAGGACTAAAGAGGCAATGCTTACAAAATGTTTATCACCTTGCAAAGCATGTACTGAATGATCAATAAAGTAAGCTGCCTTTATTTTATTTTATTCCTGTTCCAGGTCACTTTTAGGCCACTTTTGAACACTTAGAGTCCTCTTCTAGCCCTTCTGAAAATTGCTTTTCCAAAGGCTTGACTTGCTTGCCTTTATTTTCTGATCTAATATTTATGCACCTTTTCTACTTTTAATCTATCATGTTTGCTTCAATATGCCAAGACTCCCACATGGTGTTTTGAAAATGAACCAAGAGGTAGGGCGTGGAGGTTCACACCTGTAATCCCAGCACTTTGGGAGGCTGAGGTGGGCAGATCATGAGGCCAAGAGATGGAGACCATCTGGCCAACATGGTGAAACCCGTCTCTACTAAAAATGCAAAACAATTAGCTGGGCGTGGTGGCGCATGCCTGTAATCCCAGCTACTCGGGAGGCTGAGGCAGGAGAATTGCTTGAACCTGGAGTTGGAGGTTGCAGTGAGTCGAGATCACGCCACTGCACTCCAGCCAGCCTGGGTGACAGAGTGAGACTCAGTTTCAAAAAAAAAAAGAAAGAAAGTGAACCAAGAACAAACCAAAATGCTTCACACACAACTTCTTGGAGTTTCCTTAAATTGAGTTATAGTTGATCATTTCTTGCATTTTAAACAACTTTCTTGGTTGATTTAGTGGCACAATTTTCCAAATTGATATTTGGTTTTTGACATCAAGGGCTAAAGAGTTTCCTTGCTTTTGGACTTGTGGAAATTTAGCTGTTTTTGTGCTTGTGGTCACTAGCTGACTCTTGACCCCACCAGCCCATATAGAATTGTCCTATATTAATTTGATGTTATATTATGTCTTAGTTGCACATCTAAGTGTTCTGTCAATTTATTTATTCAATAAATCTTTATGAGTGACCCTGAGTTTCAGGAATTGTATTATGTTTCAGGGATAGAGTGGTAATAGAGACAGCCCCTTCTTCCATGAAATGCAGAGTCTAGCAAGGCCTGTACACATTAAGTGATGAATTATTAATGCAGTAGTGCTCTGCTAGGTGATATGCTGTGAGAGGGACCCAGGCAGGGCTCCCTAAGGGAAGTGATACTGATATGAGATCTGAAAGAGGAATGAATAAAGTGATAAGTAGAAGAATATTATATCCAGAAGCAACTGCATATTCAAAGACCTGGACATAAGAGAAGTCTTGCGGTATTTGAAGAACTGAAATAAAACTCATGATTGCAGTGGAGAGCATGATGGTGTTGAGAGGTGAGGTGGGACTGAAGCCATATGAGGGATTTATTTCTTCCAGGAGTTTCCCTGACTGATTTCTGATAACAAGAGGTTACATAGTCTAGACTGTTGCTGAGTTTGCAATGATGACAACATGTTTGAACCTCCTTGAACATAGCAGTATTTTATCGCTCTTTGGTGACTAATGAAATTTTGTCTCTGGTCAAGTAATTGGATTCTTAGCATGACACATTTTATTTCAAGTCAAGAAGACACAAGTATAAAAGACTAGTGACTGAATGCCTCGAGTTTATATAGAAATAAAAAAGACTTGGAACTAGAGAGTCTTTGTTTTGGATGGTCTTTCTGGATTTCCTTTGTTAGTCTTTGTCTTTTGTCTACTTTTTTGTCTTCTTAAACTTTGTCTAAATGTTGTCAAACAGAACAAACAAAGCAAAAACAAAACAACAATAGATTCTGCTTCAGAGCTGTGAAGATCCAGGCAACTTTGATGCTTCACAGTTAAAATTTTCCTTTCAGTAGCTGCACTTGCAATTGTCTCCAGCACCAGCAAAGGAGTGGTAAGAGCATCATGGTTTCCAAGATCCAACTTGTAAGGCACGTGGGAATGGGATACTACCTAAGAAGGAATTCTAGTCTTTTATTCTATGTAGAATAAAAAAAACTTATCTTTGTTAACTAAAACCCTTGACTGTTTAAAATAATATGATTTAGGATAATCAATAAATATATTTATAGAGATGCGCTATATAGCATATCTGATATAAATGTTTAATTCATTCCTAGTGGTATGTATAGAGTTTCACCTATGGCTCTGTCTTGCCTTACTCAAAAAGCAGAACAATTTCTTTCTTAGAAAGAAAGCTACCAGTGCCCAGATGCCCACTCCTATTCTTTTTAGGGAATGATAATTTGTTCTCCTTTGAGCCCAGATTTCTCAGTGAATTCTCCAGTATGCTCACAGCTCTCCCTCCAGATATTTTGAGAGCTTGGAGTCATAGTCCTGCATTTTTAAGGAAGCTGTGAAAATCCACATGAGCTCTCCTTTTCCAGCTGTAGAAAAAACTAAATAGTGTCCCAACACCACTGTTGGTTGAGAGTCCTTTGGATCTAAGTTTTCTTCTTCTGTATTCTTATGGGTCCTCGTGAAAAACAAATGTAAGAGAATAGCAGAAAATAAAATACACTGGCAGAAGGATTTTCAATGTTAAGAACTGGCCTATGACAAAACTGGCCATTTTACATCTTTGTCATATTTATAGGTTTACTTTTCTAATACTTATACTTTTGATTTGCGGCGGGAGCTTGGAGTCGGTAAGGTAGCCATAGACAGGAAGATTTGTACAATGATGGAAAGCTAATAAGCACTTGAATTTTGTTAAAGAAAGATTCTCAAATCACAGTATATTTTTGGCAGTACAGAAAAGTATTCTTCTGGGGATAGAGGGAGTGTCCACATAAGTCAGAATGAAAATGAGCTGGGAAGGTGGGTAAATTTCCCAACTCTGGAATTTGTGGCAGAGAGAGCAAATAACTGCGGCTCTCCTGGCGCCTGGTTGCTCGCACCATGTCGAGGCCCAAGCACGCGAAATCCCAGCACATCATTTCGGAGGAGGACCAGGGCGAGCAGCAGCCGCAGCAGCCGACCCCCCCGGAGTTTGTAGATGTGGCCCCCGCGGTGTCGGCGGCGGGGGAGCTTGGTGCTCGGTGGGAGAAAACGCAAGTCTATGAGAAAACTCAAGTCTATGAGAAAAGTTCTTTAGCATCTCTGAGTTCTTGGAACGTAAGAAAAATTGCACTAAAAATCCACCCGTCTTCATCATGAATGATGGCGAGGGTCCAGTGCCTTCAGAAGACATCTCTGAAGCTGTACTGAGCCACCAGCCACCCAGTCCAAGCAGTGAGGATGGCCACAGGGAGAATGGGAGCAGCTCAGGGGACATGAAGGAGAAGCTGGCCGTATCTAAAGACAGAGACGGCCCTGTCACCCACCCCCGAGTAGATAAGATATTTACCCAAAGGCAAAGTGGCCAACACTAACGTGTCCTTGCAGGCACTATGGGGCACCAAGGTGGCTGTGAATCGGCGGAGCGCAGATGCCCTGCCTGCCCCTGTGCCTGGCGCCAACAGCATCCTCGAGCCGATACTGTGTCTGTAGCAGCAGAAGCAGCTACAGCAGACCCAGCTCACCAAGCAGATCCGCATCCCGGTGAACACATTAGCCTCTCGCGCCTGCACTCCAGCGGGGCGGGGCCGACACCCTGAAGACCTTGGGCAGCCACATGTCCCAGCAGCTTTCTGCAGCTGTGGTTTTGCTCAGCCAGAAAGCTGGAAGCCAAGGTCTGTCTCTGGACGCCTTGAAACAAGCCAAGCTACCTCACGCCGGCATCCCTTCTGCCACCAGCTCCCTGTCCCCAGGGCTGACGCCCTTTGTTCCAAAGCCGGATGGGACCCGGCTGCTCCCAAACGTCATGTTCTGCCTCCCCAGTGCTTTACATCCTCAGGCCCCGGGCTCGCTGCTCTTCCAGAGCCCTTTCTCCACTGTGGCGCTAGACCCAACCAAGGGAAGGGAAGGGAAGCCACCGGACATCTCCGTGGTGGATGTCAAATCGAAAGATGATGCCGTCCTCTACAAGCACAAGTGTAAGTGCTGTAGCAAGGTTTTCGGGACTGATAGCTCCTAGCAGATCCACTTCCGCTCCCACACTGGAGAGAGACCCTTCGTGTGCTCTGTCTGTGGTCATCGTTTCACCACCAAGAACGACCTCAAGGTGCACTTTTGCTGACATCCCTAGGTGAAGGCAAACCCCCAGCTGTTGGCCGAGCTCCAGGACAAAGTGGCCACAGGCAATGGCATCCCCTATGCACTCTCTGTACCCCTCCCTGTAGATGAATCAAGTCTCTCTCTAGACAGCAAACCTGTCCTTGTAACCCCCTTGGTAAAGCTACCTGAGAATCCTTCTTTGGTGACTAACCCCAAGGACATCAAGGGTGGCCCCCGGCCAAGCAACTTGCAGCCTGGGCCTTCTCCAGAAAGTGAGGGTGGACCTATACATCCTGGGGTGGGACCAAACATAATTCCCAAAGGACTGGTGGCTTCCAAGGGAATGGGACCACCGACCCCAACGAATGTCTCATTTGCGACCAAGTCTTAAGCTGCCAGAGCTCCCTCAAGATGCATTACTGCATCCACAAAGGGGAGAGATCATACCAGTGTGAGATCTGTGGCCAAGTCATTTCTACCAAAGGTAACCTGAAGACACACCTTGGGGTTCACTGAACCAACACGTCCATTAAGACGCAGCATTCTTGCCCCATCTGCCAGAAGAAGTTCGCCAATGCCGTGATGCTGCAGTAGCAGATTCACCTACTCCAAGATGGATGGCTCCCAATCAGGTATCAGTGCAGATGTGGAAAAACCATGTGCTACTGACAGCATTCCCAAAACCAGTTTCCTCACTTCCTGGAAGAAAACAAGATTGCAGTCAGCTAAGCTAAAGAAGAACTTGCACGAAAGGAGAAATGCAGATGGAGTGAAATCTCTAGAATCCGCTTTTTTTTGTAAGAACTCATCCCCTCCTGTTTTGTTTTTCTTACTGATACGCAAATGATGTTTACGATGGTTGTGATCACAACCTCAGGCAAGTTCTACAATCACAATTGTTGTTATATTGCTTTGCAAAAAATTGAAAAATAAAAAAAATACCAAAACAAATACACACTAATTTTTTTAAATTTTGGAAAGAAGCTTTGTTTCTTGTGACAAACTGTATATATAGAGCCTTTGTACAACCTAGAATGACTTTTTCCAAAGACTGTTACCTATTTCAAGGTAGAACCATTGGAACTTACTGAACAACAGTGGAAAAGACAAATACATAGCCTAACTGAGGGGAGAGGGGTACTGTATACTTCTATGGTAACTGTATGCAGGTCTGTCATCTATTTAGGGACCTGTTTTATATGCCCCAACCCTGTCCTCATCTTATTGTTTGTTTTTTTGAATGTAATAATAAAAAAAATACAAAAAACTAAGGTTGTAAAATTGAAAAATTGCTTCAGCCTTAGAACTTTAAGTAGGATGCCTTCAAATGGACTTATGCTAGTCCTTAGGGAATCAATACGTGTGTTGCTGCTTATTTAAATACAGTTCAATTGGAGCCCCGAGAGTGTCGACGTCCTCCTCACACTTCTTAGATGACTTCCTCTTCCTGAACTCCAGAAGAGGTGGGCACCTGAGCGGGGAATCTCAGATGACTTAATTTAGTTTGCCAGTGCCTACTTTATTGAAGAACTGGGTTTTCATTCTTGAGAAGAAACTCATGGAAGGGCATTTTTCCTATCACAGGTTCACATATTAATTTTTTTTTGTTGAATTTCCTTCTATGACTTATGCCAAATAATTATGGAGATTTTTTGGTTTTCTTGCAGAATATTTCATGAAGGCTATGAAGCTGGAACAGGCAAGTCCTGGGTGTGAAAGCTTTAATTGATCTACCTCATTTATTTTTTAGTTATCATAGACATAGGGTCTGTTTTCCTAGTTTAAGACCACTAAAATATTCCCAGGCCCTGTCTAAAACCTAAGAGTTGATGTATTGGTGGGAAGCGCTGAACGTTCAAGATGGTTTTGTGATGTCTTTTTTTTTGCAATCTCCTTTTGTGCATGTAATATTGAGCAAATGAAACATTGCTCTTGGTTTAACAAGAAAGGAGAAAGAAAGAAAGACTAACTTCTGGGAGAAAAGTTTTTCCCTCTATGTGGAAGGCCCTGACTGAAATGTGGATCCAAGACTATTGGCCAAAGTATTGTCTTTTTGTTGTTGCACTTCACTTTAGGATTCCCTCCACCCCTGCTTTTTTTGGGCAAGTTGTGCCTTTCCTTCTGGAATTGTAAGTGAATACAACAATAGTACCTATTCACACTGTGAAGTGGATATTGTTACAGAAAACACACCAGTGGCTTTCTCAATGTTGAGCTAATAATGTCTTGTGAATGTATAATCTGTGGAGAAACCCCTGTAGTTGTACCTGCTGATGCTGTCTGTTGGTAAATGAATTTTGAATTTTTTTCTCCCCAGAAAAGAAAATGAGTGGGAAGAGAACCAAATAGTTAAGAACATGGTCATAAAGAGTCTAGATTTTGATGAGAGAACAAAGGAAGAGTTAGAAATAAGGTGTGAGAAATGATCATAGTATCTGGCTAGAAAGAAAGCCAACTTTGTTTGAATTTAAAGTGGACCAGAGGGACAAATGGTGTGAAAAGCAGTGTGACTGATGATATCTAGTAGGTAGCAGATGCTGATGGAGGGAGGGAGGGTAGACTGCATAGACAGGAAGGGCCTCAGTATAAGGTAAAAATGATTCATCATTAATAACGACTAATTTTTTTTTTAAGCATAGGTGTTGTGGTGAAGGGACAAGTACAGGAGAAAGTATACAGTTATTTAATTATCTTTCCTAAATGTTGAAAACACACATGTAGCCTTTATAAGATATAGTATTTTGTGAATTAGATGAAGAGTTTGTGCATGGATACTGTGGTGCCTACTAGGGCACCTTCTTCTTAGGTTCAATGAAATATTTAGACTCACATCATGACCACAGGCCCCCTTGGCCCCAGTCTACTTGAAATACTATAGGACAAGAACTTTAGAATGTCAGAGGACAGTGTCAGGTGCTCCTCTGCTGTGGGAGTCCTTGCAGCAGTCTTTACCACTATCCACACAATTGTTCAGGAGCCATTCTCTGTGGCCCTGATTTAGAAGACTCCTGCCCCACAACAGCCAATACCTCTTATAACAACTCCCATCAGGGGTTTATGGTTCATTTATAGTTCTGCCCAGTCCAGATGCAAGTTACCAATAAAGAGTCATTATTATTATCAGTAATGTGCCAGACAACAGAGTTGACATCATTTTTATAAGGTTAGTTAGGGGACAGAGGGAGAAAGTTAACCAAAAGTCAAATTCTCAAGTAGAAATAAAAATGGTTAGCCCTTTACCTGCAGATATCTAAAAAGGCTCTTGTACCTGTGAAACTATAAGACTGCCTAATGCCTCCCTGTGCTGTGCTATCCCAGCCCATACATCTTGGTAATTAATATGGTTTGGCTGTGTCCCCACCCAAATCTCATCTTGAATTATAGCTTCCATAATTCCCACAAGTTGTGGGAGGGACCTGGTGGGAGGTAACTGAATCATGGGGGTGGGCAGGTCTTTCCCATGCTGTTCTCCTGATAGTGAATAAATCTCACAAGATCTGATGGTTTTATAAAGGGGAGTTCCTTTGCACACACTCTCTTGCCTGCCTCCATGTAAGACGTGACTTTGCTCCTCATTCACCTTCTGCCATGATTGTGAGGCCCCCCCAGCTATGTGGAACTGTGAGTCAATTAAACCTCTTTCCTTTATAAATTACCCAGTTTTGGGTATGTCCTCATTAGCAGTGTGAGAACAGTGATCAGTCACTATCTACTGAATGTATATAGGCGACATGATGTAAACTGAGAAATCTCAGTTATCTGACACTAAAGGGCTAAAATTGACAGTCCAGATGACCCAAACCATGCTTCAAACTCCCCACAAGGGCTGTGTAGCCAGGATATATTTTCATTAGTTAGTCCTCATAAAAACATGTAAAGTGGGTGTTGAAACTGTCCGTCAGCCCTTTAGTTTCTGATAACTCACATTTCTCAGTTTACATCATATCATCCATATACACTCAGCAAATGGTAATTGATCACCAAAAACAAAAAACAAAAAACCCCAGCTAATTTGGGAAATATGGAAATACCACCAGGGAAGTAGAGAACGATGCAGGGAGGGAAGGCAGCTAAGGTAGGTGCGCTACCAAGCCAGCTACCATAGTGGGCAACTGGAGCTCATCCTGGGGTGACTGTGGGGAACAGTGCAAACCCACACCTCAGGATGATCCCAGCTGAGGGATGAGGGAGGCAGGACATTTACACACCAATGCCCTAGAGCCATCGGTTGAGGGCTGCTCCCAGAAGGTGCTAACTCCCTGGTACTTTGGCCTGCTGCACAGGGGCAGCAGAAAATAAATCACTGGAGCAGGAAATATAGATACTGGCACCGGGGAGTCACTTGAGCACAGTGAATGATCCCAGGGTTGTGGGCAGGACATGGACAACATCTGTTATGGCAGGCTTGCATTTTAGGTCTGGAAATGCTATGACAAAGAAACTCTTTTTTTCCATTTATGAAGTCCCTCCACAAAGTCTCCGTGGGCTTTTAATTGAAATATGAGCATGAAACATTTAATCTGATGGAGAAGAAATGGTACAGCAAAGTGATTACAAACTCTCAGGAGTTCCACTGCTTGGGTTTAAACCCCATCTCTGCTGCTTGGATAGCTTAGTTGTGTAATTTAGGCAAGGTCTGGAGCCTTTTTGTGCCTCAGTCTTCTCATTTGTGGAATTGGGACAATAAGGATGTTATGAGAATTGAATTAGATGATATGAGTGAAAGACGTAGATAGAACAGATTGTTGGGGTCAGAGATGAATAACTAAGAGTTTTTGCCCTCGTAGAGTTTAAATCTTTTTTTTGAGATGGAGTTTCATTCTTGTTGCCCAGGCTGGACTGTGATGGCGCGATCTTGGCTCACCACAACTTCTGCCTCCCAGGTTCAAGTGATTCTCATGCCTCAGCCTCCCAAGTAGCTTGGATTGCAGGCATGTACCATCACTCCTGGATAATTTAGTATTTTTAATAGAGACGGGCTTTTACCATGTTGGTCAGGTTGGTCTCAAACTGCTGACCTTAGGTGTTCCACCTGCCTTGCCTGCCAAAGTGCTGGGATTACAGGCGTGAGCCACTGCACCTGGCGAGTTTAAATCTTAATGGGGAAGATACTTAAGCAAACAGATCATCTTAATATAACAGGATCAAATTTGAGATTGTGACAGACACAACATCTGTGGGAGCACAGAGAAGATGCATTTAGCACACTCTGAGAAATCAGAATGGCTTCCGGGGAAAGAACATGACTAAACTCCCAGACAGGAGGGGCTGCATGGAGAGAGGAGTGCCAGGCACAGGGAAGAACGCTCCAGGTAAAGCAATGTGAGCCTCACTCACCTTTTTTCTTTTTTATACAATTTAATTTAGTTTAATTTTAAGTTTAGGGATACATGTGCAGGACGTGCAGGTTTGTTACATAGGTAAACATGTGCCATGGTGGTTTGCTGCACCTGTCAACCCATCACCAAGGTATTAAGCCCTACATGCATTAGCTATTTATTCTGATGCTCTCCCTCTCCCCACCCCCCAAAAGGCCCCAGTGTGTGATGTTCCCCTCCCTGTGTCCATGTGTTCTCATTGTTCAGCTCCTATTTCTAAGTGAGAACATGTGGTGTTTGGTTTTCTGTTCCTGTGTTAGTTTGCTGAGGATAATGGCTTCCAGCTCTATCCATGTCCCTGCAAAGGACATGATCTCATTCCTTCTTATGGCTGCATAGTGTATGTACCACATTTTCTTTATCCAGTCTATCGTTGATTGGCATTTGGGTTGATTCCATGTCTTTGTTATTGTGAATAGAGCTGCGATGAACATACACATGCATGTACCTTTTTTTTTTCATTTGAATTGTATTGGATGAAGTGACGCAGGAGTGAGTTTAGGCAATCACTTCAAAAGCTTTACCACTCTGAAGCTGAGGAGTGGAGTATGAGATGGAGGGCTAGGCAGGGGGAGGGGTGGAGTGGGCGTAGGGCTGAGCCCTGGTGGTCCCAGCACTTCCTCTAACAATCTGCATGACTATAGACAAGTCCTTCACCCTCTCTAAGCCCTCGACTCCCCACCTGACCAAAGAGGGGCTTTGGGTAGCTGGGTCGTGATCAGGGCTTATAGCCCTGTCTAAGTGCCCACCTTCAGAAGCGTGCTTCAGCCTTTGTGGGAAGGTGGTTATGCATGCTGCTATGGCCTGTGATTTAGAGGGTTTTGACAAGTGTGGAGAAGTGTCTGCTCCCCTCTCATGCTTCCCATCTGGAGTTCTCAGTTCTTTGCCAAATTCCCTCCAGCTCTTTGGCACGGTGGCCTGGTCTCAGAGCAGGCTGTGCCTTGGAATTTGGCTTTTTGGGGACATGTTCTCTAGTTCTGGCCTGTTGAGGTGGTCTTGTTCTCCTTGTCTCCATCAGTGCCTGCTGGGATTTGGCAGGCCGACCCCCAGCCCAGACTAGGGACAGAAGGCAATGGAAGCCCCTCACTGGGCTGCACTGATGCATGGCAGGACCACTCAGTGTCTTGAGGTTCAGCTGTGGTCTTTCATGCATGATTTAGTATCAGAACTAGGCTTTTGGTGTTTGGAAGACAGCACATCCTCCAAGGCATCACATCAGAGATGAAACTCTCACCTCCATGTTTTCTTTCTTTTATTTTTTAAATTTTTTTACAGAAACGAGGTCTCACTGTGTTGCCCAGGATGCTCTCCAACTCCCGGGCTCAAACAATCTTTTCGCTTTGACCCCCGCAAAGTGCTGGGCTTACAGGCGTGAGCCATGGTGCCCGACCACCTCCACGATTTCTTTACACTGGGATTGCCAGTTGGTGAAGGTTAACATTTAAGAGGTTGGATGTTAATATTGTTGCTTTTCCACCCAAGAGGACAAAGATAGAAAAATGAGTTTCCGTATAAATTAATTGGTCAAGTGGTTGTGTCAAACCCCTCAGAAGTCACCTGGTTTTCCCATATCAGCTGGTGCTCTAAGTCATTTGCAAAAAAGCCATATAGTCTAGTCAGATCACTTCTCTTCAGTCATTTATCTCCATCATCTTGTAGAGAAGGATTTAAATTATTTATCAGTTGAGTCTTACTATCAGTTAAAGTGAGGTTCAATTGTTGACATTAGTAAAATTAAAATAATTGCAGTTTAAACAAGGTAGCTATTTTCTCTTTAATTTCTCTCTTGTATTTCTTTCTCACTTTAATGCCAGCATGTAGGTGGTCCAGGTGGTATGGTTACTTTATATCACAGCAGATCCCAAGCTCCTTCTACCTTGTTGCTCTGCCAGGCAGGACCTCCATGGGTTCCTCGTAGTCCAAGATGGCTGTTCCTGCTCCTGCCATCAAGTCCACATTCTAGCTAGTCGTAAGAAGAAAAGGGGTAAAGAAGGGCATGGTACCTCCCAAAGGCCTTTCCTGGAGGCTGCATATGCTTCTTTCTTTAGAATGTTATTGGATAAAACTCGATGATATAGTCACACCTACCCATAATAGGGACTGGGAAATGTAGTCTTTTTTCCTGGGTGACCATGTGCCCAGCTAAAAGTTGAGTATTCTGTTATTAAAAGAAGAAAGGGAGAGGACATATGAGGGGACAATTGGCAGTTTCTATCACTAACTAGATTTGACTCTTGAGAGTGTTGTATGATCTTGGGCACAGAATTAGAATTATTTGAGCCTCAATTTTCTTATCTGGAAAATCATTATAATGTTATTTACCTCACTGAGTTTTTGCAAAGATAATACAAAAATTAAATAAGGTAATGTTTGTGAAAATGCTCGGTAAACTTCAGAAAGCACTGTACAAGATATTATTAGACAATAATTTGTTTTCACATTTTCTTAAGCAACTTCTCATTATGAAAACAGACAAAAGGAGGGGCACAGCAGGTATATTTTGAATGGAATAAAAGTCACTTCGGAAACAAAAGCCAATCTAGGGACAAGCATGGACGTTCATCTTGTGAAATCAGGCAGAAAAGTCTCAAAAGCAAGTGTTCAAATGTGAGTTTCCCAATTGTAATTGGAAAGATGATGTACTCCACTAAAAAGGGTTTTCCTTTGGTATTTCAGCCTTATTAGCCTTGGCTCAAACCTACAACAGGAGAGGCACTCATAACCGACAAGAGGTAAAGAGATCTTCGAAGAGTTTTTATATCAGGAGGGCTTTATTTGAATCAGGGGAAAGGGTCTTTAAAAAGCCGAAATCCATTTGTCTGTTTTGCCTAATAAGGAAATACTTTATAGCATGTGATGTAGTGCTCTTGGAAAAGAATCAGCACTTTTTCCCTCTAGATTTTAATGGGACCTGACGTAATAGGAATGGGCCTCAGTAAATATTGCATATAATTATTTATTAGATTTGTAAATTCCTCCTACTGCTGAAGCCTCCAGGCATATGGACAAAGGTGGAATATCAGGCGGCAAATACATCCAGACTTAGCAAACACAATTGTGAGGTCATCCTATGAAGGCTCCAATAGAAACGTTGGCTATCCATGGGGCCAGAAGTAAACACTTTGTGGAGCAAAATGACCAGATTAGGAGGCGATGACCCTTTATTTGGGACTGGTCTGGACTGTTGTTGCCAGAGGGAGGAGGCCCTCTTAACTCTTTGTGTCAGTGGTGTGTGGGGCTTTGCAATACTGGCCATTGAGATCACAGTCCAGCTTACAGAGGGCTGACTCAATCACCCACAGACCGAGGGAATCACTTGAAGTACAGTTTTCTCCTTTCATGTGGAAGGAGCAGGAAGAAGTGATAGCAAACCATCTTCTTTGATTTTCTTGTCATATAGAAATAGCCATACTAATGAAGAGGTGCTTAACATGAACCATGAACCAGGCATATTTGGATATAAATCCAGATTCTGCTAGTTAATACCTAGATATTCTGAAGTAAATTACCTGCATTTATGAATTCTGCAGAGTTATTTTGAGAATAATATGCAAGTAATTTACACATAGTAGAGACTCAATAAGTGCATCTGATAGCTAGCTGAGGTATATCGTAGAGAAGAAGGTTAAATACAGAAGACTTACAGTCCTTTCTCTGTCCAGTGAAGCAAATGGGGCCTTATACCAAGCCTCACAATGCTACTGAATTTTGAATTTTGAAGGCACTTTTAAAAAAATTTGTTCAAAGCATCCCAACTCACCTAAAAAGGTAGGTTTATGAACCAAAGCATTCTCTATGGGAAGAATATCCTTTTGGCTCAATTGCTTCACTTTCCCTAATCTCCTTCACCTTCAATTTCAGATTCTTTATGGAATCCCAGAAATGAATGGTCTGGGAAGGTTGTCTAGAAATGTTTTATCTTTAGGAAGAACTGCAAGCAAACCATTCTTAAGGAGTTAAGAATACAGCCTAATACTTAACTGCCCAGTGAGGTACCTGGACACCGTAGTATGTCCCAGAGATTCACGCCACCCTGTGGTAGCTTTGCCATTCCATTCAGGGAATTATTCTTCATATATAACTTCAGTTCCTTATGGTTTAATTTAGGGCACTTAAAAAATGCTCTCATTTGGCATATATTCATTGAAAACCTTCTCTGTTCTTGACATTGCCAAAGCACTGAGACATATATTTGGTCCTTAACTGAATAGAAATATCACTGATATTCTATTAGAAATGAGGCCCTCCTTATATTTGAAGAAAACTCATTATTTCTTTTCAATCTTAACTATTCTCTACTTAAAATTTTAAGAATCAGTTCATACTTTTAGTCTTCACATCTAGGTATTTAGTCCTACCTGAACCCTATCTAATTTCTCCATCTTTCTCTTTCTCTTTTGTAGAAACAAAAACTACCAATTCTTTGAACTTAAAAACTTTTTATTTTTCTATGTTTGGCCACCAAAATGCTCCCATAAAGAGACCAGATTGTTTTGTATGGAAATGTATTATAAGACCAACATTTAAATGGAAAAAACCTGAATTAAGCAGCTATAATTCAGTTGGGAAATTCAAATGAACGCATAAAACACAACAGCTGAATTGAATTAGTCCCCTGATGGTCAATTCACTAGCCACAAAAAATATGAAATGAAAAATCACTTTTTCCAATAGTTTGAAACAAAACCTAAAACATTTTAAAGTCCCTAATCAGTAAGAAGAACTCTGATTTCCTTTACTTTCACGGAAGCCCCTGAAAGTAAGACTTTGAGAGAAATACTTACAAAAAAACTTTGCATCACCAGTCTTAAGGGTAGAGAGACTCACAACCCATCAGCTTGCTTTTAGGTAAATCCTTCCCCCCGACCCACCTTAAAGGTTTCAGATGGTAGACTTTAACACAACTTTGATGGAACTTTTTGATGATACAGAAGGCTTACAACATATGTTTCAAGTTTATGAAACCATTAACGATACAATTTTATTTGTTTCAATAGTACCACAAAAGAAGCAAAATACCCATTTGTGGAGACCTCTGTAATTTCTAAAGTATCTTTATCTCCCAACACACTGTATGATAGGTCAGGGAGGTATTATTTATTTTTTCTGTTAAGAAAATTAGAACTCAGAAGTTGAGGAGCTTGTCCTGAGTCACCCAAAGAAAATGGCAGAGCTGCGGTCACAATTAAATTTCCTGTGTCTCAAATCCATATTGATAGCCTATTGTACTCAAGTCTGTGAAATCCCTATTTTAATAGGTCCATGGGGACATTTGAGTCATTTCCCATAAAGATCAACCTTTACCTTTGGAATCGCTCTGGCCAACTTTTGTTTCATATGCATGTGTGGCTTATCACAATGTCTTGTGTTTCTATTGCTCCTTTCTCTGAGAAAATCCAGGCACATTCCAGACACTCAAGTCTAATCAGCTCTGACAGCAGAGAAGCAGGATTGGACTACGATGGGGGTCATTTGGCACTTGCCCAGTGACTGTGGTGTAACCCATTCATTCAGGTATTCCTGGAGTAAGAATGGCCTCAGTGACCCACCACCTCTGTATGCTAGGTACTTGGTTGGTGTTCCCTTCTCCTTAAAATCATACTCATGTAACCCCTGCTGCTTATCCCTTGCTGTTATTCCTTTTTTTTTGAGACGTGCCAAACTTCTCAAAAGAGTAGTGCATGCTTGCTATTGATAATTTCTCTTCTCTTATTCTCAATGTGTCATCCTGGTATTAGCTCTGACTTTCCCTCTAAATGATGCCCATATACTTTCTCAGGTTTCTTTCTCCTTAACCTAAATCTGGCTGCACTCTTGTTCTTGAAATTTTCTTCTCCATAACTGTCCTGATCTGGTTCTCTTCTTCTTCCTAGCTCTCCAGGTACCATTTTTTCTCTCTCGTTCTCTTTTTTTTTTGTTTCTTCTGGCTCCATTTTATTGTTTCCACTCCATAACAGTGTTCTTAACCCATAGTTCTTTAGGCTCTACTAACTTTTTCCTTTTAGCATATCGTTGCTTTTGTGGCTTCATCTCTGACATAAATTTTGAATGACTCCCAATCCACAGCTCAAACTATGTTCTCTTTTCTCAGCTTCAGCCTCAAATTTGCAGATGTCTACCCGACAGCTCCACTTTGATGCCCAGTTGCCACCTCAAACTTATGTCTAAATGGATTTCTCCTGGTCCCTCTCAGACTTCTTCATTTCTGTTGGTGGCATCATTCTTCCACTTACTCAAGGTCATTGTTTATAATTATTTTTTCATCCTTTTTCTTTTCCCAAATACAACACTGACTTTTCCCCTCTCGCATTACATTTCATCCTTCTATTCCTAATGCCATCATTATAGTCTGGACCATGCCTATTGCAATGAGTTAAGTGTCTTCGATTTCTACGGACTATAACACCACCCTACATGTTGTGCCACCCAAGTAGTTACCTTTTGTCCTCATTTGATATAATTTATGTCTACACTTTGGGCTGTGGCTTCTCTGCCATATTCTGTTCTATGCACTTCTTCCAACTTAAAGATGAGAGATTTATAGTATAACTCAAATAAAATCAAGCTTGTTCTCCCATGGAAACCATAGACTCCCATAAATTTTAATGGGATCTTAGCTCTCTGATGTTCTTTCCTATTTGGAGTAGAACATGTGGCAAGGAAAACAAAATCATTTCTTAGTCTTATCTTTCTGTAATGTGGTTTCTCTGGGCTGGTTCCTCTGAAAGAACTGGCTTCTACAGTGAGGTCTGATGAATGCTATGTCCTGGGCTGTGGTCACTTTGTATTTGACATGAATGTATGCACTTCTCAGCCTCCCAGGCACGGTTTACAACATTCTTTATTGTTTTTCCCATCTGGAGAGAGATAAGGTATAATACTTCTTATTGATTTTGGAAGCATTTCTATAATGCAAACAACACCTATCTGAGAAACCTTGTACTAATCACAGAAAAATGTGATCATGTGGGTCGAGGAGTGCAAGAATTTCCATAGCTGTAGGTCTGTGGGAGTATTTCCTTCTTATGATTCAGACCTTGGTTCAAAACAGTTCTCTCAATGGAAAAGGTACAGCACAAAAGCAGGATATTGGAATTATTTCTGCATTCATTCTGGTTGTACCTTAAAGTTGGAAAAACCCTTCCTTGCTCCATTTCCCTGTTGGTGAATTATGCCCTAGATTTCCTTGTTCACTGAGGAACTTACTGAAACTTCTAGCCCAATAGCCTTAAGGGGACTCTGAAGCGAGGGAGTTCACATGGCACCGCCAGGCACACTGATTGCTAGTGACAGAACCTAGACAGAACCCTCTATATCCTGCCTTTGGGTCTAGTGATCTCCTCATCGTGGAGTGGAGAGATTTTAGTGAAACACAGTGGACCCATCTTCAAATTTGAGAGGTCTAGGGAAAGAGTTCAAATGGAAGCCTATGTACCCTATGTCTAAATATTGAAATTTGTAAGTCAGGCTGAAAGATGTTAAATAAACTATAAACATATCTTAGTAATAAACTGGAAAGTCTGATTAAAATTGTGACTTCTCAAAATCTCTATGGAGTACTACAATGGTGTAGTGTGGGAGAATGCATCTCCGACCTGACCCATTCATTTCCCTTCTTGGAATCAACTCCAATCAATACCTGAATGGGCCTTGTGTGCCCACATTCCAGTTCTATCCACTCCTCCTCCAAACAGCTGCCTCTTGGGGTTAAGTGGCATACACCAGCTGTGCAGTTTATTCTTAAGAGGTCACATCTGGGAGGAAGCCCACATAAGACCTGGAAGCAGGCTTGGGATGTTTGGGCAAGAAACTCCAGAGTCTTCAGGACCCAGAGAGTGGTATCAAAGGGGGATGTGATTCACCTTGGCTGTGCAGGCTCCTTGACTGATATAAACTGGTCATAGGCACAGTTGGGTATCTAAGGCAGGACCCCTCTTACCTGGGTCTTAGGACAGCACTGAAATATATCAAAGGTACATTGAGAATACTGTTCCTTTGTAGCTTTGATACATTTGTAGAACACTATTGTTAGGTCTTTCCACTCTGACTTCCCATCATCTTTCAGGGCTGGCTCTCACCTGCTGTAGAAAACACACAAACCCCACTGATGAGCCTCCAATGTAGGTGGAACGAGTCCAACCAATCTATTTCCTCTATGTTACCGACCTGAAATGACTCCCTCCTGTATTTCCTTGTGTTAAATTTTGCCCTCATCTCACTGCTAGAAGTCCAGGTAGCCCCTAGTACAAATTCACCCTTTGGAAAAGCTGTGATTTAGTGCCAGGTCTAGGAGATGCTGTGTAGCAGGTGGATGGGGAGCCTTAGGCCTCCTTTCGATTCTCCCTCTTGACTCCCAAAAGTTTCTTCTTCTCAATTGTCAGATGCCTATTCTCTCATGTCTCATCTGCCACCTTTACCCCCCACCACCCTTATGCATTCTGTACTTTGAAAATACCTCATCTCCCCCAGTCTTTTTTGTGCCATTTTCTTAAGCCATCAAAAGTCTCTTCCCTTCAGAGAAGCTGTGTGAAGTGTATAAATTTTTTTTTGCTACATTAATCCATTAGAAAAACTTGTAAGGTAAGAAAGTTCATCTTGAAGCCACCAGGCTGTCTTTTCCCACCCTTGTGTTGTCCCCATTGTGCTGTTTCCATTTTCTCTTTTCTATCAAATCAAAACCAGCTCTCAGGAAAGAATACTCATAGGTAATTTGTGGTATCTTGGAAGTGGCATAAATGACTTGGTCTTCCAAAAGAAATGTTGCTGGTGGGGGCTGGGGGGAGCAAGTATTCTGGGTCACTTGAAAAGGCCGTAGAAGTCATAATATGTTGGGTGCCTGAATGCTCAGCCTCTGTATCTGCCATTCAAAGGGCCCTGCAAAGCAAGGCCTGTTATAATCCAGGTGTGTGTCTATATGCACCGAGGGTCACATTGTAGAAAAAAAGTGCAAAGACAACAATTTATTCCTAGTTTTTGCAAATCAGGATTGTCTTCTCCTTAGGGCAGGAAAATGAACTGGAGGAAGGAGAATAAACACAATGCTGAAGAGCCTGTTTATGGGGGTTCAAGCATTTCTGTTTCCTTCCTTGCTTTGCACCTCCTCACTCTCTTAACACTCAGATTTCTGGAATGGACCCAGGATGCAAATGTAGCTATAGGATTTGGATGCAATTCCTCTATGTTCTCTGCCATACCTCCTTTCAAAATGAGTCAAGAAGAGAGAAAACATAAAGATCATCTTCTCTTTTTAATATAAACAATCTGTGGCTGCAGGAAAAGGGGTTGAAACACGAGGGATAGATATTACTCAGGGTGACAGTCGGCCTTCTGCAGAATGACCTTTACTGACTGTTTATCCTGACTGTTGGAGAGGAAGGCCAGGAAATGCTTTCAAAACGTGGACACATCAGTAACCAGGATATATATATGTTCAGTGACTGTTCCTCTTCTACCAACTGAAATGATACGCAGTTTTATTTCTATTTTTACAAAATAATTGAAGCGAGTTCGTTGCTTTCTCCAGGGAAGTAACTGAGACATAATTTCAAGTATTAATACAACAGAAGTCTTAAAGGTATACGTGGCACATGATGCTTGAACTTTTACAAAATACTTTTCCTTAGAGGAAACTTTGGAGGCTGAATGATGTTATGGATAGAGTTCAAGTTTTGAAGTTAGATCTGTTTTAAATCTGTTTCCCTGTATGAAGAATGGTGTTGCTTATTCTCTTCGATCCCATTTCTTTCTGTATAAATGTAGTAACAACATTTAAATCTTTCTTGATTGCTACAAGGGTCAAATGAGAAAATCTATGTGAAGTGTCTGGCGGGGAGTTGATGCTCAATGAAATTTAGTTTCCTTCTATGGCCAGAGACTGCTTGTTGCCTAACCAATATCCATATCCCCTTTTCATTTAGTACAGACCCTGATTTCATTCTGATGGCTGTATGCTCAGTAATGAGGCCATATGTCCCAGCTTCCTTTGCTGCTAGAAGTGGTCATGTGATGTAGTTCTAATTAATAAAATGTATACAGTTGTTGGGTAAGGTTCTGGGAAAGTGCTGTAAAGGGGAGGACATCAGCTAATCCAGACTTTTTCTATTCCTTAACTCCTTCTCCCTATTTCTCCTGGAAAGCAGACATAATGGTTGGAGTTGCTGCAGCCATTTTGGATCATAAGGCAACTTTGAGGGTGCAGCCATGCGCTATTAATCAGAATTGTAGAGAAAGATAGGTATCTGGATCCCTAATGACACTGTAGAGCTATAGCTGCCTAGGACTGCCTACCTCTGGACATTTTAAAAATATGTGTGAGCTGAAGAAATTTTTATCTTGTTGAAACATCTCTCATTTCTAGCATCTGTTATTAAGCAATGGAATACAATTCCTAACTAATATGCCTTTCTCTTATACTTATTTGCTCTTATTTAATCCTCACGTTTATCCTGTGAGTTAGTTTAGTTTTCCCTATTTTATAAATAAAAAACCTGAAGTGAAGAGGGTTAAGTATTTTGCTCCACATCACTCAGCTATTCTGGGTTACCACTGATTTTTAACTTTATTATCATTGCTCTTTCTACCATAAAGGGTAATCTGTTGAGTTTTCCCAAGACCCTTTTACCCTAGGTCTTGCAGCCAGTGTGGCATGATGGTTAGGAGGCCAAACTCTGGAGCCAAACTACCCAAATTTGAATCCTGGTGCTACCAGTTACTGCTGAGAGATTTATGTGCAAATTGCTTGACCTCTTTGAGCCCCAATTTCCTCCTCTATAAAATCGAGATAGCAACACCTCATAGAGTTGGTATCATCCTGAAATGAGTCAGTGTATCTAAAATGCTTAGAACAGTGCCTGGTATATAGAGAGCTATTAAGTGTTAGCTATTACCGTTCCTTTTTCTACATCAGGCAGACAAATCCACTCATTGGACACAAAATCTCTAAAACCATAGCTAATCTTGAAAGATTTTACCATATTTCTGAGGTTTCAGATTTACATCAGTGTTATGGGGCATGAGTATTCTTAGCTAATTCAGAGTCCTTAGCTAATCCTGAGACCTTCCTGTGATCACATGGTTATGAGTGGGGGCTCCCTGTAATGGCACCCCTGATGGGCTGGGAGCCCAGGAATCCCTGGTGGTGGGAATACCATCTTTGTTATATAGGAAATGGGAGCAGGTGGCTGATAGGATTCTGGGTGAAGAATACTGGGGCGTGAAGGACTAAAAGTTAAGTATAGAATGGAGGCTCGAAAAGACATGTTGATATCTTAGGAAGAAAAATATAATTTTCTAGACTGGAGCCAAGAAAGAAAAAAAAACACACATAAGGGAAGGCTGTAAGGGAAGGAAATAAAATTTAAAAAGGGCAGAGAAATTCTCAAGCCTGGTGAGGTCTGGAACTTACAGACTTTAAGTCCTCGGGATTTTCACAGTATGCCAACCTGATATGCATATTTTCATTTCATGGTGGGGAGGGATTAGGGGAGCAATTGTTTCCCGGGGGAACATTCTCTAAAAATATAACTTTTTACATAGGTTTTTTTTTTTTTGAAAAGGTAGTGTGTTTCATGAGGATGAAGACCACAATGAGGACATCAGAAGAAGGATTCTGTTTTTTTTTGGGGGATGGAGTTTCACTCTTGTTGCCCAGGCTGGAGTGCAATGGCCCGATCTTGGCTCACCACAACCTCTGCATACTGGGTTCAAGCGATTCTCCTGCTTCAGTCTCCCAAGTAGCTGGGATTACAGGCATGTGCCATCACACCCGGCTAATTTTGTATTTTTAGTAGAGATGAGGTTTCTCCATGGTGGTCAGACTGGTCTTGAACTCCTGACCTCAGGTGATCTGCCTGCCTCGGCCTCCCAAAGTGCTGGGATTACAGGCGTGAGCCACTGCGCTCGGCCTAAAAGAAGCATTCTGAAAGCTCAGCATGACCAAGGAGGGAAGGGAGGATGGTGAGAGGAAGGTCTTCTTCTTTGTGCTTGTTCCTCTGTGAGCCCACAGCAAGGACCTGGCCAACCTCTTCCTGCTCTGCCCTGCCTGAGGTGCCGACTCACCCCAAGGTGAACTCTGTAAGACTTCTGGACATCTGTCACTTCCCTATGTTGCCTATTTTTGAGGTCCTTTGTCAGTTTCCTCACAGAATTTGTTATAAAATTCTTAAATTAAAATGGGATTCTGTGTTTGTCCTTACTGTCAGTCAAGGAGGCAAGGTGAGGAAGCCTGCCCCAGTTGGGCAGGTGAGGGCAAATGTGGGGAGTGGTAGTGACAGGGAGAGGGCATTGTCCTGGGGTTTGCTGGAAGGGAAGCAGGGACAGATGGAGGGATGATCCTGGGTGTGCATTCAGAAAGGCTTGCGATGGTTTCTTCTATCCTGGCCTGCTTTGTAGGAGAAGCCACACTGGGCTGGTCCTTGTGTTTCTTCTACCTCATTTTTAAGTTCCTTTGAAGCTTATTGTCTGAGATAAAGGGGACACCTGTGTTTTCAGTGGGCTCAGCTCAGCTGCTCCGTGAGCAGGAATACATTTACTATACTTGGTCATTGCATATTAAGCCCTTTGTTTTTGTTTTTAAAAGGTTCAGTGGTTTCCTTTTATCCACCTCACCCCCCATTCCATCCAGTCTGTCACGTGGCCAGTGTTGTGTGCCTTAAACAGATGTTCTCAATTTCCCTGAGGAGTAAGTTATGGATGAGTCAGCCCCAATGGGGTGGGTGATGGAGCTGCCTAGAAGTGTTTCTTATCAGCTCCCAGGAGGCTGCCTCAGGTTCTAAGGGTAGAGGTGGCCCCAGGAAAGTGGGTGTCAACTGTTCACAGGAAACAACTGAAGCAGGACTTTGAGAACTGCAAAGAATAGGGCATCAGCCACAAGATAATTTAGGTCCCCAAGCACTAGGCGTTGACTTTCTCCTCCCACAACACCTTTGAGAATTGTAATTTGCTGCAGCTCATGTTGGTTCAAAAATATTGCAGGGCAACTCTCCTTGTTTATCTCACCTAAGTGGCTCCTGAATCCATTGGAAAAGAACCCTCCAAGTTGAGTTATAAACATTAAAAGATGACCTGTTGGTCTCATAAATAACTTTGCTGTGCTGTGTGTGTGTGTGTGTGTGTGTGTGTGTGTTCGTGTGTGTGTGTGTAGAAAACTTATCCAAAAATTATTTCAACCCCTAGGCAATTGCCAGGGAATGTCTTAGAAAACCACAGTGGGCATTTTGGAAAAATGCTCTGGGGATGGGCCCAGAACACCAGAACAGCTCAGTGGCTGCCTCTTCTATGATGTTACAGGGGAAGACTATAAATCTGAACCCTCTGCTGCCCCCACCCCCACATTACTCATATCTCAGCTCCAAGGCAGCAATAGCAAATCACTGTGCCGGAGCCACTGCTTAACATGTTTTACTTCCTTTTAGTTGAGAAGCTTTTTGGTTGGTGTTCAAGTTATCTATTGTTGTATAATAAAACCCCCAAACACAGGGGCTTAAAATAACAATAACCATTCTGTTTGCTCATGAACTCACAATTTGGCCAGGGCTTGGGAGGAGCAGCTCATCTTGCTCCACAAAGTGTCATTTGAGGACACCTAAAGGTGGAGTCATCTGCAGGCTCACTCATTCACATGTGTGGCTGCTGCTTGGGAAATTAGTTAGAGCTCAGCCAGAACACCCACATGTGGCTTCTCCACATGACTGCCTGGCTTTCTCACAGCATGGTGGCCAGGTTCTAAGACAACAACCCAACAGAACAAGGCAGAAGCACATGACGTTCTTATGACCTAGCCGTGGATGTCACTTACCACCATACTTCATTGGTGAAGGTAGTCCTCATTCAGTTTCTGGAGACTTTCTTCTTTAACATTATTCTTACAATATTACTCTGAATCCATTTGTCCTGGTCTCTTATAAAAAAAAGCACTAATCACCCATGCATTAGGTCACTTTTGTTATCTACACAAATAATTTTTCCTTTCAGTGTATTTTTTTTTCTGTTTGTCATTTTCCTATGCTTCTGGGAGAAATTTTTGTGTTTATCCTCTACATGACTTAATTTTCCACATTCTCATTCTGTTCTTTAAAAGATTGATTTAAATTCTTCTATAGCATTTTTTATTACATAATTTCCTGAACGCTGCAGGCTTTTTTTTTGACTTATTCTTATGGTTCTTATGTTTAACCCTTTCTTCTTTTATTAATCAAGGTTTGTATTAATTTTGTTAAGAAAGATAGTAAATGTTAAGGTTTTTGTTTTTGTTTTTTTTTTTGCAACAGTGAATCTTTTTTTTAAATGGGCTGTTTTCTACTTCTTTTGTTTTTTATTTACCTCTTTCTTCCACACTGCAGGGCACCTTCACAGTCCCTAATTTTTAAATTTTGTTTTCTGTGTATTCACTCTTGAGAAAGAAGAGAAATATCCCACTGTGGTAACAACTAAAGAAAGTACAAACGTGTTTGTTTGAGTCCTCTTGTGTCCACCTGTTGGCAGTTAGATTCTTCCTCCCAAATGTCAGGTTCAGGGGTTGTACTTTTAGATGATGTTTTGAGAGGTCTCGTGGGCCAGGAGATCCTGGAGAAGAACCCAGCATTCTCAGGAGTCACAGCGAAGAATCTTCATTTCTGTTGCTACACCAGTTGCCAGATGTCCAAAACCTGAGGTCACTGAGGGGCATGGCTGGCTGAGACTCACCTCTGTCCTGGAGCAATGGGCTGGTGTGTGTGGAAGAAGATCCCATTGAAGGGAGAGTAGAGAGGTTGAGTCCCACTGCACTGAGAAGGATCCTCATCCAGGGACTTCTTAGGATTTCTACCTGCAAGCTCTTGGTTTAGTGTGGCTGTGTTTGCTCTTGGACCTTGTAATTCAGCTAAATTCGGGAAGCTGTCCATCAGCTGGTGCCAGATGAACACTGGATGGGATTGTGCTGGTTGCCCCTCAGCCTGCTCTTATCTCTGGCTCCCAGCCCTCCACATTAGGGGTGGTAGGGTATTCTGACAGGTTTTCCTTTGCTTACAAGAAGTAGGGTTGTACCATTTCCTAGGGAAGGAGAGTTGTGATTCAGCAGTCAGCCTTTTCTTTCAGCCTGGATCCATTGGCCTTTTAGCAGAAATCCCTTAACTTTTAAGTATACAAATGACGCCTTTCTTTGGTTTGAGCTATAAGATTTTTATCCCTCTTTTTTTGTTGTTTTTTTTTGTTTGTTTGTTTTTTTGAGACAGTCTCGCTCTGTCACCCAGGCTGGAGTGCAGTGGCATGATGTTGGCTCACTGCAACTTCTGCCTCCCAGGTTCAAGCAATTCTCCTGCCTCAGCCTCCCAAGTTGCTGGGATTGCAGGTGCATGCCACCACACCCGGCTAAGTTTTGTATTTTTAGTAGAGATGGGGTTTCACCATGTTGGCTAGGCTGTTCTCAAACTCCTGACCTCAAGTGACTGTCTGCCTCGGCCTCCCAAAGTGTTGGGATTACAGGTGTGAGCCACCACGCTTGGCCTTTGTCCCTCTTTTTACCTCCAGATTGATATTCCTTCAGAAATAATTTCAGCTCATTTCAGGGTGCAGGAGTGTTGGGATTTCTTCACTCGTTTTATCTTTTCCCCCAAATTATTGTTGGATTAATTTAGACTAGAGCTTCTCAAACTCAGCCCTATTGACATTTTGGGCTGGACAATTCTTTATTGAGGGGGGCTGTCCTGGGCATTGCAGGATGTTTAGTAGCATCGCTGGCCTCTACCCACTACATGCTGGTGGCACCCTATCCCCACCACCAGCAGCCTCCAGCTGAGAACCACTGCTCTAGAGCTTCTGCAATGCATCCTCCCACCATCCCCATGCCATGGCATCTCAGACCCCAGAACTGGAGGGCATCTTGAGAGATCACCTGTGTTTGCCCCCTTTTGTCAAGCAAAAAAGATGTTGTTATCTGCTTTCAACAGATGAGGTTAGATGATAAAGATGAGGAGGAAGAGGCAACTGAGCCTGGCCCGAGATTGCCCCTTTACACTTATTTATGAGAATAGGACTTGGGTTTCTTGTCTTCTGGAGCTTCTGCTATATGCTTTGTAGTCCTGGCCCATTAGGAGATAAAACTTCTCCATACAGGAACCCTGCTTGGCAGGACTTCCCTAATCCTTATTTATTTGAGACAGGAGAAAATGCTGAGAATGACTTAATTGGCTTACAGTGTACACATGTTGGAGTTTATGCTCTAGGAGTAATTCTGCTATGCAGAAGCTCTGATTTCCCTGTGAGGCTTGGCTCTGCAAGGAGGGAGTGGAAATGAATGATGGGCAGAGACAGACAGCCATGGACATGAGAGTTTACTGCTCTAACCCTCACTGGTTCTCATCAATGTCAGGGAAGAGCTAGTTATGAAGAAACGGGAGGTTGGGGAGTGTTGTTCAATTTAAATTACAGGGTGTTTGAGAAAGAGGCCACTGCTCTCAGACAGGAAAATCCTAGCCTGTTGAGTGGGAGAAAAAAATCGTACTGAGCAGACATAAAAAGAGTATGAGGGAGGTAGTTCAACTCCGTGTGACTGCTGAAATGACAGCTCTTTGGGAACTGCACAGTTATCACCCTGAGTGTGTGACTATTTTAGCTCACAGGAACTCCAAATGGGGTTGTGTGAAAGGCCTCATTTAACTTTGAGGCCCGAGAGGCCCCCAGGGAGACAGATGTGTTCCTCAGGAACAAGAAGCAGCTCTGCGGTGTAGGCCTACCTCTCTTCCTGCACTGTCCTTCTCCAGGGAAGAAGAAATGGTTTGCTGTACACAATTGGAATGTGCTGAAGGGGAGCAGGGTAGTAGTCAGATCCTTCCCTTATTCCTGCCAATGTTACTTGATGATTCAATTTCTCAGCAATATCTGGCACATGGTTCCCAGGTCATCGGTGAGAAGAAGCAGCCTCAACCGGGTCATGGAGCCTCTCAGCTAGAAGCCCTCTTAGCTGGAGCTGGCACCCATGGAGTTCTCACCCCCTTTGCCAGTCCCACCCCTGGCCGCAGCAGCCACCGCAAGTAACTGTTGACTCCCTGTGTGCGAGGCTCTATGGGATAGGAAGCTGCTGCATGAGATGTAGTTCCTGTCATCAGGGGCTTGCAGTCAATTTGAGTGGACACATGAGAAAGATAAGAATCGATGAGAAAGCCAAAAGAAACCTCAGCGTAACAACAACCAAAACATCTCAACATACTCTATGCTACATTCTTGAGAAGTCCAGACAGTCAATGTCAAGGTGATAGAGTATCGCTGTACCCTAAGGTTCTTGGGGGAAGACTTCCCATTGGCTCCTGTGAGTCAAGCTGGGAGGAAAAGGTGATAAAAACCACCAAAGTGTTACCAGTATCCAAAAGTCCTTCAGGGACTTCATCATCACAAAAGTCCTTCAGGGAAGATGTTATCAGCACTCTCATTTTACGGATAAGAAACCAGAGGCTCGATGAAAGCGAATAAGATGGACAACTTGAGTATTCTACCACATGCCATGCATTATAATTGGAATTTACAAGGCTTCATTAAATTTCCACAACCAACCTGTGATCATTATTATTATCACTATTTTTACAATTTCAATTTTACAGCCAAGGAAACTGATGCTCAGCACAGCTAAGTAGCTTTTCCAAGACCATACAGCTTGTCTATAACTTCAAGTCCTAAGCTTTTTCCATTTTAGCCACATAAATATGACTTGGAGGAAGGAGTAAGGAGGGAGTGAGGAGACATTCTTGGCAGGAAGAGTAGCTTAGGCAGAAATGTATCTGGCATGTGTAGAAATCTATCTCATATCTTTGGGGTACAACCCATAGTCCATGAAGACCAGAACAGGATTTTCCAATTACAATGCAGGGTATATGATAGAATATCCAAGTTGTTCATTTCATTCTCTTTCTTTGAGCCTTTGCTTCCTTATCTGTAAAATGAGAGCACTAATATCATCTTCCCTGTGTGGGACTAGTCAGGAGATCAGCTTGACAAGTAGTAGGGCTCTGATTTTCTTTTTTTGAATAAATCTATGAGGGAAGTGTTAGGTGGGTGAAAGGGGAGAGTCTGGAAAGCTGTCAGATCACGTGGGTGAGTATCCCATAGTCCAGGATGGGATACCGGAACTTGGTGTGACTGCTGAAATGACAGCTCTTTGGAAAGTGATGAGAGTGACACATAGGAAAGACCTGCCAGGCTGAGTTGATTGTATTTGTGAAAAGGATAAGCAGGCATTAATGAGGGCATCAAGATTCTAAGCATCAGTGACTGGGAGAATGAAGACAGAAACAGGTGTATTCAAAGAGGATATATACATATGTATATATATATATATTTTAAAACATCAGGCCAGGTGCAGTGGCTTACACCTGTAATGCCAGCACTTTGGGACGCCGAGGCAGGCAGATCACGAGGTCAGGAGATCGAGACCATCCTGGCTAACACGGTGAAACCCCGTCTCTATTAAAAATACAAAAAATTAGCTGGGCGTGGTGGCGGGCGCCTGTCATCTCAGCTACTCCGGAGGCTGAGGCGGGAGAATGGTGTGAACCCAGGAGGCGGAGCTTGCAGTGAGCCGAGATTGCGCCACTGCACCCCAGCCTGGGCGACAGAGCGAGACTCCATCTCAAAACAAACAAACAAACAAACAAACAAAAAAACATCAGTTCCATTGTTGGGCTGCTCTAGGAGTATGAACAATCAACACTACTTAGAATGCTTTGATGGAAGCAGATTCTATCAGCTTTGCTGTATTAAAAATCAAATACTCTTAGGACAGTGGAAATACTCACTGACCAGGCAGTTTGGTTCAACAGTGGTTGAACATTAGATTCTTCAAGGTTGAGTTGGTAGCCTCAAGAATTTCAGACAGGCTGCATTTTATGAATTAAATCAACTTTTGAAGTTCCTCTCAACCACTATGTGTATGGGATTCTAAACTGGCTCTACCTAGTACTTGGATTATTGGGAAATGGGAAGGGATTATTAGGGGCATGCAGTGAGTTTACTGATATTCACTCATTCATTCATTATTTATTCTTTGTGCACCTACAGCCTGCCAGGAACTTTTCTAAGCACTTAGCAGTGAACAAAACTCTCATGGAACTTCCACTCTAGAACCAATTTCTTCAGGAAACTGGGTCAGGAGGAGAGATTCTAGTGTGGGATTTTCTGGGTGTGAGTGTGCATCCAGTGATAATCCCACAGACGTTGTAGAAGCTGTGCAGAGGAAGATGCCTGCTCTTGTCTTGAATTGCAAATTTTGGCCAGAAATGTGTGGCATTCACATGCCCTTGGCCTTTCCAGAGGGAAGTTGCCATGTAAGAAACTGAGTTGCCCTCGACTGTTGATCCCACCCTGAGGTTAAAAAGCCATTTTTTTTCCCTTCCTTCATCTGGCACTTTTGGGACCTGTCTTGTCTTTGTGATGGCAAAAGCAGAGAGTGTCAACCAGGCCACGGCCCAAGTTGTTTGGGAAATAATTTTCTTGGAAAAGCTTGAACCACAAGAGTTTATATAAAGGGCCCTTTATACCTCACCACACTGAGTTTCGTTTGGAGGAAACTTGTAGACTACAGATAAATAATTTCATTCTTTATATTTATTATCTTTGCCGTATTCTATTTTAGTGAACATGGAAAAGAAATCTTTAGCTTGAATGAAGAGCCAATTAAGTTTTTTTTTCCTTCTCAATTTTATTGCTGTTCTTTAAAAAAATTCTTTTCTCAGTTGCATTTTAGACCCTTTCTGGCTTGTCTAGTCTATTCTTTGGAAGAGGTAGGTACCCACCAAGGCTGATTTCCTACAAAAGGGAAAACTTCTCTCTTCATATTCCTTTCCCAGGCACAGCAGGTTTTCTTTGGCTGGGTTTCTTCTGTCTCTTTCTCCTTGAATGGCTGCTTGTCCTGGAGAGACAGGCACACTTATTGTTCTTGGAGGAGGAAAGGATTGGGTTACAGCTTTTCTCTCTGAAGAGACTGCCATTCTGTCTCCAAGACTCTGAAGGTCTGTTCAAGCCCAAGGGCAGCTTCAGTTCTCAAGGTTTCCATGAAGCTTCCCTTACCAGGGGCCCCTGTTCTCTCTGTGGGTGGCTGGGGAGAAGCAGCACTAGACTAGGAATGAAAGCCCCGAATTCATCCTGGCTCCTCCATGTTGTTGGTACCATCAAATAGGCCACTTAACTCTTCAAGTCTAGGTTTTTCATCTGTTACAAGGAAAGCAGTATCACCTCCTCAGAGCATTACTGTGAAGACCAACTACAACAACGGATGTGAAGGGCATATAAATTGCACACACTGTATAACTGTTGGGCCCCATCTCACTTTACTTTGACCCAGAATTCAGATAATCCATGTCTCCACTTCTTTAATTTTTTTTTTTAATTTTAATTATTATGGATACATAACAGCTGTGTATATTTATGGGTACATGTGAAATTTTGATACAAGCATACAATGTTTAATTATCAAGTCAGGATAATTGGAGTACTCATTGCCTCAAATATTTATCATTTCTTTGTGTTAGAAACATTCCAATTCTACTTTTTTAGTTATTTTGAAATATACTCTCTCTCTCTCTATATATATATATATATTTTTTTTTTTTGAGATGGACTTTCGCTCTTGTTGCCCAGGCTGGAGTGCAATGGCGTGATCTCAACTTAGCACAACCTCCACCTCCCAGGTTCAAGCGATTCTCCTACCTCAGCCTACTGAGTAGCTGGGATTACAGGCATGCGCCTCAATGCCCGGCTGATTTTGTATTTTTAGTAGAGACGGGGTTTCTCCATGTTGGTCATGCTGGTCTTGAACTCCTGACCTCAGGTGATCCACTGGCCTTAGCCTCCCAAAGTGCTGGGATTACAGGTGTGATCCACCATGCCCAGCTGAAATATACAATATCTTATTGTTAGCTATAGTCATCCTATTGTGCTACTGGACACTAGATCTTGTTCCTTCTATTTAATTGTATTTTTGTACCCGTTAACTAACCTCTCTTTCCACCCACTCTGTACTATCCTTTGCAGCCTCTCGTAACCATTGTTTTACTCTCTCTATTCCCATTCAGTCCTTTTTTAGCTCCCACATATGAGTGAGAACGTGCAATATTTGTCTTTTTTCGCCTGGCTTATTTCATAAGATAATGACCTTCAGTTCCATTTACATTGTTGCAAATGACATGAATTCATTCTTGTTGTGACTGAATAATACTCCATTGTGTATATATACCACATTTAAAAAATCCATTCATCTGTTGATGGAGACGTAGGTTGATTCCATATCTTGGCCATTGTGGATAGTGCTGCAATAAACATAGAGGAGCAGATATCTCTTCCATATACTGCTTTATTTTCTTTCATATATAAACCTAGCAGTGGGATTGCTGAATCCTTTGGTAGTTCTATTTTTAGTCTTTTTGAGGAACCTCCATACTGTTCTCCATAGTGACTGTACTCATTATGACATGGTGGTGCTGGCAACCCATTGGCTGTGATTTGGGTCTGTTGGTGGGTGCAGAAAGTTGGGAATGCATACTTCAACTCGGTAGGGATTGAGTCCAGGAAGGGTTCTGTGCAGTTCAATGATATAGTGAGAGCTGAGTTTAAGAAGCTTAATAAAAAGTGAATAGAGGATATATTGGATAGGAGAAATGAAATGTGGGGATTCCAAATGGAAAGCTACTTTAGGAGAGTAGGTGAGAGATGAAGAGGCCTTGGACTTGGGTGATAGCAGTGGGATGGCCCAGGAGGAGGAGCGTTTGAAGCATCATTTTTCCTAGGGCTGGGCATGAATCTGAGGGGAAGGGATCTATATTTTATTTAGTCTGTGAACATTATGGGGGTGGGAAAATGGTTAGAGCACCCAGCACCATTGGAGATTTGAGGGAGCCCAGCTAAGACAAATCTCTTCTGGAGAAGTTCTGGTAAAGGGCTGGATGGTTTTGAGGCAGTCAGAAGAGATTAGCCCGAGGAATGAGGAGAATTGGAGAAAGGAAAGAATGATCTACATATTTAACGTAAGCCAAGAAGCCAGACAATACTCCTTGATAGGTCTTCCCATACAGGGTTCTGTCACACCAAATTAGAACATTTCACAATCTGTAGGAGCTTTCCTGTGGAATGCAAAGACTTCAGACCATGGATTCAAAATAATCAAAATCTCTAGAAGCACTCATTCCTATTGTGATAAGCTGTTATTTATTTTTCACAGAAAACCAGATTTAAAAAATGTGTTCTCCTGAATTTTTGCTTTATTTTCTTTGGATTCCATGTAGGGTACAATGGATGACCTGACAATTGCTAACCCTCATTCCTGGTCAAAATAAGCAAAACTTTGAATTAGGGTTGGCAGTTCTCCAAGATATGTTACCCAAAGACCTCTCATTCTGTGATCTGAACTCCATTATCTTTTCCCTGTGACTAGCTAAACACTCTTTTTGTTGTTTTTCAGAGGAGGCAAGTCTGATTTACAAGGTCTTTAATGTGTGCAAAAGGTAACATGCATTGCTGATATCCATTCTTGAGCGTGAGAAATGCCTCTATGTTTATTCACTTCACTAGCTCTGCCAGAGAAAACCAGCACTGGGGCATAAGCTGAGAACACAGAGCTTGGAAGCATCTAATTTGGACACAGATGCTTTTGATGTAATGGGTTACCTATGAAACCTACTGCTCTTTTGTTAGTATTCACTGGTGGAGAAAGACAGGAAATGATATACTTCTATCAAAGGAGTCAGGCTGCAGCATGCTGCTGGCTGCTGTCTTGGGCACGGGACAGCCATAATAACCTTGCATTTGGCAGTTTCCTGTCAAGTTAAATTGTAGTTGGCAGTTTCCTGTCAAATTAAATTGTAGAGCCTCGAGATGTGCCAACTGCAATAATTGGTGTGCTGTGCTTGTGAGTATTGTCCATTTAGAAGTTGAGTTCACTGTGTCAGTTGTCCCTTTTTGCGGAGATGGAGTCATTTATGGTTAGATGGAATGGCTAGAGTTGATTGGAGGAGTCTCTCCTGACCTGGCCAGTGCTGGCCTGGCGCTCACAGATTTCACTGCTGAGAATGTTGGAGGCAGCTGATGGGGATAAAATGCACAGACAGGACCAGTCTTTAAGTGATTCTTCCTATTGAAGAAGTATTGGCCCTCCAATTTTTTCTTTTTTTGCTGGGGTCTGCTGTCTTTCCACGCCTATCATTCATGAGGGATCCAGAAATGGGAAGAAAAGTGATTTTAGGGGTAAATCACGAGCAGTGGTCAAAGCCCAGAAAAAGGAACAACTATTTTGGTTATAATTCATAGCTCTAGGTTTCCTCTAAGCATTTTACAGCCTCTGTTCTGGTTAGGGGCTACCAAGGGTTTCCAAATAAGACCATCTTCAAATTTTGATCTATTTCCTTCTAAGTGGCAATGTCTCTTGGTCCCTAGAATTTCTCACAAGGTCAAGAAGGAAAGAGAAAGAAAGAGAACAATATTTGTTCTAGCAGAGAGCATACTATTTAGCAAAAATTCTTCCAGAAACATTAGTTTGTTATCTCCTTTAATTCCAAGCATGCCCCTACCAAGTGTAGGTATCACAATATAAATCTAAAGATGATACAACAGAGGCTTGGAGAAGTTGACTCACTTGTCCATGTTCATAACAGTTTTAAGAAGTGGAGACCAGATTGAACCAGGTTCAGCGTTTCTTCGGGTCACTCACTGTGCTGCCCCTGTTCCTTTGCTTTATGGGCCAGCAGGCAGACACTCCAGCTGCTAGGGTCTTTTACCTTCAGACCATGCAGCTTTGGGTGAGCCTTCTCACCTCTCTGTGCCTGGTTTCTCAATTTGATTAGGAGAAAATAATTCTGATCCACTTTGTGAAGATCTGCCAGGGCTAGAAATTGGGAAGAATAAAAGCTTTTGAAAAGTATTAAAGTTTACTATAAGTCCACCAACATTAGACAGTATTGATTGAGTGCTTTTCTTTTCATTGCCCTGGCCCAAGTGCTGTGCAAACCAAGTGAAACAGGGCTGGTTTCAGCCCTCTAGGCACATGTGGTAGACACTTAAGCTAGATTCACTTTAGTGAATAAATAAATAGAAAAAAGAAACACATCAGTGATTGTACAAATATAAACTGATATAGAGCATAAACAAACTGGTTAGGAACAAAATGTTCTTGCAGTGAGAGGACTAAAATTATCCTGCAAAATACAGAAAGAGAAAGGAGCTGCTTTGGTAAGAGTCAGTCTCCATGGGCAAAGGCACCCATTCTCTCCTGGTAGGTGATAAATTTTCTGGAGGGTCAGGGGCAAATTTGAATACATGTTATTAGTGGAACAAGCATTGTATTAGATTGGTGCAAAAGTAATTGTGGCTTTTGCCATTACTTTTAATAGATACGAAGAAGGAAGGAGCTGATAGCATGGTGTCTTCTATGAGACAGCACATTCTAGGTACTCTCAGATGTTCTGTTTTATTTAATCCTAATTCTATAGGGCACCAGACCTATACAGTAAAATTATTAGGCCCATTTTATGAATGAGAAACTGGAAGTTCTGGAAGGTTAAATATTTCATAGCTGATATGTGGCAGATCAGGGTTCTAACCTGGGCCTTTCTGACTCCAGAGTTCCTGTTCTTGCTATCCTATGTGGCATTCTGCTTTGAAAGCACAAGCTTAGAGACAAGAATGGGACATGTTGGTAGGGAGAAAAAGAAGGGAGGCACAGAAAACTACAGATGGGATTGCTGAGTGATCCCAAAGAAGTGCTGGAATCTGGAAGTGTCTTGGGTGTTTTGAGGTGTATGGCTTATATTATAGCTTCTAATCTGTATGTGATAAAGAAAAGAGAGCCAGAGCTGAAGGGTCCGAGTGGGAGGTGCATTAGAATCCAAGAAAACACTGAGGCCTTGCCCAGACCCTGGCTGGCAGAGGGTGTGGCGGCGGTTGCTGTGAGGGTGGGTGGTAAAATCACATCACGATGTGTGGGAGTGTCCTCTCTACTCCCAAATCTACATATCACAGTTGTACCCAGCCTTAATGACCATCTTGAATGCTACCTCTTCTACAGAGCCCTCCAGATTCCACCAAATTGGTGCCTTGTATACTTTCTGTGAATATCTGTTGCTTATTTGTGCTTTCTTTAGGGACTTGGCACATTCAGTTGACTTCTCTGTTATTTTATTTGTTTGTTTGTCTATTTATTTATTTATTCTTGAGATGGAGTCTTGCTCTGTCACCCAGGCTGCAGTGCAGTGGCACAATCTCAGCTCACTGCAACCTCTGCCTCCCAGGTTCAAGTGAGTCTCTTGCCTCAGCCTCCTGAGTAGCTAGGACTACAGGCGTGCACCACCACGCCTGGCTGATTTTATGTATTTTTAGTAGAGACGGGGTTTCACCATGTTGACCAGGCTGATCTTGAACTCCTGACCTCAAGCAATCCACTTGCCTCAGCCTCCCAAAGTGCTGGGATTACAGGCGTGAGCCACCGTGCCCGGCCCCCTGTTATTTTTGTACATGCCATGTCCATCTGACTAGCGACATCCTTTAAGGCAAGGAAATGTTTTCTTCATTTTGGGGGTTCCTATGGCACCTAGGTTAGAAGAGGTACTAAACAATGTTTGTGGAATGAAATGGAAGGCACAGTGGCAGAGTAAGAGGAATGTGGTGTTGCAGCTAACAGCAGTGATTGAATTAATAGTTCTTGCCTGGGAAGGGGCATATTTTAGCGCTAGTCATGACTTCAAAAATTTGAGGCTATTTTTGGCTCCAAATCTTCCTTTCCTCCTGCAGCTCCTCCATGCCTAGGGGGTTAATATTGTTCATTCTTCTCCTATACCTACAGGGAAAACGGGAGAGAAGAAGGAAAGAAAAATGTCACTTACTAAGAACCAACTCTGGGTCACAAAGTGTTTAGTTATTGGATACTCTTAGTTATGAGATGACATTCATTTGGAACAATATTTTAGGGAAAAAATATTACAAAATGACTTGCTGTATATTACATAAACATGTCAACTGTAAGTTTAATTTTCATGAAGAAATTCTGGGATGTAATGTGAGGCTCAATTGCTCTGTTCAACTTTGTCTTGGTGCTACTCCAAATCTGTGTAACCTAAACCTCTTCCTCCTCCTTCTCCTCCAAAATAAATAAATAAATAAATAAAAAGCCTCTGCTTATCAGATTTCAAACATTCACTCTCCACTGAAGCCTATATACCAAATACTTTTTATGGCTTGAGAATGCTTTTTGAGCTCTCACTCCAACTCCTGATTTTCTTAATATATTACTCCTTTAAAAATACTAAAATCTCTCCAGGAGGGCATGGATGATTTTTTTTCCTGCCATCCAATTATTTTGCCAATAAACATATTATCTACTGTACTCCTCATGTATCTATGCTGAGAGGTTGGTGTTATTTTCCTACTTTCCAGATAGAGAAGCAAGTAAAGAAAGGTAAAGTAACTTTCTAAGTTACAAGGAGTGGCAGAGTTAGGATTCGGATTCCGGTTGGTCGTTCTCTGAAGTCAGTGCTTTTTCAGTACACGGGGCTGCTTCATAACATTCACCTCTACTCATACCATGTCTCCGTACCATGTCATGGTACTCATACCATGTCTCCGTACTCATACCAAGTCTCCGTATATGAAAATCCATCATTTCCCAGCAGGGAGCAAGCTCTCAGCACCGCATCAGGCAGTAAACACCAACTCAGAATCTACTGGATCAGGAACCAGCTCTGCCCTAGGGGATCTACGGGAGTGGGGATGTGGTGAGACTTACATGAAATGTAAATTCTGAACAAGCTTTCAGTCTAGCCAGGGAAATGGAAACTGTTCTGAGAAAACTGTGAAACTTTGAAATTATAATTCAGGGCAGTAGTCGTAGGAGTTTGAGGTGGAGAGGAAGGCCCTGCAGCCTCAGGGAGGTCTCAGAGGAGAAAGACAAGACACTGGTGAAGGAAAGTGGTTGGTAGCAAATAAACTCCTGACTCGCTCCCCTCTGTGGCCCCGTTTATGTCCTGTTGAAGAAGATCTGGGTGATGGATGAGACCATCTCTTTCATTCTAAACACGTGCCCATGGGTGAAACAAAGCAAGTCTGCACACGGGAGCTTAATTGCACTCTCGAAATTGAGAGCTGGGAGACACAGGATTTTACAGGGCATTTCAGAAAACCTAACATTAAGTTTACAAAGATTACATTGTTTAGGAAAGAAAAGGACTTTATACTACTCCATCCGTTTTCTCCCTGACCTTTCAGATGAGCCCGGGGGCTTTGAGGGAAAAGCATGGAATGTTGTGCATTGCTTGCTCTAAAACCAGTTCCTGTGTGCGCAGATAGATTTTTTGTTGTTGTTAAAGCTTTGGACTTTGGCTTTCTTTTTATTTCCTTGTTCCTGTAATATATTCCTTTTCTGTGATATGCCGTATGCATCATTAGACATTTGGCAATAGCAGAGATGTCAGAACGTTTGCTTAGTAAGTTTGGGAATAAAGGTGGGGATGGAGAAAGAAGGAGGAGATGGAGTTGAGCTTTAGGAGAAAGGAGAGGAAGAGAAAGGGAAGGAGAGAAAGATGTGTCCCTGGGCCCTCAGCATGGTCGAAGAGGGGTGTTCAGATCCTGTGCTGTTCCCTTGCTTGCAGCTGCCAGGCAGATGGCTGTAATCTGAACACTGACCTACTTAGGGTATCCTCTGCATTGGCTTCCCTCCTGACCCCTTCTATCACATGTGTTCATTCATTTTCCTGGCTGAGCATTTGGGATTTTCCTATTGACATGGTTCTTTCAGATCAGCTTTGCTTCCATCGGTTGTTTTCACTTTTAAGGGTATTTCCTTAGAGAGACGTTTTATTGTACCAGTGCAGCAGCTTTTCTTAGATGGAACTCTTACACTAGAAATGTTGGAGATGATTGTTCAGGACAATCAACTGTGCGTGGTCAGCCTCCCTGCGGAAGGTTGGATCTCAAGGCACAGGAATTGGCAGGGATTTGAGAGAGCAGCAGATGAGAATTCCCAAGGAAGTCTGGCTGCTGGGTGTCCCAGGGCTTTATCAGACATGCTTGTCCTGAAATACCTTCTGAAATGACCTGGACCCCTACATCCTTTTTCTGATAAAGACTATGTGACATAAAAGAGGACTTGATTTGAAGAGTTTTTAAGTGGACATTCTCTCTGTTAATGTAATTTCAATTTCCTTTACCATAAGGGATGTGGTTTCAACTCTGAATATGTCTTTGTTTACCTTCAGATAGAATTCATGGAATTGATTTGCAGAGAAACTATATTTTATATTTCTAGGCCTGAAGACACCTTAATTTACTTGGAAGATGTTTCTTCTCCAGCAGGGTTCTCTCTGCCCACTTCTCCTGCTCTTTAAATCTCTGCGGGTAGGTCTATGTCTCTGTGAGCTTAGAGGAAGACTAATGTATTCCACCTATCTGGTTCACGAACAACCCTTTAATGATGGCAGGAGGAAATACTGCTTATGGATCTGCCCCTCATATTTACAGCTCCCAAGGCAAGAGTACAACTGGAGGTGCACATACTATATGTCTAAATATTTCAACTATAAACCAAACTGTGTCCAAAGCCTGGCCAGCTTCCTGCTTAAGATTCCTATAGTCTATTGGTCCAGCTGCTGGTGCCCTAGAAGCTAAAGGAGAGTGTTTCACTGGGGACCAGGCTGCTCACATGAGCTGAGCAGTAGTCCGACTCTGCTGGGGTGGGGGAAGGCGATCAGTGCCCAGAACTCCTGGTTGGCCTCTGGAGCTATCCAAACTCAGAAAGGGAACCACAGACCAAGTCAAGCTCCCTGAGAGCTGGGAAGGGTGCATTTCCTTCCAAAATACCTCATTAAAAAAAATCTGGGATTTCAAGTAATTCTAAGCACCTCCCAAGATGATACCACTGGAGCAGAAGATAAAACAGAGAAAGGGTATGCAGGTATTTGGCGATGTAAGTCTGTCCACATATACTACATGATTTGCTTTTTTTTTTTTTTTTTTTTTTTAACATTAGGCAAATGCAAGGGCAGAGGCCATGGTTCTCATTCCTCCTTTCCTTCGATCCAGCACAGTCATGCCACAGAGCTCACAGTCCCTAGCTCCATCTGGCCTGGGGGCGCTCATTGGCCCATTCGTCTTTCTTTAGTTTTCATGCACTCAATCAATGATCACACTTTCAAAAAACTTTCTTATGAGACTGAAAAAAAAAGGAAACAAAATCTTTGTGCTTTGGTGTTTGTAGTTGGGTGTTCTTTTAAAGCACAAGGTCCTGCCCAGAGGCTCTTTGGCCTGTTTGTGAGAGGGGTATTGGCTGCTTCGGATTTGATCCTTTATGGAGGTCAGCAACCCCAAGCCAGCCTCTGAGCCAGCACATTTCTCTTCTCTCTCCATCTCCTCCCGATCACCTGTGGCAGCTGCAGAAAGATATTAGGGATGCGTATTTTATTTTTTGTCTCTGGTTTCTGGTTCCTGTTTACTTGGGGCATATTTATGACCATCTTTAATAAATAATACACATTTATTTATATGTATCACATGTATTTATTTATATGCATACATATATACATGTTATTTATTAATAATATTTATTTAATGCTTACTATGACCATCATTAATAAATAATATATAATGATTCTATTCTATTATAAATAATATTTAATGCTTACTGTGCATAATACCACATACACATTATTTCATTGAATCAGCCCAGCAATCCTATAAAATAGGTTCTGTTAATAGACTTAATTTGCAGATAAGAAAACTGAGTTCTGAGGACACAAATTTACATGGTCAAAATCACACAGTGAATAGGACCTGGGGTGGGGAATGAAATCTAGGCCATATGAGCCAAGAGTCCACCATGTCTCACCCAGGTGTGACCAATAATGTGTCCTACTATTCAGGCTTGTGTTTCTGTCTGTATGTGGTTCTCACAGTATCTGAGGCTTATCCATGAGATTCCAAATGAAATAAACAACACCCCCATGGGAGGCAGAATAATGCTACTCCCCCAGAAAAGAGGTCCAAATATCAATTATCCTAACCTGTGAATATGTTACCTTACCTGGCAAAATGGATTTTTCAGGTGTGATTAAGTTAAGGGTGTTGAAATGGGATTATTCAGGTGGGTTCAATGTAATCACAAGTTTCTTACAAGGGAGAGAGGAAGTGGGAGAATCAGAGGAGATGTGAGGGCTGAAGCAAAGGTTGGAGTGATGTAACTGCTGGCTTTGAAGGGAGAAGACAGCCATGAACCCAGGGATGCAGGTGGCCTCTAGAAGGCAGAAAAGGCAAGGAAACAGATTCACCTAGAGCCTCCTGAAGAAACAGACTTGTGGACACCTTGATTTTTGGCTCAGTAGAATGCTTTTCAGATTCCTGACCTCCAGAACTGTAAGCTAATATACCTGTGTTGCTTTAAGTCAAGAAATTGTGGTAATTGCAAGAGCAATAGGAAACTCATGGGGTCTCCTTGCCATATATCTTAACTACCTCTTGCCTACCTGGCAAACTAATGTGGGAACAGAAAACCAAATACACATGTTCTCACTTATAAGTGGGAGCTAAATGATGAGAACGAATGGGCACAAAGAGGGGAACAACAGACACTGGGGCCTGCTTGAGGGAGGATAGTAGGAGGAGGGAGAGCATCAGGAAAAGTAACTATCATGTACTGTGCTATGCTTAGTACCTGGTTGACGAAATAATCTGTACACCAAATCCCCGTGACATGAGTTTACCTATATAACAAACCTGCACATATAATTCTGAACCCAAAATCAAAGTTAAAAAAATATAGTCTTAGTGTAAAGATAAAATATATTTTAGAAATTATTAATTCAAACAAAAAAGAAAAAAGAAATCATAGCCTCCATTCCACTGCTCTTGGGATGCTTTTCTTTATTTTTCTTCTTTTTTTAAATTATACTTTAAGTTTTAGGGTACATGTGCACAACGTGCAGGTTTGTTACATATGTATACATGTGCCATGTTGGTGTGCTGCACCCATTAACTCGTCATTTACATTAGGTATATCTCCTAATGCTATCCCTCCCCCTTCCCCTGACCCCACAACAGGCCCTGGTGTGTGATGTTCCCCTTCCTATGTCCATGTGTTCTCATTGTTCAGTTCCCACCTATGAGTGAGAACATGTGGTGTTTAGTTTTTTGTTCTTGCGATAGTTTACTAAGAATGATGGTTTCCAGCTTCATCCATGTCCCTACAAAGGACATGAACTCATCCTTTTACATGGCTGCATAGTATTCCATGGTGTATATGTGCCGCATTTTCTTAATACAGTCTATCATTGATGGACATTTGGGTTGGTTCCAAGTCTTTGCTATTGTGAATAGTGCCGCAATAAACATACATGTGCATGTGTCTTTATAGCAGCATGATTTACAATCCTTTGGGTATATACCCAGTAATGGGATGGCTGGTCAAATGTTATTTCTAGTTCTAGATCCCAGAGGAATCGACACACTGACTTCCACAATGGTTGAATTAGTTTACAGTCCCACCAACAGTGTAAAAGTGTTCCTGTTTCTTAACATCCTCTCCAGCACCTGTTGTTTCCTGAGTTTTTAATGATCGCCATTCTAACTGGTGTGAGATGGTATTTCATTGTGGTTTTGATTTGCATTCCTCTGATGGACAGTGATGATGAGCATTTTTTCATGTGTCTTTTGGCTGCATAAATGTCTTCTTTTGAGAAGTGTCTGTTCATCTCCTTCGCCCACTTGTTGATGGGGTTGTTTGTTTTTTTCTTTTAAATTTGTTTGAGTTCATTGTAGATTCTGGATATTAGCCCTTTGTCAGATGAGTAGATTGCAAAAATTTTCTCCCATTCTGTAGGTTGCCTGTTCACTTTGATGGTAGTTTCTTTTGCTGTGCAGAAGCTCTTGGGTTTAATTAGATCCCATTTGTCAATTTTGGCTTTTGTTGCCATTGCTTTTGGTGTTTTAGACATGAAGTCCTTGCCCATGCCTACATCCTGAATGGTATTGCCTAGGATTTCTTGTAGGGTTTTTATGGTTTTAGGTCTAACATTTAAGTCTTTAATCCATCTTGAATTAATTTTTGTATAAGGTGTAAGGAAGAGATCCAGTTTCAGCTTTCTACATATGGCTAGCCAGTTTTCACAGCACCATTTATTAAACAGGGAATCCTTTTCCCATTTCTTGTTTTTGTCAGGTTTGTCAAAGAGCAGATAGTTGTAGATATGTGGCATTATTTCTGAGGGCTCTGTTCTGTTCCATTGGTCTATATCTCTGTTTTGGTACCAGTACCAGTACCATCTTTATTTTTCTGATGAGCTCATATCATTTCCCAATTCCCAGCAACACACACTGTGGCCTCAGTTTTTGGACTTAGATTTTGAGAAGTCCAAATGTGCTCTGTAATGTTTTAGTGGAGAAGAGAGCCTCTGTCCTGTGGAGGTGCCAGTGAACCAGGCAGGTAGGCGTCTGTGCCAGAGGCCCAGGTGACAGGCCAGGCTGGTGGCTTCTGAGGGACTTGCCTTGACTGGGAAAGCTGATTAGTTGACTACACACGACTCTCTGCCTTGAATCACTTCGTGCCCTGCTGAGCCTTGAGTCAAGCCTCCACAAAGCATTTCATGTATGTTGCAGCTGTGCTACAGGCTTTCTTATTATTAACTTTCCTATGGGATGCTCACCTGCAGAGAGAATCCAAAATACTTTTCCTGCAAGAAGGAAGGCTTGGCCATAAGGATTTCAAAATGAAATTCCTTTATGATACGAATACACCTCACTGTGCGAGTTATCACTTCAACTCTATTATTTGGGGATTTGCAACAAAAGAATTAAGGAACTCAGGAGCTTCATGAAACTGAGGACTGTTAACCCCAGAAACACACACAGGCAGCCTCTGTGCAGTCAGCTAACAAGTGGGTCATTGCTCCCACTTTACCCTGCCGAGGACCCAGTTACCTCTTGCATCAGGTACTGACTGCAACAGTTGAATTGCACATATATTATTGGCTATGTCTCTCTGTTATCATTAGGTGTTCAATAGCTGCTAAATATCTGTATGCATAAGAATATGCATAACCCATTTGATTGCTATAAAAAAAGAAGCAATTTTACAAGCTGCATTTCTTAAATGAGCTTACACTTCTTTTGAAATACCATGACCTTCTCCATAATGTGACAATTGGCCTCTTTTAAGATAAAAAGAATTGGTAATGACTAGTGAGAATAGACCAGATCTGGAGAGTACATGCTACACACTCAAGTCTCAGCAGCTCCATCTATAAACACAAAGCAGGACCAGTTTTTCAAAGCAATCACAAAGCTGGTTTAAGCCTGGGAAACATTTTGGTTATTTAAGTAATATTTTGAAATTCTAACTTTTAAGCTAAAACCAAACAAGTTTCTGTGGGTAGCCTAGTAGTCAGGACTCTGTAATAAACCAATTGTCTACTGCTTCAACTTCAAATGGAGTTATATCAAGTCATCATGTTGTATACATTGAATATATACAATCTTTGTCAGTTAGATATTTTAACATAAAAAGCTGGAATTTTTAGCAGCTCCAAAATATTTTCTTTTTAAAGAGGAGGAATTGGAAAAGATAGTAAATGAAGGTTGAGTTGATGGGAGTGGATGATTGCTTTGGAACTGGTGGTGATTGTGGAAAACGCAGTGACCGACTGAAGGTGATATCTGAGGTGGGAAGGGATGTCCAAGAAGAGGGAACAGAGATGGGGAAGGAGGTCAGAAAGTGACAAGTCCACCGGTGGACAATGCTGTCTCTGGGACCCAGGTTGTGGAAGTATCGATATCCTGGGAACAGTTTAGAAAGAAGAAAGAAGCAATAGCTCTGTTCATTTTTTTAAAATTTCCTCTCCCATAACCACTTACCACATTAGCTGGTTGGAAAATGTAAGGTGATTCAAAAGAGAATTGAAAAAATAAAAGAAAATTTTCCTCAGGGAGTAACTTTTATATAAAGTAATACAATCTAATTTGTGAAGAAACAGTTAAGTCTGTAACCTCACAGATGCTCAAGACCGTTCCTCGTGTCACAGCACTCATCAGTCCTGTGGTCTAATTCATCCTGGACTCTTTGCAGGGCATCATATTTGTATGTACACCCGTGTGGGGGACTAGAGAAACCACCAGAAGTCAATTTCATTATTCTCTTTTCCAGTTGTCATTTTATTATTCCAGCCAAGGACATGGAATGTCTTGGTAGATTGGACAGATGTATATACTGACTCACATATATTGACTGAGCGACATAATGTGTCCCTGTCTGTAATTTCCAAGAAAGTATTGTGATGAGATTATTCAAATCATTTGGCAAATATAAGAAGTGAAAGTTCCATAATAAATCCAGGAGCAAAGACTAGATCGTTTTTTCCTGGAACTGTCTGTATTTGAAGAATTAAAAAAGATAATGTTGACCTGACTTGAGCACTTTTATCTAAAACTCAAGAGTTTTATATGGTGTCAACCAACTTTATATAATTTCCATGGAATTGGTTTTTCTTCTCAATTTGAAGTGCTCAGTGTCTTTTGTCTTTAAATTGAAGCCTAGCAATGAAGAGTTCATTATTTCTTAGTTTTATTAGATTTGGATTTTTAAATAGGTAGTCCTATTAGTCTCTCTAGAAATACTGTAAAGAGTGTTTCTTTATACCATTTTCCTTTATTTCCTGGAATAAATCAAATATAGCTACATATGTTATATTTTATTATACTATTTATGGCAATGTGTAATGGGTTTATATTAAAAGAATTGGTGGAAATGCTGCAGATTTTCCTTTGGAAGAGGTTGACTTCTCCAAGTTATCTATACTCTTAAGTCTTGTTGGATTCATATAAGGTTACTTAAGCATATTCCCTGGAATGGCTTGATATTTCATCACATTTTAAAGCATGTGTTTCTTTCCTAAAGCTGTAAACCTTAATATTTCTGGGTCTGGAAATAAAAATTTCAAATGGCAAACATTTCTCACATTTTCAAAGAGAACAGATTCCACCAATGTGAGTGGTTGAAACTTTAAAAGTTCCAAGCAAATGTTCACTTTTAACTGAAATTCTATTCCACATGCCTAGGGAAATCCACGTGAAGCATGTTACTCTCAGGCCGCAGTCATTCTTCTCTGGGTACAGGTCTTCAATCTAAAAGCCTGGGAAATGTGCCCCATTGAACAACTTACCTAGCATTAATCGTTTGATGATGCTGTAGGTTCTTACTGTAATGAGCAAGACCTCCTGCCACTCCTTAACACTCAAGTTACCTGAAAGATAATATACAGTTGGCTCCATGCTACCCACACATAGCCTGATCTCTCTCTTGAGCATACCAATAAGTGCAAGGCTGCCCTGCTGTGGATCACATTAATTCTTGGGCTGCTGCTTTCAATTTCACCAGAAATTGCTGGTGGCAATTTCTTTCTCTTAGCCTAGTGTTATCTGCTCCCCTCAGAAGTTTAGGGTCTGAAAAGAAAGGATCCTGAACTTCAATTTTGATCTTCCCTGATCCAGCTTCATCAGCAATCCATATTCTTTATGCTTTGCTGCCTCCACATAGTCTACTGATTCTAAACTGCCTCTGGTTCTCATCTGGATAACGCCTTGTTTTTACCATTTAATAAAAAATGTAGCTGCTACACACAGAATGAAGAGGACTGCAACATTCCCTTCAAATTGTAACTCACCTCGTATAGAAGTCTTCTGTGATACTACCAGTCCAGAAGTCATTACACTGGCCCTCTCTTGGGTCCATTACAATTTATCACAGCCCTAATCCCCCCTGCAAAATTGTTTGGAATAGGCTTCTCAGTCCTCTAAAAATAACCACACATTAGTGTTCCGGGAGCTGTTAGAACCACCTTAATTAGGCCGGGTGCAGTGCCTCATGCCTGTATTCCCAGCACTTTGGGAGGCTGGAATAGATCACTTGAGGCCAGGAGTTGGAGACCAGCCTGGTCAACATAACCCATCTCTAAAAAAAAGAACACCTTCGTGAGACCCTGAATGGCTTCATGAAAATAAAACGTGTACACAAGAGCACCAGCCCCTGCTCCAGCAGTCACCAGCAAAGCTGGTTATTCTTTCTCAGAGGTCATTGAATCATGGAATTTATCACTAGAAATTTTATGTACTTCCTAATATCACTTGTACAGTTGTCTTCATTTTAATTTATATTTTTTAACGTACTTACGTCTTGTATTCTCATCCAGAGCAATCTGGTGAGAACAAACACATTGCTTACTATTCTTTAGTATTCTCAATCTTCTCAGCACAGATCATATTAATCACAATTAATGAAACAATGGTCATGAAGATAAACATACTGCCTCCCTCCCCACCTCAGCACCTTTATGCTGTTATTTTGAATGTGTTGATTTACTCCACCACATAAGTGCTGTGTTTGCTTTCTGGTTGACTTGGGGTGTCTTCTTCTCTGCCTCTGGTCTGCCAGTCCCAGCTGTTTTACATAGTAGACAATTCTATCTAGATGTCTTTTTGAGTTGCAGAAAAGAGGACTATAGCCTCTATCTCTACCTTCTTGCTGTGCCAGGTGTATACCAACCAACGTCTTTCTGGACCCTGAAACAACATTTTGAATCTGGAACTCATTACTTTCTCTTCCCAAAGGAAACCTTCGGGGGGCAACTCAGCTGTTGATCTTACTTTACCTGGTGGGATGATCCTTCACCACCAAAGAACTTGAGCCTTCGCGCTCTGTCTATATGAAATTATAGTATCTTTGGTTAATTTTATCTCTGAACATAGTTATGTAAGTGGTACTCTAGGAGATTTTCTAGGCCTTATCCATATTCATTCTTGTCTCCATAATGAAGCAGCAAACTTACTTCTTCTTTATTGTCAGGATCAGTTATTTATGTCAATAGTAATTTCCTTTTATGCCAGTTTGTCCACTGGTAGGGGAGCTAAAAATGGCCAGGGGATGGTTTTAGTTTTTGATGAAATGAAATAATCTTCATGTTCATTTGTAGAAGTATTCCTCCTCTGACCAAGATTTAGGAAATGATGGCCCATAGTCCTGTCACCTGTTTTTGTAAATAAATGTTTTATTGGAACATAGTCACATTTATTTATTTACATATTGCCTATGGCTGTTTCCAAGCTATAGTGGCAGAGTGATTGTGACAGAGACTGCATGCCCTGCAATGCCTGAAATAGTTACTATTCAGCCCTTTGCAGAAAAATGTTGCCAACTTCTGCTTTAAACTATCAGAGGGCAGAGCTATGGGGATGATAACTATAATTGCAAGGGAGTCATTAGCTGTAATAATGAGGGGTGTTACCCCAACTTCTATTTTTCCATTGCAAGGTCCATGTATCCCAGTCATGGGAAAACACCATTTCTTGCTCACTGGATCAGTGTATGTACTGCATCCTGGGGGACAGCACCCCAACCTTTCAAGCGTTGTCTCCTAATTGGCATTGTGGCTGATTCTTCAGTACATCATTCCACTCTTCTATAAGGCCAGTTACTTCTGCGTGATATAGTACCAGACTAGATACTGAAGCTCTTTAATGCCCAACCTACTGACCTGCATTTTTTACTATAATGTGAGTTCTTGCTAGGAAGCAATAGTAGCAATCAAGATTGGCAGAGAAGGCAAATCCAAATCCACTTTTAATCCCAGTGCTTCATCCATAAGGGAAAAGGTGCAATGTAATCAACATGCCATCAGGGCTCTGGCTGGCTCCTCTGGAGTATGTCACTTTTTCAGGGCTTAGGGCTGGTCGCTTATGTTAGCAAAGCTGGCACTCAGCTGTGGAAGCAGCCAGAGTAGCCTTGGGCAGTGTGAGCCTGTGGTGTAGGTCCTCTGCATATTCTGCACTGTTCTATCGTGGCTTTTTTATTTATGAACTCACTGCTCAGGCACTTGAACATCTGAGAAAGAAGACTGACAGTCCAGCAGTAGGTCGATGTGATTATTAAGTCTCCTCCACAGTAAGGTCTGTTGAGAATGCATTCACATGAGATACGAATACTTCCCTTTCCGAGTTCTCCTTCATGTCTCCCCTTTAAGTTTCTTTGTCAATCATTCTCAATTTTATTTCCTTTATTTGTTAGCCACTGCCCTGAAACTAATGTAAATTCTTACCTCAAAGTTAAAGTGGAAAAAAACCCTGCACTGATTGCAGATCTGCCTGCTAGGATGACCCCCTTCTCTGCTCTCCCAGCCTATTGCTGTGGCTGGGTTTGAACACTGCAGAATCTGTTTCTGGTTGCTGGCATCTCTCTGTAAGTCTGGCTTGCTTTTTTTTTTACGCCTTAGACGACTGATTATAGGCAACTCCTCATGAAGTTGCATGTGTGAATTTAAATATGAATACCCTGCACCATTTACAAGGGTAACTGTATACTACAGGCATATGTTTCAGAGATTGTTGGATACTGGTTCTAAGTTAACATTAATTCCTGGAAACATACACTACCACTGTGACCTACCAGTAAAAAATGGGGACTTATGTGGGTTGGATGTGAGCAATCTGTCTGTGCAACTTATTTATACCTTCAGAATTTACTCAGTCTCAGCCTGAAATTAGTACGACCTGATTATGGAGTGCTGCTGGCATGGTAGTTTTTACGGCTAGGTTAACCAGTTTATAATAAGTAGTTCAGGTTGCAAGTTACATGTTAAGATGACATAGTCAATCTCTACCTATACTCAATAGCAATTCAAGAACTCTTTTTTGTTTGTTTTCTTTTGTTTTTGGGACAGAGTCTCGCTCTGTTACCCAAGCTGGAGTGCAGTGTTGCAATCTCAGCTCACTGCAACCTCCGCCTCATTCAAGCGATTCTCCTGCCTCAGCCTCCTGAGTAGCTGAGATTACAGGTGTGTGCCACCATGCCTGGCTAATTTTTGTATTTTTAGTAGAGACGGGGTTTCACCATTTTGGTCAGCCTGATCTCGAACTCCTGACCTTGTGATCCACCCACCTCCACATCCCAAAGTGCTGGGATTACAGGTGTGAGACGCTGCTCCTGGCTTAAGAACTCGTTCTTAAGAGAAGTATAGTTGTTTGTCGAAATGGGTAATGCGTCGCTTTAAAACTGTAGGGCAGTACTCCCCAAATGCTTTGGCACCACGATTTTGTGGAAGACAATTTTTCCACAGACTGGGGGGTGGGGGAGTGGTTTTGAGATGACCCAATCACATTACATTTATTGTGCACTTTATTTCTATTATTATTACATTGTAATATATAATGAAATAATTATACAAGTTACCATTAATGTAAAATCAGTGGGAGTCCTGAGCTCATTTTTCTGCAACTAAATGGTCCCATCTGGGGGTGATGGGAGTCAGTGACAGATCATCAGGAACTAGATTCTCATAAGGAGCTAAGGAGCGTGCAACCTAGATCCCTTCCAGGTGCAGTTCACAATAGGGTTCGCCCTCCTACAAATCTAATGCAGCCGCTGATCTGACAGGAGGTGGAGCTCAGGTGAAAATATGAGTGATGGGGAGCGGCTGTAAATACAGATAAAGCTTCTCTAGCCCACCGATCACCTCCTGCAGTGCAGCCTGGTTCCTAACAGGCCACAGAGTAGTACTGTGGCCCAAGGTTTGGGGACCCCTGCCGTAAGGGATGCTGCTGAACTCCTGCCCTAGGGGATGCTTCCCAACTCTATTGAGTAACTCCACCTACCACAGAATTGTTGAGAAATTTCGCATTTGCTGGGTTGTAAGGGTCAAGTCCCAGAATGGCTTTCAATGTAGCCTAAATCCATTGGAGAAATTATCACTCAAAGGTGATAGCATTTTGTTATTTGGAGCCTATCGTCTAAAAATATATCCTAATTTCCATCCTCCTCCCTCAAAAAAAAAAGTTGCCTGAAGTAAAACCCTTGTTTTGTATTTTTGTGAGATTTATCCATTGCACTCTTAGTAAGATTTGCTGAAGTTACACAATACATTCTGCTCTGTAGATTCCAAAGTATGATGTAAACCACTATGATGTCCTCTGGCATTATGAGACAGTCATTGAACACTGAATTGTACTACAGAATTGGGCAATTGTCTTAAAACTGCAGCAAGATGGTAAAGTTATCTATGTCCATACCAGGTAAAAGCAAATTTCTAAAAAGTTATTTTTTTATCCCAGAGAAAAACTATTAACTATGTTAATAGCTACAGGGAATTTACTAATTTGCTCCAATAAGTAGCAAATAAAATCTATGTCTAGAGTAATAGCCGCATTTTGAATTACCACCAGATTTAGCTTACAAGATACCTCTTGTATTTTTCCAGACCTATCCATTGTTTGCATGACTGCAAATAAAGACCCTGTTTTGCTCTGTCCTTTTGTATGCTGACCTCTAAGAACTACATCACCTGGCTTCCCTTGATCTCTGGCTTCTTACTGGGTTTAGACCAATGGGATACCCCAGTGAAATTGTTGGGGAGTGAAGGAGGGCAGAGGTCAGGGATTTTATTTTCTCTTCTTTGTTTTTCTTTTGCCAGGGTCCTGGCTGGGACTGTATTCCTTTATGGCCATAGCTCCTCTTCTCTGACATTCTTGCTGGGCTATGATCGCACCTCTCCTTTTTCTTAATCCTTCAAGCTTAGAGATGATAATGGATTCTTGCTGTTATGTCTCATCATACCTTATTGATTCCTTAATCCTGTCTAGACCTCTGTAAACATTCTTTAATTAAATTTTCTTCAGTTAAAACCCTCTGAGTATTCTCTATTTTACTTACAAGGACCCTAACTGTTAAAATTAGCTGTTCGTTTTCAGGACCTTCCATTAGGTAAGGCTGTTTTAGGTGTGCAACCAAATGATAAAGCTTTCATCAAATGAGGAAAAAGAGGCTGCTTTGGCTTCAAAGGGGCAGGGCTGGATGTTTGGGATCTCCAGATTCTCAAATTCTCCTAAATAGCCACTCCGGTTCTTGGGGTCTCATTCTTTTCCATCTTTGCCCTAAATTTAAAATGAAAGTCCTAGTGAAGCTGTGAATTCAATCAATGAAGTTTGTTTTTTAGGTACTCAGCCCTATGTCTCTAAGAGATAAAAGATTCTTTTAGCTCAGTGTGTGCTTTGAGATATGTGTAGGAATTTAACTTTGTTATACTCTCTTTTAAGCTGGTTGGAGTCAGTGAAGGCAGCCATCCATTCTTCAACATGAAATTACTCATATCCTTTATACTGTTCAATGACAGTGAAAGCTTTATTCCCCACAGCCTTGACCCCCAAAAGTGTTTTATTTTAAGTGATCCCAGGAGATATTTTAATGAGCAATTTCTCTCCTGTTTGCCATGAGCTGTAAGATTCCCCTTAATGAATGCTAGTGGGTTTTTTTTTTAACTGCCATTAGCCTGAATTGAGCCAGATGACCAATCCTAGAATTGCCCAATTCTTTAAGGGTCTGTTATCTACAATTCCATTCCCTGGTACCAAAATATGTTTCAGTCAACATACTTAATTGCATGCAGCAGAAATTGCCTTTAGATAGCTTAAGCAGGAAAAAATATTTTTGAAGGAATAATGAATAGCTCACAGATTCCATTCTTGGGAAATGGACAGAAACCAAAAAGAAAATTAGCTTAAGTTGTGCCAAAGCAATAGTCTGGTTAGGACTCTATTATGGGACCATGCCATCGTCACTGATGAGTTCCTGTGTCACAAAATGCATGAGTAATTTCTCAACAGTTCCTGCAAATTTGCATCACTTTGTCAGATTCTAAGTATTGAAAATCTCAGAATAGAGTATCTGATAGGCTGAGCCTAAGTTCTAGCTGATAATGAACAAGTGCAACTCAGGGGCTTGCCTCCCATCAAGGTTCACACAAAAGGGAATTAAAGGAAATTCTTGTCAATAAAAAGGGCATTAAGTTGCTGGTTAGCTAAAAATCAAGACAAAAACAAAAATGAATCAATCAGTATCTACTATATTCATCCTACATACTTGACCCTATGAAGAATTCCTTTGTCGGGGCAATGTTTGAGGAGCAGTCAAGCAGACTGGCTACAGATTTTGGCTACAGTGACTCAAATATGAAAGTAATGAGTAAGTGCTACTGAGATCAGGTAAAAATAAAGAATTAAGAAAGCATTTTTAATTATCATGGACACATAATAGTAACACATTTTTGTGGGGTACATGTAATATTTTGATACAAGCATTTAATATATAACGATCAAATCAGGGTAATTGGGATATCTATCGCCTCAAGCAGTTATCATTTCTTTGTGTCAGGAACATTCCAATTCCACTCTTTTAGTTCTTTTGAGATATACGCTAAATTACCGTTAACTATATTGCATGTTCTCACTCATGTGTGGAAGCTAGGAAACACTGAACTCATGGAGATAGTAGAATGATGGTTACCAGCGGCTGGGAAGGGTGGTAGGAAAGAGTGCAGATAAAGAGGGGATGGTTAGTGAGTACAAAAATATAGTTAGATAGAAGGAATAAGATCTAAAGTTTGGTTGCACAAGAATTTTGTTTTTAATTGGTATTTTACCATCTTTTTCATTGATAAAATTTCCTTTCTCTACATCAACTTTTGTTTCTCTGAGTCCATCAAAATTTTAAAATTGTACTTTTTTTATTTTATTTTATTTATTTATTTATTTATTTTTTAATTATACTTTAAGTTTTAGGGTACATGTGCACATTGTGCAGGTTAGTTACATATGTATACATGTGCCATGCTGGTGCGCTGCACCCACTAACTCGTCATCTAGCATTAGGTATATCACCCAATGCTATCCCTCCCCCCTCCCCCCTCCCCACCACAGTCCCCAGAGTGTGATATTCCCCTTCCTGTGTCCATGTCATCTCATTGTTCAATTCCCACCTATGAGTGAGAATATGCGGTGTTTGGTTTTTTGTTCTTGTGATAGTTTACTGAGAATGATGGTTTCCAATTTCATCCATGTCCCTACAAAGGACATGAACCCATCATTTTTTATGGCTGCATAGTATTCCATGGTGTATATGTGCCACATTTTCTTAATCCAGTCTATCATTGTTGGACATTTGGGTTGGTTCCAAGTCTTTGCTATTGTGAATAGTGCCGCAATAAACATACATGTGCATGTGTCTTTATAGCAGCATGATTTACAATCCTTTGGGTATATACCCAGTAATGGGATGGCTGGGTCAAATGGTATTTCTAGTTCTAGATCCCTGAGGAATCGCCACACTGACTTCCACAATGGTTGAACTAGTTTACAGTCCCACCAACAGTGTAAAAGTGTTCCTATTTCTCCACATCCTCTCCAGCACCTGTTGTTTCCTGACTTTTTAATGATTGCCATTCTAACTGGTGTGAGATGATATCTCATAGTGGTTTTGATTTGCATTTCTCTGATGGCCAGTGATGATGAGCATTTTTTCATGTGTTTTTTGGCTGCATAAATGTCTTCTTTTGAGAAGTGTCTGTTCATGTCCCTCGCCCACTTTTTGATGGGGTTGTTTGTTTTTTTCTTGTAAATTTGTTTGAGTTCATTGTAGATTCTGGATATTAGCCCTTTGTCAGATAAGTAGGTTGCGAAAATTTTCTCCCATGTTGTAGGTTGCCTGTTCACTCTGATGGTAGTTTCTTTTGCTGTGCAGAAGCTCTTTAGTTTAATTAGATCCCATTTGTCAATTTTGGCTTTGGTTGCCATTGCTTTTGGTGTTTTGGACATGAAGTCCTTGCCCACGCCTATGTCCTGAATGATAATGCCTAGGTTTTCTTCTAGGGTTTTTATGGTTTTAGGTCTAACGTTTAAATCTTTAATCCATCTTGAATTGATTTTTGTATAAGGTGTAAGGAAGGGATCCAGTTTCAGCTTTCTACATATGGCTAGCCAGTTTTCCCAGCACCATTTATTAAATAGGGAATCCTTTCCCCATTTCTTGTTTTTGTCAGGTTTGTCAAAGACCAGATAGTTGTAGGTATGCGGCGTTATTTCTGAGGGCTCTGTTCTGTTCCATTGATCTATATCTCTGTTTTGGTACCAGTACCATGCTGTTTTGGTTACTGTAGCCTTGTAGTATAGTTTGAAGTCAGGTAGCATGATGCCTCCAGTTTTGTTCTTTTGGCTTAGGATTGACTTGGCGATGCAGGCTCTTTTTTGGTTCCATATGAACTTTAAAGTAGTTTTTTCCAATTCTGTGAAGAAAGTCATTGGTAGCTTGATGGGGATGGCATTGAATCTGTAAATTACCTTGGGCAGTATGGCCATTTTCACGATATTGATTCTTCCTACCCATGAGCATGGAATGTTCTTCCATTTGTTTGTATCCTCTTTTATTTCCTTGAGCAGTGGTTTGTAGTTCTCCTTGAAGAGGTCCTTCACATCCCTTGTAAGTTGGATTCCTAGGTATTTTATTCTCTTTGAAGCAATTGTGAATGGGAGTTCACTCATGATTTGGCTCTCTGTTTGTCTGTTGTTGATGTATAGGAATGCTTGTGATTTTTGTACATTGATTTTGTATCCTGAGACTTTGCTGAAGTTGCTTATCAGCTTAAGGAGATTTTGGGCTGAGACGATGGGGTTTTCTAGATAAACAATCATGTCGTCTGCAAACAGGGACAATTTGACTTCCTCTTTTCCTAATTGAATACCCTTTATTTCCTTCTCCTGCCTGATTGCCCTGGCCAGAACTTCCAACACTATGTTGAATAGGAGCGGTGAGAGAGGGCATCCCTGTCTTGTGCCAGTTTTCAAAGGGAATGCTTCCAGTTTTTGCCCATTCAGTATGATATTGGCTGTGGGTTTGTCATAGATAGCTCTTATTATTTTGAAATACGTCCCATCAATACCTAATTTATTGAGAGTTTTTAGCATGAAGGGTTGTTGAATTTTGTCAAAGGCTTTTTCTGCATCTATTGAGATAATCATGTGGTTTTTGTCTTTGGTTCTGTTTATATGCTGGATTACATTTATTGATTTGCGTATATTGAACCAGCCTTGCATCCCAGGGATGAAGCCCACTTGATCATGGTGGATAAGCTTTTTGATGTGCTGCTGGATTCGGTTTGCCAGTATTTTATTGAGGATTTTTGCATCAATGTTCATCAAGGATATTGGTCTAAAATTCTCTTTTTTTGTTGTGTTTCTGCCTGGCTTTGGTATCAGAATGATGCTGGCCTCATAAAATGAGTTAGGGAGGATTCCCTCTTTTTCTATTGATTGGAATAGTTTCAGAAGGAATGGTACCAGTTCCTCCTTGTACCTCTGGTAGAATTCGGCTGTGAATCCATCTGGTCCTGGACTCTTTTTGGTTGGTAAACTATTGATTATTGCCACAATTTCAGCTCCTGTTATTGGTCTATTCAGAGATTCAACTTCTTCCTGGTTTAGTCTTGGGAGAGTGTATGTGTCGAGGAATGTATCCATTTCTTCTAGATTTTCTAGTTTATTTGCGTAGAGGTGTTTGTAGTATTCTCTGATGGTAGTTTGTATTTCTGTGGGATCGGTGGTGATATCCCCTTTATCATTTTTTATTGTGTCTATTTGATTCTTCTCTCTTTTTTTCTTTATTAGTCTTGCTAGAGGTCTATCAATTTTGTTGATCCTTTCAAAAAACCAGCTCCTGGATTCATTGATTTTTTGAAGGGTTTTTTGTGTCTCTATTTCCTTCAGTTCTGCTCTGATTTTAGTTATTTCTTGCCTTCTGCTAGCTTTCGAATGTGTTTGCTCTTGCTTTTCTAGTTCTTTTAATTGTGATGTTAGGGTGTCAATTTTGGATCTTTCCTGCTTTCTCTTGTGGGCATTTAGTGCTATAAAGTTCCCTCTACACACTGCTTTGAATGCGTCCCAGAGATTCTGGTATGTTGTGTCTTTGTTCTCGTTGGTTTCAAAGAACATCTTTATTTCTGCCTTCATTTCGTTATGTACCCAGTAGTCATTCAGGAGCAGGTTGTTCAGTTTCCATGTAGTTGAGCGGCTTTGAGTGAGATTCTTAATCCTGAGTTCTAGTTTGATTGCACTGTGGTCTGAGAGATAGTTTGTTATAATTTCTGTTCTTTTACATTTGCTGAGGAGAGCTTTACTTCCAAGTATGTGGTCAATTTTGGAATAGGTGTGGTGTGGTGCTGAAAAAAATGTATATTCTGTTGATTTGGGGTGGAGAATTCTGTAGATGTCTATTAGGTCCGCTTGGTGCAGAGCTGAGTTCAATTCCTGGGTATCCTTGTTGACTTTCTGTCTCGTTGATCTGTCTAATGTTGACAGTGGGGTGTTAAAGTCTCCCATTATTAATGTGTGGGAGTCTAAGTCTCTTTGTAGGTCACTCAGGACTTGCTTTATGAATCTGGGTGCTCCTGTATTGGGTGCATATATATTTAGGATAGTTAGCTCCTCTTGTTGAATTGATCCCTTTACCATTATGTAATGGCCTTCTTTGTCTCTTTTGATCTTTGTTGGTTTAAAGTCTGTTTTATCAGAGACTAGGATTGCAACCCCTGCCTTTTTTTGTTTTCCATTTGCTTGGTAGATCTTCCTCCATCCTTCTATTTTGAGCCTATTTGTGTCTCTGCACGTGAGATGGGTTTCCTGAATACAGCACACTGATGGGTCTTGACTCTTTATCCAACTTGCCAGTCTGTGTCTTTTAATTGGAGAATTTAGTCCATTTACATTTGTAAAGACCATCGAGACTAGGAAGAAACTGCATCAACTAACGAGCAAAATCACCAGCTAACATCATAATGACAGGATCAAATTCACACATAACAATATTAACTTTAAATGTAAATGGACTAAATTCTCCAATTAAAATTGTACATTTTGTCTTGATTTTACTGCTTATAATTTCTTCCATTTTGATAAAATTGACTAATTTAGCCAAAGATATAATATTTTGATTCTCATCATTGAATAAATGCCATTTTTGTAAAAAATAAGGGTGTGTTCTACATTTCTTCTGGCATTTTACCAACTCATTATCTAGAAATCATAGATTTCACATGTAATGAGCTCTCAAATTACCAGAATAATTCAAGATTTATGAAAACTTTATATTTCTGTGGAAAACTTCCATTATGAACATGGTGGACTGCATTAGAAGATCACAGCATTTCCACTGAAGTACATGACTTTGTCTTTACTGGTGAGGCCAGCTTTTCCTTTGACAGCCAACTATGGAAAAAAAATAAACAATGTCGAGTAGCTACATTATTTTTAATGGCAAAAATTGCAATTACTTTTGCACCAAACTAATATTTCTCTACTATAAGAAGGGCTGATATTCAGGGACATTTGAGTGGGTCACAGAGAATATGCGGTGGGAGAGAAGGAGCCATGTTAAAATATCATATTGGTGTCTGGCTTTGCCTGTTCCCTCTCAACTTATAAAGTGGCTAAAAAAGCTATTCTTACTGCAATACACCCACAAAGGGGACATGAGCAGAAACTTTCATCCTTCTTGCTGGGTTGGCTCTGTGTTTCTGTTTCTTTTGAACCAGACAGTGTCATTTAGTATATGTATGATTACAAATGTCTCATTCCAAATCCTGGAGAGAGTAACTTGCATTTTAACATATATTGTCAAATAGCCAATTAAATAAGATTTTTCCATTTTTAAAGCAGTGTTATGGTGTTGTCTAGATAAAATTTCTGTCATCATATCATACTGGAACATCTGTTGAATAGATATAACTGAACTTAAAATTATAAGGTGGTTAGGACATCAGATTTGGAATAGGATGAAAAACAAAGCAGGAAAACTTGAGGAGGCTCTAGAGTCTTCATTACTTATGGGATTAGTTTTTTTTTTAAATTACAGTTATAACTCAAACAGTTCCTTTTACATTTAAAAAGGAAGTCTTAAAGTATAAATTAATTTTAATGAGTAGTCTGTCTACTGATATACACATATATATCTTTAAAGACATTCCAGCTGTACTTATCAACATCTGGAAGCAGTACTGGGCAAACCACATGCTTAGTTCCTAACTTCAAACATTTTTTGAAAGGAATCTTTTGTAAACTTTGAAAGGAGCCTGTGAATAGTTACCAGAAAGGCACACTTTTTAATGTATTATAATGTCTGAATTGTTAGTCAGATATCTGAAACTGTCAACTCTAGAGCAATTGGAGCTTAGCAAAAAGAGAAAAATATCAGCAAGAATGCAGACAGATTAAAAGAGCTGAATATACTACTGTACTCTGTGAAAGCCTTTCTTTCTTTTTCTCCCCTTTTCTTTCATTTCTGTCCCTCTCTCTCTCTCTAAATCTTTCTCTTTCTTCCTTCTAAATTTCAGCAGCCACATAGATGGCACACGTTCCAAAAGATGAGGTTGATGATCCTTTGACCAATCAGAAGAATAACAAATTTTATGGACAAGTGAAAGACTATTAGAACCCAGCTCCGCTGGAGGCCATTATCCAAAGCAAATTAATGTAGAAACAGAAAACCGAATACTTCATGTTTTCACCTATAAGTGGAAGCTAACCATTGGGTACTCATGGACATAAAGGAGGCAACAATTGAAATTGGGGCCTACTGGAGGGGGGAAAGGATACAAAGTTTGAAAAGCTACTGGGTACTATACTCAGTACCTGGGTGATGGGCTCATTTGTACCCCAAATCTCAGCATCATGCAATATACCCAGGTAACAAACCTGTGTCAGAGGCATGTACCCTCTGACTCTAAAATAAAAGTTAAAATAAAGAAACCACATGAGAAGATCAGAGTTAAGATAAATGAGTGGTATTAAAATGATGTTAGTCTGGGCTGTGTGGTTATGTTGTCCAGCCCGCCACCACTATACTGTATGGAAGGTGGGTATCTTCTCCAGCCTGCCACCACTAGACCATTTCTGTATGTAAGGCAGTTCTCCTGTCTAGCCCACTGCTGCTGGACTCTCTTTCCTGTATGTAAGCTCTTAATAAAATCCCATGTCTTGTTAAAAAATGATGTTAATGATAATTTTGACTATGGAACAAATAACATTATGATGGGGAAAAAATAAAATCCAGCTCTACATGTTGAGATGCATGGGAGAAGTGGACGGAAAAGGAAAGAAAAGAGAGGAAGAAAGGAAAAAGAGAAAATATGCTTCAGAGGAAATATTCTACCAACAAAACAGATGCTAACAGACCAGGAACAGATGCTAACAGACCAGAAGCTGAGAATAGATTGGTAAAAAATAGACAATGCAGAACTGGGTTCACAAGGTACATCAGAATCCATGAACTCACTAACTTGTTAATTCAAATCAGGTTTATCAATATGATGTACCTGGCACTAGGAAAAGGCTGGAGGATTCAAAGGGGGAATAAATACTGTCCCCGTCTCTGTCCCCCAGGTGCATATTGATGATATTGGGGATGGGAATGGTGGACACATGTTTGCGATGTGTTTATGAGGCTGTATGCATGTAAGCAATACAGTAGGGATTCAAGGGAGGAGTTGTCACTTTTTCTTGGAAGAGGGGATCCTTTTCTAGACTTTCGAAGGATCCTTTTGAAATGAGCCTTTAAAATTGTGAACTTTTTTTGTTTCACATTTTTAAAATGAGTTTCTGGTACAGTCCAATGGAAGTATTCAAAATAAGAATTAATCACCATACCAGCCCCAATAATTAGTGATCATAATGCTGCCTGAGACACTTAAGAAAAGTTTTTGTGTTTAGTACAACTTGTTCTTTAAGCACAGTCTGGCATAGGACATTGAATTAATAATTGTGTAATGAGTGAACAAATATGGCAAAGTCCTTGTCACCCAAAGGATTATCCTTTGATTGCCTGGATAATGTAATACTCATATTTAGGCCCTCTGTATTACAGAATTGTGCATTGCATATCTAGATAGGGTATAGTTCAACCTGTATCCCAGGACTACTGTAGCTCACTATTGAAAAATAAGCACATTTATATGTTAGGAAAGAAGAGTAGAAGAGTGTCGGAACTGGCATTGGATCAGTCATGTTTTCAGAAAAATATTACCTGTGATTGGGAAATAACAGTGTGCAGGGAATTGTGATACAGCCCTGGCCTTATATTGCTACTCAGGAGGCATCACAGAGGGAGAATGAAAATCATTTACAGAGGTATGAAATTAATCTGAGAAGGCTGCTTCAGTGATGTCTCATCCTCAGAGGAAGATGGATGAAGCAAGTGTCTGGAGACCTTTCCTGTCCATGGAGCCTGTAATGTGCTGGGATTTTGAATTCTGTGGAGCTGTAATTCCTCTAGTTGGCTGTGCATTCAGATTTTTAGTGCTCATTCTAGACCCACTGCTCTGAGCCCAGGGCCAGGGACCCTATATTTATATAAAGTTCTCTAAATAACTTGGTTGATGAGCCAGGCTAATGATACATGAATAGCATGTTAATCGTATTACCTATGTAGATGTCATTCTTTGATTCTAAAATATAAAGTTGTGAAACAGGCTGTTTCTTCATTAAACTCATCCATAAGTCAGTCAATGTTGATAAAGAGAAGAATATCCCACAACTCTAGGTTTAAGTTTCTGGCATTTTACCAACTTGTTATCTAGAAATTGTAGATTTTATATATAATAAACTCTTAAATTACCACAGTAATTCAAGATTTATAATGCGTAGTTTGCATTATGGGGCTCATATTTTCACCTAATGTTGTGGGGCTCTATAGCTCACTCTCTTGTAAGTTCACATTACCTGTCCCATTTATAGTCTGTGGGTGGGAAGTCATATTTTTTTTTTTTTGGTAATTCAGAATGCAGGTCAGAATGTTTGTGAGAACTACTCACTCTGCAAATGGAATGCATTGCAGCATATAAATCCAAAATATTATGATTATTATTGTTGATGTTGTCTCTGCCTATTAATTACCTGAAGATCAGTTCATCCAGTAAAACCCAGCTTTAAAATTTAGATTATGAGACATCTATATAATGTTAAATGGCTAGCTATCCTTTTTTTAAAATTTGCCTTTTAATGTTTACATGATTAAATGTATGAGGTGCAAAATTGTAACATACAGATGAATAGGTCACACATATAAAAAGAGATGCTATCTGGATCATTCTCTAATTCTAAGGGAATGGTTGAGGAGAAATAACAGGAAATCTAAGTATACAAGTATGAAGCAATTTTAATGTACTGAAAGCAAGTTATATAAAATAAAGTGTTTTTGGAGATTAATTTTGGTTACATGCATTTTAAAGATTATGTTGTCAGATAAAGCCAATAAGGAATAATCAAATTATTTGAAAAGTATTACCTTAAACAAAAAATTCTTACTGATTCCATTTTAAAGATTTATAACATAAGTACAAGTTTCCCAACTAAGAAAAAAAGAGAAGTGATTCCTTCCTCCAGAGTACCTTATAATGCCTGAATAAGCAATCCAAATAAATATTTTAAATTTTCAGAAATTACCCTGAAAAATACAAATAATGCTGATATCCAAATATTCAGAAATCACTGCATAGATTGGAATAAACATACTGGTACTTAAAATTGGTTAATAAATCATCACTGGAGTAACTAAAATATTTTAGACATTATAGGAACATACATTGATATTTTCAAAGATGTTAGTATCTCAGAGACACTTTGCATAAATAAGTATTGCTAGTTACTGGACATAATAAAGTAGAATTATTCTAAAAGCTTTCCAAGGATAAAACTGTGTTAGTATACTGGTAGTAAAATGTATAATTAATAAAGATGCTGCAGCTATATTTTCCCACAGTGAAATCCTTGCACAAGAGAAGTATCTGTAATCCTGGTCTACAGAAATTATTTAAGATGTGCTATTACACTAAGAAATAGAAATAAAATTACCTCTGTCAAATTGTACCATAATGACATTAATTTGATATTATAATATCTATCTCTCTTAAGAATTAGACATTGTCTGTAGTTTTGGTATGAGAAGGTTCAGTAAGAAAGATATTAAAATATAATTTGACCAGCAGAACTCCACTATGAGCTGAAAATTTAGATGATTTATAAACATTAATGGAATGGTGGCTGTCTCATTATGCTTATTTAGTAAGGGAAACAATTAAAATATGTACCTAGTACAACGATGACTTTTGGGAGTAAAGAAATTCACATTAGCTGTTCAGATAGCTAGATACATCAGCATATTTCACAATATATTTTATTTCCCTGGTGCTTATGTATATATGGATATTATTGAACTTTATAATTCATTATCTCCATACAAAGAAGTAAACAAAACAAAGATACTTAACTAGTAAGACACGGCTGCTAAATGCATACGCACCTTTTTTTTTTAAACAAGTTTATACAGCCTGTTCTTGTTAAATATTTTAGCGAGAACTAAGTTTTAAAGCTTGATAATTATAGTTATCCATTCTGAAATGACATTTCTCGTGATTTTACTCCTTGTCACTTATATGTATTTAAGCTGGCCTACCTATCTTTGAACAGTATAGGCAAAGAAAAAGGAATATGGTATTAGAATTCACCTTCACTTGATGGAGAACCGGATGTGGTTATCTGGGTAAGAGCCCAGGTTACTTGGATGGAGAGATGGGTTTGCTGGTTTACACTAGGAAGAGTGACGTATTTACCTCGATTCTACTGAAAGCGGATAAAAGCAGTACCATCACTGTGACCTAGGAAAAGGGAAAATGTAAGCCCACTAATATGGAAGCCCATTCAGAAACATTTTCTGTGAACGATAGGAGGACCAGCCTCATCATATTCCTGCTTACTGATCCACATCTGCTGGAATGTGGACAGGCTGGCAAGGATGGAGCCCCCAATCCAAACAGAATACTTCCGCTCTGGGGGAGCTATGATCTTGATTTTCATGGTGCTGGGTGCCAGGGTTATGATTTCTTTCTGCATCCTGTCAGCAATGCCTGGGTACATGGTGCTCCCTCCAGATAACACGGTGTTGGCATAGAGATCCTTGCGAATATCCACATCGCACTTCATGATAGAGTTGAAGGTTGTCTCATGGATCCCACTGGACTCAATGCCCAGAAAGGAAGGCTGGAAAATGGCTTCAGGGCATCGGAAGCGTTCATTCCCAATGGTGATCACCTGCCCATCAGGAAGTTCATAGCTCCGTTCCGGTGAGGAGGATGCGGCTGCCCTGACCATCTCCTGCTCAAAGTCCAGGGCTACGTAGCACAGCTTCTCTTTGACATCTCGCACAATCTCCCGCTCAGCAGTGGTGGTGAAGTTATAGCCTCGCTCTGTCAGGATCTTCATGAGGTAATCAGTCAGGTCTCTCCCTGCCAGATCCAGGCGTAGAATGGCATGAGGCAGGGCATAACCTTCATAGATGGGCACGATGTGAGTGACCCCATCCCCAGAATCCATCACGATGCCTGTGGTCCGTCCTGAGGCATAGAGGGACAGCACAGCCTGGATGGCGACATACATGGCTGGTGTGTTGAAAGCCTCGAACATGATCTGAGTCATCTTTTCCCGGTTGATCTTGGGGTTCAGGGGTGCCTCGGTGAGGAGGATGGGATGCTCATCTGGTGCCACACGGAGCTCATTGTAGAATGTGTGGTACCAGATCTTTTCCATATCGTCCCAGTTGGTGACCACTCCATGCTCGATAGGATACTTCAGGGTCAGGACGCCTCTCTTGCTCTGAGCCTCATCTCCCACGTAGCAGTCCTTCTGGCCCATGCCTACCATAACGCCCTGGTGTCGAGGACGCCCTATCATGGAGGGGAACACAGCCCGGGGGGCATCGTCACCACCAAAGCCTGCCTTGCACATCCCTGACCCATTATCCACTACCAAGGCAGACAGCTCATTGTCAGTCATGGTGCTGGCTGAGATCTTCCAGACGAGTGAACAGGACAAGTGAATAGACAGTGAGTAAGAGAAAGTGAACAGGCCTAAAACACTCCAGAAATGCTTTCAGACACGGGAGGCTGCACCGGGACCACAGGTATTTAAAGGAACACACTGACTCCGCCCATGTCCTACTCCACCAGTTCCCAGCATTTCTGGATGAGGTCATCTCTGAGGTATTAATGATGGTGATGATTACATAAACAATTAGATCTTTCTACATAAAGAGAAAATTGGCTGCCAAGTGGTCAAATCTCAGGTTCCTGTAATTAGGCAACCCACACATGACCGTCAGCCTGCCTGGTGAGGTCTCTAGATAACTATGATGATGCAGTGGGGGATATAAAAGCAAGATGAAAGAAAGCTGGTGCTAGGTATGGCAACACTGCTGGGAGGAAGGCTCCCTCCTTAGCGTCCCTGAGGATTCACTTTTCCTACACTAGCTTACCTTTTCATTCTTAAGATACTGTTCTGATGAGGGGTCTTACCCTGCAATCTTCACTTTTTCAAGATTTTTGTTTCCATTAGATTCCTAATCCCACAGGGTGTCATCATCGTAGAGACTGTTTTAGTAAATGAAAATAATAAATGGCTAAGGATGGCCTGATGGCTGTAATTACAATGCACTTGTGTCAAGCAAAATGTAGAGATATTTAATAGACTTCTAATCCATCAGAGATCAAGCGAAAGGAATAGAATGATTGCTAAAGTTAACCCATATAGATACTTTTTTCTGATATAAATTTCTAACAACCAAATTTCATTAAACATTTACTGTGTCTAGACATTGTTCATAGAACCAGGTTCATTGGGTCCATGTTAATTGTATAATGACTGAATGTCAACTATTTTGCATGATTTATTAAGATGCAGGTTATAAAAATTTATTTATTTGCAACAACTCTTGAGTTCTGCAACAATGGACAAAATGAAGTGATAAGACAAATTTGAAAAATTATATATTTAAACTAATCCTTAAAACATTTTGATCTTCAAGATACATATACTATATTATAACATTAAACCTCTATGTAGTTATTAAAATCTATACAATTAGAATTATACTAGCTTTCCTTCCATTTCAAGATATATTACACCCTGATCACTTCATAGCAACAATTTGTTTGGGTTCCATGTTTCATATAGAAATACAGACTACCTGAAAAGATGTGTATGATGGTAAAATGTAGGACATCAGCAATGTGTTACAGAGAAATAGCATTTAAGAAAGCTCATTACTTCTGCTCCCCTATGTGTTAGGCGAATAGAATATAATTATCTTTGTGAGCTCTTGTAAAGCAAAGAAATTTTCCATGTCTACATCTGAGTTCTCCAAAATAATCTTTATTTGGGTTCATCATTCATTCATTTACCCAATAAAGCTTGCTTTGTAAGAGGTAGCACAGCCCCTATTTACTGGACAAAAAACACCCTCCAGCTCAAGGCCAGGAGAACTAACCTGAGTCTTTGCCCAGTGAGCCTCTTGGAGAGTCATGGTGTAGCATCAAGCTGTGAGCATCCAGCCCTCTTCTTTGTCTATAGCTTGATATAGATTTATTTTATCCAGTGCTGTAATATGCCTTCAAAACCTTTCTGGTGACAATCAGTCATGGCAGAATGTATGTTTCATCACAAGATCCATGGTTTTGCTTTAGGGCTCACCAAAACAGTCCTTTCCTTTAATCTTTTCTGTAACTGCAAAATTCCTTCTTCAACAGTGTTAAAAACCTTCACACTGAATGGTTTTATGAACTTCCTTGTTATGTAGTACAACCAAGCTTTTGATTAAAACAACATTTTATTGCTATAGGATGGTGCTTCTGGGAATTTTTTAAAATCCCATAACAAACTACATGCACATTTTACAAAATGGAAAAAATGAAATACACATTGTATTTAGCACAAGTCCCCATTTATGAATGCTCCGGTCTGGAATATAAAACAAAGCCAAGTTGGTGGAAATGTTAGTGGAGGAGCCCACATAGTACCAAGTGCAGCCTTAGATCCTACACTTACTAGAGTGCTGTCCTTAGAATCACCTTCAACTAAGGGATATTTGGTACTGAGTCCACACAGCATAACTGATGCCTTGAGAGTGTGGCTGATGTGTGATTTTGCTAGAGACTGTCTAGCCTGCTTTAATTCCGGTGTCCCAGGAGCAAATTTCATCAGTTATGTATTCTTAAAATAAGCTTATGCTCTTCTAATTAACTCTCAATAATGCAAGAGGTGCTTATCACAATTCAACAGCCATTAAAAATGTCATCTGTTGAGTTGGTTAAATTTTTAAAAAGTAGTAAGAATTTGTGTTGAGTAAAACATAGAAAGATGGGTTTACAAATACTGGGCTCTGGAAGCTGTGAGTAGGGAGTACTGTTCTTGGAGGTAACAGACTTTGTAACTGACCAGAATTTACAAATGTTTAATTAATTACCTAAACCTTTAGGGCCCTTCAAGGTTCACTCATGGAAGCCCAGAATATTCTTTTTCTTTTACATTTTGCCTAGTTTGACTATCATGCAGATACACGAAACTAGAGTGAGGTTTAAGTATGGGCATTAAATATGAAGACAACTGGTGGAAGCTACCGTGTCTCCTTGCCTTGTCTTTGTCAACCTTAGACTTTTCAAGCAATCCGCAAACATTTATTAAACATCTCCTATGTTCTGGGCACTGGTGATATATCAATGAATAAAACACAGCCCTATTTTTAAAGAGTTCACTGTCTTGTGGGTGAAAGTCACCTTACCCCAGGCCGACAGGTGGCCGTTTGGCACTGGTATGATACAGCCGGCTTATGTTCTGATAGGGCTCTGCCAGCGCTGTTCCAGTTGTTAAAGATCTTGAATGTCACTCCCAAATACACAGATAACAGGTATACAACACGGGAGATGAGAGAAGGAGCTCAGGGAGACATAGAGGTGGAATGAGGGGCCCCTGAACCTGAGGTCAGGGCAAAGAGAAGGAGAGGCCAAAGGAGATGACCCCTGGGCTGAGTCTCAGAGGATGGGCAGGAGGCTGTCACTGGCCAGTGGAGGTAATATTGCAGGCATGAGCATCACAGCTTGGATGAAACCAGAGAATCAATTATGTGTTTGGAACTAGGAGGCTGCCAGCAGCCAACGGAGGCAGTATTACAGCAGCACCAACAACTTGGATGAAATCAGAGAATCAACTATGTATTTGGAACTAGGTCTCTACACAGAATCAGCAAGAGTTTAGAGGCTTACAACAAGAGTCTGAATCTTCACAGGCATGTGGAAGGAAGAGGAACTCCAGAATTGGGTGTTGCTTTCTCTCCGTAGTACATGAGATCTAAGAAGAGGCTCTTACCCATGGGTCATGGAGGCCCTGTCTTAGTGATCATCTCCTGTCTAGGCTCTCATCTGTTTAACTGAACTGCTGAGATTATGCATTTTAATGAGGCCTCGTTCAGCCTCCCCCCTAGGGATGCAATTTAGTACATGGAGGTCAGCTGCCTGCCTCTCTGTCTTCACTTGGTTCCTTCCTTGTGTACCACACCCTCTTTCCTTCTATCCTTGGCTGATTTTGCACACGTCTACCTCTCTAGTGTGGTGATGCTCTGAGAATCTCTTTCAACTGTACTCTGCTCTTAGTGGAGATTTGTAATGTGTTTCAGAAATAGATACATGAATGTTGTAAGCAGTGTGATTTGTTTTCATTATATACTCATCTGTTCATTCATAGCTAGATATAGCTGACCACTTCTTAAAAGTTAAAAAGCTTATTTATTTTGTGGTTAAATACTGCCTAAGGTTTATATTTCATATTGATGAAATGGCTTAAACATGGTATCTTACGATACCAAATAATCTCTCTGGAGATTATTTGCAGTTTGTAAGATACCATGTTTATCTCTCTGGAAAAGAGAGATAAAATGGTAAAGATAATTACCGTTACTTCTCTCTGGAGAAGTCTCAACATATGGCTTTAATATTTCTTACAAATAGTAAATCCACCAATAATAATTACTGATAGAGCTTATTGTGATTTTCTGTTTGTTTGAATATATAGAACTATGTAAAAAATGGCATGAAAAATCAGAAATACAACAAACACTTCCTCAAGTAAAACCTGACTCACCTATTTCCTGAGGCAGGCATGGGCAGAAAGGAGGAAAAAGTGGCTTTGGTGAGGTACGTCTTGACCAGTTCCAGGATGCATTTGGAAGGAAAATATTAGCATAAGAATCTTTTCATTGGTGCAGTTGACCACAGCTCCCAGCCCCTATCTGGTGTGAGCCCACTGTCTGTGAACAAAACCAGCTTTCACTCCACAGGGCAATAGCGCTCCCCCCGATGGATAAAGGGCCTAACGTAGATTTTATGGCACTTCTTCCTAACTAACTTTTAAAATATGCCATAGATCAGCTTTTGGCTATTTCAATTGACCTGTAAACAAAGTTGTTAAGAGGAAGAACAGATTCCTGTGTGTGGTGGATGAACCTTTGGAAATGCCTTGATTCTAAGGAAAGGGGAGAAGAAACAGTTGTAAAATCGGAAGCATCAATATTCACAGTTCAGCCGTTACTGATGGGAACCATATATCATCCAACACAGATAAGCATCATGTTGTGTTCTGATCCTGAAAGGTGAAGGGGATAACAATAAAAATAGTGATTACGGATCATGTAGTATGTGCCAGTCTCTACGCTAAATCCCTTACACATATCATTTCTTTAGTCTTCATGACAACCCTATGAGGTACCTAGGATTATCATCCCCATTTTAGAAGGAATAAACTGAAGCTTGAAGAGGAAACTGACCAAGGCTATATAGAGCCACCACGGTAGTGTCGGGATTTAGAACCCAAGACCAAGCCCTGAGCCCAATCTCTGCCCAACGATGAGCTAAAAGAAAGGGCACAGGGTACCTGGCTGGCTCCTAGTAAGAGCGGCAGCCAACAAGGACCGTCCCTGTGAAGTCTTTGTATTCCCTGTTGGGAAACAACATCTGAAGTTATCCAAATGCCATCTCAGAGTGAAAATCAGGCTGAATATTGGAATCAAGAGAAGAAAATCAAATAAAAATCTAGAGAACCGTAGCAGGTCCTTCCATGTTATTAATATTAATATCAGGATATCTTACTCTCAAAATGGAGAAAACAAAATGACGAGTTAATGCCTGAACTGAGAAAGAAAGACATTTACAAGTAAAGAGGCAAATCTTCTATTATCTAAAATAAGAAAATAATATGAGAGTGATTTCAGGAGAGGATAGTAGGATAGGCAAGGGGACTATTAAAAAGCAAAAACTAGATCAAGAAGACAGATGCATCCTTTGGATATCAGCCAAGAGAGAATTGCGGCCTGCCAGGTGTCAGCTTTCAGACCCCAAATGGCATTGTCTTCAAACCCCTGGATTTGACCATGACATGCCAAGGTGTGAATAGTAGAAAGTGGAGAAGGGGGCTCTGCTTTAGGAAGTGGGGTGAGCCTGGAGTAATTGAGCAAATCTGATGTCTCTAAAGCAGGCCAAGAGGGGAAGCCAATCCAGATGGACAGGAACCACCAGATTATAGAGGTGAAGGAAGCAAAAGTAGAGAACAGGAAATCAGGTCAAAAGAAAGGCCCTGATGATCAGACCACCGTAAAGAGTATGTCTTGGAGTCGAGAAAAATTCATTTGGGAGCCGAGATAATTCACATTGCATGAGTGACCCAGGGCCTGCAAGGCTTTGAAGGGAAGATCTCACAGAGAGTTGGAGAGGAAATGACTCAATGCAGCTGTGACCTGATACAGACCAGGGCCAGAGAACACAGGTCCTGAAAGGCTAATTTAAATCAATCCAGACTGTCATAAAAGCACAAAGAACAAAAAATGCTTTGCAGTTACTAAGTAATGGTCAGTGTTTATTCTTCATTCCGGTGACAGCTTTGTGTCTGACTTTGTGACAGCTTAGGTATCATGCCGGATTTCCTGCACATTTTCGTGAAGACCATCTAGAAGCCCATGCCTGCTTATAACTGGCGAGATGGGATTATGGCTTGTCAAGCAGCAGAACACACCCAGTGTCTCCTCTCCTACAGAGCGTCTGCTGCTATGGACATGTGCTGCCCTGGGAAAAGTCCACTGAAGGTGGATGATGCAGATGAAAAGGCTACTTCACTTTTGGAAGCTGCCTAATTCACTTCCAGGAGCAAACTTTTTGATCGGTAGGATATGACTCAGTGTAAGTTTTTTTTTCTTTTTTCTTTTTTCTTTTTTTGCCAAGGGAAACAGGGTTTTTGGGGATCTTAGGAGACACAGGTAAGAAATTATTTCAGGTATCTCGAATTAGTAAGGCTTCCTGAGGATATTTTTATTCTACTTTTGCTGACATCAAGGAAGCACTTTATCTCTTTTCAGAGCAAAAATGAAGGGGTAGGAAGGCCCTGTGAGGTGCAGTTCAGGGGAGGAGGGGAACAGAATTTATAAAAGAAATAGGAATCCTAGATGAAAGCAAGGACAACAGACTATTAGGACTTAAAACCTGCTTAATGATGGTTTCCCTTCCTTTAGTTGCCATGTCACCAAGTCCAGGAAAAATAGCACTGAAGAAACTGCAGAAAAGACAATACTAGTATAATATTTGGTCTTAAGGTATCTAAATGCCATCTCAGAGCAGAAACCAGGTGGAATCTTGAAGTCCAAAGAAAAAAACCAAATAAACTTCTAGAGAACCACAGCAGGTTCTTCCATGTTATTAATACTAATATCAGGATATCTTCCCCTTAAGATGGAGAAAAAGATATGCTCAGTTGATGATGCCTGGATGAGAAAGAAAGCCATTCTTTCTGGATTGCTTATTCAGTCCAGATCACAGCTTAGTGCAGAGTACACAGACTGGGATCCTCAGCATGACTATGTTGGCCCACACAACGTCCTACAAACATTTTCAAATTTTTAGTTTTTAATATTTGTAAAATAAGTATATTTTTGAATTCCCACTTCTCTTATTAAAAAAAAATAGAAAGATCAAGCAACACTGAGACCTTATTCCCAAACTAAGCTGAATAGCAGCTACTCCCCTTAGAAGAGGTGCGGATTCTCCATTTCCCCTTGGCCTCCATGTTCCTGTAGCATGGCTCCTATCCAAGAAGGACCACTAATGGAGGCAAGTGAATTCATGTGCAGTAAGCATGCATTTGAGGGTGGAGCATGCATTTCATGTGGAGAAAAGGACAAGTGGGAAGCCGGTGTTCTATGGTCCTTTTTCTTTTGGGGATGGATTGGTATTGGTATCTACAAGAACAGAATATAAAATACTATGTGGCTACATTTCTTTAATCATATGAAAAATGCCGAAATGTAACACTTAGTCTTGTTGATGGAAAGAGTCAGACTGTGTAAAATATTTGAAGAGATTTACTCTTAGCCAAATATGAGTGACCGAAGGCCTGTGACACAGCCCTCAGGAGATCCTGAGAACATGTTCCCAAAGTGGTCAGGGTACAGCTTAGCTTTATACATATTAAGGAGACATGAGACATCAATCAAATAAATGTAAGATGTACATTGGCTCAGTTCAGAAAGGCAGGACAACTGGAAGCGGGGCCTTTCAGGTCATGGGTAGATTCAAAGATTTTCTGGTTGGCAATTGGCTGAAAGAGCTAAGTTATGGTCAAACACTTAGGAATGTCTGGGTTCAGATAAGGGGTTGTGGAGACCAAGGTTTTTTCATGCAGGTGAAGCCAGCAGGTAGCGGGCTTCAGAGGGAATAGATTGTAAATGTTTCTTATCAGACTTTAAGTCTGTTCTATCAGTATTTCCAAAAGGGAAGAGGGTAGAATGAGGCATGTCCGACTCTCCTTCCTATAATGGCCTGAACTAGTTTTTCAGTTTAGCTTTGGGATGCCCTTGCTGAAAGAAGGGGTCCTTTCAGATGGTTGGGGGGTCTAGAATTTTATTTTTGGTGAGCAGTCTTCAGAATTTTATTTTTGGCTTGCAGTCTTTAGGAATTAAAAAGGAATACAATTCAGAAGATTGCAGGGCAGGAAGAGAGGTTCTGTCCCTCTTTGTTTTACTGAGGATGAGATATGGTGGAATGCATTTATGTGACAAAAGGAAGAATTTTAACTAACAATTAGAATAAAATTGCTGAGAATATAATAAAATAAAACTGTTTTCTGGTTAGTTGTTTTGTTGCCACTTTGGAGAGAAAACTCAGAGGTCTGGCTCCTAGCATTTGTTTCTGTTTCTGTCTCTGGTAGAATGGGGTGAAAGAGACTGGAACAGGTTTTTAAATGATGTTATCACTTCTGGGGACTTTGTCTAAATTTTATTTCTTTTATTTTTTAGCAGGAGGGCTATCTTTATGAAAGAAATAGAAGCATTTTGACTTCTTCAGATCATTTTCCTCTGAAACTGGGTTCTTTGAAGCAGGGCACCCAAAGATGCCATAATATAAGAATTTGCCAAAGGAAAGCCTTGCTCGAAGCATTCAGGGCAAGCCCTCTTTCTTTTCACATCCAGTTACAAATGGCATCTGGGTCAAACTAGTAGAGTATCATAAATAGACTTTAGGACTAAACTTAAAGAGGAAGAATTCTTTTGTTGATATCCCTGGTTGAGATTAATGATATTTTCGGTTCCAACCAGAAAGGAAAAAAAGGGTTACAGGTTAGATAAAAGGCTAATTGGAAATATTGTATAGAACATAAAAAAATGCAAAATAATTTAGGAATATTTACCCAAGGGTAAGATTGCCATAAAAAGCAGAGTGAATGGGGAGAGATATGAGGCAGTTTCATTTATTTTATGAAATTCATATATTCATTTATGGAAATAAGAGATTAGAGTATGAGTCACATAAGAACATGTCACTCCCTGTTTGAAAGCTTTTGATGACTTTCCATTAGCTGTTGAACAAAGTAAACTTCTTGGTATAGACTTTAAGGCCCTCTATTATCTGGCTCCGACCTACTTCCCCAGGCTGATATTTTAGTATCCTTTCTCCTCCCCTGCTCGTGAACCTTATGCTCCAGTCTTTGGAACTAATTGCTACTCCTAGAGAGCCCGTCACTCAGAATTGCTGACACTGCTTACTCCACTGGAAATGTCCTTCCCACCTTCTCTATCCTTTGACATTTAATCCATCTTTGAGAGCCCATCTTAGATTCTCACCAGTTTCCCCAGGAGGAGTGAATCTGATGCATCTCTAAAGTCCCGTAGCTTATATCGCTATTGTAGTTCTTTTCTCTTTTTGTTTTATATTACTTATGTATGTGGTTTTCTCCTTCACTATACTCTCTGTATCATCTTCACATTCTATTTCTAACAGTGTCTAGAACATGGATTTCCAACTCTAGTTGTTTACTCATTGACTATTGTACTTCCCATATTTATTTTTAAACTGAAGATTGATTGGGTTATGTTAACATTTCAACATGTTATAGATTTAATTTCTAGCTTAACATAGCTAAACCAAATTTATTAGTTTCTCCCAAGTGCTCTGTTTATATAAATGTTCTCAATATTTTGAAAAATCACTTAATTTTCTAATTTGAGAATTACATTTGACTCAACCATTTAATTAAATTAATTAATTAATTAATTAATTGAGACAGAGTCTCACTCTGTGCACAGGTTGGAGTGCAGTGGCACAATCTAAGCTTACGGCAACCTCTGCTTCCCAGGCTCAACCAATTCTTGTGCCTCAGCCTCCTGAGTAGCTAGGATTACAGGTGTGTGCCACCATGCCTGGCTAATTTTTTGTATTTTTAGTAGAGACGGGATTTCGCCATGTTGGCCAGCCTGGTCTCGAACTCCTGGCCTCAAGTAATCTGCCCACCTCAGCCTCCCCAACTGCTGAGATTGTAGGCATGAGCCACCGTGCGCGGCCTCATTTAATTCACTTTTGAAAAACAAAGTATAGTATGACATCACATTCTACTGAATATTCTTTGGGATATTTCTTATAACCTTTGCTGCTTTCTGCCCCTATTTGCTTTGCTTTAGTTCAGGCACTAGTCCCTTCATAGTTAGCTAATTTCCGGAGTACTTTGGTGAATAACTCTTCCAACCCCAAACCTTTCTAGAGACCACGGTCATAAAACTCTTAAGTCATGAATATTAAAATCTCCTGGGCTCCAAATTTGCTGCCACATAAAAACTAAAATTCTCTGCCTTGTGCTGGTCCTGCAGTAACTATGGAAACATAGTGATTAAGAATACAACTCTAGAATCTGGCAAAGCTAGATTTGTTCCCACACTTCCTAGGTTTGTAAAGTGGGGTGTTTCAGAGCTTCCCAAGTCTGTTTCTTCCTCCGTAAATGGAAGATAATAATTGTATTTACCTCATAAAGTTGTCTTGGAATTGACATGAGATGATGCCTCTAAAGTGTTTAGCAGTTTGCATGGTAAGAGCAAAAATTGGACAAAATATTAGCAACACTCGTTGCATTTTCTGTGACTCTCCAGGATGCTTGCTCAGCTCTGGTCAGTGGAGCCTATTCACTGTGAAGCAGGGTCAAGAATGGTAGCACAACATTCCTGGCAGGTATCCTAATGGGTACTGAGCCAACCCCATGTATTGGGTAGGAATCTATTGTTAGCACAAGAAAAGGAAGCTTGGGATGGCTAAAGTGAGGTAGACAATTGGTGAAAGACACTGAAGCAAATATCTAGTGTTTGACTTGAGTGGTTTGAGTTCTGTAAACCAGGCAGAGGCTCATTCTATTGTGTCAGGTGTGGCAACATTCTCTATGGAAGCTAAATTGTTTTTTGGGATTCATTGATTTAGGCAGTGTCTAGATGTGAAGAGACAAGACAGGAGATGTCTCTTACCTATCTAGATGTAGTGCTTTTTTACTCCTGGGGTTTGGAGGTATGGGATGTTCTGTGTGCTCCTATGATGCTCCACACTGACTTGATGCCCACTGGAGTTGTGTGGAGATGCTGAGCACATCCCCGGAATGGGCTGGGAGATGATATGAAGGCTTCGCATAAGTGACCCTGACATCTGAAGCAGGCTCTTCTGCATAATCAGTGATGCTTATAGGCAGAAACTAGATACCTGTAACTAGATATCTGTGGGCCATTGGATGTCAGGAAAGGTTATTAGCATATTCTGAAGCACCTGTTCTGGCCATTTCTTACTGGCTTGAAAGTCATTGCCCTGTCCAACAAGGCTACGTTGTATACCTTGCAATTTGTTTCAGTTTAGAGCACAGGCATTTGTTTATGTAGTTAGAATTTTAAACACTGATGGAATAGTTTCTAATTTGTGCCTGAGAGTTTACACATAATCTGCGAGCATACAAAAATTTGCAATTCTATGTGGATGATGGTTTAAACATCAGCAGGGAAAAGTAATATGCTTTTATTGTATATTTTAGAATGCTGATTGAATTGGCTTCTCACTGTATTTGTCAAGGCTGGAACAGACGATGGCACTGCAGAATCTTATGTGCACAGAAGAAATCTACAGACATTCAATGAGGGGAGGATTTCGTTCCATCAGATGGGCTTCCTGACATAATTGCAAAGGTAGCATGGAATAGAGAAAAGAACATTGGAGTGGTTCCAGAATTCTAGGTGGTTTCAGATTTTTTACTAATTACTCAGGTGGCTTTGGGCAAGCCACTTAGCTTCATAGACTTCTGTTTCCTCATCTGTAAAATGAAGTGAGGAGACTTCTTGTTAAGTTTGGCAGATTAAACACTTGGGTTTATCTACATGTTCTCTCCAAACACCACTAAACTTTGCAGTAAGGAAATAAAAAGACATTAAAAACAATGATAAAGAGAGCAGGACAATAACAATAACAGCAATAACATTTTTAAAGCAAGAGAGAGGTGAACCAGTGGTAACTCAGCCCTGAGGAAACAGAGCCTCCATGGGAGTGGGGGAGGCCCAGAAGCAAAAGTGGTCTTACTAGAGTCCCAGAAAGACTCAGTAATGGAAACCTAGGAACTTCCAAAAGTGGGGACAAATTAGGGTCAGAAACAGGGAAATAGGCTGAAGATACGGATAAAAAAGCAAATTCATCAGAGAACTCCTCCCCAACCCTGCCCCTTATCTCTGAAGCTTTAGCTGGGAAAGCCGGGCTGACTCACTTCTGGTGAATGTGGTCTGCTCTCCTCCTGTAGGCAAAGCCCAGGCTCTTACATTGTGGCTGGGCAGGGTTCCAAGAGGGCTAGTCGAGGCATGCAAAGACTTTTGAGGCCTAGGCTTGGAACTGACACAGTGTCTCTTCTATGCATTCAGTTGGGCAAAGCAAGTCACAAGTGTAGCTCAGATTCAAGAGCTGGGGAGGGATAGGGTCTACCTCTTGATGGACAGGGCTGCAAAGTCACATTGCAAAGGAACGTGGCTACAGGGAAAGAAAGAGTTGTGGCCAGTTTTGGAAACAAGCTTAAGGCACAATAAGGATGAGATTCCTGAAAAATTCAGTTTTCAAACTTGCACACAAAAAGTAAGGCCATGTGCAAAAAAAGATTGAGGTAGAAAATTCACAACTTATGCAAAGCACTAGTAAAGACAATAATTGATACTCAGGAAATTAACTTGTACTATTGAGGCAGGCTGCGTGTGGCTGGGGCCTGTTACAATTGTTGTGAAGTCAGAGGAATAATTGAGAGAGAATGTTAGTAACACATACACAAGAGCAGAGCTGGTAGGAACTCCGACAATGCAGTAGAAGTGGCCTTCTCAGTCAGTGTGGCTGCCCTGAAGGTGCCACAGAGACAATACCACCTGCCAGGAGTCAAGAGTCCCACAGGTGTGGGGTGTAGCCGCTTCGAGGGTGAAGCCCAGGTTTAAGTACTTGTTTTTAATTTTCAAACCACAGGCAAACGGTTTCTATTGCCAGAGCAGCAACCATTAAAAACTTTTTCCTTTCCTACCGAAGGTTATACTTCTGCTCCACATCCTGTTTTCTTGAGCAGAGGAAGTATTGCATATAAATTAATTCTGCATTATACTGACATAATTTTTCTATTTACCAACTGCGTAGGAGCTAATTTGTATTATAAAACCACATCTGTTGTAAAATAGACTCCACAGAGGAATTATGTAAAAGTCTACATAGTGCATAGAGAGGTCCTCAGCCTCCTTTCCCAACCTGCCTTCAAGAACATGCTGGCAGCCAGGCTTTTATCCCTTAGGCAAGAGGGTGGATGAGCCTAATTGGAAAGGCATACAGATATCAACTTTAGGGATCCCTCAATCAAAAGCCCAGCCAAATCATCCTACAGAGCAGCCTGTCTCCTTAAGGCACAGAGCTTCCAGTCAGCTTTTTATTGCCTTGCTTTTAAAGGTTAAGGGACAGCCAGGGACATCAGCTATTTGACAAAAGCTTCTAATTTGAAAGACACAATCAACAGAAACAATGGGAACAAAAGGAACAGAAAGGAGGTAGGGACAATGTAAGGAATAGAAACAAAGAAAAAGCTAACAAAGGCAAAACTATAAATAATATCCTCTGAGTATAAAAGATGATATTGCATACATAAAATAAGAAGAGAATGTTATAAAAAAGAAATATTCAGAGAACAAAAAGAGCTCTTAGAGCTTAAAAAGAATATTGCACAAATGAAAATTTTAATAGAATTGTTGGAAGATAAAGTTGAGGAAATATCCCAGAAAGTATACCAAAATGACAGACACACACAAAAAGGATTTTTTTAAAAAAAAATTCGAGGATGAATCCAACAGGTACAATATCCAACTACTAGAAGTTACAGAAAGGAAAAAAAAAAGCAGAGGGAAGGATATTACAAAATAAATGAATTAAGAAAATTGCCCAGAACTGAGAGGCAAACCTATAGCTCGAACTGGTTAACTCACAAATAGGTGAAAGGACACACATCACACCTTACATCATTGCGAGAGTTTAGAACGCTGGCAGAGAGAGAAGGTCCTAAAAGCTTTAACTGGAAAAAAACTCCCAATAATCACAACCATAAAAATGAGAACCCAAGTATCATTAGTCTTGTCAATAGCAAAATGGGAAATTCAGAGGGAAAATGATATCCAGACTAGAGTTTTATACCCAGCCAATCTCACAATTAATATGAGGGAATAATAAATGCCTTTTCAGACACATGAAGACTCAACGATTTATCTCCCATCAACCTCTTCTTAGTTAATATCAGCCCATGTGCTCCAAGAAAACCAGAGGAAATATCAAGAAAGAAGAAAACATGAGACCCTGAAAATAAAAACCTCAACCCAGAAGGTATGCCAAAGAAATCTCCAGGGCGACGGGGAGGGAGATGCAGATGCCATAGCTGTGAAACTAGCTTGGAGAGCAGCAAATCCCAGAAGTGGGGCACAGAGGCTCCAGAAAAATGTTTCAAAGGGAAGGATGAAGGCTTATAGAATACCTGATTGCTTGAATGCGTTGAAAAAAATATTTATTCCTAGAAGTCTGGGAATGAATATTCATTAATATTGGATGAAGAAAATAGACTTTTATTGGCCGGGTGCAGTGGTTCATGCCTGTAATCCCAGCACTTTTGGAGGCCGAGGCGGGCGGATCACGAGGTCAGGAGATCAAGACCATCCTGGCTAACACAGTGAAACCCCGTCTCTACTAAGAATACAAAAAAAAAAAAAAAAAAAAAAATTAGCCAGGCGTGGTGGCGGGAGCCTGTAGTCTCAGCTACTTGGGAAGCTGAAGCAGGAGAATGGCGTGAACCCGGGAGGCGGAGCTTGCAGTGAGCAGAGATCGTGCCACTGCACTCCAGCCTGGGTGGCAGAGCCAGACTCCGTCTCAAAAAAAACAAAAACAAAAACAAAAATTAGACTCTCATTAAAGCAGAAAAAATATTTTGGTAATCTTACCATCCAGAGATAATCACTATTCTTGTTTTTACGTACATAGTTGAGACCTTTATGTATGTTAAATTTTGTATCTTTCTCACACATCCATATCACGAACATTTCCTCTAAATTATATAAAACATAAGCAAGAAATAAATTGATAAAGAGGAGCTTATGGTACATATCTTTTATAGGTCCTTTCCTTCTATAAGGTAAAATAATTTAATGAATTGGACTAGATACAATATTCTGAAATTGGGTGGAGGGTAGTGCCAATTTTAAATTATCCTGTCTACCTATCAAGTCATGTTTGCTTTTATTGGGTGGGTGCTCAGAATATGTGATCCTTGAAGAAATAAGCATCCATGTCTATGGAGACATGACATCACCTTTGGGAAAATGACTTTGTGACAATTTATCTTACTGTATTTGACAATAACAGTGACATGTTATATATGCAGAGTGCTGCTTATGAACTTTTAAGAGCTTTCTCTTGCTGTATCTCACTCAATTCTGACAATAACTCCATGAAGTAGGTAAATAGACAATTTTTTGTATCCCCAAAACATTAATATTTAATATAATGTAAATGTTACTAACAGTGTCTATCTTAAATAACACCTTGCATTTCTTCAGGATAGTGCTTTCTCAGGTAATATTGCATGAGATTCTTTGTTTAGGAGAATTGGGCTATAGGAAATTCATAGAAATGCTGGAATGCTAATGGAAATTTCATGCCTTGCCTATTTCTCTCCATCCACCCATCCATCCATCCATCCATCCATCCATCCTCCATCCATTGACTTGTAGTCTGACGGCTATAAAAGAGGTCACATGGATTATCAGATAATTCTTCTTTTTGGCCAATTGTGGAATCATGTCTTAGTGATAACACAGGTTTCTCTTCTCTTGCTCTGATGGTAGTTCCCTCAACATTTTCCCTTGGAATAAAATAAGGTCTGGATAGTAGTATTTGCAGGACCCCAGCAAGGGTAGAGGTGGGAAGTGGGAAAGGATGCTCCATTAAAACAGTGAGGAGGAAGAGCCATCCGATTTTATGCAGCTGCAAACTGAATGATGAACTGGACTGGGATCTGCAGGACTTGATGGGCCAGTCAGAATAAAATGTCCTAGTCTTTTTAAACAACAGTTTCTTTGCCTAAAACACAGAAATAGAATTCACACCTATTTCAAAGGCATGTTGTGAAGATCAAAATAAGTTTTTGCATCATTTTAAGATGTTTTGGAACCCTTGTGTTAAAGGAATTGGAAGCTTTCTACCTCTGGTGCATGAAAAATAACCAAAGTTCAGCCCATGCAGCCATGAAGAAGCTTGAGAAAGACCACCGCTAAGAATGGAAAGGGGGCCTATAACTCTGGTACACTATACTCCTGCAGCCCAAGAGCCAGCTTCTCCAAAAACTACAGGACGGAAGTGCAAAATCCCTCTCTATGCTCTTCTCAAAGCTCTTAGAGAAGTCCTTTTGGCTCTGTTATCCGCATGGGTTCTCTGTGTGTGTGTGTGTGTGTAGGAATAACAGCATGTTTGGCTGGTGGAACACCTCTGTCTTCTGAACCCTGGTTCTTCTTGATTTTCCTTTAATTAGAGTTGATTTAATTATTAAAGTTTCCTATTTTTTTTTAAGAAGGCAAGGAGTTCTATTGATTTATAATTTCCCTAGAGCTTATTGTTGTCTTGCTATGACCCAAAGAAAAGCGTGTGTGGAAAGAGAGGTCCTATCAGAGAGTTCTGAGGCCACTGATTGACCCTCCTCTTTCTACCCTAACTAAATATGAAAATAAAAGCAGGCAGCAAACATCTGTTATCTTTATCAGAAACCTGGACTTTCAGTTTCATACCACACACGTGAAATGGAGAAAACAAATTAACTGAAGGCACTGTAGACTCTGAGTCACATAGATGTATTTTTAATTTTAAACAATTGCTTGTCACAAAACTCAAAGTATTTTTTTTTCTTTTCAGTGTAGGAACGTGGGAAATGAGTGCGTAGTGTGCCTGCAGGGCTTGGACCTCGTGCCCTTGGAGCTAGGAACACGGTGCTTTTGGGATTCTCTTTCTATCCCCTAGATGGCAGCAACATTCTTTAGAGCCTAACTGGTAAAAACAAACAAACAAACAAAAAAAACACCTATGGAAAAGCTGCAAGTCCTGCCTGTTTAGTCTTGGCTTTCAAATTTACATAGTACCTTTACTGTGCTATTTATGTGACTGCTTGGCTTAGTGAGTCTACTATTTATTAATGAGAATACATGACTTTCTCTGTTGTATGGAAAAATAATGGTTTTGTATATCTAGGTCTGTTGGTATCTCTAGACCAGGGTTTCTCGCATTGACATGATTGACGTTTTGGGCTGCATAATTCTTTGTGGTAGGGAGCTGTGCATTGAAAGATGTTTAGCAGCATCCTTGGCTTTTACCCACCCACTAGATTCCAGTGGTACTTCTTCCCTCCCCACCTCAGTCATGACAACCAAAAATGTCTCCAGATATTGCCAAATATTTCCCGGGGGGCAAAATCAGCCCTGGCTGAGAACCACTGAATTAGGTTGTTTTACTTATCTCCAAAGATTAGCTCCTGTATTACTATCATTTAATTTTGTAGGGATGGTTAAATTAAAGCATATCTACTTACACTTTTTCTTTTCTTTTTCTTTTTTTTTGAGATGGAGTCCTGCTCTGTCACTCAGGCTGGAGTGTAGTGGTGCGAACTTGGCTCACTACAACCTCTGCCTCCTGGGTTTAAGCAATTTTCCTGCCTCAGCCTCCCAAGCAGCTGGGATTACAGGTGCCTGCCACCATGCCCAGCTAATTTTTGTATTTTTAGTAGAGACAGGGTTTCACCATGTTCACCAGGCTGATCTCGAACTCCTGACCTCAAGTGATCTGCTCACCTCGGCCTCTCTACTTATAATTTAAATATATTCTATTTTTTTATTTGTTTGCTTGGGGGATACTTTTTCTGGAGGAGAAAGAAATGAGGCTGAAAAGACAAAGATACATGTAAAGACGTTGCACATCTTACCTCCAAATGAGAAGATTGAGGTTTTCAAATTATAGCTTCCTATTAATAATAGCCACACATATATACTTTTGTTACTTTTTATTCCTTTTGATTTTAACTAGCCTGGCTGAATATGAATGATGGGAAGGAGAAAAGCAAAAGGGGGTTATACTTGAAAATTGTTTTAGTCTATGAAAAAGGCTCAAAGAATTATAGAAGGATTGTGGAGATCACTCGGTCCAACTTGTGAGCCTTAAATCTGGGGTGCAGTAGTTATGGTGTAAGCTGAGGAGGAGCCAGGGCAGTATCATCACAGGTGCTCAGCCCAATGGCCTCTCCTTGGTGAGGAAGGTGAAGCCAATTTGAAAGCAAAGAGAGAGATTCGGTTCTCTGCAAAAAACAAACAAAACCAAAGCCAGTCCCTCCTCCACCCAATCTTCCATTGTAAATTCTGAGAAGGGAGCACCAGGCCTGGAGGATGCTGTCAGAACAGGACTCCTGAGGAATTAGATGCACCCGAGATGGCGATGGGACCCAGGTGTAATAACCAACACTCCACCTTCTATTAAATAGGAACTTTCTTCTGATTTGTTCCAAACACTCCCCACACTCGGAGAGCATTCCAGTGAAGTGGGTGGAGAAGGAAACAGATGTGAGACCAGATGCAGATCTGAACAAATTTGTTAGGTGAGTTCACGGATCCTTCCTTCTTTGGGAAGTGTTAGAGAAAGGAGGGAATTTCTGGAAACCAACCAAGTCAGTCTTGGAGATATATCCAGAGAACTCCATCAGCTATGAAGGGACCATGTTCCCACCTTTAGAACAGATATGATCTACAAAATAGAGCAAATGCTTTTTCTGGCGAGGAAGGACAGAGGGCAGAAAATGAGGTCCAAATAGAGTGGTTTGAGTTGTCCTCATCTGAGCCTAAACAGTTATGATGGAATCTCAGGAGGAGCCACATGGTATGAAAGGGTTTAATATTGAGTGAGCCTGGAGGAGGGACAGTATTGAAAGCCCAGCTCAGATGTACAGGATGTGTCTGTTCTTTAAAGATACTGATGCATTTCTCTTGAATTTTTCTACACTGCTGGGTCAAGCTATGTCAAGAATCTCTGTCTCATTGGGAAATGAGATATTTTCTACAATCTGTTTTTTTCTCTCATGATTCCCGTCGAGTTAAAGGCTGACATCTCATCAAGCAGCTCAACAGCCCCAGAGAGAGAGAGCGAGAGATCCCTTAGAGAGCTGGGCCCCAGGGAGAGACACATCTGAGGAACTCTCCCTGCATTGACTTGGCTTTGTGGCCTCTGTCCGAGGTTTTCAGATCTTATCAAATAGTGTCTCATTTGCACTGCAGTGCATGTCACAAAGCCCTGTGGATGCAAAGGAGGTGACAGCAAAAAAGGTTAACAGCAAACTGGGGACAGTGCCAGGAATGGAACTTGATTCCTTAATTCTTGTTCCAGAACCCAAGCAGCCTGGCTTTGCCAGGGCCAGCCTGGGTCTGTTCATAGAGCTGTCATTTGGCTTTTGGTCGTTTATATACCATTTGCTAACTGTTCATAATTCCAGTGCAATTTTCCTCAGAACATGGGAAACAAAGACAGCGAAACAAGGGGCTTTTATGTTTTTCTGTGCTGTCGTCAGTGGATGAAGTTGGCTGGGCAAGAGTACAAGCTTTTTCTTGCTACACTTGATGGAGTTTCCTTTTTTAAATGAACATTTTTAGGGAGAAAATGTCAGTGTGCAGGGTAAATGCAGAATGCCCTGTTAAATATTTAAAACATAGCATTTGTCCATCGATTTTGGCAGGGTTAGAGTCAATAGATTAATCATTCAGTCAACAAATACTTGAATAGATGCAAATCATTCATTGCTGTCAGAGCTACTCCTAGCCCCCACTGAGTCTTTGTGCAAAATTGAAAAAGGGGGTCCTCTGGGCAGAAACAACTCTGCACCAGGCCACATGACTTCAAGAGTCCCTAGCTCTCAGTCATGTGCCTTTGTGCAGTGTACAAACTGTGCAACTGTACATGACTATACATTGAGAGAGAGAGTGGGCCATATATTATGCCATTAGAGTACAAAATTAGGTCTTGAGCAGAATTTCAAGAAAAAGTCCCCCTTTTTGGGGCATGGCAAACAGAAGGAAGTAAGTTGCTTATTCTAAGGGAAAAACTACAAAGGCTTGCTGGGGTTTTGCCCCTAAATTCTTTACCCCTACTGCTGGGATAATACAGCCTCCTCTGGGCTGTAGGAACAATCCTGGATGTAAGGAGAAGGATAAGAAGGACCTGAGGACTCAGTATTGAATGAATCTCATCTTTCAGCTTCACGGTGATATCTCATGTCCATCTAGGTACAGATCCATGGTTTTTTGGTTCCTGCCCTATCTTCAGAATTCTCTTAGTGGTGGAATTTGTGCCTGTTTTTTACCCGTCATTTTCCCCTCTCCTTAGGGTCCTACCTGAACCCTTGACTGGTGCCCTATGACCATTTGCTGTGTTCTCCTAATGCCACACACCTTTCTGACTCCCTGGAAGCCTTTATGCTTCCAGGAAACTACCACAAGGAATTCTGACAATGGCCTCACCTGTTAGGGTGACTGCCTGGATCAAGGGCTCATTTTAGACCTATAAATCCTATTCGTGTTTCCTATCTTTTACTCCATGGATCTATTTCCTGGTTTTGGACTAATCTTTAGAACCATAGTTCTCAAAAAAGAATGCTTATTAGAACTGCCTAGGGTGCTTTGTAAAACTTGGGTGCCCAGATACACTTCTGCCCACTGAAATTAGAATGTCTGGGGAGGCACAGGCACCTGTATCTTTAAGCCTCCATAAGTTATTTCTACAGGCAGGCAGGCATGGTTGAGAACACTGTTTAGAATCACATCCCCACGTTTGTCTACTCTTTTTTTGTTGTTTGTTTGTTTTCTTTATCTCTTCTTCATTTCTGAAGTTCGCTCTTTGATTAGTCAGCTTTTTTTATGTGTGTTTCTATGTTGAGAACTGTGGCCTTCACCTAGACTCATGAGTCTGATTGCACTAATTTTTCCCGGGCCAGCCTGGCTCACCACCAGACAAGCTTAAATTATGATTATGTTTTGGAGCCAGAAGGCTGAGAGGGCTATCTGGAGACCCAAAGTTAGCCTTTTGTGGTTTCTTTATCCTGTAATTCTAATAAATGCAATTCATCAACCTGTCTTGCACAGGAAAGAACATTCTTTGTAGGCAGACCTCAACTTATGAATAGATTATGTTCCAAAATTTGTTTGTGGTCAGTTGTTAGGGACGTAGAACTCCATTCCCAGAATAACAAAGTTACAAAGGAAAGTTTCAGGTCGCAATAGTCTACTGAGTCTTTGAAAAGCCGAACTTTAGAACGAATAGAGCCAAAGGCTCAAGTCTGTGATTAGGCTGAACCACATGAAATTGAGATTTTTGTATGTCAAAAATGGTTGAATATTGGCAATTTTCTGTAGGCTCAACCAATAATATGTTTTGGTTTAGGGAGGGGGAAAACATTTTAAGTGCTAGATTAGAGTGTTTCAGAACAGTTCATGCTTATCAAGATTCTAAGAGGACCCTAAAGGACTACCTCATTTTTAAAAAGTCCTTGCACCCCCTTCAGTCTCTCTCCTTCTAGCCAGGTAAAATGTAAGCAAAGACAGCACAGGCCTTCTGAGGGAGCAGACATACAAATGAGGAGGGCTTTAGCAGTTGTGGATTTCTATTGATTCTGCTGGTGAATGGGTTGGGGCAGAGGTGTCTAGGTGAGCAGGAGGGAGATGAGGTTCTTATGTTGGCAGCCTCCAGATAAGCAGATGTTTCTACAGAAACCTTTCAGGTACTGTGTGGAAAATCCTGCCCTGCCCTTTCCTCCTGGGGTAGGGGACAGCAGCGGTTGGGGTGCTGTCAGAAGCAGGGCAGACTGCAGGCATGAGCTGAAGAGTAGCATCATTGCCACACCCATGGGTCACGTGACTGCGGAGAGTGTGGATGTGAGGCCAGTGAAAGTTATCTACCTGGAGAAGTGACGAGTATGTTGTTTGGATGAGTCAAAGCTTATGTGCCTCACTTAGTGTGCGTTGCCTTGCAGTAGAAATTGTACATTTTAGACAGTGAATGGATTACTTTGTGAGTCACAAAGCTGCTGTATGTCCTTTCCTTACTTATGTAGGAAAGGCCATTCTGCTTTTGGAACTCAAGATAAATGCCTTATACATAGTAGGGATGTGCTAAGGATTGCCTGGGAACAATCACTTTTTTTCCTATGGAAAGTTCAAAGGTCATGTGTGTAATTCCTCTGGAGGAAAATGTAGCAGTTGTCAGAAAAATTTTCATACATTTGTATTGCTTAGGAAACTGACTGCTTTAGAAGAAGGCTGTATGTTCATTTAGAAAACAATGGGTTTCTTTACTTTAATGTTAATTGTATATTTGATATAGGAAAACACATTTTTCACTGATGCTTATCCTTTCTCTAATAATCCAAGTTCCTATCTTGACTCTATACAAATTAAAATTCGATTTGTAGCCAACTTTTACTCAGTAAAGGGGCTTGAGAATTGTGCTGCTCCAAATGAATTCTAGGTCAACAAGGGGAAATCTTTGCACCCTTCTGGAGTTGACTGTTTGAGGACAACTGCAGATTTACATTTAGAACAGATGAGAATGGAAACAGACTGTAATTAAAAAAGATTCGACTGTGAGGACTGCAAAGATTATGGAAGCTCCTTTTTTCCTCCTTAGTCAAGCATAAGTAAATAGAAAAATTGGAGTCCATATACAGGAGCCTTCACAAAAGTCTGGGTCACATCCTTCAAAAGGAATGTGGCAGCAAATGGATGATTACAAATTCCATGGACTCTGAAAAGTAGTCTGATCTCTTAGCTTTTGCAGTGATTTCCATAATGTATTTTACTTCACCATGACATCTTACTGCCATACATTGCCTGTTTTCACCCATGAGGTCAATTCTGAGTCACTTTGTGCAATTATGTAAAGTACAAGAAAATAATGTTACTGTCAGCCATTTTTGAAAATCTTCCCATGATAGAGTCTCACTCTAGACTAGTAACACTGTATTGTTCTTTCAATTTTGTACTGTATTTTAGAATACATTAAAAAAGTTTCTAGGCATCTTTTAAAAATGATTTCTAATATACCTCTTTCCAAGGTTTGTTTATTTTTAAGATAGTGGTCTTTAACAATTTTAATAAAAGTCTATGAGCATTGCTCACTGGCTATTTCCAGACTGGAGCCAATCTGACTATAGAAGAGATCATTCTATTTCTGTATATTAGCACCAACGAAACATAGACACACACTGTTATCCGTGCTGTGACAGTCTCTGGAGCCTTTTGCTTCAGCCTCAGACAAGGGGAGAAATCATATCGGCTTTGCTCATCCTCTTTCATCTGTGATTATGTTATTTACACAGCGAGAGGCATGGACTGATTGAAGGCACATGCAGAAAGTGTCTGTCTTGTAATTTGGGCGTGTCCAGGGCTGAGATAGGGGCTGGGAGAAGGCAGAGATGAGAAGCCTCTTCCTAAGAGCATAATCAGATTAAACTTCTCCTCAGAGGAGTATAACTAAAATAGTGTTTTCACTGTGGGTACATGGATTTATATAGACTGTTCAGAAAATAGACTGTATAGGTAAAAAGACAGAGATGTAGCATATAGAAAATAGATAAGTGATTCTAGCCTTAATTAGTGAAGGGCATAGCTAGTATTGAAGGGATAAAAATTCAGTAGATAAGAGCTATAAACCAAATGAATTTTAGGCAAGTTTTAGTCAGCTACCAAAGATAAAGGCCATATTCTCAAGGGCAATAGGGCATTGCAGAAAATTCAGTTGTTGAATGTCAGTGTTCAAAGAGCAGAGACCTAGCACACAAGTGGAGATGATATATCATGAGTGAAGGAGTTATCAATACTGTCAAATGCTGCTGAGAGGAAAAGCAAGATGGTGGTAGAGATTGATCACTAGATTTGGCCAGATAGATGGAGATCAATCTATCTATCAATTATCAATTTATCTATCTATCTATCTTATATATACATACACATAAACATATACATACAGAAATTGAATAATATTATTAGAAAACCTGATCATACAGCCCTTTAAATATATTTTTTGCAGATTTTTTAAAAAACTCACTGATTTGTAGGTTGATGTTGTATTAATTGTTGCAGAATAATTCAGATATTCTCATATTCATGGAGAACATTGTACCTCATATTTCTTGAAATGTCAAAGGCATTAGGAAGAAATAAATTTTTATTAGAACTTTATTGCAATACTTAATAAATTGACTATGCTTTCATTAATTTTGATCTTTGGTAAGAATTCATAGGGCATATGAGTAATTATTTTTCCTATTAGAATTCAACTGTCATAACTCTATTCAGAATCAGAATCATTGTAGAATTTTTGAGCTAATAGGGTTGAAAGACAAAAGAGTCTTAAAACAGAAAAGCAATTTGATGTAATAAAAAGAAAACTGGCTTGAAAGTTAAAAACTTGGGTGTAAATTCTAGCTCCACAACTTACTATTTGATTTTCTGTGAGTTTGTGGAGTCTCAGTTTTCTAACCCATAAGATGAGGATAGCTAGCATTTACATGCTTGTGAGAAGGGTCAAATCTGGTAATGTATATAAAGCACATAGTGCATGCCTGATATGGACTAGGAATTCACATCGTGTTGGTGGCTCTCCCTCATCACTCCCAAAGTCCCAAAGGTAGAGTAGCCCAGCCAGGACTAGAACCAGACCTCCTGACTTGATTTCCGAACTTGCCCATTTCTAATAATTTTTGACTTTGCTTCTGTCTTGAAAACTGTTAATTTTTCCAATGAGCCATCATGATTGTGAATGGAGATGAAGGCAGGGAAGCCTCTTGCCTCATGTGCTTTGGCTCTGCAGTCATGGTCACTGAGACCCTCACGAGGAAGTTGGGTGTAACATGGAAGCTATCCAAAAATAATCAGAAAGAGGCTGCTCTGTGCTTCAAGGAGTTTTCATATAACATAAGCATTAGTGCTCATTGTGTAGGGAAATTTAAGTGAGAATCGGTGTATGACATTCACTCCATTCCCAAATTACTGGTCTTTCAAAGCACTGAGGGGCCTGGGCCAGCTTTTTGTCATCTATTGCCAAAGGAAAAAGGATGTTTTCTTAGCAGATACAGTAACTGATGAAGTTCATGATGGCTGCCACCATTCCTGTCTCTCAGCCGGCACGGGCTACTCATGCATATTTTTAAGTCATCCACTTTGTGCATTCCCATCTCTACATCTTGGTCTATGTCTTCCCTGTTTTTCCTCCTTTCTCTGCCCACTGGAAATCACCTTTACTCTCTTTGAGACTTATGCATCCATCCTCAGAAGCTAGCTGCATTCCAATTTTTTTTTGAAAAGCTCAACACCCAAGAAAGCTCTCCATCCTTAGAACAATGGATAACCATTTAATCTAAAGAATAAAGCTATGCACAGTTTGACAGAAAGACCACACTGATCACAATTCCCATGTGGCTCTCTAATCTTCTAAAATGTATACTGATGACAGACAGGACTCTTCATGGGTCAACTTAGGACCAGTAATGACAGAAATAAAACTTATAGGCCTGGATCATTAGTTTCAAGAAAATATATTCAGCACCATCAATGATATGAAGTAGCACAGACAAAGGATACCTCTGAGCCCCTCTGCCCCCCATCTAGGGTGACGGCTCTGGGTGGTGCTGATGGTTAGCAGCCCATCAAACTGAAGAATCTGTGAGTCAGGATAAAGAATTTCATTCTTTTCCCAGCTAAAGGACTATGTCACTGCAGAGATATCTCCTGCTTAATGTAAATCAATAACTCTGGTACTCAGTAAACTTAGGGGCTAATGCTAAAATTAAAGCTTAGTTATGAGACCACATTGGAGAGTGTCGAGTCTTGCTTATTGCCTGTGCTCCCAGGCTGGCCAAACCTAAGGGAGCCATAACAAATGCTGATATAGTGGGTTGTCATGCAAAGAGCATGCATGATGGGAGCAGAAAGATCTAAGTTCAAGCCCTGACTCCTGACACAGTGGCTAGTTGTGTGTTCTTGGGCAAGAGAGTTGATTTCCGTGTCTTAGTCTACTCACCTGTTAAATGGTGGAAAGTTTGGCTTCTGCTTGGTTTCGCCTGGGTACATTCATATTGAGGTAGGAGGTGGGACTCCAGAGGTGGAGCTTGGACACTGGACCAAACTGAGGACTTGCTAAAACAGGGACAGGGTGGAAGCAGCTTCCCATAAGACATGCCCACCAGTGTGCCCTGTCAGTTTACCACTGCCATGGCAACACCCTGAAGCTACCTCCCCTTTTCATGGCAATAACCCAACAACCCAGAAATTACCACATATTTTTCTAGAAATTTCTGCATAATACACCCATCAATTTGCATATAATTAAAAGTGGATATAAATATGACTACAGAACTGCCTCTGAGCTGCTACTCTGGGCACACTGACTATGAGGTAGTCCTGTTAAGCAAGGAGCAGTGCCTCTGCTGTGGCTGCATACTGACATTTCAAAAAAAGTTGTTGCCTAACACCACTAGCTCACCCTTGAATTATTTCCTGGGTGAAGCCAAGAACCTTCTTTTGGGGCTCACCTGCCCTGCATCAATGTTACTGAATTCAGCTGGCTTGTCAGCTGAGGGTTGGTTTATATTCTCAAATTTGCCTCATTTTCTTCCACTCTTAGTTGAGGGCAAAACCAGAAATGTAGTCTGGGTGATATTCTGCCTGTATCCATTCATTTGTAGCCAAAGAACTGGATGGTCAGAGGATTCATGAAGTTGAAAAAAGATGCATTGTTGACACTTGAGTTGAAGTCAAGTTGTCTTGAGTCTGCAAGGTAGAGAGGGCCCTGCTGGCTTCACCATGTTCAGCAGCTGTGAAGTTGTTTCTCTCAGGACAAATGATGGTTGCAGACCTTTTAGAAACATTTCATCCTTAGAAATCTAGCATTGATTTTTTTTTTTAAAAAAACATCTTTTGAACATTACTGTCATCACTTATGAAATGTGGATAATAATACCTCCCTCTCAGGACAGCTGTGAAAGTTCACAATAGAACTGAAATTCTTCACACATATTATATGTTTGTTTTATCCAAAGGGTCAAGGTTGACTATGAGAGGATGTGCATGCTAGGAAGTAGCAGAATTCATAGTTTTGCTTTTGTTTTTTTGCTTATACAAGAATTGTGTTCTTATTGGAACCTTGATAGGATTAGCCCAAGAACATTTTTCTATCCGTGTAGCACTGCATAACTGCCTGTTACCATTCTCCATTTTGACAGCTGATGGGGTTTGCTGAGCCACAACATTGTGTCTGTGGTTCCTGACCTTATGATGCTTGTATGGGCATGTGGGGGATGTGAGTTACTTGGTTCTACTGCCACCTCTTCTATTCTCTTGCTCTGAACCAGAGTGCTGGTCTCTGATCTGATGGAGTCAGTGGTGACTGCGGGGAGGGAACCAGGGTGCTGGTCTCTGATCTGATGGAGTCAGTGGTGACTGGTGTTGTGGGGGGATCGTCTGCTGTGGGTCCAGGCAGTCTCTCATGTGCTGTGATACCCCCTTTGAGGTAAGTGGAGACACATTTCTTTCCTGGCAGCTGCAGACCTCAAGCATCAGCAGAGAGCTTTGAAGTTTTCTGGGGAGCTGGAAAGACATTTCATTAAGAAAAAGAATTATTATTGCTTCCTGACTTTGGTGAGTTAGCAATGGTCTGGTGAATTTGGAAAGCAGCAGTGGACTTCTTGTTTAATTGTCTTGATTTATTTTTAATAAAAAATGAAAACTCCTCTAGCTAAATATGATCAGCAAAAATAAACAAAACAAGACAGACAAAACTCTGGCTTTTATTTTGCTAGAGTTGTACAAATGTATATTTGCAAATCAGAAAGTAAATAAAAACAAATGAAAAATGTGTGTGATTCTGTAATTCTCACAACATGCAGCAGGAATTTAAATGATATTAAATTAACTGAAATACATTTGTATTATGTCTTCAGAGTTCGTTTTTAACCTCTCTTCTCTTTTGAATAGGCCTTGGGGTAGGGGTTGTTTTAAGATTGACCCAAATTTAGCCTTCCAACATTTCCCCTAACTATTGCAGAATCCCTCCTCCTTCCTTTCCTCCTCCTCTTCCTCCCATTCCTTCTCCTCCTCCTAATAATGGATATTTCCTTCTCCTCTGTCTCTGTGTGAGGAATAGCTCTCTTCCCTAATTGCACGCACAGTGTGGTAGTATGGCTTTTGCTGGCAATAGGAATGATCATGTGCAGACATGGGTTTTACAAATGTGAATTTTATAGTGGGCTTTTAACTGATGCAAGGAAGACAGAGTAGATATAGCTGATATAGCTGGCATGCTTGATTAAAACATCATACTGATGTGGCTAATATTTGGCCACAGCTTATCAGACTTCGATTGCATTGTGTTAGGTGAGATGGGGCAATTTACAATATAGACTCCACTTAATGAGTCTGCAGAAGTGTACCATGAGGGATGCAGACAATAGAAATACAGTGGGGTGCCCCCTCTCCTTGATGAAGTGATCAGGAGAGGAAATCATGCAGGAGTAGGATCCATTGACGTCTTGAAGGGCATCTAGGCTTTGAGTGGTGAAAGGAGGAGGAAGGGTATTTCAGGCAGAGTGACTGCAAAGACAAGTTAGGAAGGTCCAGAACCCAGAGGTATAACTCGGGGAGAGTGAATAGACTGATTAAATTAAAGCAGGATAAGCAGATAAGAGCTTAGAAGGTGAATGAGGAACAGTGAGTTGGGAAAGGCAAGGGTTGAAAGATGGAAGTGGAGAGAAAAGCTGGGAAAAGGAGACCCAGGTCAAACATCTTAAAACAAAACCCTCATGAAAGCTAAGGGATCAAGGATTCGGGGAGAATAGAGCACAGAGATCAGAGAATCAGGCAGAAGTGGAATTAAAAGATAGCCTTACATTAAAGGCAGGGTTGAGAAAAGGGATAAAGGCAAGTGTTTCCTTCCTAACCTCAAACACTGACTGCCTCCTCTTTCTGCTGGAAGGCTGGCAGTGCTTTGGGTCTCTGGAGCACAGTTTAACCCAATGATCAAGCACATGGATTTGGTTAATCCTGGGTCCACCATGTGAGCTCTGTGACCTGGGGCAGATTAACCGTGTTGTGCTTCAACATTCCCATCAGTAAAATGGGAGAAAATAATAGTTCCTTCCTTAGAGTTGTTGAGATAATTAAGATTAGTCAAAACACATTAAGTGCTTGACCACTATCTGGGCATTGGCTGTTACTGAGGCTCTTTTTGCTGCAATGTTTTCTGGAATTAGGGACCTGGCTTGGAGATCTAGCATGGTTTTGAAAGAAAGGACAAGCAGCATTTAAAAAATTAGAAACCAAATCCCTACTGTAGTCTAGCTAACTGGTTCCTTTATGCTAAAAATTGGACAAGGATTGGAAAACTCCCCTCTCCCAGCCCCTCTTTGTGCCCGTGGATGGTACATAGCAATCCTCTTTTCTGTTAGTTTCCAGGGAACATTAAAACAGGGTATGTGGGTTAGACTTTAGCTGAAATACAGAGACAACATGAAAAGCTTGTAAGGCTACCAGATAATTGAGAAGGTATCACTAATTTTCTGAATGCACAATGCTGTGCTGAGTATCCGTACTTCTCCTATGGAGAGGAAATTAAATTCACTGGCTAAGATGATGTGACTGACAGAGTACTATGTGCTTTCCCATACATGATCTCATTTAGCCCCTATCACTATCCCACGAGAAAGGAATCATTATTCTCATTTTGCAGACGAGAAAACAATTTGAGAGCCATTCACTTACATGTATAAGGACAAATAGCTAGTAAGTGACTCTTAATCTATGTCCCCTGTAATGAAACATTAAAAACAATGTTTTGCTCTCCTCCCTCTGAGGAAAATAGAGTGTTTTTTTCTCTTAAAATATTAGAGGAGCTGGGTGATTGCTTAGCATGTCTTCCTAACCTCTACCCTTGTGATTGCAGGTCCTGAATTTCTACTGATCACAGTAGCTGATGAGAAATGTCTGTGGCATAGTAGCAAGTCTCTCTGAACAATTTAGAATGGACGTTCATAAATTAAGGGCATAGATGTCAAAACTGTCATTCTCTGCCTATGAGATGGAGAAAGCTGATTTTATCAGGAGGTAAACTGGTATGTGAAGGTACAGTTTGTAAAACTGTGTCCTATGATCTGAGCTAGATTCTTCTGAAGACTAATTCATTTTGAAAACTTTATACCAGTGTGAAAAAGTTTTTGGTATAAGAGTTAGTGCCTGATTCAAATGGTCAAAACAGTTACCCCAGCCTGGCTCCTCATCCTTCAGTAATTTGTGCTCCCAGCTGGATACCAACCAGCCTTACGGGATGCTTGGTTGGTTGCCTGCATTAGCTGTCAGAGAACCTTATAGAGGAGGAGAAGACCCTTGTGTCTGGGGCTGTCCTGTTGGAAACTCACATCTTGTTTTCCCCAGAGGAGGGTGAAGGGCTCATTATGCTGCCTGCAGTTTAGCTCTGGGGTTTGCCGGCCCCCTGTCCCCTAATCTACCATCCTGTAGAGAAGGGGAGGGTCAGTCAGGTTACAGGGTGATCTGGGAAGGAGTCTTTAGTTTTAAAGGTCAGTCTTGCTGACTTTCACGCCTGGATTTAGCCTTAAGCCCATTGTATAAGGCACAAAATATCACTTTATGCCACTAGACTATGGCCAGCTACTCCCCGCCCAAGCCCACAAGCTGAAGGGCCTCTCTTAACATATCCTTAGGTTTTTGATGGGGATTTTTAGTCAAGGCATATTAGTTTTTATTCCAAATGCATTTATTTGAGAGGAAATACATGTTCATAGAAAGGTAACAAAAAGCTACAAAAGGACATAATGTGAAAAGTGTGTGTTTCAACCATCCTGTGCTCAGAATCCAGTTTCCCACTCCAGAGTTCATCATTATTACCCTTTTCTTATTCTATTTTCTGGGGATATTCTATATACAAGCAAAACTACATGGATAAAGACCTGGCTTTTATTCTTGTTGTCTTTGGTTTCTTTTCTTCTTTTTTATGTGTATGAATGCTATTTACTTTAAAGATTTTTCATTTAACAAAATATCTTGCATGGAAATTCTTATAGACCTGTGTATTAGTCCTGCCTCTCCAGAGAAACAGAACCAATAGGATATGTGTGTGTGTGTGTGTGTGTGTGTGCACGCACATGTGCATGCGTGCATGTATATTTATTATAAAAAAATTGGCTGACACCATTGTGGAAGCTGAGAAGTTCCAAAATCTGCAGTTGGCAATCTGGAGACCCAGGAGAGCTGATTGATAAGTTCTAGTCTGAAAGCTGGCAGGCTCAAGACCCAAGAAGAGCTGAGGTTTCAGTCTGAGTCTGAAGGGCAGAGAAAAACAATGTTCCAGCTAAGCATGCAGGTAGGAGGAATTCCCCCTTACCCATGGGGAAAATTTTTTTTGCTCAGCTTTTTTGTTTAATTCAGGCCTTCACATGATTGGATGAGGCCTGTGACTTTTCCAGCTTCTTGAGCTTCATTCCTGGCATTATTTGGCTCATGGATCATTCTTCCTTCTTCAGAGCCATCAGGATAGCATCTTCAAATTCTCTCTGCTTTGTTATCACATTCTCTGCTCTTCTGTCTCTGTGTCAAATCTCCCTCTGTCTCCTTCTTATGAAGACACTTGTGATTATAGTTAGAGTCTGCCTGATATCCAAGATAATGTTCTCATCTCAATATCCTTAATTCAATCACATCTGCAAATTTCATTTTGTCATATAAGGTAACAGTCAGAGGTTCCATAGATTAGGACCTGGATATCTTTGGGGGCCCATTATTTAGCCTGCCACACAGTCTAACTTTGTTTTAGTTTTATCCTTGCTCTACCTTCCCATCCTCTGAAAATGATGATGTTGATATTGCTGCAGAAGAAATAGAAGGGAACATGATTCACATCTGATTTCATAGACTCTCCTGTTTCATTATCTTTCTCAATTTGGAGAGTTACAATTGTTTTCTACTCTAGAATCTTTGGTCATGCTATAAATATTAATAGAGAGCCTATTATAGTGCTAGAAATATAGCAAAACAGACATGCAGCCTACCTAACCTTATGGGGCATATAGGAGAGAAACATAATAAAATAATCATGCAAATGTAGGGCTATGAAAGATAACTGCAGACAACTTTGAGCATGTAGAGTAGGTGCTTTATATTCCAACATAATGTTTTGTATATAATGGGGATGTTACAACACTGGGGAGATATTATGATATTTGTCCGCTTCCCCCCAGGGATGTGGCAAAATTCTTCATAATTGTGCTTAAACTTATCTGGGAGTAGGAAACTCACATTGGTATGTAGGAACAGGGTTGTTACTGGTGAAAGAAATTCTTACAAGGGCCCTATCTAAACAGAAATCAAGCAGGGGGAATACAACTCCTCCAAACAAGGAAATATTTCCCCTGAGAAAATATTTTGATGGAACAAGTTATTACATTTTCTTAGAAACTCTGAGCAGAGGATGAGGTTGGTTTCTGTTGCTTTATATATGATGAATTTAAGTTTAAGGAATGGTTCGTGCTGGGCCTAGGATTAGCATCAAAGTGAATTGGAATTTGTGCCTTAGGAATAATGCTATCAGGGAGAGAAATGATACTTTTAAGCCATTTTTTCTAAGATTGCCTCAAGAAATGAAAATGCTACTTTCATATATCATTGCTACATGTACCCAGTGAAAAAGAAGTTTGTTATTTATCTATCTCCTTCTAAAACCTGGGATAATGGTTTAAAAAGGATTGCTAGATCAAAGCAGACCTACACTGTTGCTATACCTTACTGAATAAAAATACTTTCACACTGCAGTAATTTCACACTAGGGGCGAGGAAGTAATCTGTTCTACTTTTTAAAATGAATGCTTTCCCACTACTGCTTCAAAAGTGCTCATTTAGAGTGTCTTTGACATAACACCTTTTGTGATTGGTGAAAATCCTTCAGATATTTGAAGGTAGTTATGTCCTCATTAAAACTTATCTTTTGCATTAAGCCTTATCTTTTAAATAACACTTATTTCAGCTAACAGTTCTGAGTACCTACTGTGTACCAAGCTATAGGTTAAGGCCAAGTGTTGGCTCAGAAAGATAGTATGATAATAAGGATATAATAGGAAGTGTGGAGCCCCAACAGAGGGACGAACCACATACTCTTAAGTGGATCAAAGAAGTCTTCACAGAGGAGATGATGCTGGGGCTGGGTTTTGAACAATAAGTAGGAGTCTATGGGGGAAAATAGATGAAGGGCACTTTAGGTAACAAGAAGAGCATGGAGAGTTACACAGCACTTGGTGTTCCAAACCATACATGGGGAAGAACAGGTTTTTTTCTCTTCAGGTCATTCTTCAAAGAGTAATGCCTTTTCAATGATTTATATGTTAGTGTGATGGTAGTAAGGCTTTGATGAAGAGACATTAGGGAAATCAGAGAAAAAAGTAAAACTAGTAGGCATGAGGAGAAAAAGTAAAACTAGGAGGTGTGTTAGTTCTGTGTGACAAGAAGCAGATGTCAAGATGTGATTAGATATGCAAGAAATTTCATGGAGGAGGAAGCAGGAGGCGGAAGGAGCCTTCAGACCATGATGCAGCTCTTCCACCTGTGAAAGAGGGGAGAAGGAAGAATCCCATACTGCAGCACAGTTCCAAGAAAATTTTGGCCAGGCTGATGGGAAGATGTCAAGCCAAAGTTGCCCTTAGATGAGTCCTGCCTCCTTTTGGAATGAGTCTGCCTCAGCATCTTCACCTTGTTTGGGCTGGGAGCAGCCAGAGATTGTGGCCTCACATAAAAGAAGTGGTGAATCTGAAGGAACAGCAGCAGGAGTTGCCCCTGCAGAAGGAGGTCTGAATGGCATACTTTCATGGCTGCAGAGGAAGGTAACTCCTATAAGCAGTGGTTCAGGTCTTACCTATTTGGCCTGCACTTTGCCCTCCATACTCACTTCTTTGACAGTAGGACTGATTTACAGTTCCAATCATATCCACAGGAAGTGCAAAAAATTAGTTATGTGGGGAACGTAGAGTACAGAGTGGAGCAGAAGTGAGGTTGGTCATGAAAAAAAAGTTCAGATAGTGGAGGGCATCAGAGTTTATGCTAGGGAGTTTGGACTTGATCTTATAGACAGTGGGGTTTAAAGCAGAAGAACAACGTTATATGTGACTTTCGAGAAAATTACTTTGCTTATAGTGAGGAAAGTGGATTGAAGTGATGCAATACTGAAACAAAGACCACTTGGGAGGCTTTTGCAATTGTCCAAGTAATGGATACTGAAAGCCAAATAAGTCAGGGTTGATGGAGAGAAAAGAATGGACTTGTCATAGAAATTGATATGATTGAGGCTAGGCGTGGTGGCTCACACCTGTAATTCTAGCACTTTGGGAGGCTGAGGTGGGAGGACTGCTTGAGGCCAAGAGTTCAAACCAACCTGGCCAAGGTAGCAAGATCCTGTCTCTAAAAGAAAAAAAAATGATAGGAGTGAGAGTTCAATAGTCAATAGTGGGATGGGTGGTGGTATAGGGTGATCTCTAGGTTTCTAACCTGGCGGGGAGGGATGATAGTGTCAGTAATGAATATGGTACAGCACATATTGGAAGAGAAACACATGGAGTAAGGAGTGAATAGTAAGTTAAATTTTGGACATATTGAATTACATGTACTATGCTTCTTTATATGATTTATAGACCGTTTGTGATACTGGTTGTTCTCCTCTGGAGACACTTCAATGCACATCTCAAATGTGTTGTGGATCACAGTAAATCTAGTCCTGGGTGTGATCAAAGCTCAGGAGAATGACAGCTACATTTCTTTTAATTCAGCCAAAGCCTCCATTAGCCCTTTGGCAGCAGGCTCATGCTGTGGGCTTATTTTGAGCTTGCCATCCACTCAAGCCCTGAGGTCTTTTTCACATGAACTGTTTTTAAGGCAATTCTTTACTCTGTATATTTCCAGTTGATTTTTTTTTTTTAAATCTTAGGTGTAATACTTTTCATTTGCTCCATTAAATTTTATCTTGCGAGTTTGGATACATTATTACAGCCTATCAAAAATTATTCTAAAATGTTGATTCTCTTAGTCTTTTTATTTGTGATACCTTTAAACTTTGCGATATCTTTGTCTTTGAAAAATATATTTTATCATGATCACTGATAGAAACAGAACAGGACTACTTGAGAGCATCATATGACTCAAGCCCTTCTTATTTGACAGACATCTACTAGGTACCTCTTTTGGGGAACACTTTTTTCTTTTCTTTTTTTTTAGTATTTATTGATCATTCTTGGGTGTTTCTCGGACAGGGGGATGTGGCAGGGTCATAGGATAATAGTGGAGAGAAGGTCAGCAGATAAACACATGAACAAAGGTCTCTGGTTTTCCTAGGCAGAGGTCCCTGCGGCCTTGCGCAGTGTTTGTGTCCCTGGGTACTTGAGATTAGGGAGTGGTGATGACTCTTAATGAGCATGCTGCCTTCAAGCATCTGTTTAACAAAGCACATCTTGCACCGCCCTTAATCCATTTAACCCTGAGTTGACACAGCACATGTTTCAGAGAGCATGGGGTTGGGGGTAAGGTTATAGATTAACAGCATCCCAAGGCAGAATAATTTTTCTTAGTACAGAACAAAATGGAGTCTCCTATGTCTACTTCTTTCTACACAGACACAGTAACAATCTGATCTCTCTTTCTTTTCCCCACATTTCCCTCTTTTCTTTTCGACAAAACCGCCATCGTCATCATGGCCCATTCTCAATGGTCGCTGTCTCTTTGGAGCTGTTGGGTACACTTCCCAGACGGGGCGGCTGGGCAGAGGCACTCCTCACTTGCCATTCGGGGCGACCGGGCAGAGACGCTCTTCAGTTCCTAAATGGGGTGGCGGTCAGGCAGAGGCGCTCCTCACTTCCCATTCAGGGCAGCTGGGCAGAGGCACTCCTCACTTCCTTCCAGAGGGGGCGGCGGGGCAGAGGCACTCCTCACATCCCAGACGATGGGCGGCCAGGCAGAGATGCTCCTCACTTCCTAGACAGGGTGGCGGCCTGGCAGAGGTGCTCCTCACTTCCCAGACGGGGTGGCTGGGCAGAGGGGCTCCTCACATCCCAGACAATGGGCAGCCAGGCAGAGACGCTGCTCACTTCCTAGACGGGGTGGCGGGTGGGCAGAGGCTGTAATCTTAGCACTTTGGGAGGCCAAGGCAGGCGGCTGGGAGGTGGAGGTTGTAGCAAGTGGAGATCACGCCACTGTACTCCAGCCTGGGCAACATTGAGCACTGAGTGAGCGAGACTCCGTCTGCAATCCCAGCACCTCGGGAGGCCGAGGGGGGCAGATCACCCGAGGCCAGGAGCTGGAGACCAGGCCAGTCAACACGGCGAAACCCCATCTCCACCAAAAGTACAAAAATCAGTCAGGAGTGGCGGCACGTGCCTGGAATCCCAGGCACTCGGCAGGCCGAGGCACGAGAATCATGGGAGCCTGAGGCAGAGAGGTTGCAGTGAACCGAGATCACGGCAGTACAGTCCAGGCTCGGCAAGAGAGGGAGACCGTAGAAAGAAAGGGGAGAGGGAGATGGAGAGGGAGAGCCATTATTTTCAACTAACGAAATTTATTCATCATGATTTTAAGAATATTAAGACAGACATTTCCAATGTGTTGTTGAATTCAGATGGCCTGTGTCTCCAGAATTTCCCTGATCTGTCATTTTAGTGACCTTATCAGAAGGCACGATTTGTCCATAAGGAGCCTGGGTTGGTCCTCAATACTTATCACTTTCTTTTCTGAGTTCATAAACTCTGTTTAGACGTGACTTGCTGTGGTTTGATGTCAGACTCATGAGGATATCATTTTCATAATCTTCTTTTACCTGTTTTTGAAAATAAGAACGTTGACCTTTTCAAGTCTATTGACCCTAATCCCAGTCTTACGCACTTTCCCCTGCAGAGATAAGTGCCAGTGTCTTAGCTATTGTATCTGTAGGTTCATTTGCAACTCAGCATAATATACTAATGAAAGGTTGATTAACCTTCCTGGGCAGAAATCCTTGCTGTGAAACTTCTAGCAGCTGATAGTTACCCCTCTGAACTCCTAATCCTTACCTGTGAAATGTGGCTAATAATAATGCCTATCAAATATGTTGTGAAGATTTAGTGAGTTAATCTGGGCAAAGGATTTAGAATAGTGCCTCTCATGTAGTGGACACTCAGTAGATTTAACTTTGTTATTGCTCTAGAATGTTATTTGGGTGGGCCTGATGTCCTGCTATCTTAACTATTTCCGCAATCTGTCATCTCTCCAATTCCCTATTAAGCATGATTATTCTCTTCTTTAGAGTTTGAAGACTGTTCTTTTGATAAAGAAGATAGAGTTTTTTTTTTTTTTCAGTTGCGAGATTTAATAGAGTGAAGACAGAGCTCCCATACAAAGGGAGGGGACCCAAAGAGGGTAGCCGTTGCTGGCTTGAATGCCTGGGTTTATATCCAATCATTGTCCCTCCCACTGTGCTCTCAGGCAATAGATGGTTGGCTATTTCTTTACCTCCTGTTTTTGCCTAATTAGCATTTTAGTGAGCTCTCTTTACTCTCTGATTGGTTGAGTGTGAGCTAAGTTGCAAGCCCCGTGTTTAAAGGTGGAAGTGGTCACCTTCCCAGCTAGGCTTAGGGATTCTTAGTTGGCCTAGGGAATCCAGGTAGTCCTGTCTCTCAGTCCTCCCTCTCAACAGGAAAACCAAAGTGCTGTGGGGGAGGTTGGCCGATGACCGCTCTAACTGCTTCCTGCTGAATTGGAGTGTAGTAGGGGTTGTGCAGTTGAGATTTCCTTGGGAGGCATGCCTTTGATGTCATTAACATCAGAGCATGGGCTAGCAGGCCGGTCCAGGGGTCCACAGTAGATCTTGGTCATGGACTGCATCAGGGGCTCCATTTGAAGAACGATTTGTAGTTTTACAGCTTTGATTCTGGAAGAGACAAAGTTAACAAGGAGGTTAAAGATACAGGGTCCAAAGAGGAGTAGCAATATTATAGCTGCTAGAGGTCCTAAGAAGGGGAGAATCCAGGGCATCCATTGGCTGAGGAGGCCAGGGTCCAGTGTTTTGAAGCTCCTCTGCTCTATGTTGTATTCGATCTTGAATTTCTTTAACTTTATTGGTGATGATTCTGGATTGATTAACATAATAACAGCATTCTTCCCCTAAAAATAAACAGGTTCCCCCTCTTTCAGCGGTTAGCAAGTCTAAAGCTCGTTGGTTTTGAAGGACTACTACAGCTAGGGAGTTAAGTTGATCTTGCAAGGTGACTAGGGAGTCGGTGACCTGTTCCATGTCACCATTTAGTTCTTGAGATAGTTTGTAGTAGAACCGAGTAGAGGTTGTGATACTGCCAATGCCAGTACCTAGTCCACCTAGCACTCCTGCTCTGATAACAAAAGGAAGAATGGGTACTCTTTTGTTGTGGGGCTTTGGTACGACATGATTGTATAAATCTTGTGCAGTGTAGATGGTCATAGGGGGCACTAAGAATGAGAGGAAGCACATAGATTTTGAAGAGCCATTCAAACGACGATAGGCTGAGGTACTACAGACAAAAAATATTCCTGAGGGTAGGCAGACTATTCGTGTGGGAGGAGTTACCCACCTGATGCATTGGGAATTGGTTGTGTCTATAGTATTGCTAAATTTTACACAGGTGAGGTTTGAGGTATGGGTTGTTTCCAGATTGGAAACAAGAGGTCCTACTAAAAAGGAAGTAGTATTTCTGTGCTGAAGTTGTTCCATTGTTCGGCTACAGGGATTGAAATGTGTGGCCTGAAGTGCAGGGGGAGGCACATCCAACAGTTAGTAGGGTTTTGGGCTGAGACCTCATGGAGCCCAGTGAGGGTGGTATTAAATAGGCTTACCAGGCAAGTATGGGTATGGAGGGTTTCATGTAGTTTTGAGAGATCTAGTCCTTTGTAGGGGCTAGGGGTGCTATGTACCCGGGTCAGTTGGGAGATTACTTCCTTTACGTGTTTTTCTCTTGCCTGATCTTGAACTCCACCCCCATCAGACAACAATATGCGTGAAGTAAGCCCAACAGACAGTGGTTCCCAGTCCTCCAGAACAACTAGGATTAATCATTTTCCCTGTCCAATAATGAGTATTTGCATGCATGCAAAGAGTGGCAGAGTTATAGCAATTGCGGGACATATGGGTGTGGGCAGTGAAGGTGGGGGTTCCCTTAGATAAACTCCTATACGATGGGGCATCAATATTTCTGGGAAGCTGCATCCTCCATAGAAACTCTTGGTAAGGGGAGCTACTGGTCGTACAGTGGCATGGAGGGGGTGCAGTGAGTGAAAGTCGGTAAGAGGACAGTAAAGAGAAAAATATGATAAGGGAGGGCCATGGGGATTTATGATTTTAGTTACTTTCCTCACTGTTGTCTGACAGCCACAAGTCTCCTTTAGCAGTGAGTATGCCATTCATATCATGAGATGTCCACACAGTAAGTTCTCTTCCCTGTATTAACTGCTTTAGATACTAACACTGCTACTGCCACCACTACCCGTAAACAATGAGGCCAATCCTTTGTCACTACATCAATTTCCTTACTCAGGTATGTCACAGGTTGCAAGCTCCTCCTTCGGACCTGTGTAAGGACTCCTAGAGCTATTCCTGTTTTTTTCTGTGACATATAAATAAAAGTCTTGCCTTGTTGGTAAGTGTAACACTGCAGCTTGGGTTAGGGCCTTCTTTAGGGCCTGGAAAGCTGCTTCTGCTTCAGGTGTCTATCTTACTAAATGGGTATTGGCTTTTTGAGTTTCCCTAATTAGTGTATATAATGGTCTGGCTGTTTCGCCATACCTGGGAATCCATATTCAGCAGAAACCTGTTATGCCAAGGAACCCTCTTAGTTGCTTTAGGGTTTTGGGATGAGGATAAGCCAGTATAGGCTGCATACGTTCCTCACTGAGGGCCCTGGTGCCTTTGGATAATTTTAGCCCTAAGCATTTATCCTGCTGTGAGCAGAGCTAAGCCTTTGGTTTGGAAACCTTATAGCCACATGTAGCGAGGAAATTTAAGAGTGCTTGGGTGGCTTGATGGCGCAAGGTTTCTGAACGGGTGCTAAAATTAAATCATCCACATACTGAAGGACAAGAGTGTCCAGGTATGAGAACTGGCTCAAGTCTTGGGCTAATGCCTGGCCAAATAGATGGGGGCCATCCCTGAACCCTTGGGGTAAAACAGTCCATGTGAGTTGAGATGTTGTGTTTTAACTGTGGAGTTAAATCAGTTGAAGGTGGGTAAATTTTATTCAAATAACTTGGTCTTCTTTTGGCTTCTATGGTACAGAATGATTTATCAATCTCTTTTCTTTCATTGGAATGGCCTAGAACTTGAATATGTTTGGGAATTAAACTAATTCCTTTTGTTTTTTGTCTCTTCTAAACTTGGCTTGTTTGCAAATGGAAGGCATCACTCCTCTGGGAGACATTACCTGGTGGCGAGGAGCACTGTTAAATATTTGGGAGTGTCAGTTCCCACATCTATAAAATGAGGACCCTGGCAGATGATCTCTAGGGTCCCTTCCAGTAGGAACATTTTAGTGTGCAGTGATTCTGCAGATGGGTTGGCATTCCACTCTAGGTCTAGATGTGGGAAAAGTTTAGCCACAAGGGTGCTAATTCTAGATTTCCCAGGAGAAAAATATCAAGGCTTGAGGGGCAGGAAGTTCCATCAGAGGGCCTAGGAGACTTCTCATATTAAGGAATCCTTACCAATTTGCTCTCATCCCTCAGCATCTATGCTAAGTATAGTGTCAGGAATCCTGTGATTTCTTCTTAAAACTGAGCTGAAACAATTCACTGATTCCATGGAAGAAACATTCTCAGTATTGAAAAACCATTTCTGCATCCCAGATCTCTGTAAACCATCCACTTTAAGCAAGATTCCTTCCATTCTGTGAATAAACAAATAGCTTTGTCCACATATCAGAGAGTCAAGGTTCCTATGCACAGTCTTGCAGAAGGGATAAGCTTGCCAAAGAAAAACCTGAACTTGAGAGTATTTACAGCAGAAAAGGAATATTTGATTCAGGACTATTGTAATAGGAGAAAAGAGGCCTCAGTATAGAACTGGGCCCAATTCCAAATATGGAGTGTGCAAGTCAGGATGCACAGCCAAGGAGCAGGGTGGGTGTCAGTGGATGGAAAATTACTAAGAGAAAGCCTCGAGGATTCTGGCTAAATGTACGTGACAGGATTCTTACTGAAGGCAGGCCAGGGTCATCAGATACCAAGTGGGGAAGATGAATAATTTGGTCAGGTGTTGTGGCTAATCATATATAGAAAGTGGAGATTCTCTCTAAACGGATTTAGCAAGATTCTTGCTAAAACTGGGCTCTTGATAATGTGCCCAAGGATGGGGCCTAGTCAAAAAAGGCAGCTCAAAAGAGCCTGCCTAGAATTTGGTCAAGGGGAGCATCTTGTCAGGCTCTGGAAGACTCCTTTGTCTCAAGGTAGTTCTTGGGAGTTTTCCTGTTTCCATTCCTTTTCATTGCATTCCACATAGGGCTTACAGAATCTGACCATGGAGGTGAGATGGCTAGGGGAGTTTCTTTAATTGATGTAGCATTTGTGAGACGAGATGAAAAGGATTTTTCTGGATGAGGGGGAGGCATTTTCTCCTACCTCCTTTTCCCTGGATGACCTTGTGTTGCTGCTTTGAACAAACCCTCCGGAGAAATCCTTGGAAAAATGAGACTATTAAGTCTAAACTTAACTACAAAGATTCAAGGCACCACAAGAGACATTAGAGGAAACCTTACTGAGACTGTTAACATTTCATGTTTCCTTTTTTCACTTGGAGACTTGATTTAAAGGAAGAAATCCGATACCTCTTTCTTCTGGAGAAACAAAGATGTGGTCTTTTTCCTTTTGTCTCTTCCTGAGATGTATTCAAGAGGCCCATGAGAGGCTGAATGTAACCAGCGCACCAACAATTTGTTCAGCTAAATGGGCAGTTCGATTTTCTTATCTGCACACTCTACTGAGTGGGACCCCTTGCCCTAAACCCCCAGCTAGGTGTGTTATTGGTGCTCATTCAGAACCCAGACAGCAGCTCCTTCTGATGCTGCTTTTTGTAGCAGAAATCATAAAACCCTTTGAAATGTATGTTGCAGCCAAACCTCTCTGCTTAGGGGAATCCTGCAGATACCTTTTTATTCTTTCTCTTTCGTTCTCCAGAGGATATCATCATGGCAGTCTGAGTTCAAAGTGGGTTTTTGTCATTTCTGTGCTTGGATGGGAGCCAGCAATTGCCTGCGAGACCTCTGAACTACAAAGTTTACCCAGCTGGTGAAATTTATTCCTAGGAAATTTGAAAATAATCTCTCATTTCACAGCAACTGAAGACAATGTTTTAAAAAATTTTTTTTAATATAATCTCTGCCATTTCTGGTTTTCATTCAAATGGAAAGGGGGTTTCTCTCTGAGGGATTTCATTAGAAAGAGAAGGAAGAGCTCCTCTTTCCAAGCCTCACCCTGTTAATTTCCAGTTCCTTAAAATTCAGAGAACTCTGGCTTGTTGTGTCTTTGTTTCTGGGTCTCAGAATCTTGGTGGTAAAAGACAGCCTGGTTTACTGTTGAAGAGAACGGGAGGGTTAGGGAGTTTGAGAGGCACATCCCTCAGTTCTCAAGCAAAGCCTTCTGAAGAGTGACTGAATGCTTCTCACTTAGTTTTTATTTATAAGTCTAAATGGATGAATGCGTGGAGTGAACCCTTCCATTTGTTTTAAGAATTGATCCATAAAGCACAACTAACTAGCTCATTTTTTTTCTGACTTGTCTGCCGGGAAAGTGCTGATCTGAGTCTGCTCTTCTTATTTTCCTTAACCCATAAAAAATGTCAAATGAAATGGATACATAGCTATGATTTCATTTCCATTATGCATTCATTACAGTTGAGATAAGGTGGAAACTTGGGGCTTATTTATTCTAGAGTCTGTCGCAGATCATATCTCACCCTCTGCTCCCCACCTCATAGTAATCTCAGTGCAGCTCTGTGTAGTACATGTCAGTGGGCTGTGTACTCCAATGACCCAGAGGACATCACATACATAGATGTCATTGTGGATAGTTTGATAAAGATTTCTAAATGGCAAATATCTAGGTAAAAAAAAGCAAGAGCAAGACAAATAAATGAAAAAGAACAAAAACAAAACAGTCCAGAGAACCATAAACTATTAATGTACATTGTACTTAGGCAAAAGACTGTGTTCTAGTTTTAGATTTACTTTGGCCTTTTTTTTAGCCCTACTTCTGCTTCCTTTACCAAAGTAATTTACTTTACCAAAGCTATTCTCAGACTTTCGGATAACCTAGTCATTGGATTTTATAGACTATTCCTGAATATGCTTTCCAAGGAATGTCTTTAAATAGAAGACAGGTGTTATGTAGTCAACACATATGGAGCTGGGCTGTATTAGGCACCTGCTTTGTGTGATCCTAAGCCTGGTGTACCCATCAGGACAGTGACTCCAAAGGTGGAAACTCTCACCAGATTCAGATGGTCCTCAATAAACTCTGGACCTCAGACAGACACCAGCTTTATTGAAAAGTTAATGTAAATTCATTTTTATGTATTAAAGAGATATACGATATGATTTGGATATTTGTTCCCTACAAATTTCATGTTGAAATATGATCCCCAGTGTTGGAGGTGGGGCTACGGGGAGGTGTTTGGGTCATGCGGACAGATCCTTCAGGAAGGGCTTGGTGCCTTCCCTGTAGTAATAACTGAGTTATTGCTTTATTAGTTCACACAAGAGCTGGTTGTTTCAAGAGAGCCTGGAACCTCCTCTCCCCTTCTCTCTTGCTCCCTCTCTTAGCATATGACACACTTGCTTCTCCTTCACCTTCCACCATGAGTGAACACTTCCTGAGGCCTCATGAGAAGCAGATGCTGGAACTATGCTGTCTGTACAGCCTGCACAACAGTGAGCCAGATAAGCCTCTTTTCTTTATAAATTTCCCAGTCTCAGGTATTCCTGTATAGAAATGCAAAATGGACGAATGCAATATATTTACATGTGTATTTATGTAAATACTATATATATATACACATTTTAAATGTACATTTAATCTCCCCATACAGCAAATTTAAATCCTAATATATGAGTATGATTTAAAGCCATTGGTTTTCATACCATGTACCACCATGTCCAACTGAGTGGCTTTATGGGCTGAGGGAGACCTGAAAAGGTGGATTTCATGGCTCTTTTCCATAGTAGATTAGATCCTCTTTTGTCTGTTTATACTGGGCCTGTAAATGAGGTTTGGTTGGAAGAGTTCTTTAGCTCAAAATTTAAAAACCACTGATGTAAAAGGTCATTCTGGCATGAACCACCAATCTCTTCTACCTAGGACATTGATGAAAGCCTTCTTCCTAGAATGGTTAGGGTTAAGAGCACACTTTTGATTCTAGTTCTGATACTGGTCCTGATTCTCTTCTTGTGTTGCACTCTCTCTTGCTAACTGCCCTTTGTGATGGCACAAGTTCTCTGCACTTGAGAAACTTCTCTAATAACTGAAGGATAAACTGGATGTTTTCTAAAATGTTTTCCAAAGCCACAGTTTTCCTTTATGCAAAAAGTCTGTAATAGAAATAGACTGTCATCAAACAACAAATCTGGGGTAATGATTTAATTTGAATTTTTAGTTCGTAGCTTTCTTTTTACTTTCTGGCACCCTAGTCTTTTGTTAAGACTATCTTTACATTGAATTACATTCCCTTTCTGAATATGAAAATACTAAATGGCAATTCTAGAACTGTTGGACAATACAGAATATCATAATAGACCACTCTTAGAGTTTATTTTGATGTTATCTTTTTGTCTTCTTGGTATTATCTTTGACTCTGAAAGTGTTTGCTTTCACTCTCTGAATTTACTTTTCAAATTTCCTTTCTTGATTCTTGTTTAAATGGCATTATTTTTTCCTACGTAATTGGATGAACAGAGTTTCCTTTTCCCTTGAAGTTTTAGATCAGACATGAAGTTCTCACATCCTCGAGTTGATCCTTCAGTGGGCTCTGGTTTACACTCTTTCTTTCACTGTCTGCTATTAATCTCTTCAGTATTTTGGTTCCAGTCAAGGAAATGACTTTTCTTTTTCATCTTCACCATTCCTCATCCTCTGATGCAGTGTGCCCTCTTTCTGAATGTTTTGATTCGCGTCTCATCTCTCATTTGACTAATTATATCACTCTCATTCTCTAAATCTCTTTTAAGAGTTTTTTTTTTTTTTCACTAGAAATAGTACTGAAAAGTTTTCTTTTCCTTTCTAATTTAATTTGTGGCTTTTATATCATATACTTTACTTCCCAAATGTTTAGCGATCCATTAAAACCAACCAACCAGACAACCAACCAACCAAACAAATCAACGGTTGGCCTTAAGTGACAAAAAGATTTATGGCAGAGTTGAGACTAGAGACTCGAACCTCCAAATTCCGGTTCTGTGATCTTTCTTCAAATGATGGTGCCTCTCACTACTCCCCTAATGAAAAACTAATAAGATCCTAGAATAACATTTAGATTAATCTTGCATAGCATGTAGTGCTCACTTATGGGCATTCAGATAGTGCACTAGGACTTCATTTTGGAAGAGGATTAGAACAGGGGGATCAGAACGAAGAGTAGACTGCCTTGTTCCTCCTAAAATGTAGTTTCTTCACTTGAGTATTTGCCAGACTTTGGGAAGATACAAACAATACAGTATTTTCAACTTTTTTTTTTTCTTTTTTTGCCATCTTTACATTGAGGACTTCTCTAATACCTCAGTTTAAAACAGAAACCTACCATCACCTTCACACTCCCTATCTTCCTTCCAGCCATTAGTTTTTCCACAGCACCTTTTACATTTTGACGTACTTGCTAGTTTGTTTGCTCATTGTTGGATCTTCTCCCCTCCTGCCACCTCCCCAACCTGAATGTAACTCCATAAGGTGGGAATATTTGTCTGTCTGTTCATTGCTATATCTTACCCCTGGCTCCACCCCTCCATTCCTTCCAATACTGACTAGGATATAGTTGATACTCCATGAGGATTTCATGGAGAAAAATCAACAAATGAATTGGTTAAGCCTCAGGACCCAAACCAAGCAAGGTAATCTCCCCCACTATTTAACAGATGGAGGAATCAGTTTACCTTGAGCTTATGCTACTTGGCGAAGGTCTCAGGATTTAGAGTCTCCTTTTCATCCTGTAAGCAACTAAGCTTTGCAACTGATGAAAAGATGCCATAATACATGCAATTAATGAAAATGTTGTGGAATTCATGTTACAACTCTGACTACAAACTAAACACCAATTCCAGATGTTTGATGAAAATACTTCTTAAGACTCCAGTATATGCAAATTTGGTTAGATCCCTTAGTCAAATGACAACCATGAACAAATGGAACACATACCCTCTGCATTAGAGCAGTGTCTGACAGCTTTCTCAGACCGAAAGAGTCTGTCAATACTTACCTTGGTCTGTTCATCTTAGAGACCCTCAGCAGCATCTGTAACCCAGAACTTGGCAAACAAAGTAAACTAGGAGACTGATTTGATTTCATCCCAGCTGGTTGAAGCTTCATTACCTACTAAGTCTGTTTAACGTGGTTGTTACTGTCCCTTTGCCCCAAGTCTATAGTCTGGTTGTAGTTTGGGTACAGACTGTTACTATTAATAACATAGTGGGTTTATTATTTTCATCTAGAACCATTTTTTTAATCACAATAGGGATTTGCTTTTGTCCTGAAATGTGAGGACAGATCTCTACACCAGCCATCCAGGGCTGGCTTTTCTACTTACACTGATGAAGATATCTGGTGACCTCTATTTTATCTTCCCACTTTATTACTGGTTTGGTGTGTGCTCCAGTTTCAATTGTACGGTTTTAGTTTAAAAGTAATGTTTCGTAGATCAAAGTGCCAGAGAAGAAAAAAAGCAGCAAGTAAACTTTGATATTGTTAGTAACGAAATCTCTTTGTTTTAGAAGCATGCTGCTTTTTCTATGGAAGTAAAGAAGGATGTGAAATCATCTGATTATATATGATAGTATTTGTGATTATTTCATCTAGGTGGGGAAACCTGGTAGTAGGGTTCCCTGTGTTAAACTAAGAATGGTCAAGAGAAAGAGGTTATGAGGACTCTTGCTATTGTGCAAATTTCCAAGAAGCAGAAAAATAGATACGTTTAGTCCTGAAAGCAATTTGCAAAAATAATAAGACCTACTAAAATGATGCTAGATCAAATAATGGTATGAGTCTCTTTTGTTTTGGTCCTTTGCCAACATTAGTGTACACACAGACATACGCTTGCACATGGCTTCTATGTCCAAATGTTCACAAAATCCCCACTAGTACACGTTTCCTGAGTATAGTTCCACTTCTCTCTTTTAGAAGCAAGTGAACCCTGAGAGCCTGTGGTCATACCTGGAGGGAAATGTCCTGAACTACGAGTTAGAGATCTCAGCTTCAGGTCCTGCTCTCTGTAGACTCACAGTGTGAGCCAACTGATTCTTTTTAGCCTTATTATTGTTATTATAGTTGATGTTCTCTGCTGTACCAACCTCGTGAAGTTGTAGGAGACTTCAATGAGATAGTAGGTGTGAAAACTGCAAATTATAGAGTATTGTGCAAATAAAGATAAAGGATTGTTTTGAGGATCACATTGTAGTTTGCTCAATGCAGGATTGTAAGGAGGGGAAGTTAGTCCTGATCGTGGGTGTTCAGGGCAGTGTCTGGGAATCCTCACAATCACTACCCCCCGACCGTTTTTTAAAAAAAATCTTTGAGGAGGGAGCACACAGTGGAAAACAATTGCCAAATGGGAAATGAGATATGACTTTTTAAATATTTGATAAGCATCCAAATATCTCATTGTATAAATGTCACACTGGAAAACTACTTAGGCTCCAGGCCTAAGTGAGGCTTCCTATTTTATTGCTCTTGAATCGAAAAGCCCCACAGTCATGGGCAGAGGAGATGGAAGAGAAGGAGTGATGGATGTGGAGACAGTTGGAAAGAGAGTGAGAGTGAGCTACTTGGTTTTGGCTGAGGGAAAGAGGTGAGCCCTGGAGACTGGTCTTTGCCGGCATGCTATATGGAAGCTGGAAGAACATGCCAGGGCTCCTGCTTTCAGGGCACAATCACTCTTGTGTCAAGCCGATCTAAGTCCTGGACTCAGATGATGAAATGGACAATTTTTGCTCCACTGGCGTTGGAGGCAGGGGGTAGCATGTGAAGAGGTGGGCAGAGAATGAAAGGGGGATGGGGGAGCAGAAGTTCCCTCTTTAGCTGCTCCTGCTCAGGAAAGAATATATGTGCCACCCCAATTGAACAATGAGAACACATGGACACAAGGGGGGGAACATCACACACCGGGGCCTGTCGGGGGCTGGGGGAGGGATAGCATTAGGAGAAATACCTAATGTAAATGAAGAGTTGATGGGTGCAGCAAACCAATATGGCGCATGTATACCTATGTAACAAACCTGCACGTTGGGCACATGTACCTTAGAACTTAAAGTATATGTAAAAAAAGTCGCTTAACTAAAAAGACTCCATGCAGAAATAAAATGACAAGAGTTTAGAAAAACAAACAAACAAACAAACAAACAAACAAAAACAGAATATATGTGCCACCCCAAAGGGGCACGGGAGGGAAGAGATAAGAAGCAGTGCCGATGGTAAGGGGCTCTTTCCTATAGGGCTCCAGAGGAGTTATTGATTTATGACCTCAAATAAATCTCTTTGCCAGGAGTTTTGTACCTGGTCAGTTCTGTAACTCTAGCCAAACTGAGAAGAAAGTCTACACAGAAGGTGGAGTTGTAAGTGTGCTTCTAGTGTATGAGACTGTATTTTCCTTCTGTTTCCTAAAGTGACACAGAAGTGAAACCTTGCTAGTGGTTACTTAGCAATTAAGTTCATTACTTTGTGTTTTTAAAAATAAATGAACTACATTGCAAAAAACTACTATTGTAAGCATACTTAGGATGTTTCTAAGACAGCAAAGGTTTTTCTCAACACCTGTGATTTAATACAATGCAAGTGTTTAGTTTTTTTTTTCTTTTTCTTTTTCTATGTTCTCAGAGTTAAGATTAAAAAATGAGGCTGGAGACGAGGGAATCTTAAGAATGGAAAGATTGTATGTTTCAGTTTTGCTCATTGAAAGTTGGCTAATAATGGATAATATAGACATTTATATACAAGGAAGGAATAGAAATGACTGTATTCTATCAGTGAATTCTTAATTTGTGCTTTATTTTCACTTTTAGTAAGTTAAACATTTTAAATGTCTCCTGGTCAGTAATGTAATTTTTTAAAACAAAATATGATGAGGTGAAAACAGGAAACTTTCTGCATTCTGTAGTAAATTCTGTTAAATGAATAAGTTAGTGAAAAAGTTTCTAATAAAATAACATTGAATAATTTCACTGTATTGAGTTCAAATGTCCTTGGGTTTCATGACTTTTCATCTTATTCTATCCATTTACTCATTTAGTGAGTTATACAGAAAAACTTCCAACTCCTGAAGTGACGGTACATGCCACAAAAAGATTTAGACCAGCATCTTCTGAGAAAAATACCCATGCCTGAGCCCTAAAATGATATTTTGCCAATCTTTTAAAAAGTAATAAACTTAACAAAGAGCTTCTTCTCTTATAAAAGTTGGGCACAGGTCTACTATTTATAAACAGTGACTTTGGCTCACCAATCTTTTTTTTAGAATTTTGGATAAGGCTTTGCACACAGTAGGTGCTCAATGAAAAAAGAAAGAGCCATTCATCAGTTTATGATACTAACTTGCCCTCCCTCCCCTTCTTTCACTTCACTGTACTTTTTTAGAGGAGTGACACTAAAACTACTGCTACCGCCTGCTGCTTGGAAAAACCTCTATCATCCTTCTATTCTTCCAGTCTTCTAAAGTAGATGTGAATTTAGGTTCTAAGAGGTTAATGGGAAGAATGTCATAGGGGTGTATTGTTTATGTAGTAACAACAGAATGAATTAAAAGTTTAAAGCTTTAATCAGTGTGTGTGTGTGTGTGTGTGTGTGGGTGGGTGGGGGCAGTGTTTTGACATTGGTAGTGTTTTGATAATTTAAACAGTTTTATTTTTCTCTTGAACTGATTATTTTGGTGTCATATGGACTCCATTACCTTTTCAATATTATGTTGTTAGCCTTTTTTTGAGAATTCATCATGTTCTTATTGTGTTCTTGACTACATGTACTGTTAGTTCTTTAATTTTTTTTCTTTTTCTTTCTGCAGGAGACCATGAAATAATTCCAGTATGTTTGCTTAATTGTTGGGTATTCCTGTGACAAAGAAGGCACTACTCAGCCAGCCAGAATGCACTGACCACCACTGCAGGGTTTCAGTCACATGAGACATCTGGGTGATAGAGGGAAGTGTGGGGAATGGCTATCATTGATGAGCCTGTATGTTCTAAGTGATCTGGGGACTAAGGCTTATTTTTCTCCAGGCTTGTCTTATGAAGAAGTTTTAGTCTATTTGGAATAGATAAGGCTTATACACATAAAGTAACTGATACTCAATTATATGTAATTATGTTAGTTGGGGATAAGGCTAAGCTGTGTTATGTAGTGACTCAAAAATGCGATGACTCAAACAAGATTGGAGCTTGTTTCTCTCCGGGAATGAATGATCCCACACTCGGGGGCAGCTAGGCTGCTGGGATCCAGGTTCCTTCACCTGTTGCTCTGTTATGGTTGAAGCTGGCTTATCCCAACCTCATTCACATTTCAGCCCACACAGCTAGGCAGAAGAGGGGTGAAAGTGGAGCATGAGCAATGCCTTTTCTTTTATTTTTTTTAAAGTCAGTATTATTGCATTATAATTTACAGAAAATAAAATACACCTATTTTAAGTGTATACTTTAATGGGCTTTGGCAGATTGCTTACACGCATTGAACCACCACCCTAATCAAGATAATGGCATTTCCATCATCCCTAAACATTTCCTCATGCCCTTTGCAGTAAATGCCATCTACTCTTGGTCTAAGGTGGCTACTGATTTGATATCTATCACTACAGATTATTTTTGCCTGTTCTAGAATATCACATAAATGGAATTATATGGCAGGTGCTTTCAGGCTGGGTGATATAAGTCAGGTGTCTAAGTTGTAAATTTAAACAGACACTCACACTAAGTTTTATGCCAGTGCTGACTCTACAATGCACCCTGCGCCATGCTGCATTGTATCTTGTTTCTTTTGCCCTGTGTATTGTTTTTGAGATTCATTTATTTTGTTATGTGTATCAGTGGTTCATCATTTTTTGTTGCTGTGTAGTAGTCTATGTCACAAATTCACTACAATTTGTTTATACGTTTGTCTACTGATGGACGTTGTTTCCGGTTTTGGGCTTTTATGAACATAGCTGTCACAAACAGATGTGTACAAGTATTTTAGTGAACATATGTTTTCATTTCTCTTGGGTAAATACTCAGGAATGGAATTGCTGGATCATATGGTAAGCGTGTCTTGGTAACTTCAGGAGACTGCTGAACAATTTTTGAAAGTGAATTTAATACTCGATAGTCTCATTAGCAATGTATGAAAATTCTAGTTGCTTTACAGCCTCACCAACACTAGTTATCATCAACGTGTTTAACTAGCTATTCTAGTAACTATGTTGTGATATCCATTGTAGTTTTTTCCTTTTTTGTCCCCGTACCCTAAGCTCCTATCCATTGTAGTTTTAATTTGCATTGCCCTGATGACTAGTAATGTTAAGCATCATTATATGTGATTATAAGCTATTGTAGTGTTTCGTAAAATATTTGTTAAAATTTTTTGACTATTAGAAAAAGTAGGTTGTCTTATATTATTATTGAGATGAAATCTTTTAATATTCTGATTCATGCTTTATATGACCTAAGAAATCTTTGCAAAACTCAAAGTGTCAAAAGATATTCTTTTATGTTTTCTTCTAAAAACATAATAATTTTAGCTTTAATTTAGATCAGTTTTCCATTTTGAGTTAATTTTTATATATGTTGAGAGATAAGGGTTAAAGAGCATTTTTTCCCCCTTGTAGATATCCAGTTGTTCTAGAACAATTTGTTGAAAAGACTATTTTTCCTCCAGTGAATTACTGGCTCCTTCTTAAAATAAATTTTCCATGTATGCATGGGTCTGTGTCTGTTCCAATGGTCTATATGCCCACCTTTATACCAATACCATACTATCTTGAATACTGTAGCATTATAATCATTCTTGAAACAAGTAGTATATGTCTCAAATTTCATTCTTTATCAAAATTATTTTGGCTTCTCTGTATTCCCATATGATTTTTAGGATCAGCTTGTCAGTTTTCAGAAAAAAATGCTAGAATTTATATTTCGATTTGGTTAAATGTACAGATCAATTGGCAGACAACTGACATCTTAACAATAGTATGTCTTTTATTCCATGAAAATGGTGCTTATTACAATCTTTAATTTTTCTGAGCAATGTTCTGTAGTTTTCAATGTATACGTCTTTGTTAAGTTTTGCTTTGTGTACTTCATGTTTTTGCTGTTATTTTAAATGCATTGTTGTATATGTTTGCAATAGTTTTTTGCTCACATATAGAAAGGTAATAATTGTGTATATACTTTGCATCCTGTGACCTTGCTTAATTTATTAATTCTAATAGCTATTAAAATATCATTTTAAGAGTTTTCTGTGTACATAATTATGTCATTTGTGAATAAAGATAGTTTACTTCTTCCTTTTGAATCTATATGCCTTCTACTTATTTTTCTTGCTTTATTACAGTGGTTAGAACCTCCAGCGCAATGTTGGGTAGGAGTGGTAACAGCATTCTCCTTGCTTGTTCCCAATCCTAGGGAAAAGCATTCAGTCTTTCATCCTTTGCATGATGTTGTCTGTAGATCTTTTATAGATTCAATTAAAGAACTCTTAGTTTGCTGAGAGTGTTTATCACAAATGGTTGTTGAATTTTTAAAATGCCTTTTAGCCATTATTAAGATAATTATATGAATTTTCTTTTTTATTCCGTTAATGCTGTGAATTACAATGATTGATATTCAAATGTTGTATTCCTGGGATATACCACCCAGCCCCTAGTCATGATATAGTATCCATTTTACATATTATGAGATTCAATTTGCTAACATTTTATAAACAATATTTTGTTATATGCTCACAAGGATTATTGTTCTATAGTTTTCTTTTCTTGTAATGTCTTTTTGGTATCAGGGTTATGCTGTCCTCATAAGGTAAATTGGCACATTTCTTAAAGCAATTTTGAAAGCTAGTATTATTTTTTCCTTAAATATTTTATAGAATTTTATCAGTGAAGCTATCTGGGCCTAAAATTTTCTTTATGGAGAGTTAAGAATTTTTATTATAAATTTATTTTTAAATATAGAATAGGGTTATTTATATATTCTTTTTCTTCTTATGACTGCTTTGGTAGTTTATATCTTTTGAGAAATTAGTCCATTTCATCCAAGTTGTTAAATTTATTGTCATAAAATTGCTCATAATACTGCCTTTTAGTATTTGTAGTATCTGTGGTCATGTCTCTCATTTCTAATACTGGTAATTTATGTTCTTCTCTCTCTTTTAAAATCTTTTATCACTGTAGGTGGAATTTTATAACATTTATTGACATTTTTCAAGGGCCAACTTTTGATTTTATTCACTGTTTGCATGTTGTATCATGCATTTATTTCTGCTTTTTTATTATTCTTTCTTTTTGCATAATTTGGATTTATCTGTTCTTCCTTTTCTAGCTTTTTAGAGTGATAGGCCATAGATTTGTTTTAGAATTTTCTAGCTTTCTAATAAATGCATTTAAAGCTATAATTTTTTCCTCTAAGCATCACTTTAGCTGTATCCTATAACCTTGATATATTGAATTTTATTTTATTTTATTCAGTTCAACATAATTTCTAATCTCTCTGTATTAGTCATGGTTCTCTAGAGGGACAGAACAAATAGGATAGATAGATGTATGTATAAAGGGGAGTTTATTAAGGAATATTGACTCACATGATCACAAGGTGAGGTCCCACAATAGGCTGTCTGCAAGCTGAGGAGCAACGAAGCCAGTCTGAGTCCCAAAGCTGAAGAACTTGGAGTCCAGTGTTTGAGGGAAGGAAGCATCCAGCACGGGAGAAAGATGTAGGCCAGAAGACTAAAGCAGTCTAGTCTTCCCACGTTCTTCTGCCTGCTTTTATTCTGGCCGCACTGGCAGCTGATTAGATTGTGCTTACCCAGTTTGAGGGTGGGTCTGCCTTTCCCAGTCCACTGACTCAAATGTTGATATCCTTTGGCAACACCCTCACAGACACACCCAGGAACAATACTTTGCATCCTTCAATCCAATCAATTGACTTTTGATTTATTCATGAATTATTTAGATATATGTTGTTTAATTTCCAAATACTTGAGGATTTTTCCAGATATCTTATTTTTATTAATTTCTTCATTAATTCTCTTGTTGTGGTCAGAGAATATATTCTATATGTCAATCTTTTAAATTTATTAAAATGTGTTTATAGCCAAACTATAAGTGTTCTATCTTGCTGAATGTTTCATAAGCATACAAGTTGAATGTGTATTTGGCTCCTATTGGGTCTAGTGTTTTATAAATACCAAATAGGTCAAATTGGCTTATAGCTTTTTTAAAAAAAGTGTTCTTATGTCTTTATTGATTTTATCTGTACTTGTTCTATCAATTAACTAGAATTAAAATTTCCAAAATTGTTTAGATGCTGTCTTTGTTTTCACAGGATGTGAAGAAATTGTATAATTGATTTCTGCTCACATTCATGGCAAAATTTAGGTTACATGCTCATATAGAAGCTAGGAGATACAGCCCTTAGTTGGGAGCCATGTGCTTAGATAAAAAACAAAATATTCTATTACTTAAAGGAAGAAGAGAATGATAGAAACTGGCAGAAAATTTACAATATCTGCCACAATAATTAAATAGTAACCTACTTGGGACAGACTATAAATTATGTAGGAGTTCAGAGGAGGCATCTTCAGTGTAGGATGAAGTTTTTGGGTGGTGGGGCTTTAATGCTAAGTCGGACTTATATGCATAGATTTGATGAAGGTCATTCTCCATATATAGAGCAGTAAAGGAGAGTGACAATGATAGAACTGAGCACAAAAATGCATGTGGTATACAGTAAGGGAGAGATTAAGGGGGACCACACAGTGAATTAATATTAGAAGTTACTAGGAAATAAGGTTGGGTAGGCACATTGGAGGATCGAGTTAGGGAGGGCCTTAAGTAGCCTGATAATGGAGTTTAGATTTGCTTCAGCAAGCAGGAATTTAGGTTACTGAGCAGGGAGATGATATGATGGAAGCAGTGCTTAAGGCTGATTTGTCGACTGCTGCATGTCTTGAGGTAGGAGAGACCAGCTGGTGCAGCCATCCAGATGTGAGGTGATGAGGTGTCAGTGTGAAAGAAGAGAAAACAATATTGCTTTTTTTCTGTGCTGGATATATTGATATGTACATCCACTACTACTCCCACTATTGCTCCCAGAGCAAGTCACGTGGCTTAGTAAGGTCTAATTAGTGGGCAGTTTAAGATCTCAGTATCTTAGTCTTCATAACCGTAGTGCTTGAAGGTACTGAGTCCCTATTTCAGGTGAGACAAAGCTGTTTTAGAATCACAGTTGAATAAACACATCAGGAAGTTTTTTGTGACTCAAAGACCAGTTCATCTCCAACCATCAGGCTTTTTTTTTTTTTTTTGACTCATAAAAATGCTGCCAGTTGCATCAGAACAATGAATAAACCCACAGGAACAAAAGCCAAGTTGTCCACCCCGCCTTTGAGTGGTAATCCGCTACTATCTCCTTGGGAACACAGTGCCACGTTTCCTTTCACGTGGGGCAGCTCCCAGTTGCTGCAGCTCTGCAGGCTTTCCAACCTTCTCTCCACTGGGGCTCTCCACGCAGTGGTTAAGTGTCTATGCTTACTATTCCATATTGGGGTTATCATGAAAAATAAGGGCAATGTGAGACTGCTAATAACTATATCATGGATGAATCACAGCCATTTGATAGTTCACATCTAATTATTTAGTGTCTCTAAGGGAGGGCATGGTCTCAATTAGGTTAGGAATGAGGTAGGAGGGGTGGAAGAAAGAGAAAGCCTCTCCTCGATCTATGGCTTCTGGGTGGGATTGAAACCCACAGCTCTCTCTAGACATGCAAACTGAAGTCAAAACTCCCCGCATGAGTCATGTGTGGGCTGCTTATTTTGTTTCCCAGAGCTTAATTTCAAGGCTGTATTTCCTTCCCTCACCTTTCTTCCCTCTTCCTTCAAGAGTTAGAAAATTTGAGTATATAGTGGATACAGAAGGAAGGAAGGAAAAAAGGAATGAAAGAAGAGAAAGGAGGAAGGATATTCTTCTATCATGAAAGAAGTTGCAAAAGAGATATACCACGGGCAAAAGAAGACAAAAAGATCAAAGACATATGCCCATTTGACTCCACTCATATTTTCTTTTCTTGCTCCTAAGATTATTCTAACCCCAGGTAGAAATCATGTAATTAGGTTGTATCTTATTTCTTTCTCAACTCTTAACCTAGCAAAAACCATGACATTAGTTTACTGGTGCAGCTCCTGAGGCTGGGTAAAGATGTCATGGAAAGCAACACGACTCCAGCATTCCATTTTTGACCCTGGTCTTGATGCAGAAGTGTCTCTTTCATATGTCTGCTGTTTGGTCATCATGAGGTTTGTTATGATATGGACCTTCCCTTAGATGACCACTAGTGTGACCAAAATCAGCTTTTATGAGCAAACATTAAGAGTAGTGAGCTAATGAGAACAGCACATTTGGTTAAACAAGTTTTACTTAGTTTTCAGGAATCTATTTTATAGACACAAAGACGTTCGCTTAAATACCATGTGGTTCTGATTAGCTGGCTTTTGGTTAACCCAAACATGCAGTTAAACAAATGTGATCCATCTTGCCCTGCAGCCCTGAGGCCAGCTCCCCCAAACACTGAGGTTAGCAGTATATCTCCAGACTCAGAGGGCTTGGATAATGTGGAGTTAATTTATATATGGATGGATGACTGCAGATGACCTCTTAGTAATGTGGTAGCTAAAGGAGAATCTACATATTGATCAAGAATCAAATATATGAGCATCTTCCCAAATCTGCAAATTATGCCTGTGAACAAAGCCTTGTGATTTTATTAAGTTGGTGGGATAAAACCTGTCTAAAAGTGATTGAGAGAAATTGCTATATATTTCTTTTTCCTAGTGAAGTAGACCAGGGTGCCTGAAAAATCATAAAACTGTCTTTGTGATAGTGCTTAGTGTAGCAATTTTTGGGAGGATGGTAATACTCTTCTCAAATTCTACATTATTGTTTTCTGGTGAATGCTTTCCCTTTTCTTATTCAGCCATGATAGGGGCAGTGGTCAAGCCCCTGGTTCTACCTACCAAAACTCCCCTTCGAGGTTAAAATATGCCTGGTGGCCACAAAAGGACACTTATGTAAGTGTTGTGGAAGTTGGGAGAACTGAGAAACGGTGTTGTAGTTTATTACAGTGAGTTCAGAAGAGTGAGATCCCAGGGGTGAGGTTGGAGATAACTGATGAGGAGTAATTAGTGAAGTGTGTATGGTAGGCTGTCTCCCCATTTACTTTTCTACCAGCCTACTGGGAGTTTCCACATAGTATCTCTCCCTCCCACCTACCCTCCCTCTTTCTCTCACTTCTCTCTCTCCTCCCTCTCTCTTTATTTTTCTCCCTCTCTCTCTCTCCTGCTTTTGCCACGTGATGTGCCTGCTCCTGCTTTGCCTTCTGCCATGAGTAAAAGCTCCCTGAGGCCTCCCCAGGAGTCCAGTGATGTCAGTGCCATGCTTGTACAGCCTGCAGAACCATGAGCCAATTACAGCTCTTTTCCTTATAAATTACCCAGTCTCAGGTATTTTTTTATAGCAATACGAGAATGGCCTAATACACTGTGTGACTTTGGGCATGTGATTTAGCCTCTGAGTTTTAGAGTTTTTCATCTGTAAAATGGGTGCAATGATAAAACTATGCTGGCAGGTTGATGTAAGGATACTGGTACTGGTACAGTACCAAGGGCCTCATGCAGAGTTGGCACTTAACAAATAGCAGCTGTTATTTTCTATTGTATGAGTTGGTATTGTTTCCTTTTTACAGAGGGATTAACAGAGAAACAGAAGTTAAATGTCCTGTAATAAGTTATCAGTAGTGCTGAGAATGCCTTAAGCATCCTTGGTAGCAGTGCCTGTGTTTACTTGCATTAAAGAGAATAAAAGCACAAAGTACTATTTCAGGACTATTTATGCTTGTCAGCTGCAACAGAAGTACTGTACACAGTGGAACACATGGGATTCCAGAGGCTGCGTGTGCCGGCTGTTTCTGAGGCAAAAATATCCAAGTACACATGTATTATATTGAAAAAAAAATTATGTGTATTTGGGCCTTGTGGAGGGCATCTTCAATACTGCAGGTTTAGAAGTCATTATTAATACCTTTGTCCTACAGTTACTTTCCTCAAATCAATTTTTTTTCATTGCACATTCCTACATACTATATAATTCTCTTGGGTTCCTGGAGCATGAAATAGGGTTTTTCCTTTCTTATTTTCTTGAGCAAATGTGCAGGGTACACACAAATCTTATTCAATTTGCATCATCCAGGCCAGTCCAGCTCCTCTCAGAATGCTCTTGAATCTCATTTGCCATTGGAAAAAAAAAAAAAAGGTTAAAGCGTGTAAGATGGTATGACTTCAGTGTTTGAGAAGTCTGCCTTGGTTGAATATCTAAGCCCATGAACGAGGGGAAATAAAACATTTATTGTTACCAGAACAACACTGGCTCTGAGACATTGGGCCAAACATGACCACTTAGACAGCAAATGCCTCAGCAAGCGGCAGATCGCAATGGGCAGAGAGGCAGCTTCCTAGCTGGACCCTGGGAAAGCCCAGTGGCCCTCAGGTGGGAATAATTCTGGAGAAAGGGTGCCAGTGCAGCAGGAATGCTAGCTAGGAGGGTCACCAGTGTGGTGGGAGGTACAACAGAAAGATTGGAGCTTGAAGTTTGAGAGTAAAGCTTAGCTTTCTAATAACATTGGGGGGATGGGTAAATATCTTATTCATCCATCCATATATTTATTAATCTACTCACTTATCCATCCATCCATCCATCCATCCATCCATCCATCCATCCATCCATCCATCCATCCGATTACTCTCTTTGGAAAAGGTTAAACACTTTGATGCATTAATAATACATTGTTCTAAAAAATAGAGAGGATGTTTTATGAGTGTCCTTGAGTTGAAAGGCTATGGCTTTCTGAAGACAGGCTTATTTAGTTAGTAATCACTCTGGATTTCAGGGGATGGACTTCATAAAATGCTGTTTTAGGAAGAGATGAAGCATCTTAGAGAAATTAGGTTTGAGTGAGCTGCAAGGAATTTTCAGAACACCATCTGAATTTTTTTTTTTTGAGACGTAGTTTCACCCTTCTTTTTTTTTTTTTTTTTTTGAGAGGGAGTCTTGCTATGTCACCAGGCTGGAGTGCAGTGGCACAATCTCGGCTCACTGCAACCTCTGACTCCCTGGTTCAAGCAATTCTCCTGCCTCAGCTTCCCAAGTAGCTGGGATTACAGGCACGCGCCACCACACCCAGCTAATTTTGTATTTTTAGCAGAGTTGGGGTTTCATCATGTTGGCCAGGCTGGTCTTGAACTCCTGACCTCAGGTGATCTGCCCGCCTCAGCCTCCCAAAGTGCTGGGATTACAAGCATGAGCCACTGCAACCGGCCCCCATCTGAATTTCTGGAAGTCTCTGTGGATGATGAGGATTAATCTTACTTGTGATTTGCAAAGGACTCTCCCATCGTTCCATTGCTGTGGGGCTCCACACATCAGTTCACAGATGATTCTCTTTGAAATGACTAACAAAACAAATACAGTCAGCCCTTGGTGTCTATGGATTCCACAATCATAGAGTCAACCATCTGCAGATTGAAAATATTTAAAAAATTGCACCTGTACTAAACATGCAGAGACTTTTTTCTTTTTATTATTCCCTAAACAACAGAGTATAACAACTATTTCATAGCATTTACATTGCATTAGGCATTGTAAGTAGTCTAGTGATGATTTAAAGTATACAAGAGGATGTGCATAGGTGCAAATACCATGTCATTTTATATCAGGGACTTGGGCATCCCTAGACTTTGGTATCTGTGGGGCCTAGAACCAATCCCCCATGAATACGGAGGGGGGACTTCACCTTAGAAAATCACTTGTCACAACACCACCTCGATGTTTAATGGATATTTTCCCCTTAATGAAGCTGAGACAAAGAAAGGCTGAATCCTGAGTTTGTCACATTAAGCCCTCAGTTCTCCCAGCCACAGGAGTGGCTTCCAAATCTATGAAGATTCCTCTTTGTCCAATCTGGGCCCAGCTTCAATCCATGAACAGTCATGGTGCTCTGATCACGTCACTTCTCTGCTCAGGAACAGACAACATCTTTCAAATTTTTTTCAAAATAAAGTCTAAATGTCTTCATATGGTATTTGAGATCTTCTCCTTCATGAATCCTATACTCCAGATGAACAGAACTACTTATATGGGCTCCCACTGTGCCACAGTATCCCCTCTCTGTTTTCACTCATTCTAGTTTCACTCTGAAATACTCTCCTCCACATCTCTCTAGTGTCAAATCCTACCCATCTTTCAAGGTTTGTCTCCCCTGGGAAGCTTTCTCCGACCTCTCTGCTGGAAATAACTTCTTTCCTACTCTTAATTCACATAGAATTTGGTTTCCATCCCTCTTGTTTACAATACTGCTTCTCATACTTTCCTCATAATGAGACTCACCTGCAGGTACTTGTTTAAAAAAAAACAAAACCTGGGCCTGGTCCCAGACCTACTGAATGAGCAGAAGTCTCCAAAGAAGGGGCCTGGGAAGTAGTATTTTTAACAAATGCTCCAGGTGAGTCCTTATTTTTTATTTTATTTTACTTTATTATTTTACTTTGAGTTCTGGGATATATATGCAGAATGTGCAGGTTTGTTTCATAGGTATATGTGTGCCATGGTGGTTTGCTGCACCTATTAACCCATCGTCTAGGTTCCGTCCCCTCACCGCCCCCTCCAGCCCCCAACAGGCCCTGGTGTGTGTTGTTCCCTTCCCTGTGTCCATGTGTTTTCATTGTTCGACTCCCACTTATGAGTGAGAACATGCGGTGTTTGGTTTTCTGTTCCTGTGTTAGTTTGCTGAGGATGATGGCTTCCAGCTTCATCCAAGTCCCTGCAAAGGAGATGAACTTATTCATTTGTATGGCTGTGTAGTATTCCATGGTGTATATGTACCACATTTTCTTTATCCAGTCTATCATTGATGGGCATTTGGGTTTGTTCCATGTCTTTGCTACTGTAAATAGTGCTGCAATAAACATACATGTGCATGTGTCTTTATAGTAGAATGATTTATATTCCTTTGGGCATATACCCAGTAATGGGATTGCTGGGTCAAATGGTATTTCTGGTTCTAGATCCTTGTGTAAAACACTGTCTTCCACAATGGTTGAGCTAATTTATACTACTACCAACAGTGTAAAAGCATTCCTATCTCTCCACAGCCTCGCCAGCATCTATTGTTTCTTGACTTTTTAATAATCACCATTGTGACTGGCGTGAGATGATATCTCATTTTGGTTTTGATTTGCATTTCTCTAATGATGTTGAGCTCTTTTCCTTATGTTTGTTGACCACATAAATGTCTTCTTTTGAGAAGTGTCAGTTCATATCCTTCACTCACTTTTTGATGGGATTGTTGGATTTTTTCTTGTAAATTTGTTTAAATTCCTTGTAGATTCTGGATATGAGACCTTTGTAAGATGGGTAGATTGCAAAAATTTTCTGCCATTCTGTAGGTTGCCTGTCCACTCTGATGATAGTTTGTTTTGCTGTGCAGAAGCTCTTTAGTTTAATTAGATCCCATTTATCAATTTTGGCTTTTGTTGCAATTGCTTTTGATGTTTTTGTCATGAAATCTTTGCCTATGCCTATGTCCTGAATGGTATTGCCTAGGTTTTCTTCTAGGGTTTTTATGGTTTTGGGTTTTACATTTAAGTCTTTAATCCATCTTGAGTTAATTTTTTATAAGGTGTAAGGAAGGGGTCCAGTTTCAGTTTTCTGCATATGGCTAGCCAGTTTTCCCAACACCATTTATTAGGTAGGGAATCCTTTCCCCATTGCTTGTTTTTGTCAGATTTGTCGAAGATCAGATGGTTGTAGATGTGTGGTTTTATTTCTGAGGTCTCCATTCTGTTCCATTGGTCTACATGTCTGTTTTGGTACCAGTACCATGCTTTTTTGGTTACTGTAGCCTTGTAGTACAGTTTTAAGTCAGGTAGCGTGAGGTCTCCAGCTTTGTTCATTTTGCTTAGGTGTCTTGGCCATACGGGTTCGTTTTTGGTTGAATATGAAATTTAAAATAGTTTTTTTCTAACTCTGTGAAGAATGTCAATGGTAGCTTGATGGGAATAGCAGTGAATCTATAAATTACTTTGGGCAGTATAGCCATTGTCATGATATTGATTCTTCCTATCAATAAGCATGGAATGTTTTTCCACTTGTTTGTGTCCTATTTCCTTGAGTAGTGGTTCTCCTTTAAGAGGTCCTTCACATCCCTTGTTAGCTGTGTTCCTAGGTATTTTATTCTCTTTGTGGCAATTGTGAATGGGAGTTCACTCATGATTTGGCTCTCTGCTTGTCTATTATTGGTGTATACAAATGCTTGTGATTTTTGCACATTGATTTTGTATCCTGAGACTTTGCTGAAGTTGCTTATCAGCTTAAGTTGTTTTGGGGCTGAGACAATGAGGTTTTCTATACACAGAATTATGTCATCTGCAGAGATAATTTGACTTTCTCTCTTCCCATTCGAATACCCTTTATTTCTTCCTCTTGCCCGATTGCCCTGGCCAGAACTTCCAACACTATGTCGAATAGGGGTGGTGAGAGAGGGCATCCTTGTCTTGTGCCTGTTTTCAAAGGGAATGCTTCCAGCGTTTGCCCGTTCAGTGTGATATTGGCCGTGGGTTTGTCCTAAATAGCTCTTATTATTTTGAGCTATGTTCCATCAAATACCTAGTTTATTAAGAGTTTTTAACATGCATGGATGTTGAATTTTATCGAAGGCCTTTTTCTGCATCTATTGAGATAATCATGTGGTTCTTGTCATTGGTGCTGTTTATGTGATGGATTACATTTATTGATTTGCATATGTTGAACCAGCCTTGCATCCCAGGGATGAAGCTGACTCAAGCTTTTTGACGTGCCACTGGATTCAGTTTACTAGTATTTCATTGAGGATTTTTGCATCGATGGTCATCAGGGATATTGGCCTGAAGTTTTTGTTGTTGTTGTTGTGTTTCTGTCAGGTTTTGGTATCAGGATGATGCTGGTCTCATACAATGGGTCAGGGAGGAGTACTTCCTTTTCAATTGCTTGGAATAACTTCAGAAGGAATGGTACCAGCTCCTCTTTGTACCTCTGGTGGAATTTGGCTGTGAATCTGTTTGGTCCTGGGCTGTTTTTTTTTTTTTTTTTGGTTGGTAGGGTATTAATTGCTGCCTCAATTTCAGAACTTGTTATTGGTCTCTTCAGGGATACGACTTCTTCCTGGCTTAGTCTGGGGAGGGTGTGTGTGTCCAGGAATTTATCCATTTCCTCTAGATTTTCTAGTTTATTTGCGTAGAGGTGTTTATAGTATTCTCTGAAGATAGTTTATATTTCTGTGGGATCAGTGGTGATATCTCCTTTATCATTTTTTATTTTGTCTATTTGATTCTTCTCTCTTTCCTTCTTTATTAGTCTAGCTAGTAGTCTTTTTTATTTTATTTTTTTCTCAAAAAACCAGCTCCTGGATTCATTGATTTTTTGAAGGGTTTTTCGTGTCTCTGTAGGGAAAAGAAAGAGAGATCAGACTGTTACTGTGTCTATGTAGAAAGGGAAGACATAAGAGACACCATTTTGAAAAAGACCTGTACTTTAAAATAATTGCTTTGCTGAGATGTTGTTAATTTGTAGCTTTGCCCCAGCCACTTTGACCCAACCACTTTGACCCAATCTGGAGCTCACAAAAACATGTGTTGTATGAAATCAAGGTTTAAGGGATCTAGGGCTGTGCAGGACGTGCCTTGTTAACAAAATGTTTACAAGCAGTATACTTGGTAAAAGTCATCGCCATTCTCTAGTCTCAATAAACCAGGGGCACAATGCACTGCAGAAACCCACAGGGAACTCTGCCTTTGAAAGTGGGGCATTGTCCAAGGTTTCTCCCCATGTGATAGTCTGAAATTGGACTTGTGGGATGAGAAAGACCTGACCGTCCCCCAGCCCAACACCTGTAAAGGATCTGTGCTGAGGTGGATTAGTAAAAGAGGAAAGCCTCTTGCAGTTGAGATAGAGGAAGGCCACTGTCTTCTGCCTGCCCCTGGGAACTGAATGTCTCGGCATAAAACCCGATTGTACATTTGTTCAATTCTGAGATAGGAGAAAAACCGCCCTATGGTGGGAGGCGAGACATGTTTACAGCAATGCTGCCTTGTTATTCTTTACTCCACTGAGATGTTTGGGTGGAGAGAAACATAAATCTGGCCTACGTGCACATCCAGGCATAGTACTTTCCCTTGAACTTAATTATGACATAGATTCTATTGCTTACATGTTTGTTTGTTGCTGACCTTCTCTTTATTATCACCCTGCTCTCCTACTACATTCCTTTTTGCTGAAATAATGAAAATAATAATCAATAAAAACTGAGGGAACTCAGAGACCGGTGCAGGTCCTTGGTATGCTGAGCACCGGTCCCCTGGGTCCACTGTTGTTTCTCTACACTTTGTCTCTGTGTCTTATTTCTTTTCTCAGTCTCTCGTCCCACCCGACTAGAAATACCCACAGGTGTGGAGGGGCAGGCCACCCCTTCATGTCTCCATCTCCTTCAGTTCTGCTCTGATCTTAGTTATTTCTTGTCTTCTGCTAGCTTTTGGATTTGTTTGCTCTTGCTTCTCTAGCTCTTTAATTGTGATGTTAGGGTGTCGATCTGAGATCTTTCTAGCTTTCTGATATGGGGATTTAGTGCTATAAATTTCCCTCTTAACAATGCTTTAGCTGTGTCCCAGAGATTCTGGAATGCTGTCTCTTTGTTCTCATTGGTTTCAAAAAACTTCTTGATGGTCCACTTGATCCAGAGCTCAGTTCAAGTCCTGAATATCCTTCTTAATTTTCTGCCTTGTTGATCTGTCTAATATTGACAATGGGGTGTTAAATTTTCCCACTATTATTGTGCGGGAGTCTAAGTCTCCTTGTAGGTCTCTAAAAACTTGTTTTATGAATTTGGGTGCTCCTGTATTGGGTGCATATATATTTAGGATAGTTAGCTTTTCTTGTTGAATTGATCCCTTTACCATTATGTAATGCCCTTCTTTGTCTTTTTTGATTGTTGTTGGCTTAAAGTCTGTTTTATCAGAGCTTAGGATTGCAACCCTTGCTTTTTTCTTTTCTTTTTTTTTGCCTTCCATTTGCTTGGTAAATATTCCTCCATCCCTTTCTTTTGAGCCTATGTGTGTCTTTGCATGTGAGATGGGTCTCCTGAATACAGCACACCAGTAGGTCTTGACTCTTTATCCAATTTGCCAGTCTGTGTCTTTTAATTGGGGCATTTAGCCCATTTATATTTAAGGTAAATATTGTTATGTGTGAAGTTAATCCTGTCATCATGATACTATCTGGTTATTTTGCACACAAGTTGATATAGTTTCTTCATACTGTCATTGGTCTTTATATTTTGGTGTGTTTTTGCAGTGGCTGGTACCAGTTTTTCCTTTCCATATTTAGTGCTTCCTTCAGAAGCTCTTGCAAGGCAGGCCTGGTGGTGATGAAATCCCTCAGCATTTGCTTGTCTGTAAAGGATTTTATTTCTCCTTCACTTATGAAGCTCAGTTTGGCTGGATATGAAATTCTGGGTTAAAAATTCTTTTCTTTAAGAATGTTGACTATTGGCCCTCTCTTTCTTCTGGCTTGTAGGGTTTCTGTTGAGAGATCCACTATTAGTCTGATGGGCTTCCCTCTGCAGGTGACCTGGCCCTTCTCTGTGGCTGCACTGAACATTTTTTCCTTCATTTTGACCTTGGAGAATCTGATGATTTTGTTTCTTGAGGCTGATCATCTCAGGGAGTATCTCAGTGATGTTCTCTGTATTTCCTGAATTTGAATGTTAGCCTGTCTTGCTAGGTTGGGGAAGTTCCCCCGGATAATATCCTGAAGTGTGTTTTCCAACTTGGTTCCATTCTTCCCGTCTCTTTCAGGTACTCCAATCAATCATAGTTTCAGTCTTTTTACATAGTCCCATATTTCTTGGAGGTTTTGTTCATTCCTTTTTCATTCTTTTTTCGATAATCTTGTCTGCATGCCTTATTTCAGCAAGATGGCTTTCAAATTCTGTATCTTTTCTTCTGCTTGGTCGATTCGGCTATTGATACTTGTGTGTGCTTCACAAAGTTCTCGTGCTGTGTTTTTCAGCTCCATCAGGTCATTTATATTCCTGTCTCAACTGGTTATTCTAGTTAGCAGATCCTGTAACCTTTTATCAAGTTTCTTAGCTTCTTTGCATTAGGTTAGAACGTGCTCCTTTAGCTCAGTGGAGTTGTTATTATCCATCTTCTGAAGCCTACTTCTGTCAATTCATCCATCTCATCCTCCATCCAGCTCTGTGTCCTTGCTGGAGAGGCATTGCAATCATTTGGAGGAGAAGAAGCACTCTGGCCTTTTGGGTTTTCAGTGTTTTTTTTAATTGATTCTTTCTCATCTTCATGAGTTTGTCTAGTTTTGATCTTTGAGGCTGCTGACCCTTGGATGAGGTTTTTGTGGAAATATTTTTTGTTGATACTGTTGCTGTTGCTTTCTGTTTTTTTGTTTGTTTTTCTTTCAGTGGTCAGGTCCTCCTTCTGTAGGGCTGCTGTGGTTTGCTGGGGGTTCACTTCATGCCCTATTCATCTGGTTCACTCCTGCACCTGGAGATGTCACTCAAGGAGACTGGAGAACAGCCAAGATGGGTGCCTGCTCCTTCCTCTGGGATCTTTGACCTTGAAAGGCACTGTCCTGATGCCAGTAGGAATGCTCCTGTATAGGGTGTCTGACAACCCCTGTTGGAGGGTCTCTCCAAGTTGGGTGGCACAGGGAGCAGGACCCATTTAACAAAGCACTTTGGCTGTCCCTTGGTGGAGAAGGTGTGCTTTGCTGGGGGGAAACCCACTCATCTGGGCTGCCCAGATTCCTCAGAACCAGCAGGAGGAAATACTAAGTCTGCTGGTCTGTGGGGATTGTGGCCACTCCTCCCCACAGGGGCTCAGGCCCAGGGAGATCAGAGTTTGTTCCTGAGCCCCTGGCTGGAGTTGTTGGAGTTCCTGCAGGGAAGCCCCTCCCAGTGAGGAGGGGTGGGTCATGGTCAGGCCTGAAGAGGCACTCTGGATGCAGCCGGCCACAGCCAGTGTGTTGGGCTATGGGGGACAACTCTTGGGACCAAGCTGTCCGGTCTCCCTGGCTCCAGCAGGCGAAAGGCGTGGCCTGGAGCAGCTGCCCTTCCCCAACCCTGGGAGCTTAGTGTGTTAGGCAGCTAGCAGTCCCAATGTTAGCTGCTGTGCCCCCTGCAAGGAGCTCAAATGGCTTAGACAGCAGGCAGCTGCAACTGTGGTGCTTGCTGCCCCTCTCCCCGGGGAACTTGGCAGGCTTAAGCAGATTCTCGCTGAGTGGCTGTTGAGAATCTGTGTGGCTCCATGGTTGGGACCCTATGCCCCAGTGGCGTGGGTTCATGAATGGGATCTTCTGATCTGTGGGTTGCACACTTCCGTGGAGAAAGCACGGTTTCCCAGGCTGGGTAGGATTCTCACTCACCACCTCTCTTGGCTGGGGGTGGGGGTTCCCCTGCCCTGTGTGGCTCTCGGGTGGGCTGCCACACCACACTGTTCTTCCTTCCTCTGTGTGGGTCACGCCAGCCACCTAGTCAGTTCTGATGATAGAACCTGGATACCTCAGTTGTGGGTGCAGGATTTGCACGCTGTTTTATGGTTTTTTTCGATGGAAGCCTCTGATAGCTGCTGCTTCTAGTCGGCTATCTTGGCCCCGCCCCTCCAGGTGATTCTTATTAGAGAAGGGAAACATCCTATAACCTTGCTAGTCAAAGAGTGCTCTCAGACCAGCAGCATCAGCATCATCTGGGAACTTGGTAGAAATGCAGAATCTTGGGCGCCATCCTAGAACTACTGAATTGGCATTTGCATTTGAGTAGGATCCCCAGGTAATTCCTAGGCATGTTAAAATTTGAGAGGCTCTGCCTTGCTATACTTATTACTTGCTATTTTGGTTACAGGTAATTATGCAACCAAAATCCTTTACACTTATTATCTCATTAATTACTCAAAGTAACTATTATTATTCCTCTTATTTCAGATAGATGAGACTTCAATTAAATCGAACCATATTAAATTGTAAATGTTAGATCATTTTTTGACCTACTTACAAAAAAGGCAATTTTATACGTTTCAGCTTAATAGCAAGTGGTGATGGCACTGGGATTAGAATTTCAGCAGTTTGACACTGGAGCCATCTCTTAAGCCTTATATTATTATTATGACTGTCATATATACCAGTAACTGTTGGTTTTCAATAGCAAAAAAACCCACTCAAATTGAAATACATTATTGAGTTTCAAAGTTAGTGTGTGATAGGGTTCTGAAAACGAAAATGTGCTTATATAAACAGTATGAATGTGAGATGGATATGAGGGAGTAGGGTAATGAGATAGTAAAGAAAGCAACTGAAATTACATGCTTTTCCCTCCATTTGGTCCATATGGAGTTGGAGACTACAGGTATTAATGCTAATTTTCTTCCAGACGTGAAGGACTGAAATATCTTTTGTTCTGACTTATAATTTTCAGCTTGGTTCCAAATCTCAAAAACTGCAATTTTAGGCTATGATTAGAACATAAGATTGCTTCTGTCTACTAATTTTCAGGCAGAATAAGTTTACAGTAATAGGCTTATACAGCTTTTGTGTTCAAGGGCCAAAGTCTGTAAAATATGTGGGAAATTGGAAAAGGAAGGAAAGGTTTCTTGCCAAACTTTTTGATACGTTTGATCCTTTGCAATGACTAAATATGCAATGAAGACCCAACAAAGAATCGACTGCCATCACAAGACCACTAGGTAGTTTCTTTCCTTCCCCAGATACAGGGTATAAAAATGTTTTCTAATTGAAGGTTATAATCAACTAGTTTTTAGCGTGTTGTTCACAGAAGATTGAAGCTTCTCAAAGGAGTATTTGTTTCTCTGATTTTTGCTGACACCCTTTATTACGCCACAGTTCTTAGTCTTAACAAAGGGGCTTTATATATGAAAAGTGCTTGCTGTATTTTAACACGATAAATGAGTCAAGTGGTGATGACTTAGGCATAAGAGAAAAAAAACAAAAGATACTCTAAAGATGTTTAGGATTACTAGACTAGGACTGGAAAGAGTAACTAGAGATGACTGACCACTTAAGTGACTGGCAGTTGGAAAGTAGTCTGTGAGAGGCTTCTTGTGGAAGTGGATCATGTTGCTTCGTTTAATGAGGCTGGGTTATGAGGTCCATGTGGCTGAGCCATGCAGCTGGTCACTTGGCATTTGAGTGTCCAGCTAAATAGGTACCTGCAGTGGAATAATATTCTGAACCTCTGTTCATTCTTCTGCAATGTTTTCTTCCTCGTTAAATATCCTGTATTCCCCCCAAATTAATGTGTGTAACCACTTTTTTATCCAAGTATCACACTCTTCCCTGAATACATTTATTATATATGCACTGCACATACCTTTTCAGAAGAGTAGGAATTGTAAAGGTTATGGGAAATGAGAAATAATTTTTTTAATGAATGAAACTAATGGTTGCTGGTTGCCTTTTCCTTTTGTATGGTTGGTACCTTTTTGCTTATGAACATGAGAATAGTGGCCTTGGTTTTGTTTAGATTGCCCTAGGAATGTGTTCTTTAGGAGCTGTGACCTAAGCACTTTCAATTTTGATCTTGTAAAAAAACAATGCTTTTGTGTTTTTGTTTTATTTTTATATAAGTAAGAAAAGGAAGGTGTTCTATATGTTTGTCAAGTGGGCCTTTGTATGTCAATATCTGTCACATAGAATCATAGAAAATACAGACATTCTTCCAGGACTCATACTCTGTGTCTGGTCCCAGGCCTATCAGTGATTCTTTATATGATTTAAAGTATGTCCACTCTACTTTTCCTTCCTTCTTTTTTATATATTGTAAAATCAATTTCCCCTCAGAAAGTTTAGAAGGAATGAATGAAACTAAACAATGAATATGAAGTAGGAAAACACGTTTTTTAAGAACTTAATAAATTAATTTCTTAATTAATTTATTAATTAAGGGGTTTTGGGGAAAAGAAGAGGAACATCCATCAGAGTGGTTCTAGTTCTGCATTAGCAGTGTGTAATGACTGGATGTCTTCCTGGGTCTGCAGTGTTTCACCTATTCTTACTCCTGTCACATAGCCTGAAAATATTTTACCATTGTTCTGACTTCAAAGGACTTGACTAATAGGAATACACAACTCGATATTACCCGTTCATTGTGATTCTTAATTTGCAAATAATAATAAATGGAATCTAGGACAGTATCCTCAGTCTGCTTTAGTATGTTCAAGATTAAAGGGGAAAGTTTCCTAAAGTTAATCTTCCAATTCTCAGTGAAAAGAACATTAAAAATAGAGAAAAAGGCCTTTGGGTCAAATGAGTTTTGTGTTTGGCACTGACATAGAGAAACCTGTGAATACATTAAAAGTAGAAGGCACATAAACCCAGTCTACCTGAATTAAAGACATGAATACCAAAAGGCTTTCCTTGGAGATCAGATGCTATGGGTTGAATTGTGTCCCTTCTGTCAAATTCATATTTTGAAGACATATTCCCCAATACGTCAGAATGTGACCTTATTTGGAGATAGGGTCTTTACTGAAGTAGTCAAGTTAAAATGAGGTCATTAGGGTGGGCCTTAATCCAATACGTACGTTATATTTATGATTGGAGAAAACTTGGATGCAGGCACACAGGGAGAATACCATGTGAAGATCAAGGCAGACAGAAACTGGAGTGATGCCTCTATAAGCCAAGGAACACCAAGACCAGCACACAATGAGAAGATAGGGGAGAGGCATAGAATAGATTCTTCCTCACAGCCCTCAGAAAGAACAAACCCTGGTGTCACCTCGATTTTGAATTTCTAGCTTCTAGAAGGGTGAGAGAATAATTTTCTGTTGCGTAAGCCACCCAATTTGTGGTACCTTGTTACGGCGGCCCTAGCAAACTAATACACCAGGAAAGGAGTTAAACCTTGAGATTCTACTTACAGGGGCCAGTGTTATGACTGAAAAGACCACTACTCCCCAGACCTGGGCAAATAAAACTGAAGAAGGAATAGTCTATGGAGTTGTTTCAAATGATGTTCTCATTTAGTGATGTCTGAAATACAGTCTTGCCTATTTACCTCAACTACAGAAAGAAAACTAAGTAAAATTGAGGAGAATGAGCTTTCATTTCACACATCAAAAAATGTGTTTTCTGATTTCCCAGTGAAATTTAGGCTGACTAAAAAAAAAAAAAAGAATTCCTCATGATATTGTCACTCTAATTTTTCTAGGTCACTAGAGCACGGAAAAAAATCTGACTGCTCCACACCTGAATTATACCAGTTTGCATAAACTAATAAAATTACAACTTAACTACTATCGTGAGGAGTTATCCTGTTCGTTATGGTGACAGAAGCTGGGCATGAAGAAGGGAAAATGCTGCCAATCCCCCGGAAAGCCATTAATGTTACTCTGCCAGGGGATCTAAAGGTGTGGGAGAGGATTTTAAATATAGCACCCATCTTAACCACTGTGAATAAGCAACACTACTATAGGTAATAAGAAGAAGCCAACCTTAGACATATGGCTGGGCCTTAAAGGGACGCAGCTGAGAAAACATAGCCCTCGTCAGGTACTTTAATAGGAGGAGTTTAATATGCTAAATTCATAATAAAGGTGTTATTAGAAGAGCTATAACCACTCAAAGATGGGGTCGATGGGAGAAAGGGAGGTGGTAGTGTTTCTAGAGCCTGCGATCTTGGGTAATAAGGATAGGAATTGAGACCACTGAAGAGATATAACAACTGCTGGGCATGGTCCAGAGCAGGAGAGGGGAACTAGCACCCTTGCTTCTGTCTTCCTTCCAGCCTCCAGTGTCTTTCCAGCACTTGTTATGGCAGCCCTAGCAAACTAATACACCAGGATAGGAGTTAGACTTTGGGTAAACCCTTCCCTTAGGATGGCTGGAGGGAGCATACCCCACCCTGGCGTTCCCACTCATCACAGGTCAGCCAGAAGCATTGCTGAGCAGAACTGAAGGCAAGTGGCAAGGAGGTGTGGGAAACATGGTTTGCTGGTGTCGGCTCCTTGGATGATGGAGGCAGGGGAGGAGTATTAGTTTCCTTTTGCTGCTGTAACAAATTACCACAGACTTAATGGCTAAAATCAGCACAGAGTTATTTCCTTATAGTTCTGGAGGTTAGAAGTCTACAATCAAGGTGTTGGCAATGCTGCATTTCTTCCAGAGGCTTCTAAGGAAAATCTGTTTTCTCACCTATGCCAGCTTCTAGAGTCTGTCTGCCTTTCTGGGCTCACTGCCCCTTCCTTCATCTTCAAGATGCATCTCTTTAACTCAGTTTCATGGGCACATCTCCTTTTTTGACTTTGACTCTCTTACCTCTCTCTTGTGATTACATTGGACCCACTAAAATAATCAGGAGAATCTTTCCATTCAAGATTTTGTTTTTATTATACTTTAAGTTGTAGGGTACATGTGCACAATGTGCAGGTTTGTTACATATGTATACATGTGCCGTGTTTGTTTGCTGCACCCATTAACTCATCATTTACATTAGGTGTTTCTCCTAATGCCAACCCAAATGTCCATCAGTGATAGACTGGATTAAGAAAATGTGGCACATATTCTCCATTCAAGATTCTTAACCACATCTCCAAAGTCCCTTTTGCCATGTAAGGTAACATTTTCATAAGAGCCAGAAATGGGGATGCGGACATTTTGGGGGGCCATTATTCTGCCTATCACAGAAGGGAAGGTAACAGACATGGGGTCATCAAGCAAGTGACAAAGGCCTCCTGCTAGCTCTTAATAGGCCTTTTCTATCCTTTCCAGATGCTCCTTTGCACACAATTCCATGGCATTTCAACTAGCTCAAGTCTTTTTTCTTTCTTTTTTTTTTTTTTGAGACTCTGTTGCCCAGGCTGGAGCGGTGTGATCACAGATTATTGCAGCCTTGACTTCCCATGTTGAGGCAATCCTCCCATCTCAGCCTCATGAGTAGCTGGGACCACAGGCACATGCTACCATGCCTGGGCTAATTTTTTTATATTTTGTATAGACAGGGCTTCCATGTTGCCCAGGCTAGTCTCAGAATCCTGGGCTCAAGCAATCTGCCCACCTTGGCCTCCCAAAGTGCTGGGGTTACAAGCATGAGTCACTGCACCTGGCCTGCCCAATTCTTATACAATATCTGTTGGATCACTGTTTTGGAGGCAAGTTTGCCCGTTTACAGGGTACTACAATGAAGGCTTAGTGAAATGTTATCCTAGAATACCTTCTTGGAAACTTTGATTTAGTTGAATTATTTTTGAACCCGGCAGTTGCTGAGATGGAATCAGAGGGTGGAGAGGAAAGGAATAGGGTTTGTTTCAGCCCAGGAGCCTCTAGACGTTGACAAGCCGACCCCTAGGTGAGGAGAACCCTGTATGTAAGCTGAGCAGTTGTCAGGACAAAGGCTTAGTGTTTTAGTCTGCATCCCATTTATGTGTGTGTGTGTGTGTGTGTGTGTGTGTGTGTGTGTGTATGTGTTGCAGCTTCTGTGGGAAGCACACCAGCAGGAGCCTTCTTGTCTTTAAACCCTTCCCTTGGGATGGCTGGAGGGAGCATGCCTCACCCTGGTGCTCCCACTCATCACAAGTCAGCCACACACAGAGGTGAGCTGTTCCTGGAGAAAGTGAAGACCCAATTAGACAACAGGTCTACTCTATGCAATTGGAAAATCTGAACATATTTTTCGGGGAAAACAAAATCAAAACCCTAGTAACAGAAAGTTTATAAACAACTGCTTCTCTCCTTCTCTATTTTTGCATGTTCTGAGAGTTCTGAGCAACTGTCTCTCCCTCCCTCTAATGAAGTCCAACAGAAGCTTCTGATTTTGTGGGTGGCAATGTCTTCCATGTGTGGCTTCCTAAGAAAACACCCTTGGGATGAAGGTGGTGTAGTGCAGTGTATTTTCCAAAGCAATCTTATCCCTGTTAATTTTATCAAGAAATTTATAAAGAACAATAACTGTGAGACAAACTTAGATGCAACTAGGCCCTATCCAAGGCTGGTTTCTAAACTTTTTTTTTTTAAATTCATTGAGAATAGTCTCTTCAACCTCCACCTTTTTAGTTGCAGTGGTCTAGATTGTGCTAGAGTGTATTGAGTGAATACATGGGCTATAAGCAGAAATTCAAATTTTCTGAAGGGTGTAGGTGCCTCTATTTCAGGAACATAATAAGCACTCTGGTATGGTTGGGCTCTGTGTCCCCACTCAAATCTCATGATGAATTGTAATCCCCAGTGCTGGGGGAGGGACCTGGTGGGAGGTGATTGGATCATGGGGGTGGATTTCTCCCTTGCTGTTGTTAGTGAGTGAGTTCTCTGTTTGAAAGTGTGTAGCACTTCCCCCTTCGCTCTCTCTCTCTCCTGCTTTGGCCATGTGAAGACTGCCTGCTTCCCCCTTTTACCTCCTGCCATGATTGTAAGTTTCCTTGGGCCTCCCCGGAAGCACAAGCCTGTGTAGCCCACAGAACCATGAGCTGATTAAACCTCTTTTCTTAATAAATTGCCCAGTCTCAGGTAGTTCTTTATAGCAATGCAAGAATGGACTAATACACACTCACCCAGCCAGCTCTCCAACAAGAGTCTGTTTTATACAGTGTGAGGCCTGGCAGAGAAAATGGAACAAGCCATGGATGCATTCACAGTCTATCTTGGTTTTTGGAAATGGGAGTTTCAGAAAAAAGGACAGGGCTGGGATCATGAAAGGGCTTGGCCATCATATGATAACTTGTACTGACCACTACTGGTATTAGTCCACAACCTCCTGGCTGTGGCCATTTGACTAAGGCAGCCTCTTCTTGGTGTAATTCAGGATTGTGAAGATCCACAAGGAGGTGACAGTACAGTTTAACAACTGAGGAGCATCTTCTAAGGCATACAAATATCCTGGTAGGACATGAGATTTAAAAAAAAACTAATCATGGTCCAGTTCCTACATATCCTGGTGAAACATCAAAACCTTGCCAAGGATAAAGGATTTGGCTTTAAAGATGTGTGTGTGTGTGTGTGTGTGTGTGTGTGTGTGTGTGTGTGTGTGCGCATGAGAGAGAGAGAGAGAGACAGAGAGAATGCACATTGGAGTCTGTGTGGTTGGCTCGGGGGAAAAGGGAGTAGTTTAGGAAAAAGGAAAGTCTGACAATAACAAGTAGAATCTGGAAACTACTTTTCTATAAAACTTTTCAAGGGCCAAATACCTCTGCAATGTCCTCCTTCTTGGCTACTGAGTGGCATAGGTAAGTAACCAAGGAGCTGCATATGGTCTGGTTAATGTCCTCTAGCTGTATGGGACTAAATTGGTATCCTTCTGCAACGGAGGTGTATTTATGGCTAAAATGGACTCTTGGAACTGCTTCTAAATCTTTGATTCTAGGAGGTTTATTGTGCCTGCTATACCAACTGGACCCTAAGTGGTTTTAACTTCCTGGAGTTAACTGTGTCACCATGACTGCCAAATTGTAGTCCCTGGTACCTGGTTCCCTATGAAGACCACAGTGGGTGGTATGTGTGGTGGTGATGATGACATGTATGCAGGGGAAGGCAACAAGGGAGTTGTAGAGACAAATTATGGCCTATGTCTCCATTTGTCTTCTGTTCAGGCTATGGAAAAAGCACTTGAGCAAGAATCTCACTTTCTGCAAAAATAAGTCTTTCTGAAACTTTTAGCTTTTGCAGTTCTACACAGTGAGCATGGCATCTGTGTTTTCCCATACCTGCTTACTTACCTCTGCCATGCAGAATATGCTGTAGTATTCTCATTACTGAATGGGAACGCAGAGAAAGGCTGATGGCAAGATAGCAATATTAAAGTAATATAATTTCTTGGTTCAAATAAAATATTGTATGCAAAAATGCTTAATAAACTGAAATGAATCTGTATATTTACTTTAAGTTCAATATTTGATATGCAGTAAGAATGCTTCTTGAAATGAGAAAGTGATTTAAGGAGAGATAAAAACCAGTGTATTGACTTAAATTTTTTTTAACTTGTGGCAAAATATGCATAACATACAATAAACCATCTTAACCATTTTTAAGTGGTTAAGCTCAGTAGTGTTAAGTGTATTCAGATTGTTGTGCAACCAATCCAGAACTTTCTTCGTCTTGCAAAACTGAAACTCTATTCCCATTAAATAGCTTTTATGAATTGTGCTCCTATGAACATTTATCTATGAGTATTTGTTTGAGAACCTGTTTTTAATTCTTTTGGGTATATATCTAGCAGTGGAGTTGCTGAGTCATATGGTATCTCTATGTTTAACTTTTTGAGGAGCCACCAAATTGTTTTCCACTGGGCTGAACCATTTTACAACTCCATCAGCAACATACAAGGGTTGTGATTTCTCCGTATCTTCACCAGCACTGTTTATTTTTCATTTTAAAAAATCATAGGAATCCTAACGGGTGTGAAGTGGTTTTTCTTGCATTTCTCTAATGACTAATGATTGTTGAATATCTTTTCATGTGCTTATTTTCCATTCATGTATTCATTTAGAGAAATGTCTATTCAAGCCCATTGCCCATTTTAAAATTGGGTTGTCTTTTTGTTGTTGAGTTATAAGAGTTTTCTAAATATATTCTGGAGATGATTTTCAAATATTTTCTCCTGTTCTGTAGGTTGTCTTTTCACCATTTTGATATTGCCCTTTGATTCATGGAAGTTTACATTTTGATGAAGTTGAATCGATTTTTTAATTTTGTTGTTCATCCTTTTGATGCTATATCTAAGAATCCACTGCCAAGTCTGAGTTCATGAAGATTGACTTTTATGTTTCTTCTAAGAGTTCTATGGTTTTATCTGTTATATCTAGGATATTGATCCATTTTGAGTTAATTTTAATGTATGCTATAAGGTAGGAACAGCTTTATTCTTTGGCTTATCAAAGCACAAAGAGGACCATCACAGGCAAATTAATTAAAGAACAGCATTTGGAAATTATTTGTCTTTCCTTCTCCCTCAGTTTAAACTGAGTTGCAGGCAGAAGTAGAATTTTCTCCTGAGATATAACTCAGAATTGTCTTCAAACCAAAATAAACTGATTGAGAAGCACTCCTAGCATTGGAGAAGAAAGGCAGAGTGAAGCAATCAATGTAAGATCTTTACAAGGATAGTATAGGGAGGAGGAGGGGAAGAAATGCAGTGGCTGACTTCAGTGTTCACTCCTAGAATAAACCCTGAGTATATCTCTTCAAGGTTGGAATTCTGACCCAGGATAATCACTTATTGGGTGGCAGGGCATGAGAGACAGGGCCGTATTGTCTGTTACAGACTGTCTCCAAGAGGGTTGAATAATTTCCATACTCAAAACAAGCTACCTACATACTCTGTCAAATTTCACATAACCATAAAGCACTAGCTGTTGTAACTAGGGTGTTTATTTATTGACATAAAAACAAGAATTCTCATATACAGATTGCAAGCAGTTAACCAGGAATCACAAAACACTTGAGGAAACCCAGCACTGTGAATGAGAAAAAATTCAGTAAGTAAAAAAACTAACACATGAGAAATTGGACTTCAAAAAGCAAACGGAAGAGTTAAAAAGTTAAATTAAAATTCTCATAAAGATTCCAGACAATTTTACTAACATGCACTAGTAATAGAATGGCATAAAAAATCAATTAAAATTATTGGTGTTTAAAAGTGAAAGAATAATTTTAAAAAGTCAAACCTCAGATCAGATGCATGTGAGGATGGCTGCAGATGAAGAAGCAATATGAGCTGGAATATGTAGTGGGGAAAATGCCCCAGAACTCAGCCCACACATGCAAAGAGAAAAATGTGTGAAAGAAAAGTTAAGATAAAATTGTTTGAAACTTAGAGTTCTTTATCCAAAAAGATACAAAAGCGTTTGAGAAAATAGAGATATTATTACACAATAATATTACTGTCTGTGGGCTTTCTCTGAAGGAATCCTTAGAGGATGTACTCAATCAAGACAAAACAATTAAGAAGGAGGAGGAAGACTTGAGATAAAAGAAGTTTGTTCTTTGTTTCCTTTACTGTTTTGCTTGTTTTAGCTGAAACTTGGCTCTTCCTTGAGAGCATGTTTCTTTCTGTAAAGCCCCTTGACACCAAAAAGCTTGAAGTTGGGGTGACTGTTTTTCTTATCCTTGGTTGCTATTCAAACAAAATTTCCTCCTTCCCTAAAAATCCTAGTTATTTTGAAGTGCTTCAGCTGCACTCCACACAGCCTTTCCTTGTTGCAGAAATTCCCTCACAATTTAAGTACTCCTTTTCATTCATTGAAGGTTTGCTCTCTTCCTCTGCATACTTAAATCATAATTTTTGCTAACCTCATCATCACTTAGTTCTGAGCCTTCTCATTTCCTATGATCATTTATTTTTTCACTCCCATGGTCATGCTCTAGACCTTGTCCTAGACAGCAACTACCAACACCGGAATTTCAATGTCAAGCTGAGTTCAACCTCCTGAGTTTCCAGCACACTAATCCGGCAGCTTGATGGTAACAATATTTCAACTCTTTGGAAAACTTTAATCTTTTAACCTGCCAGTTTTCTCTGTGTTACAGCCTACTTCTCATCTCTCTTCACTTCTCTCCTTACTCAGCTTAGAGTCCATGGTCCTTCGTCATGATTACACACTTGTAAACACCCCATCCCCTTTTCAACTCTTGCTTTTTACAGGAAAAAAAAAATCCCAGTTAAATTTCCAACTTTTAAAAATCCACATCTAAGCCACTGATGTAAATAGAGTAGAACACAATGTTTCTATCTGGTCTTATTTTATGCTTGCTGTCAAGCATGCTGTCATTTCATGCTTGTTGTCATTATTACTCAATAATTCCAACATGTATCCCTAATAAATATTCTTTTCAATATTTTTGATGAGTGTTTCATGTTTCCTTCTTCCTCTTTAAATCCTCCAATGTTCCCCACCCACCCCTGCTTAGCTGATGTATTTGAGTCTATTTTGTTGAAAATAAAAAAGAGAATAAGGGAATACACCCTCAAATATCTGCTGACCTACCTGTATCTGTACCCACGTTCTCCAACTTGCCTCTTACTACAATGGAGAGATTGTCATGTTCTTAACTAAGGTGAATCTCTCTACTCATGCACTAGACTCCATCCTATTTACCTACTCCAGGACTCCTCTCTGATTTTTTCCCATTCAATTTCACATCATCACATTTCTTATATATCAGATCATCCCCGAAGGCTACTAAAATGTAATATTCTAAGTCTTGAAGAAAAAATTTTCTGTTGACACTACATTCTCCTTCAGTTGCCCTTTGTTCCAGGCAAAAACTACCATCACTTTCTTTCTCTTTATAACAGACTTTCCTGGAAGAGGTATCTATACTCACTGTCTCTACTGCTTTACTTCCCATTCTTCATACAACCTAATTTAGCCAGGTTTTTAAACCACATATTCTCCAAAAAACACTCTTAGTTTCGTTGATAATGATCAATTCTTCAAGTCCAATGATCAATGCTCTGATCTTACAAGAATCTTTTAGCAGCATTATAATCTAGGAACCCTCCCCTTTTTCTTACATCTCTTCTTTTTGTGGTTTCCAGGGTGCTACATTCCTGTTTTTCTTCTGCCTCACTATCTGGCCTTCTCTGCTTTCCTTACTAATTCTTTTAACTTTTTCTTATCTTTGTGTTTCAAAATGACCTTTTCCACATTTCATTACATCCCACTGAACATGACTTTTGACCAAGGAACTCATTTTACCGTAAAAGAAGAAAGGCAAATATAATATAAAAATCAATTATGTCAAGGGAAAGGGAGAGAAAAAATTGGTCAAAATTCGCAAATATATGCACTTCAAAATAATAAAGAAAATATGCATAGTTGCTGCATTTTTGTTTATTCAACTGGTCATGAGGCTGAAGTTAGAATTTATAACTATATTCATCCATGTTCTCTTTGTCCTCATCCAGGAGCTCATTTTGTCAGGATATCTTCTACCTGGAGTGGTGAACAAACTGTCTTTCCTGAAAGGTCTGAGATCTCTTAATTATGTTCAGCTTCTTTAGGACCTTAATCTTTTGGGGTCCTGTTTATATCGGGTTATTTTAAAACTTTTATCACAAGGCATAGTTTAGTAAAAGATGCTTCAGGGAATTTCCCTGGGTTCCTGACATCGTCTTTCTTCCCCTTTGTTCAGCAGCAGTCCTAATGTCCTTTGACAATTAGTAGTCATCATTTCAGGCAGGAGAATAATACCCTTTAAAAATGGTTAGTTCACTGGCAGGAGAGGCCGTAAATGTCCAGGTGTCCAGTTGTGACTTCCCATTCAGTAGAACACTTGCTGTGTCTCGTGGTGGGACTGCTTTTCTCTTGGCGGGTAATACCTCTGTCCATCAGACTCCAAAGACATGGGGAAGGTAGCGAACCTTTCATGAGTGGTTCATAAGATGTGCTAAGAAGACAAGTGACTCGTATTTCTATCTTGGGCTCCTAGACTTCATGTAACTATGTCTAGTCACAATATTGGGACAGTAACACCTTTTATTGGATATTCTTTGGCAACATATGCAACAACTTGTAGGACTGCACTGTAGCTTTGCTAGGTGCTGTTTCCCAAGTGGTGCTATAATTGAGTTTTCAATAAGCTGTTCCATCATCCTGAACCACCAGCTTCTTCTGGGTGATGGGGTACATAATAAGACCAGTGGATCTTGGTGGCACAAGCCCATTTCCTACCTTGCATATTTCATCTCTCACAAGAGTTCATCACATTGGCTGAATCTAACTGTATCCAGAAACTTGCTGGCAAGGAAGTCTAAGAAATGTAGATTTCCAGCCTACAATGTGATATTGAGGAAAGCATAGAAAGGAGTGGGATGAATGCTGATTACAGTAGACAATGTTAGTATGCACAGCTTGCTCTGCTACATGATATAGGTCTCTGCACAGATATAACTTTTGTAAAAAGAACTTCCTTGGCCACATTATCCAGAATGTTACCTTTCTTCCTTCATCTCTCCTTACTTTGGTTTATTTCATAAAGCAAATACAGCTATGTAAAATAACGATGTTTAGTTAGATGCTTACTTGTTTATTGCCCGTTTCTCCCAACACTTGAGCTCCATGAGGGTAGGGCACATGGTCCTAGAACAATTCTGGAAATGGAGGAAATAAGCAGATATTTGTTAAGTGAATGAAAGAGACAATGATGAATGGTGGAACAACTAGTTAAAGAAAATACTACTAGCTAAAGAAAATGGTTGGGAAAAACAGCCCTCACCTCCTCCTCTTTTTCCTTCTCTCTCTTTTGTTCTTTTTTCCTCTTTTCTTCTCCATGCGATGCATGCTCATCTTTGCCTTCTGCTATGAGTGGAATCTTCTTGAGACTCTCACCAGAAGTAGGTGCTGACACCATACTTCTTGTACAGCTTGAAGACCTGTGAACCAAGTAAGCCTCTTTTCTTTATAAATTACCCAGTCTCACATATTCCTTTACAGCAACACAGACAGTCTAAGACAATGATAAACCTAGAATTTGATTCCAGATGATTTTAACATAGGAGAAAAAGGGAAGTGCAGAAGGGATTTTAAAATGTGCTAATATTCTTGTCTTTTTCTTTATGTGTGTATGTAATTGTGTGTGCGAAGATGGGATACAGATACTTATTAGCATTGGAGATTGATAGGCAAACGTATTTAAATCTATATGTTAAATTTTAATACTGAGAATCTTCTAGTTAAAGTTGGCAAATCAAACATAGTGAATCCACTCCATTTCAAATGTTTGTTATAATTACAGGAAAAAGATTTTTTAAGGCTATCATTCACAAAGTAAAGAGACTTGGAAAGGAGAAAACAGCAACAGTGTTCTGGGAGCTGGAAAGTGGAAGAATGAAGGGCTGCTGACCTAGCAAAACACCGAGAGCTGAATTTTAAATTGGCCTTGGGGAAAGTGAAGAAGCAAACCGATATATACTATGGAATCCCCACATCACAGGAATTGGCAGCATGAGGTGCCCGTGGAAGTGGGAGGTGGAGGTAGGGCCTAGCCCTGTGTGGTGGGTTGAAACCCTATTTATAAGTAGTAGGCTTTTAAATCCTAATCCAATCCATGTAGCTGCAGCTTGTCTCATCCCCTCCTGAAAGTGGCTGAAAATTTATTGTCTGAAGTATATAAACAGAGGGTCTGGACTGGGGCACACAGGCATATTTGAGGGTGGGGTACCACATTAAAGTAAGTGGTAAAGTGCAAGTCTACTGCCTGACTGTGAAGACCAGCAATCTTCACAGATTTCCCCATTTGCTGCCACAATTCCTAGCTAGAATTAAGCCCTCCTAGCATAGCACGAGCAGCCTAGAGAAGACCTAAAACAGATTGACACTGAGCCTTCCCCAGCAGGATGTACAACCAGAGTTCCCCTCACTGTGAAGCTCCATGCACAGAACACACACCCAGCTTTGGAGCCCCTCACTCTTAATTGTAAATGAATGATAAGAATCACTAGACATTTAAGGAAAGCCTCTAACATGAAAGCCAGAGACCAGGAAACAAACAAATAAACAAACTAAAAAAAGCAACTTGAAAAAAATAGAGACTATGCAGGAAAATGGAAACTTAAAAGAAACCAAACAGAACGCACTATTTTCATTAATGTCCTTGGAAAAAGAAGATATTTCATTTATGAAATAAAAGACAGGAAGCTATAAACGTAAGACATTTAAAAGACAAAAATAAAGTCTTTTGGAAATTAAAAATATGAAAACAAATTTCAAACACAGTAGAAGATTTAGAAGATAAAATTGAAAAAATTTCCTTGCAAGTACATAGCAAGAAGACCAAAGGATAGATTGAAGAGAAAATAAAAGAAATATAGAGAACTGAGTCAAGAGTTCAAGATATTTCAGAAAGTATGAATAAAGAAAGTAGAGAAGAGGATATTTTTAAATACTTCAAGAAAAATCTCCAAAGCTGAAGAACTGAGCTTTAAGATTAAGAGAATACATCAAATGCTCAACACAAATGGGTGAGAAAGTTCATAGCAGTGTGGTCAAAGCAAAGTCCTAAAAGCTGAGAGGGAAAGGCAGGAGGGGATGTTATGCTTTTATAAGTTTTCATATTTTTATAATCATGAGGAGAATAAATAAGATTTATATACCTTACCACATACAAATTAAAAATTTATATCCACAGTGAAACCATTCTTGAATGCCAAGCATAAGACGAGAAGAAAATAGTTGTAATATATACCACAAATAAAGGCTTTAATCTGTATTTTATGGAGAATATCTACAAGTCAATGGGAAAAAGGCATTCTAATAAGAAAATGGGAAAAGGCTAATGGAGAAAAACAAATGCTCTAAAAATAAATGAAAAGATGTTTAATCCTACTGGTAATCATAGAAATCTGAATTGAAATATGTAGAGTCTATTTTTTTTGCCTATCACATTGGAAAAACATTTAATTATTAGTAGTATCCATTGTGTCAGTGCAGGTTGGGAAGGGGTGTGAAGGAATGCATACTCTCATACACTAGGTAGGAAGGCAAATGGCTTTTAAAAAGGAATTTTGTAGTATTTATTAAAATAACAATGTGTAAACCCTTTGACTAATCAAATATCCTGAATATCTGTCCTACAGAATACTCCTGGATGAGCATTGAGAAATGTTTATAATTATGTTCAGTATAGATTGTTTACAATGATAAAACGTGAAGGAATCTAAGTGTCCACCAATAGGGGATGGGTTAACAATCATAGTTCATACCACAAAAGAGAACATACTCATGAAAAAGAGAGGGCCCAGTCTCTCTGTATTAACTTTCTACAAAACAGTACAAGGGAATTTCAGGCAGTACTAATAGATACTGAGGATCGCAGTGTTTTGCTGACGAGCATAGTTGCTATGGAAATTTAAGTAAACCAAAACTCCCTTGGGGAATGTATTAGTCTTAGCTGGCTTTCTTGAAGCAGTGAGTAGGTGGGAAGTAAGTGTTAGGCTAGGAAAGACTAGAAAAAGCAGGCATTTCAGGAGGGTAAAATAAGGCCATGGTTAGCGTGCAAAAAGCAGAAAAAGGGGAAACGAATCACTCATAGAGGATGGATGAGCGACCTTCTCACTGAGGGTGAAAGAGCATGGTAGAATCATGTCTTCAAAACAGAAGACAGTCTCTTGAAGAATGTTGCTGGCTTGCTGTTTTCTTTAGCTTAAGAGAATCAAGAGACTTAAGTAGAAGATTCTTTGGTGAATAGATGATTTGTACAGGAGAAAGGTCTTGATTGTGATTGTCTTCAAACCATGGAAGAAATCATGTGGAGGAGCTCTGTAATTTCCACCCCCCAAGATAAGTTAAAATAGGATAGTCTCTCCCTTACATAGTTCAGATCAGGTTTTGGAAACCTTAAAATGCAGTTTCCAAAGTTCTAACTTCTCACCTGCTGGCAGTAAGAGGGCAGCAAATCACATCCTGTATCCTGACTGTTCTCTGCAGGTGTGAGTGGGGAATTGGTGTGGCAGGGGGAAGTTTTGATGGTAAAACGAGCAAAGCTTTATCCCTTGCCCATCGATGCCCTGGAATGCAGTGAGGAGAGGACAGTGGTGATAAACCTGCTGTGCTGTGTATTTTGTTTGCTCCTCTAGATTCATTCCTCCCTTTTCAACCCTGCTTTCTTCTCTAGGAGGCTGACCTGTGTAGACTATATTAACTATATCAAGAACACCCTTGCCCTTGGACTTCTGGTTGGGTTAAGCCAATGGGGGCATCTGCAGGAGACTGGCAGAAGGACAGAGTGCAAGTCCCAGGTGTGACTCTTGGCTCCCTTCCAGCTAGGTCACCTCAGCCTGGCTGTGCCTCTTCAGTGTAGGTCCCTGCTTCTCACAAGGCATCCTGTCTCTGTACAAGAGCTTTTTCCTCTTGGCCATTTTACTATGTATTAGTATTTAGTATTTTTTTAAGTATTTTTTAGTATTTAGTATTTTTTTTTGGGGGGGAATCCTTTCTAAGTCATTTTTCATTTTATTTCTGCCATTTACTACATGTCTGACCTCGAACAAGCCTCTAAATTTTTCCGAACCTCAATTTCCTTATTTGTAAATAATAAAAAAAGGGTATCTATCTCATAGGGGTCTTGTGATAACTAAACGAGACAGTCTATGAAAGGGTTAGCATAGTGCTGGTGGTACTGGTATATACCATATGGCCTCTAAGTGCTTTTTGTCCTTACAGCTCTCTCTTGTCAGAATGATTCCAACTCTCCATTCCCTCCCCAATCATCACTCTAACAGTTTCAGAAGTGAATTCTGTCTTTTGTTAGTTTTCATTACCAGTTACTTCTAGTATTTATTATTACATTTTGATGTTTTGGAAAGCTTTTTGCCAGAAAGTGTCTTCTAATTTCACACTTCTAAATAATGCAGACAATGTAGACAGCCCTACTAAAAACCTGAAAGACATTGTCAGATTTGGGGGTCAGTTTTCAAACTCTCTACATTTTTAATGCTGGTGGGCAATATCAACAATGGTACAGGATGGGCAAGGCTACATTGCAGGGAGAAAACAGTTCACTACTATGCAGTGCCATCTGAATGCCACGCTTGGAGAAAGTACATTAGTATCTCATTGACACATTTAAATATCCTGGAAGGGAATACTGTATTTCTTTAGGGCAGAGATTGCCAATTGCCTTCCCAAATGCATTCTCTGCTTTCTCCTATGCCGGGCACTTTGCTACCTGGCAAAAGACTACCTTCTCTTAAATAATGAAGATTTGGCTACATGACTGAGTTTAGACAAAGAATTGCAATTTGGACATAGGTGTGCTGTGACTTCCAAAGTGTCTTTCAATGGAGAGAGCACATTATTTCTTTATTCCTTTCTTTTCTCAGTTTTTCAGCATGTAGACATGATGGCTGGTGCTCAAGGAGCCATCTTAAACCATGAGTTGGCAAACTAAGAATGGAGCAGGGCCACAGAGTGGAAGCCTGGGTCTCTGCCTGTGGATTCATCATCTCAGCCCTCAACTGCCAGCCTCAGGTTTCTACCATGTATTTAACTAACTGTTGTTATTCTCTCTCTCTTTTTTTTTTAAAATAATGCAGCCAGCCTAGTTCTAACTGATGCATTTAATCTGAGTTTTGGATATAGGAGGCAAGAGCTCAAGGATGTTTTCACTTTTCTTGGATCCCAATAAAGCACTTAGAGAGGTAGAATTACTATCCATTTCTGAAAGCAAGACATTCTTTTTCCAGTGATCCATGCTACTTTCATACTATTCTCTTTCTCACTGCTGCTCCCCACCCTCTCTCTTTCTTCTCTTCTTTTTATCAAAAGCTGAGGTTCAGGGCTCAATATTCAAAATCTGGTTCTTATTGGGATTTGGATTACAATTATTATTTGATGGAGTCTTTAATGTGTTTCCAAAGCCACTGCCTAATTGTAGAAATGAAGAGTCAAAAAATAATAGGATCCTCTGTAAGCAAGCATCCAATAAATTATTCAGAATTTTTAAAGGATGCTTTATCATCAGATGTTTATAGCTTTAAAGCCAGAAGAACAGAGGGAGAACACAAAAGAGGCCTTCAAGTCATCCTCTTTTTTGATGGTTAAATGTTACTACAAGTCTTGCTGTTGCTACCCTCACTGTCTGCTCTCCCTGGGATTTAATGGAGATGGCAATCTAATTATTACCAGAAGCCCACCCAGATAGTTAAATACAGTTCAATAATAGCTTTGTGAGGGAGGGAGCTGTGGCAACACAGAATGGGGAACAATTAGTCTTTTTCAGGCCAGAGAAAGACCAATATTATAACATAAATTCCTCAGCGATAACATTGCCATTTTCTCCAAGTCATCATAAAATAAACTAGAATTAGGAAAACAGGGAGATGTGTGGAATGCTGTCACACAAAAGGCCCACAGATGAGTGTGGATCAAGCTAATTTTCAATGCATAACCACATGATTTGAATACCAAATTAAGCAAAAATAAAACACAACCCCCACACCCAACCTCCCCAAACCTCACCTAAATAACCATTTCATAGATATTTGAGATGTAAAACTACTGAGATTTTCTTTTTTAAGAGCTCAAGGGAAGTGTCTATAGCTTGAAAAACAAATATTTATAAATTATAAAAGCATTGTCTCTGTTTGTGAATCTGTAAAATCTCTGCATCTTGACAATTAGGAGGCAGAAAATGTTATACATAAGCACTTCCTTGTGAGCTGGAAGGAAAATGACTGGTGAGATGCTTCCAAATTTGTTACTTTCGGTGTATGGGAAGGGAGGAGGTAAAAGCATTTTGAGAAAATTGGGAAGCTTGAAATTTTCAAGTAGTGTTTGATTTGTCAGTAGAGAATCTGCCCTGGTACCTTATCAATCTATGAAGATCACTTTTTTATGTTCTCAGCCTGATGGCATATGTCTCTTCATTCATCCTACACCATTATCCATTTTTCCTCCATCCGTTTTTGTAATTTCCTGTTAATGTGCCCCAACCAAAAGGTTGCAGAGTGGGCCGGGCGCGGTGGCTCACGCCTGTAATCCCAGCACTTTGGGAGGCTGAGGCGGGCGGATCACGAGGTCAGGAGATCGAGACCATCTTGGCTAACAAGGTGAAACCCCATCTCTACTAAAAATACAAAAATTGGCCGAGTGTGGTGGCGGGCGCCTGTAGTCCCAGTTACTCAGGAGGCTGAGACGGGAGAATGGCCTGAACCCGGGAGGCGGAGCTTGCAGTGAGCCGAGTTCGCGCCACTGCACTCCAGCCTGGGCGACAGAGGGAGACTCCGTCTCAAAAAAAAAAAAAGAAAAAAAAGAAAAAGGTTGCAGAGTGTAGTGGTTGAGAGATGGATACTGGAATTACCTTTCTGAGTTCAAAACCTGGCTTCCCTAGCAAGTGATCTTGGGCAAAGTACTTTCTGTATCAGTCTTTCTGCCTGTGAAATGGAGACAATGCAATTCATGTGTGGTTATGAGGATGAAATGAGTTATTGTTTTGTTCAGTGCCTAGAACAGTGTGTGGCAAACAGTAGGTGCCATATAAGTGTTTGTTAAATGTCTTAGAAAACAACTATTGTGAGCTTCGGAGCTATAAATTGCCTACTCAAAATGGATAAACGAATGGATGGTATTACCATGTCTCCAATTGAGGCAAAAGGAGCGTATGTGTGTGTATGCGGGGGGTGGGGATTTGGTGGCATCGGGAATTGTGAGGGATGAATGCCCAAGAACCTCTGTTTTGCATGCTCTTACCAGTATTTTGGTCGTGGAATCACTAGCACTGAGGCTCTCACAAAGGGTCCCCTGGACTTTGATGTCACTGTTGAGTCAGGAAGCACACAGAGGAGGGAGGAGGCAAAATCTTCCCTAAGCAGTTACAGAATGAATTGATGTGGGCAGACGTGGGTCTTGCTTTGCTGAGGCTGGGTGGTCAGAGCAGAAGTGTTAAAGACACAATGAGAGGCAGCTTCAAAAGCCGTGGCCTTGCCAACAAGTGCTGGTAAACAAACGTGGTTGCCAGACCGATGCAGTTGGCAGCATCCCACAGTGGGGTGGTCCCCGATATGCTGGCTGACCTGAAGCCAGGTCCTGACAGGTGGTGGGCAGACGCTGCCCAACTTTTCTGATCAGGACTAGAGAATACCCCCAGTGAAGGCTCTGTATGGAAGGACCAATCCTCCAGCAGTGGCTGCATGATAAATAGCATGTATTTGGAAAACAGAAGGAATATGGGCCCTCTGCTGTGGATTCTCTGACCTTCAATTTCCTCATGTGTAAATGAGAATTAATAATTTCCACTTCATAAGTTTGTCATAAGAAAAAAAGTGAGTATAAAAGTACTTTGTAACTAGAAGTATATATTACTGATATTGGTTATGATTGTGTAGATGATAGAACCAGTTTTGTGGTTTGTTTATAATGCAGAAATGACATGCTTTATATAGTAGAGATATTCCTGAAAAGGTATGCAAATATTTTCTCACTTACCAGATCCCAGGCCCTTTAAGAGAAAAGACCATGATGTATTAATTTCAGTAGTCTCCCTGTGTTCTTTTGTTCCAACACAATGCTTTTCTCTTAAAAGATATGGAACAAATACAGCATCTTGCTCCGCAAAGAAATTGTATAGGAAAGAATCATTGTCTCATCTTTAAAATCATGGAGATATTTTATTTAAATAGCTTCCTGCATTTTCTGGGAATATTATCTTTTTTAGAAAGCACCATATTTACACTATGTACTATAGGACTCCTCTAATAAGTTATCTAACTACTCAATCTTGATAAACCTAAGATGGATTCAAGTTCATATAAAATTAATGGTAAATTATTTTGAGTAGCTATTCACTCTGTAAATTAAAAAAATTTTCTATGATTTCTTTAATAAAATAAGATTAGAGAATAGAACAAGGCTCAGAAATTTTTATGACTTTAAGGAGAAACATCTGCTATATCTTGTGTTTCTTTTTAAAAATATGGAAGCAGAGTGAAGCTGTCATCTATGAAAGATAAATCACTGGAAAGAACTCCAAAGGTTTAGAACTATTTGGCAAAAAGATTTATGAAATCTAAAAGCTAGGAAGAAAGAACAGAATGAATCAATCAAACATCCTCTTTGTTGTATGGAGTGAAGCTTGTTTGGAGTTTTTTATGGGCTGGCTGTTATTTTTAATTAATTAACTAATAGTTAAACATGTTTTGAAATATGTCTACATTGTAGAATGGCTAAATCAAGATAATTAAAATATTCATTACGTTATATACTTAGTTATTTGTGGTGAGAACACTTAAAATCTACTCTCTATGCAATTTTCAAGCATATAATTCATGGTTATTAACTAAGTCACCATGATGTGCAATACATCTTCTGAACTTATTCCTTCTGTGTAACTGAAATTTCATATGGTTTGACCAACATCTCCCCAAACCTCCTTGACTCCCCCAGCCCTGGTAGCCACCATTCTACTCTCTGCTTCAGTGAGTTTGGCTTTCTAGATTCCACATATAAATAAGTGAGATGTGAACGAACTTCGAAGTACAAACGATGACATGAGTCCATCCTCATTTTGTGAGGAAGAGGAGTTTTAGAAGTAAAAATGTGCTGGGCCACTGACAGGAAAGTAGTAAATACACCACTGAGGTTGAGAAGATATGAAAAGGAAAGCTGAAGGTGTCTTTGGTGGGCTTCACCATTTTGTGAAATGGACACTGGATCTGGTCCATTTTCGCTCCATGTTCCAGCAGACAGAAGCAGGGCTGATGACTTTTATGTCTCAGCTACCAACACTGTGTTCTTTGATCTCCTTCAACCTTCGCAGAGCAAATCACTGCTTCAGAGGCTATCTGAACCTACACCTTGTGCCAGGGCACAGGTTGGTACAGTTATAAATTGCTTCTAATTGTCATGGTCCAGCTCTTTTTCCACTCCAATCTTTTCTAGAATGTTTTTTTACCAGTCAGTTACAAGTTTGTGCTGAGGATCTGAGTCCTTGCTCTTCCACATTGGTAAGTTTAAATCGCTATTGCCAAATAAGGGAAGAATATTGATTTTTAAGCTAGGTTGACTTTTGCATCATTTATGTTTATTTGTTTCCTTTGCATGGACTAAGTTAAAAGACTTAACTATGCATTTTGTATTTAGAAAACAGGTTTTTTTTTTTCACAAACTAATAACCCCTGATTAGCTCTGGTAATTATCCTAAAGTTTGGTCTCATTATAACCAGCATTTTGCCATGAGTTTGCCCTCTAGGAATTTGGAAAGATGTATGATGAATTCTGTTTTCAAATCACTCCAGCTTTGGTGTCTTACAATTCTTCAATTAAGAATAGAACAAATGTTTCTAATTAAGAATAAAATAGAATTATATATTTTCTTTTCTCTTGTACAGAAAAAAATTATGAGACTTTGGCCTTGAAAGTCTCATAGTGAGTGCCTGTCATGTTATAACAGGGCAAAAAGTAAGTATAATATTCAAACCTTACTAACCTGTAAATTGGGGGAGAAAAACCAATGTGAATTAGAAGAAAAGACTGAATCATAATATATTGTAAATAAATGAAATGATTTCACCTTTTAAAGTACATGGACTGAAGATTTATTTAATTATAGTGATGATGATGATGGTAATACAATTATAATGGCTAACACATATATAGTGTTTCCTATGTTCCAGGCACTGTTCTGGCAGCTTTACATTTATTAAGTTATTCGATCCTCACAACAACTCCATGAAGTAGATAATAATATCTCCATATTACAGATCAGAAAAATGGCGCACAGAGAGGGGAAGTAACTTGCTCAAGAGATTGAGTAATTTTGCACAGTGATGAGTGGTATTTAGTTACCTTACTTTTAATGAATTAATTCTAACTTTAAATGAGCATTTGAAATGCTTCACTTTGTTGGTGAAATGAAATAAATAGGCATTTTCAAGATCAAATCTAGCTTGGGGGGTTCAGTGAGTGAAAGTTTCTCAGGCTATGAGGCATTCCAAATGAATGAATATTTCCCAGTAAACAAATGCGGGAAACACCGTTCTTTTAAAACTCCAAACAAGTAAATTTGTAATGCTGAAATTTAGTGAGATTGATACATTGTTATTTACCATTCTGCTCCCATAAATTTCAGATATAAAGCAATGCCTGAGCATGGACTGTATAAATTATTTTTGGAACACTAGAAGAGGCACTAGTCATAAAAAAATTTAACATACAATTTTTAAATAATACATTGTTCAGACTTAGTTTGTTCTCTCTGTAATTCTATTTGGTAGCAGAAACCTTATTCTTAGTTTTCTACTTCACAGAATTATAGCAAATGCCAACTATTTCACTACATTTGACTCTTTTCTAGAAGAAACACAGAAGTACTGAAAGTATCAATATGTTACCACATATTCAGGGTCTGTGATTAGCCAAAATATAATAGAAGGAATTTAAGTATAGGGTCATAGGTGCCTTGAAACATAATTCAAGATAATTCCAAGCCCATTTATATCTAGTTCAAGTTTATATATAGAAAATTTAATATATTATGAATATGCCTTCAATTATTATATTCACAATTGTTTATTTGAGAACATGCAGAAAACTTGGTTAGTATGAGATTTCAGTGAAATTATATACTGTTGTATAACTGTGAATCATGACATGAACAAAAGCTACAACCCTCTGTACTCCTGATAGCTATTTTATAATCTCTTATGTTATACTTGTCAACTGAAGCCTAGGTAAGAGTTAGTGTGACCTTGTGCACGTACAATGGCCTTGGGCAGTTAACACAGCCCATCTCATCAGATGGTTGTGAGGTTCTAAGTATTTATTACATAGCAGGAATCATCGTTAATCAATTAATCACCACCCCATCATTTAATTTATGGATTAGGAACGAATATCATCCCCTCTTGATAAATGAGACAATAGAAGTCCAGAGAGTTTAGGTAATTTGGTAAGCAATTATTTGAGTCTGAATGCAGGCAGGCTCTGGGCTCCAGAGCTCATGTCCTTCATGGTTAAGATGATGAGGATCAAGTGGACCACAGATAAAAGCCTTTGAAAAGCACATTGTGTATTGTGCGTGAGTGTTAGTTAGACACGAGTCATATTAAAGATACTCGTGATAACAGTGAGAAGATTAACAGTGAACATTTTGAAGTTTCTTAAATTTGTTTTAAGACTTTCATTTTTTAATGATAATAAGTGCAGCTCTTAGCACTGCACATCAATAAGTAAAAGATGTACCAATTGCTGTGGGTTCCCCAGGAAACAGGCTGATATGATTTGGCTCTGTGTCCCCACCAAATTCTCGTGTTGAATTGTAACTCCTGGTGTTGGAGGAGGGGCCCGGTGCGAGGTGATTTAATCACGGGGGCGGACTTCCCCTTTGCTGTTACCGTGATAGTGTTCTCACGAGATCTGGTTGTTTTAAAGTACGTAGCACCTCCCCCTTCTCTCCGTTTTCCTCCTTCCTGCCATGTTGAATGTGTCAGCCTCTCCTTCACCTTCCACTCTGATTGTAAGTTTCCCCAGGCATCCTTCCTGTACAGCCTGTGGAACTGAGAGTCAATTGAACCTCTTTTCTTTATAAATTACCCAGGTAGTTCTTTATAGCAGTGTGAGAACAGACTAATACATAGGCTCTGAGAGGGAGAGGTTTATTGGAAGCTCTCTCAGGAGATACACCTGTGAAGAAGCGAGGACGACAGGACTAGGCAGAGCGAAGTGCTGATACACAAAGTGGTTGCACCTGAGGTCTTACCCAATTGTACTGGGAGCTGGGATGCCATTTCAGAGTTTCCCACCCCAACGTTTAGCCCAGGGGGACTTTATGTTACTACTTAGCCACTCATTAGTCATGGGCTGCTCCCCTGGAGGGGAAGTAACCATGAGTGGGACAGTTCCCTGCGAGGGGAGGAAATTCCCAGTGAGGGATGCAGCTGTGAACCATCAGCAGCTAGTATTCTCAGCAGCTGCAAGAAGAATGCTCGAGTCCTGAAGATCTGGGTGAGACACCACAGTATCCACTATACCACCTCTTACAAAAGGTGAAAAAAGCCCCAAACACATAATTAACTAAAAGTAAAAATACAAATGGCAAAGAAAACTATGAAAAACATAGTGTTTATTAACAAGAAAATGTCAATTACAACAATTTTCTCCTATCAATTGGCGTAGATGAAAAAATAGCTAATGAACTATAGTGAGAGTACCCCAAGGTAGGCCTAATTTTTATTAAATAATTCTTTTAGAAATAATTTCAAACTTAAAAGAGTAGCAGGTATAGTACAAAGAACCCTTACATCCCTTCACCCAGATTCTTTATGTATTAACATTTCATCACATTTGTGTAAATACTCTGTGTGTATGTACATTTATACTTACCTATATCATCTGTATCTCTATTGATTGCCCCTTGTATACAGAGTTTTTATTTATTAAACTAAGATGATAAAAGCAGTGTCTTGAAATTCAGATCTGAGTTTGAGTCCCAGTCACTCATTTTCTGTGGGACCTTGAGCAAGATAGATTTTCTTATGATCTCTGTTTCTTCAGTTGTAAAATGGAGATAACTCCTGTGTTCTTTTTTCTTGTTGTTCAAATTAGATCCTCCATACAGAACTCAGCACTGGCTAAGATTTCAGTAAATGTTAGCTGCTGTCATTGCTGTCTTCATTATTCTTAGCTCCTTGAAAGCTGGGACTACACCTCGTGCATTGCTGTGAATCCTCAGAGCTTAGCACTGCATCTTTCTGGGTCCCCAGGAAATGTTTATGGATCAATTTGCTTTTTTTACTCAACATATTATAAGATCAGGCCCATGAGGGTGTTGCCAGGGGCTCCTTTGGAAGGCTGTCCCTTGGACTTCAGTAGGAGAGGCTGTAGAGAATGAAAGCAGCACTCAGAAGTGGAAACTTTGTTAATGACTGTGCTCCAGCGAAAATAGGCGATTCATTGGTTGACCAAATAAAAAGAGTATTATTCAAGAAATTCCCTTCTCTCCCTTGCTCTTTGAAGCTCCTCATGAATGTTTTGCCTATGTATATTGTCTGCCATACAGTATTTTGGAACGACAACAATAAAAACTGGTAAGACCAAGAAGAGGAGAAAATTTCGTCATTCTCAGTCCTTAGAGTCCCTTAAAGGAAGTATTTACATCTAAAGAAATGCTTGTGCCTCTGCCTGTCTCCTTCAGCTGGCTGCTCTCCTCTACATTCGGTGGCCTTGGGAACACCAAAGATGTGGCCTTGGCAACACTTGCACATCGAGGTCAAGAGGCCAGGAAGGTGACGGTGGATGGTGGCAGGGGTGAAGTGATGTATATAGGAGGGGAGGGCTTTTGTTCAGTGAATATGGTATGAGGTAAGCAGGAGCCTAGATAGGTTTCACATCACTTTTTGTTGGCTGGCTGTATATATCCAATGAATTAGCCTTTTTGTTAACAGTAACAGGCGACCAACTTCAAGCAGACAAAGCCACAGGGAGAGTTACTGGTACAGTTTGCAGATTCCAAGGAAAGGCTACACCCAGGGCAGCTCCTGGGACCTCTGAGGGTTGGAGCCTACCTGGAGTCTCCCTTTCATCCCTGTTTCTCTCTGAGGCTTGACCTCATGCTCCCAGTTTCTTATGGAAAAGGGCATAACTGCTGGCAACGTGCATCATGACCTTACATAACATGACTGCTGGCAACGTGCATCATGTCCTTACAGCTAGCATCAAAGAAGACAGAAATTATTCTCTTCCCCAAAACTGTCTGAAAAATCATGGGGAAAGGACCCTGGCCTGGCTGGGATTATGCATCTGCCCCTGATATGAAGCCCTGAGGCTGGAGTTGGGGAGGCTGTGATGAACTCAGCCCACCTGTGTTCAAAAGGACAGGGTTTGTATCCAGGCAAAGGTGAGATGTCAGGAAGCCAGCTCAGTTTGCAGAGTGTTACCTACTTCTGCAGAGAAAGCTGGGGACTTGCTGTCATTTCCCTTGTATCACTTCTGTTACTCCTGTAGTATTTTGGCCCTGCCTTCCTCAGAGAGGTGAATTCTTTGTAATTTTGTCCCAGCCTTTAAAACCAGATACCCATCCATTCCCCTGGACAAGGTCCAATCTCAATGAGCCTTGGCCTTTCTAACCTCACGGCAAATGTCTTTGCCCATTTGCCTGCCTTTCTGACCTAATTTTAACACCCCCATTCTATTCCAGAGCATCCTGCCTTCTAACTCCTTTGAAGTTTACTCAAAATTCTCATCCTGAACTGGACTTTTGGACTCAACAACAAAAGGTAGCTTCTTCTGGGACTTTGGCCTTCAGAGTTCTTTAGGGTCTGGTTTGGGATCCCTTCATGGTGCTGTTGGTCTGCACCCTCCTGGCTTAGCTCTAGCCCAGGGTTACCACACTGGCACTGGTAGTGTTCTGAGAGTGAGGACCAGGGAGATCTGAACTTGAGTGACAGGGTGTAAGGTGTCAGTCACTGAGTGGTATTCCTTGCTCTGCTGTGGAAGGACTCGGCAGAGAGGATCCATGCATGGGTGCACTGAATTCCACATTTTTTCCTGAGGAGGCTCTCTGTGAAGGCCATAAGAGGCATCATCTATAACTCCCCCACTCAGGTGTACAGATGCTACCATGCTAAAGTTCAAAGGCCAAAGTGGAATCTCTTCATTCACATCCCAAACCCTTAATTGAAAGAGATATTGCTCTTAATTTTTCTTAAATGTGCCCAGCATTGCCAGTTCTGGCATAAGGGGAACACATAACTATGAAGTTGGAGGGTCCTGCCATTGGTTTCCTGTGATTTAGGACCCTCTAGGGGATATGTATTTTTCTAACTTAATTATTTTAATATCCTTTGTATTCTTATTCACTGAAGAAATAGATTCCAACCAAAGATGGAAGGGTACTAGTAGAACCAAGAATACCCAGCAATAATAGTTGCTATGTGCCGAGTGCATACCATGTACTAAGTGCGTTTATGTGTTTTTTCCCCATTTATTATTTATTTTTAGATTCAGGGGGTGGATGTGTGGGTTTGTTACATGGGGATATTTTGTAAGGCTGAGGTTTGGGCTTCTAATGATCCTGTTGCACAAGCGGTGAACATAGTACCCAATAGGTAGTTGTTCAACCCTTCCTCCCCTGCTTTGGAATCCCCAGTGTTTGTTGTTCTCAACTTTGTGTCTATGTCTACCTAATGTTAAGTTCCCACTTATAAGACATAATATGTATTATTTGGTTTTCTGTGTCTGCATCAATTCACTTAGGATAATGGCCTCCAGTTGCATGCATGTTACTGCAAAGGACACAGTTTTGTTCTTTTTTATGGCTGCATAGTATTCTGTGGTGTGTATGTAGCATACTCTCTCTATCCAATCTACCACTGATGGGCACCTCGGTTGATTCCACATCTTTTCTATTGTGAATCATGTGTGATGAACATGTGAGTGCATGTGTCTTTTTGGTAGAACTATTTGTTTTCCTATGGATATATACCCAGGAATATATGGGATTGCTGGGTCAACTGGTAGTTCTATTTTTAGTTCTTTGAGACATCTCCAAACCACTTTTCACAGGGACTGAACTAATTTGCATTCCCACCAATAGTGTCAACTATTGTTTGTTGTGTGTTTCTTTTTCTCTGCAACCTCACCAACATCTGTTATTTTCTGACTTTTTAATAAAGCCATTCTAATTGGTGTGAGATGGTATCTCATTGTGGTTTTGATTTGCATCTCTCTGATGATTAATGATGTTGAAACTTTTTCTCCTGTGTTTGTTGGATGCTTATATGTCTTCTTTTGAGAACTGTCTGTTCATGTTGTTTGCCATTTAGGGAATTTTTAGATAGGTCCCCAATTTTATATATATTTTTATTTCCTGTATTTTTTTCCAGTTAACAGATATTTAATAAATTATTTCTGTTTGCCAATAGTCTGTGTTAGGTATTCTCGGAAATGAAAAAGGAAAACACAGTGTCTACCTTTGAGAGCCTTGGAGTCTCATTGGGGAGATAGTTAACAAACAAAAATATCTGACACTATAATGGCAAGTGCTGTAAAGAAAAGAAGCATATAAGGATCTCAGTGCATAGCAGGTATTGGGAAGGGAGTCATTATAAACTGAGGTGATAGGGTGTATTAGTGTCTTGTGGCTGCTGTAACAAATTGTTGCAAACTTAGTGGCTTAACACAACACAAGTTTATTCTCTTATAGTTCTGGAGGCCAGAAGTCTACAATTAAGGTTTTGGCAGAGCTGCATTCCTTCTAGTGACTCTCGGAAGAATCAATTTATTTATCTTTTCCAGCTTCTGTAGGTTTTCTGCATTCCTTTTTTTTTTTCTTTTTGCTCATGGCCCCCTTCCGGCTAGCAATTGCAACACTCTGCCCTCTACTTCTAGCAGCCATGCATCCCCATTTCTAACTCTCCTGCCTCCCTCTTTCACTTATAAGGACCCTTGTGATTACATTTGGCCTACCCAGATAATCGAGCAAAATCTCCCAGTTAAGGTTCCTTAATTTAATAACATCTGTAAATTCTCTTTTGCCCTGTAAGGTAACATATTCATAGGTTCTGAGGATTAAGACTTGAGCATCTTTGGTGATGGGGCATTATTTTGCCTACTACAGAAGGCTAGTTTGTCTTGAAGTTTTCTTCTAACTTGAAAATTCCACGGGTTGATTGGAGCCATGTCAGCATGATTTGTCTCATTTAATCACTAGCCCTGACTGTGTACTCTCATTGTGTCTCACTGTGCTCAATGAAGAGACAACTTTGTGGAGTTCCAATTCCTTCTGTGAATCTTGACCTTTGCGCTGCTACAGAAGGAGTCATGTGGAGGAATTACAATATTTAATACCAAGGATTTCGAAACCCAAGCTGTTTTTGTGATAAACAACAGTCACTAAAGGACATCTTTTGTCTCCTGCTCAGTCACAACTCAAACCCTGAGCTGACAAGCTTACTCTTTCCTCTTAGATCGTGGCCAGTCTGTATCACACGGGGCTTGGAAAGTAGTCATAAGAGAACACACTTTCATTACTGTGGCCTGAAAAGTGCAGGTAGGGTATGAAAAATCAAAGGGATGGAACATAGAGATGGGCAAAGTATGTCTGCTGGAAATGGAGTGGGAACTGAGTGAGGATTATGGGATTCTTCACCGTTTGTGCAAATAAGCAGAGGCAGTGGAGGTCCAGATAGTACTAAACAACAGATATTTAGAAAGTCACTGACTTGCAGCTTTGAAATAAAGTCTTTGTTTTTATAATGCTTTAACTTTCACAATGACCTATTGCTTTGGCTACTAAAAGTTAGATAGTTTTCCCTGAGCCAAACCAAAGAATGTGGGGGTAATGAGAGGCTGAGGGATGCTGGCTCAGGACTGAATAATTGACTGGAAGTATTATTCTCCCTTTTGGGTTTTTAAGCTGTCCCCCATTGGCTCATTTTTATTTGTAAAGAGAGTTTCTGTGGGCACTATAAGTTGCCTACACAGCAGAATTCCCTGCCGTCCTTCTGAACACATCCCTAATTGTGTGCAGGTATCCACCCTGCTCTCTTGCAAGACAAGTGCCTCCAAGGATGCTGCTTCTACCATCAGCACTGGCAAGGAGAACCCGATTGGTTTAAGTGTAATCTCATCATGCTGGCTGGTGATTGGTTCAAGAATGGGCATGTGGTCCTTTGTGTTTCATTGCTGGCCATTGAGACATAAAGAGAGTTTGTGGGTAGCCATGGAGACTGTTCTTATTTGCTTTTAAGAGATGTTGAATGTCACTGTCTTTCCCTCTATGGATGGAAATAGAGAAGTATGTAGCTCCAAATTCTTCTAGTGACAATTATATAACTGTGAGAAAACAAACCAAAACAAAATACCCTCCTAGCATTACAAGGAGCGATAAAAAGAAGCTAATGCTTGATCACGTGCTGGACTGCATGGATCAACAAACTCTGGAACCTGCTTTGTCTCTGAACTTTCTGTTATGTAAGTCATTCCTCAACTGTTTATGCTATTCCGGGTTATGTTTTCTTACTTGCAGCTGAAAGCATCCTAATACCTATGCTTCAAGTAGTCATTGTGGCTCTAATGTCCCCTGACTAGCTCCAAGGCTTGGCCTCCTAACTTGGGGAACTGTAGCTTTTTTCATAATCTCCAGCTGGTATTTTTGGGAGTTCTAGATGTTCTTGAATCAACTTGGGCAGCGTTTCAGTGCTGTTCTCTTTATCTCTTAACTGTCCAGTTCCTGCAGGGCCTCCATTGAGGCTTAGCAGCTTTAAAAAAAAAATTAGAAGGAGAGTGCTCCCTCCCTCTGTTACATTCTCAGTCTGTAGGTAGCAGTAGTGATCCTAAAACAGGGATGCTTGAGTTCCGAAGTATTAAAGAGATAAAAAGGCCAGTACTTTTATTTTTGTAAAATTTAGATACACAATTCCCTGTTGACCTTCAGGCTCTGTAGCTAAATTTGGCTAGACCAGTGTCCAAGATAAATATAATACAAAATACAGGTGTAACTTTAAGTCTTCTAGCAGCTGCCTTAAAAAAGCAAAAAGAATCAGGTAAAACTAATTTCAATAATATATTTTATTTACTTCAACATGCAAAAAATTATTTCAATATGCAATTGATATAAAAGCTTTTTAAGAGATATTTTATGTGAGTTTTTCCAAAGCAAGTCTTCAAAATCCCATGCACATTTAATCTCAATTTAGACTAGCTACATTTCAAGTACTCAGTAGCCACATGTGTTTAGTGGCTGCTGCCATTTTGAACAGCACAGGGCTAGACTCTGCCAAAGTTCTGCCCACAGAGGTAATTTGCTCCAAGTGGCTTTTTCCTCCTTTCTTGAACTCTGATTTATTTTCCCTCTAATCCCAGAGCTGCTTTCTTCTTTTGGTTTTTCAGATGTGTGTCCATATGTTTGAACTCCAACTGTGAATATGGCTGGAGTTAATGACTTCCCCCAGAAAACTTCTCAGCTCTTATTTAAATAAATAAATTTAATTGTTTGCAAATGGAGCTAAGTGGGTGGGAGGAGCTGTTTATGAATGCAAACATATATTTGCTTGAGGGGAAAGGTGTTATCCAAATCAAATTTCTTTTACCAGAGCAAACAATTTCTTCCTTCGTGTTAAACCCAATGGACACTTTCTAATTCTTTTTTTTTTTATCTGACCTTCCCATTGACTTTGCTGAACACCATTTTGTTCCTGAAAGTCTCTCTTCTCCTGGCTTCCATGACACTTGCCTCTCCTAGCTCTTCTGCTTCTCTGACTGCTCCAACTTGGGGCTCCCCTTTTACTGCCCTTCCCTTAAAGGTGATGCTCCAATGGTTACATGTTTGATCTTCCTGTCTTTTGTACTCCATATATTCACCATCAATACTTTCATCCATCCATGGCTTAATTGTAATTTACATACAAATATTTCCCAAATATGTATGTTCAGCCCATATTCATCTCCTGACCAAACCCATATAATACATTGTTCATGAATCAACCCCTTTTAGATATCTGAAGGGTCACCATTTGTAAAACTGAAGTCATTACTTTTCCTCCTCTAAACTGGACTCTCTACTTTTGTTTTTTGTTTTACTAAACGGTACCACTAACCATTCAGTTGACCAGCCTGAAACGGGTTGTTGTTCTAAATTAAATGCCTCTCTGTCTCTCACCTCCCCTATGTAATAATCAGCAAGTCCTTCTGATTAAACTTAACTACAATCTCTTGATTGAGTCACATATTCCCCTCATTCCCACTGCTACCATTTTGTCTTTTCTCAATTAACCTCTGACTAGTTCCTTGCCATCACTCTTGATCCTTCTTTCCAGCCTCCTTATTGCACTGAAAGGAGCTTTTCTCAAACAGAAATTACTGGTCAATCCCTTGTTTCTTTGCTTAAAATTAAACTTTAAAAAAAAATTTTATTTTAAGTTCTAGATACATGCACAGAACGTGCAGTTTTCTTACATAGATGAACATGTGCCATGGTGGCTTGCTGCACCCATCAACCCATCAACCCTAGGTATTAAGCCCTGCATGCATTAGCTGTTTATCCTGATGCTGTCCCTCCCTGCCTCCACAGGCCCCAGTGTGTGTTGTTCTCTTCCCTGTGATCTGGCTTCTACCTTCCTCTCCCATATTTCTGCCTGCTTGTGCTCTACCTTCAACTTACAATGAACTTGAGGTTCCTTTTTGTCTCCTGGGCCTTTGCTTGTGCTGTTCCTCTGCCTTGGACAGTCTTTCTGCCACCTTCTTTCCCTGGCTAATTTGATCCTAGCAGTTCTAAAATTTTTGGTCTCAGAACTCCTTTAAACTATAAAAATTATTGAGGACCCCAAAGAGTTCTTATGAGTAGAGGCATTATCTATAAATTGTTACTGTATTTGGAATTAAGCTAAGAAATCTTGAAAATAATTCTTCATTGATTGACTTTAAAATACAATACATAAATAATGACAATACCTAAATAACATTTTATGGAAATGACTATTGACAAGACAAAACATATTAGTGAGAAGAGTGGCATCATTTTACATTTTTGCAAATATCTGTAGTGTTTGGCTCAATAAAAGACACTGGTCTCATATCTGCTTCTGAACTCAATCTCTGTAATATGTTGTTTTAGTCAAAGTATGTGAAAAAGATCTAGCTTCAAGTAGTATATAGTTGGAATATTAGTTTATTAGGGCTACTGTAACAAAGTGCACAAACTGAGTGACTTAAACATAAATTAATTTCCTCACAATTCTGAAAACTGGAAGTCTGAGATCAGCATGGCTGTGCCCCCTCTGAAGGTAGTGGGGAAGAATCCATCCTCTCTCCTAGCTCCTGGTAGTTTCTTAGCTTATGGCAGCATAACTCCTGTCTTTGCATGGAGTTCTCTCTATCTGTGTGTCTATTTCTGTGTCAAAAATTTCTCCTGTTTATAGGGATACTTGCCATGTTTGAATAGGGCCTATTCTAATGATCTCATTTTAACTTGATCACCTCTGCAAAGACCCTTTCTACAAATAGGGTCATATTCTGAGGGGGTAAGGACTCTACTATATCTTTTTGGGAAAGTGGAAAAGGCAGTACTTCCCAGGATCCTTCTAACAGAGTCTCAGATATCCTTGGGTCACACTTTGAAAAACACTGCTTGAACCCATCCTTCAAGTCTCAGTTGAGAAGTTGCTACTCTGCAAAGCCCTTCCTGACTCAAGCCCATGCTGAGTGCTTCTCCTATGTACTCTGCAACATCCTGGGGTTCCCTTTTCAGAGCACTTATCATACTACTGTGGAATTCCTTCTAGAGGAATCTATTTCCACTGCTGGACCTGACCATAAAAATTGAGATCAATTGACCATGGTCAGGAATCACTATTTTGTAAGTTTTATTTTGAGCAATATGGCAAAATATAATTCAAGTTGACTTTTATAGGTTTTAAATATTTTATTAAAAAAAATCCTCTAAACTATTTTTGAGAGAATTTTTTAAAATAACCTTTTTAGCACATAAACTCTCTAAGGTACATCCTTTAGATCAGCAATAGTACGGTGGTAATTTAAAAGAGTAAATTATTAATATGTTCATTAAAATGCATAAAGCCATCCTGTGGTGGATATATTTGCCAGTGTTTATAAAAAGAACTTTTTATAGCCTCATTAGAAGTTCTTAAAATATAAACTGCTTAGGGAAATGCATGAAACTATAGCTCTGAAAGGACTCTAATTTCCTATAAAATGTTTGGAACATTACATTGCTAAAGTAGTATTTATGCATTTTGACTGTGGGTTAATAATGCACATCAATGCAATGAAATACAATTTGTCTATACTAGACCAGAAATGGTGGTAGAGATTCTGACTGTACACAGTTAATTCTAAATATCCTAACCATTTTCTCTTTCTTCTCTTTTATATGTGATTGTCAAAAGTAATTAAATTTTTGGTTCATATAATTCAGTCGCCAACCACTTCCCCAACTGTGTTCATGGGCCTGCCTTCCTTAGAGATAAAACCCAAGTGCTTTCCAAGCCAAGAATATCAATGTTAGTGAAGATCTATGAAAACAAACTTTGATTGAAAACATATTTATTTTGAACTGAACTTCAAGTGATTTTAGTTTTGTTGACTAGATTTGGCAAGACGGTCACTGTTGAGGTTATACCTCCTTTTGCTGCTTCCTTTTGAAGTCAGGATCTGTCCTTGTGGCTGATGTGGAGAGCAGAGCATTCTGTGTTATATCAATTCTAACTTTCAAGAGAGGAGTTTTAACACATGTGTTTATGACAGAATGTGGTAATGTTCTCCATCTTGGCCACTGGATTGACTTGGATTCCTTCTTGGCTGCCATGACTACAAACAAAATGGGAGAAAGTTCTGGAAAAGATTTCATTGAATTCCTGCAGCCCAAGTCACTGCTTATTCTATTCTCTCTTCTCTTTTCTAATCCAGTTCCCTGTAATACTCTCCCATGTATAAATAATTTTTCTAAAATTATTTACCTGTCTGTACCTCTGACCCCTTGGAGAATGCCTGGATTTATGTTAATTTGATGTTGGTGATTGTTATTTTAGGTGCTGGATTTGAAATGTTTTTTGGAATTCTTTTATTTTTTAATTGGCAGAATTAAAAAAAAACAATTAGCAGATATTGTTTTCACAAAAATAGGAATTCTACTTGATATGGTTTGGCTCTGTGTCCCCACCTAAATCTCACCTTGAATTGTAATCCCCATAATCCCCATGAGTCAAGGATGGGACCAGATGGAGGTAATTGAATCATGGAGGTGGTTTCCTCCATGGTGCTCTCATGATAATGAGTGAGTCTCGTGATCTGATGGTTTTATAAGTGTCTGGCATTTCCCCTGCTTGCACTCATTTTCTCTTTCCTGCTGCCCTGTGAAGAAGGCGCCTTGCTTCCTCTTTGCCTTCTGCCATGATTATAAGTTTCCTGAGGACTCACCAACCATGCTGAACTGTAAGTCAATTAAACCTCTTTCCTTTGTAAATTACCCAGTGCTATGTATATACTACTTTAAGAAAATTTGTCGAATTAATGTGTTTTCTCAACCAATAGTTACTGAAGTTTACTGTATTATGTATGAATTCTTAAAGCGGATTGAAAAAAGACATCAAGAAAACCTAGGTGATACCATTCAGGACATAGGCATGGGCAAGGACTTCATGTCTAAAACACCAAAAGCAATGGCAACAAAAGCCAAAATTGACAAGTAGGATCTAATTAAACTCAAGAGCTTCTGCACAGCAAAAGAAACTACCATCAGAGTGAACAGGCAATCTACAGAATGGGAGAAAATTTTTGCAGTCTACTCATCTGACAAAGGGCTAACAACCAGAATCTACAAAGAACTCAAACAAATTTACAAGAAAAAAGCAAACAACCCCATCAACAAGTGGGCAAAGGCTATGAACAGACCCTTCTCAAAAGAAGACATTTATGCAGCCAAAAGACACATGAAAAAATGCTCATCATCACTGGCCATCAGAGAAATGCAAATCAAAACCACAATGAGATTCCATCTCACACCAGTTAGAATGGTGATCATTAAAAAGTCAGGAAACAATAGGTGCTGGAGAGGATGTGGAGAAATAGGAACACTTTTACACTGTTAGTGGGACCGTAAACTAGTTCAACCATTGTGGAAGACAGTGTTGCAATTCCTCAGGGATCTAGAACTAGAAATACCATTTGACCCAGCCATCCCGTTACTGGGTATATACCCAAAGGATTATAAATCATGCTGCTATAAAGACACATGCACACGTATGTTTATTGCGGCACTATTCACAATAGCAAAGACTTGGAACCAACCCAAATGTCCATCAATGATAGACTGGATTAAGAAAATGTGGCACATATACACCATGGAATACTATGCAGCCTTAAAAAAGGATGAGTTCATATCCTTTGTAGGGACATGGATGAAGCTGGAAACCATCATTCTCAGCAAAGTATCGCAAGGACAAAAAACCAAACACTGCATGTTCTCACTCTCAGGTGGGAATTGAACAATGAGAACACATGGACACAGGAAGGGGAACATCACACACCAGGGCCTGTCATGGGATGGGGGGAAGGGGGAGGGATAGCATTAGGAGATATACCTAATGTAAATGACAAGTTAATGGGTGCAGCACACCAGCATGGCACATGTATACATATGTAACAAACCTGCACGTTGTGCACATGTACCCTAAAACTTAAAGTATAATAAAAAAAATATATAAAAGACATCTATACTAAAAATTATTGAGACTAATTGACCTATGACTTTGAAAGATTTAATCAATAAGAGTATTAATTTAAAGATAAAAAAGTAGCAACTAATACAAATAGGTAGTTAAAAGGTTTACTCAGGGCTTCTGTGGGATTTTATTGAGTAAGTCACAATGATGATAATACAGTAATGACCCTTTATATAGAGTTTCCTTAGTGTTAGGCACACGTAACTCTCACAACCCCTGAGACACATGCTAAAGGATTCTCTCCATGGTATGTCTGAGGCAAAGCACAGGGTGGATAAGTGACTTGCGCAAGGTTACATAGCAAGTATGTGGTGGGGCCAGGCTTCAAACCCCAACAGCTGGGTCCAGAGTCAATGCTCCCTAGAAGAGCAAACTACCAGGTATTCTCCAGAGGTACATTTGTCAGAGTCAAGCTTTGTGTGCAATGCCTTGTTATATCAGTTTTGGGGGTGGTTCCTCTGGAAGACGAAGGCTTCCATTTTGACTTTTGATTGTCTGGGTAACCCTACCAGGCCTATCTGATATGTCCCCATTCTTCCTTTTCACTATCCTGTTGTCAAAATTTGTCAGTTTCATTTCTCAGTCTTCAAAATTCTGACATTTGTGTGTTGGTTTTGATTAGCAAAGCCAGGCTTGATAACACATAACGTAATTGTTCTTAGATAGGTTATATCTGACAATGTATAATGTGCATGTATCCACAGGGCCTTTAGCAAATAGTAATAGTAATAAAAGTAAATGATGAAGATTCCAGGATATGTTAGTAGCTAATATGTGTTAGGCACTTACTATATGAAATGAACTTCTTATACAGAATTTCTAATCCTTTGATCATATTAAGCTTGGTGTTATATGCTCATTTTGTAAGCGAAGAAGCAGGCCCAGCCACCAACTTCCTTGCCCACAGTCACTAAGGTACAGCTTGGGCTTTGTGACTCCTGGATCCCTCTGGCCTTTGCTCTGGCTATCTTCCAGCTGCTACCATTGGGCTCCTGAGACATGGACCTTAATGTGCCTGGTCTGGGATTTGATCTGAGGTGGCCAGTAACCTCATAGAAGAGCACAGCTTGTCTTCTTTCCTCTCTCTCATTTTGTCTTAACATCCCAGAAATGTTGCCTGACTTAATCATTTTAGGTCTTTTAATTGTTTGGTTATACTTCTTTGGAATAGTTACTATTATTGCTTTGAAACTTCTATCACCATTTTAGATTTTCTTCTATGCTAGTTTTATGTAAACAATGAGTATAAGTGGACATATGTTATCTTTTTGTTTTGCATGAATGATTTGAAGCTTTCATATCTGAATTCAAAAATTGTTCAGACATCAAATCATTTCTAAGTAATGGAGTAACTACGGGGGTCCCTCCACCTGGGTGATGAGCGGCTGTTTTTAAAAGGGTAAATGTCATCTAAACTGCCCTTTCCCTCTCTCTGCCCTTCATGAATCCCTAATCCTGACTCTGACACTTCTCTTCCATGGCACATCTAACAAAATGCAGATTATTTTCTAAATGTTGCACCTGAGTGGAAACTGCGTGTACACACTGGTTAAATTTAACCAATGTCTGGGTCAGCACACTTTGATTGCGTGTGTGCTGAGCAGAATGTTGGGGTATGTTGGATAAGGAAAGAGCTTATTCCATTAGTATTTTAGTAAGATCACACAGCTTATTTTATCTTATTTTATTTTATTTTTTATTTGATTTTATTTTACACCTGTGCTACAATTATTAGTGCAGTAGGCTGGCCTACCCCTCAGGAATATTGAGGACATCTGACTGTTAATTTCTATATGAAGAGAAAAAGAGGTGGCTCTGCATAAGATTATCCTAAAGTTCAGTAATCAAGTGCCCTGGGGATGCTCTTCTGTCCTCTTAGTCACTGCTCGCTCCCTCAAGCACCTGTTGTTTTTGTGTTCCCACTGAACTCTAAGTTCTAAAAAATCTGGGATCCCCCCAGCTTAGAGTATCTTTTCCAAGACTTTACTTCCCTTCTCACTCCTTGGCTTCTTAAAATTTGTCTCTTTCTGGCATTATTCCCTCCCCATATATTAGTCCCCTGGACTATAGCCTAGAAGCCTAATTATAAGGATCTAGTGGGTGTAGAATCATGGGATACTAGAGTTGGAAGAAACATCAGAGATTATTCTAGCCCAGCCACTGAACAGATGAGAATTAGTCTTGGAGATATAAGGTGAATTGCCATGCTGGATCTTCACGCCAGGACGCCTCCGTTGAACCAGTTTATGTTAATCTTTCCATATTGAAAATGCCTTTATTTGCATTTTAACTGGGCCTTCAAGTGCTTAGACCAGTGTTTCCTAAACTTGGCTAATCATTGAAATCACCCCCATCATGGTTCTGATTCTCTAAGCCTGAGCTGGGAATAGGAAACTATACTATTAACAGGCGCAGGTAATTGTAATAATTAGCATATGTTGGAAAACTGCATTAAACGCAATGGCTGACTTAGTAGCATTGTAAATTCCAGCTACTAAGTAAGGCTAATGGACTGTGTAGTTTTAGGCAATTGAGTTTTTCTAGCTCAAATCAGTCCACTCAAGGAGGCCGGTGTTGATTGTAAAGCAGAAGGAACTCTCCCTTATTGAAAACCGGAAGTGCAGAAACAGTCCTTCAAACTCAGAAGACTCAAAATTAGTATTTGTTGACATAGAAAATATTAACATAATCATGAAACTCGGTGAAAAATAAATGTCTTTCTGGGTGGCAGTAGAATCCCTGATAAAGAAGGGCCTATCTTTGTTTAGGACCATAAACTGGTAAAGGCATTTCAGAGAGAAGGAGACAAGGAAACTAGAGAGATTGCTAAATCACTCTCCATTAGAAAAGAATGGGAATTTGAGTCTGGGGAAGAACAGAGCAAAGAGGAGAGGAGAGAAGAGGAAGAGGAAGAGGAAGAGGAAAAGACTAAACAATATAGTGACATGACAACAACCATATTGGACATCGTGCTTTATGTTTCATCTTTGGTTGTTTGTGTTGCTGCAGTATTAACACTTTTTTCCTCCTCAGACCTTTAGCAAAGTCAGCTTCATCCACAAAGGCATTGTATTGCTTTTTTGGACAAGAAATAAGATGTACATCTAAATTCATATATGCAGAACCATCACAAAACATGTAGGACTGCAAGTAGATCAAACCAATTCAATGAGAGAAAGAGCTTGGATTGAGGGTATACATGGATTACAAGGTTTCCAGCATCCTGTGTATACAGACCATGCCCTTGTATTTTATGTTTTTTGTCCTGAAGCATGTGTTGACTTTGTCAGGACGCCCTAAACATCTTAGATTCAGCCTTTTCCCAATGAAAGGCAAAACTCCTCTGTCAAACTATTTTTTCAAATTTAACTAGATGTCCTGTATTTTTATTTACTACATCTGGCCACCCTACCAGAGAACCACAAGTGCCCTAGCAAATTTACAGAAATCTTGGCAAGGGCATTGGACTTTCCACAAGTTGTGAATGGGGTTTCAGAAAATCTTATCTAGATTATCTAGGGTGGGACGATTTCAGCTGACGTTGAGGTTGCAATGAAAACTGACCTGTCAAATCCAGTGTCTTCCAACCTTGACTCACAGTAGAGTCATCTGGAAGCTTATAAAAAAATCACGTCAAGACCCCATTGTCAGGATTCTGGTTCATATATGCTGGTATGGGGCCAAGTCTCAGTATTGTTAAAGTTTACCAGCAGATTCTAAAGTGGAAGCTAGGATTGAGAGTCACTGGTCTGGAGGCCACCCTTTATAAAGTCTTAGGCATATATAGCTGTGAGGGGCAAACATAAAAGACTGGAGGCTTGGGTGAAAGAGGGAGGAAATGAAGTCCAGTAAGGGGCTATTGTCTTTGGAGTGTAAATACCTGCTGGAAGGCTTGGACCTGGCCAGGCCTGAAATATTTGTCAATTAGAAACCTATCTCATTCTTTCTTGCTATGTAATTCTACAAAGAAAAGGAAAAAAAGTCAAGTGTCTTCTGCCCATCCCCCCAACCAACAACCCCAATATTAGTCAGGGTTTAAATAAGAATAGACAAGTGGGAGTTATATATTAAGAGATTTATTGCATGGAACTGACTTAATATGACTGTGGGAGCTGGTAAAGCAAGTTTGAAATCCATAGCGCTGGCCATCAGGAAGGGCAGGTTGGAACTCTTGGACATAAGCTGGTGCTGCTGTCTATAGGCAGACTGTCTCCTTCAGGGAATCCTTAGCTCTGCTGTTACAGCCTTTCAACAGACTGAATCAGGCCATTCAGATTATCCGGGATAATCTCCCTCACTTAAGGTCAACTGCTTCTGGATTTTTATCACATTTACCAAATACCTTCATAGCAACACCTAGATTAGTGTTAGATTGAACAACTTGGGACAATAGCTCATCCAAATGGATACATAAAACTATCACATCCACACTTGTAATCACTTCCTAAAAGTCAGTTAGCTGCTAAACTGCAGCAATTCAAAGCAGAAAGACAAAATACATTGAGGCAACCTGGCTAAGGTGACCTATTGTTTGTTACCATTCTCCAACCCGTGTGACCCAGGAATGACAGGGAAACTCAGGTGTGGCATCCTTTTTTTTTTTTTCACCTACAATTTGTGGTATTATTAGAAAGATGCCAGGGGAGAAAGACAAGAAAATGAGGGACAAAGAGCCAAGCTCCTATTCAGAGCCTGTGGATGAGAGAAGAGATGAGTGCAGGGAAGAAGATGGAGACCTATTTCTAATCTCTTCTGGGGAGATGTGTGTGAGGCTTAGTTTCCTTTAATTTAAAATGCACTTATGCTGCTGTTCTTAGTGCACAGGTGAATTAAATTGAGGTTGTGAATGTGATTTCTCTTGGAGTCATTTAGGTTTACTGCTTCACCAGAACAGCTTTCACACTAACCCTGTGGAGTCCTCTTAAAACTGCCACAGCTCCTGGGTGTGGAGGAATGTAAACAGCTCAATCCCAAATCTATCTCTAATATTGGAGAAAGAAATATCTCTCTCACATTCACAGTCTCCCTATTATGTGCAGCCTGTGAAGAATGAAAAATGCCCTGGGGGATGGAGGATGGAGAGAAGCTGGTTAGGGAGCACCAAAGTACAGTTAGATAGAAGGAACAAATTCTAGTACTTGATAGTACAGTAGGGAAGTTAGAGTTAACAATAATTTATTGTATATTTAAAAATAGCTAAAAGAGAAGATTTGTAATGTTCCCAACAGAAAGAAAAGATAAAAGCTTGAGGTGATGGATATCCCAGGTACCCTGATTTGATTGCTACACATTGTATACAGGTATCACAATATCACATGTACCCCTATAATATGCACAACTAATATTTATCAATTTTAAAATAGAATAATGAAAACTAAAAAAAGAAAAGTGCCCTGGGCCAACAGTTCTGAAGCACCAATGCCTGTGATTGGCTCTGTCATCAGTTTCCTCACTGGTAAAATAGTGGAGTTGCTTAAATTGGAAAGTCTTTTCTGGCCTATTGGTTCCATGATTCTACATGGCAGTAGCTCTGCCCCATACGTGCTTAGGGTGGAGGGTGGCAGGGTGGTGAGTTGGCCCTTCAGATTTCCTGGGGTCCGGGGCTTGTGTTTGACAGAATTATGGTTGGAGAAGCTCCTATTCAGGATAGGAATGAATTTTAAGCCAACGAGTTTCAGCTTTACATTATATTTGAACAATAAAATTATTGTCCAAACTTGGCACACATCTGAGAGTGAAAGAGGATGTTCTTAAGAATTGTGCCTGAAACAGAAAACCAAACACTGCATGTTCTCACTCATAAGTGGGAGTTGAACAGTGAGAACACGTGGACACAGGGAGTGGAACCTCACACGTTACCGGGGCCTGTCAGGGGGTGGGGGTAAGGGGAGGGAGAATATGAGGACAAACACCTAATGTGTATGGGGCTTAAAACCTAGATGACGGGTTGATAGGTGCAGCAAAGCACCATGGCACATGTATACCTATGAAACAAACCTGCACGTTCTGCACATGTATCCCAAAACTTAAAGTAAAAAAAAAAAAAAAAAAAAGAATTGTGCCTGAACCATGCATATAAATTGAAACAGTCTTGGGTGAACTGAAACTCAAGGTGACCTTGAATGAAGGCAACAGGGACTCTTGGAACCATTTTAATTAGGAAAATGATTCCTTTTCTTTCAGATTACTTCGATAATTTAACTAAAAATGTGTACTGGATGTTAATCTATGTTGAAATGTGGCAAAGCAAAGTATACTTCCTAGTTTTGCTGAAGGTAGATTCATCTACTGCCAAATATTAAATAAGTAGAGGAAGAGGAGAGACCAGAGGCAAGGAGACCAGTAAGAGACGACCAAAATAATCCAGGCAAGAGACAATGAGGGGTGGATTAGTTTGGGAAAAAGCCTGAGAAGGAAAAATGAAACCTGCTCAAGCCATTCAGATTATCATTGTTTACACTGTAAGTGATGAAGAAACAAAGAAGTGTCTGATTTGGTGGTTATTAAAAAAGTGACTTAAATGTAGTGACTTTAAATGTAGGGTTTCATTCTGTATAGTCATTTATTGCTCAGCAGCACAAAGAAGGCATCAACTCTCTGAACCTTGAGATTCTGCTCTTGGTTTTTCTCAAAACAGAACCACTTGGTAGCTTTCTCAGCTAAATGCCCTGTCTTATAGCCAGGCCCGTCTGAGAGATGAATTGAATAAATGTCTCTGGAGATATTTGGTCTTGGGATTGTATCATTAGGGCTTATAAAGCATGTCTAATTTACTTAATGGATTATAATGTCTTGGAAATGGCTATAATGATCTATTTACACTGAATGCCTGAGTGCACAGACCATTTGTATAAATAAGAAAATGTTCCCTGCTGTCAAGATGTTTTTTTGTCTATAGATCAGTTACCTGATGCCCTTAGTCTATATTGTTAATTTGGGTAGTGATTATATCCTGCATATTATAAATCTTCAAGTAATCATTATGCACAGCAGCTGCTTGGGTCTTTGCTATTTTTACCCAGCTATGAAACCCAGCCTGCAGTATCTCATTTTAAGACAGGAAGTGATATGGAGGAGTCCAAAAGAGCATTCCTGGACCTATTTTATGGGCAGTGTTGAACATGACCTGAAGCACATGTATGTTCTTTTATTTTTCTGGAAATAAATAAAAATACTTAGGCTCCAATATAGTCAATGCTAAGAGCACATGAGTACATTTGTCTATTTGTTGTATGTACCCACACCTTCAACCTCCACTGATATGATGGGCATGCCACAAAAGGCATCCTGACCTAACTGGAGATTTGTTTATTCCAATACCCTTGAATCCACTGCTGATTGCATTAGACCTCTGGACATTTGTCATTCATGCCATTTTCTTCTCCCATTTTCTCTTGCTGGTAGCATTCATTGTTAATAATTGACTCATTTGCTTATTTATACCCTTTCTTGTTTCAAAAGAGTCTTAATTTTGTTTTTATAGATGCATATTATAAAGAACAAATAAATTTAAGAAATGCAAGCAAAGGGAAAGTAAAGTAGGAAAATCAATGAAGGCAAAAGTGAGGTTAGTCCATATAAGGTATATCATAAAGTCCTATACTATGATCGGCTGTGGGCTGCAATTTGGGCCTTATATATTTTAAAAATCAACTGGAAAGGGGAAGGATTACCTGAACAAGCTTCACAGAATTCATTCAGTAAAATGAAACTAGTCAAATAAGTGAAACACAATTATTTCTTTTTTCTCTTTCTCTCTCTTTAGAGACAGGGTCTTGCTCTGGAGTGCAGTGGCTCAATCACAGCTCACTGCAGCCTAGACATTCTGTGTTGAAACGATCTTCCAACTAAACCTCCTGGGTAGCTAAGACTACAGGCATGAGCCACCATGCCTGGCTAATTTAAATTTCTTACACTAAACTCATAAAAGAAAATTCCCCTTGTGTCCTCATAGACAGGACACCTTTTGATAAAAGGCAACTTTGACAACATTCTTACCTCTCGTTATTGATAAATTAGCTGCTTTACTTGCCATATAGTTTCTGAGTAATTCTTGTCATTTCCTAGTCTCTATTAGGACCCCCACATCTGTGCCCACGGAGACTTGGTGTTGAGACTGGTTGGCCCTTGGTAATTTTTTCCAACTCTTTTGCTTCCCCATGAACCTACAATGCCTTTTATTTTTCCATGAACATCTACAGTTTCTTTTAGTGTTCCCTACTCCCTAGGCTGGGTGATTGTCTTAGATGACCTTTGCAGAATGTATTAATTCCCTATAGCTGCTATAACAAAGTAGAAAAACTCAGTAACTTAATCCGAATTTATTATCTTACAATTCTGGAGACCGGAAGTCCAAAATGGGTTTCCTTGTGCTAAACTCAAGGTGTATCAGGTAGGTCTTGGAGGCTCCAGGGGAGAATCTGGTTCCTTGCCCTTGCCAGTTTCTCAAGGCGGGCTGCATTCCTTGGCCTTCTTCCAGCAGTCAAATCACTTCGATAGACCTCTGCTCCATCATCATAACTCCTCTGACTCTGTCTTTCCTGCCTCCCTCTTTCACTTATAAGAAGCCTTTGATTACATTTGGCCCCAACTAGATAATCAAGGACAATCCTCCATCTTAACTCTCTTAATCACATTGGTAAAGTTTCTTTTGCCATGTGAGATGCCATATTCACAGATTCCTGGATTAGGATGTGGACATCTTGAGGTAGGGTGAGGATGAGCATTATTCTGCTTCCTACACACAAGAATTAAGAACTGGAGGAATGGGGCCGGGTGCGGTGGCTCACGCCTGCAATCCCAGCACTTTGGGAGGCCGAGACGGGCGGATCACGAGGTCAGGAGCTGGACACCATCCTGGCTAACATGGTGAAACCCCGTCTCTACTAAAAATACAAAAAAATGAGACAGGGGTGGTGGTGGGCGCCTGTAGTCCCAGCTACTCGGGAGGCTGAGGCAGGAGAATGGCGTGAACCCGGGAGGCGGAGCTTGCAGTGAGCCGAGATCGCGCCACTGCACGCCAGCCTGGGCGACAGAGTGAGACTCCGTCTCAAAACAAACAAACAAAAAACACAAGAGGAATGGAATGTGTGCCACACCATATCAGACAGGATCCAGGCAGAACTGGGCTGTGCCAGCTATTTCAGAAGAGGGAATTACATGTGGAGACCTTATTGCTCTGATGAGCTGTTTCAGGAGCTGAAGACAAGGGAAGGTGAGGAAACGCAGAGATTACCGCAGGGGAAGATGCGCCAGCAGGCTGGAGCTGACAGTGTGGAGCAGGCATTGCTTGGAGGAGCTGAGACCATTGTAGAGGTACTGCCATCACTGCAGATGCTACCTCTAGTGAGAAAAGTCAGGGAGAAACATCCCGACATCCTCCTCTTCCCCGCGGCCCCCGTCTACCAGTGCCTCCTATGTATTGGCTAGACTAAGCAGAAGCTAGCAGGCAAAGATGTATGAAAGCCGTAGGTGGCAGGCCCCTGTGATGTAACCCTAAGAGAGGACAGCCAGTCAACAGATCCGAGAGCAAATAAGCAAATGGGCTAGGGGGCAGACATCTGGTACCCTTTTCTTTCAGTCTGTCCGTAAGCACTGGCTGTCAATACAGTGAAGAATAAAAGGCTTCTGTGTGTATGTGCTGGGGACAAGAGTGGGGAAATGGGGGTAGAAGCAACTGATTTTCACTTTGGTAGGATTTTCTCAAGGAATAGGCTTGAAAAGATTTTCAGCCACTTGGAAAGGGCAGGTTTATTTTTATGAAACTGGATAGATGAATCCTTCTCTCTGCTCTTTCATGCTAATCCTCAATCCTCCTTGCCTCTGCTTCCTCTTCCGCTTTGTCTTCCCTTCCCTCCCTCTCCTTTTCCCTCACTCCCCTCTTTCTTTCCTCTCTCTTCTATTTCTCACTCCCCACTTCGTTTCCACCTTTCCTCTCCATGCTGTCTCTCTCTCCTCCTTCCTTCCCAATAGCTTCCCCCACTCCCTTGCCCTTTTCTTGCATTCATTTCTACAAACACTGCTTTTGTGAGTCAACAGGCACATTCTCATAAGCAGTGGTTGCCTGTGACTGGCTGCTTTTATGAATCAGCAGGCATATTCTCATAAGCAGTGGTTGCTGGTGACTGGCTGTTTCCTTCTTGCTCACTTTGCCTATCAGGTGATAGGCATTGATCCCTTGCAGTGTTCTCAAGACGAGGGGCCTCAGAATTATTTTGTTAGCACCTGTTTTTAATCTTCTGTCCTAAGAATCATTTTCGGGACCTCTCCTAGGACCCAAATCAATATGTGGTATTGAACCCACCTTAAGCTCAGTTATCTGGATTCCTCTGTACCATTGATTCCCTGACATTTCCCTGGACACTCCAGAGTGTCTTTTATTTTTGTTTTTTTTTGCAAGGCCAATTCTCTGGGGTCAATTGTGAGGCTCAAATATAAGGCTCTGCACAACCAAAGATCGTATCTCTGATTCTCAAATAAAAGAAGCATGCAGTATAAAATTGTGTGCCGAGACTGTAACCATTGTTCAACTATCATTGTCTACACGCTTCGGGTTTAGACTCTTCGCTGAGGAGAAATGAGGAAAATATTTTTCATGAAATATGAGCTTCTGATGGAAAGAAATTGAAGCTTTAAACGCGATTCGACTTACTCAGATTTTTTTGTTTGATAATTCATAGGTAAATTGGTCGATTCATTTTGGGACCTTAGGAATGGAGCACTGGATGAGTCATCCCCTCAGCACTAGTACTGCTATTGGTCTGAAGCCTCCAGGGAGAGGCAGCACAGCACAGACTCCCAATTAGATTTCCTGGGTTTCAGTCCTGGCCCAACCACGTTCTTGCTGTGTGACGTTGGGCATTACTTAATCACTTTGTGCCTCAGTTTCCTCAGCTGTAAAATAGGAATTATAATGGTATTTGCCTCCCAGAACTGTTGAGAGAATTAAATAAGCCAATGGAAAGTGCTTAAAACCATGCCAGGTACCACAAAAGAACTTCAAAGGTTTACTCATCTTTTTCTTTTATTCCCTCCTTCCTTCCTGATAGCCGCTTCCATAGGCATCTGTTTCTAATACGTTTGTGTTCTTTATTATGTATATGTTCTTCTAAAATATGTCTGTGTGTTTGGCTTGATTTAAATTATACATTTTGTTGTTTTTTTTTTTTCACCCAGTACTGAATTTTTGAGATGTATCGAGTTGGCTATATTTGCATCTAGTTCATTGCTTCCACCTGCCTCATAGCACCCTTATAGTGTATGTCTATTCTATTTACTTGGCCATTGACCTAGTGATGGTCACCTAAGTTGCCTCCAACTTCCTCCACAGACAATTCCATGACAAGTTCAAGAAGTGGGATCACTGGCCCACAGGGTATTCACAAACTTACCATGACTCTGCCAGGTCATTTTCCAGTATGATTGTAGCAGTTTATACTCTTACCAACAGAGGACAAGAGCTCCTGATTTAATGTAACTTCCCTATCACCAGACATTAAGTACTTGTTCTCATTTGATGGAACGTGGTATTTTTTAAAAAAATTAAAAGAGGAAATTGTATTAAATTTCAATTCTCTGATAGTTTGTGGGGTTGTACAGCTGTTCTTTTGTTTTTTCAGCTAACAGATTTCCTCTTCTGTGTATTATTCATGTACTGTGAGCTTCCACTTTCAGGTATGATTGAGTGCCTGCAGCTGACTAATGCTCCCACCAAGGGGTAAAGGGTTTAGAAAAGCCAGATTAAAAAAGAAATATGTTTAAAGGCATAATGCAACTTCTGAGGCAATCAGTACTTAAGGGGACAAAATCCCAGCAAAAGGGGAGATTTGTCAGTGTTCTGCAGCAGCTTTTATCCTTGGGGCATTTGGCAGTTCTAGGTGTGGGGCAAGAGGTTGACATCTGGGAACATGTTCTTGCCCAGAGCTGTTGCTAAGAGGGGGAATAACCAGCAGAGTCTAGTGGGGCTTGAAAGGCAAAACCTAGAGCCTTGAGGGGTCAGAATCCTTTGAGAAGGGAGGGGTGGAAAACTGAACCCAACATACTGCCAGCTTCCCCCTCAAGACATTTGTTGAATACTGGTGCTAAGTGGGCAGGAGGCTAAGAAAATTGCTAAAAAATTAGGGTGGAATTGTCACCAGACCTGCAGGCTGAGAAGACAAGGATTAGTGTTCTAGACACAAAGTGGGAGGGAGTGGGGGGAGGGAAAGAGAGAGATGTGATGGATACACACACCTTCGATGAGGCAGGTGGAAGTAATGAGCCAGATGCAAATATAGCCAACTCAGTACATTTGAAAAATAAGAAACAGAACAAAATTTATAACCTAAAATTAAGTGTTTGTGTAGGTTTTGAAGGCTGTTTTATCTTGTAGGAACATTGATTTTCTTATTTGCTGTTGCCTAGTTTAATAGTTCATGCTTGATATTTTGAAGGCCCAAAGTCAAACTGCATTATTGATTTTTGATGTTTTATCTACATTTATACATTGGATTATGAAACTGATGCTTTTTTTTGAGCTTTTGTTACTTATTTAACAAATGCTTATTTTTGATCAAGCATCAATAATATAGAGACTCCGTGTTGGAGGCAAGCTGATGTTTACCTTAAAAGTTTTTTGAAAATAAATTCAGAGGGCCGGGAGTGGTGGCTCACACCTGTAATCCAAGCACTTTGGGAGGCTGAGGCAGGTGGATCCCCTGAGATCAGGAGTTCGAGACCAGCCTGGCCAACATCCTGAAACCCCATGTCTACTAAAAATACAAAAATTCACCGGGCGTGGTGGTGCACACTTGTAATCCCAGCTACCTGGGAGGCTGAGGCAGGAGAATCTCTTGAACCCAGGAGGCAGAGGTTGTAGTGAGCCGAGATCGTGCCACTGTACTCCAGCCTGGGCAACAGAGCAAGACTCTGTCTCAAAAAAAAAAAAAATTCAGAATCACTTTGTTGTATATGCTAAATTATCAGCAATTATTATTTCCTTTGTGATATAAGTGTAATTTGAATACACTGAACTTTAATTTCTGCAGCCTAAGAAGTGAACTCAACTCTTACTCAAAGGACTTGGGATATAGTCAATCATGCTGGTGACAGAGCTGACAATGAGAATATCATCTCATGTTTGATGCCCGAATGAGTAATTTTAAATTGGCTCTCGGAGTAACCTATTCTAGAAGTCACATGAAATGCTTAAGTGTAAGATTGCTCCTTAGCTGTGTTCTGGATCCTGATGCTGTGTTTGTGAATTATGTGTAGCTACCAGGAGGAATATGAGGAGGAGGAGCAAAAGGAAAAGGAGGAGAAGGGAAAGAAAGAGGATGAGAAGAAGGAGGAAGAGGAGAAAATGGACTAGAAATGAAATTCTCTATCTTCATTTCAGCTTTTCTACTTTTGAAGTAGTATGAACCTCTCTGAGACAGCCCTTTTCATATCTGTCCCATGTCTCTGCTTCTCCTTTACTTTCTCGTAGCTTTAATATTTTCTAGGGATAATGAGGGGTTAAGAGAAACGTCACTGAAGCTCATAACTTTTTTAACATTTCTCAGAATAAAACTTCAGCTTACAGGCATGTAAATGTAACACAGTGCCTTAGCTATAATTTTCAAGGCTTTTAAAACCTTAATGGGACTGATAAAATCTGAAATAATTGTCATTTCAAAGCTGCAAAAAGATTTAGTCTTAAAAGAGGTAGAAACATGACTACTCTTTTGGGGTACATTTCTTTCTTTTTCAGAGAAAACTAACTAAATAGACCCTTTAGTTAAATACAAATACAAAAGCAAGTGTCCACTTGGGGAAAACTGAGAAGAAACTGGTAATCTGATTGCAAGTGTTGTAGGTGGTTTTGTAATAGAAATTATTTTGTATGAAGAATTAGGGGTTTTGTTTCTAAGGAGAAATGCTTCTTTTCTAAGCATGTTTTTAGATATTGCTTTGCGAGTATGTTGTTACTTGTTCCAATGAAAGGGTGCAGAGGCAAATATGTATCTTGTTTAAATGCTGAGAAGAGACCAAAAGCTGAGATGAAATAGGCAGCAGGAGGCATAGGCAAACCTATTCTGCACCACACACTGCAGGAGCCAGATACAAAGAAAAAGGACCAGACTAGGCAAAGCTCAACCTGGATTTCCTTGGAGTTGAATTTCTTCTGTGGCTGCTCCAGTGGAAATTCAGGTGCTCAGGTAGAAGCTACTAATGTGCAAGCTGTCAGTCCTTTCAAGGTAGAAGCTGCCAGTGCCTGGAGCTGGCACAGTGTCACGTCTACAATCCCCTATTGATCAAAACATGAAAGATCAGATTGGAAGGGGTGGAGGAATATTCTCTACTTCTCAAACTACAAAGACACTTTTTCCAAATGAGGTCACATTTGCAGGCTCTGGGCAGACTTATGTTTTTTTCTGAGGGGGTGGGTGGGTGGGTCACCATTCAAGCCACTACAGAACATAAATATAAATAATTGTCTGTTATTGATCTTTTGAAAATAGCTATTGAGGCTTCTCTGGTATGAATGCTGATTTGGGAGCACTTTTAACAAGTTATAAATTATTGAAACGTCAGGAAGTTGCATATATATATATACATATATATATATGAGTGTATGTGCTAGATTTAGGCAACATATTATGAAAGACTCCTAAATTCTTTGAATTTCATACTCCTTCTCTGTCTCTCTTTATCTTGAAAGCGAAGAAAAGTAGAAGAGCAATATAAAAGTAAAGACAGAAAGATTAAAAAAGAGGTAAAGAAGAAAGGAAGAGGAAAGGAAAAGGATGGTGAATTCATGTTTTACTTAGCTTACTAGTTTGTTGATAACTCATTACTGTTCAATTGTAGATTTCATTTTCATATTCGATCATCCTATTCTCTAATTATATTGTTTCTGCATCTTTCATCTCATCCAAGTAGACTGTAAACATGGTGAATGGAGAAACTAGGTGGTAGTACTCTTCTTAGTATCTAAACCACTTTTAGGTGTGGTTAGGGTTGAAATCTGAGGGCTGAGGCAGTGAAGGATAGAGGGATCCCAGCTCTCTAGATGCCTAGAATAAAGGCTTCCCTAAAGTACTCTGACCTAAGTGTAATACACCCTCCATTCAATACAAGCCACCTTCTATTCTGTAACTGATGTGAAATTATTAGCTACAGGTTTTGCTAATCATCCCCACAAGGATTTCATGCTTATTCCAAATCATCAATTCAATCATTATAGAACTTATCTAGAAACTTTCTGATTTCCTTGACTGTGAAACCATTTATACTATTTAACAAATACTATTACTTATATAAATGTGATTATACTATTATATACTACATATTATCATTATTATTCTATATATAAATACTATTTACTGCTTAACAAACCAGTATAAATGGTTTCACAGTCAAGGTATGTTTTGCCTTTTAAAAACTTGTCGTGGCATTCATTGCACAAACATTTATAATACTGCTGCTGTGTGCCAGACTCTGCCCCAGGTACTGAAGCTTCAGAGAGGGATTAAGACATGCCTTGCACTCAGGAAACATGCAGGCACCTAAGTAGACAAGCATGGTGAGTATGATAATGTTAGGGAGAAGCAAAGAGTATAAAGTGCCCACAGACTTCTTTAGTGTTAAGGGATTTAGAAAAGACTCCCTGGAGTAGATAATGTCTAGGTTGAATTTTGGAGAATGAACATGACATATTCGGCTGGGCGCGGTGGCTCATGCCTGTAATCCCAGCACTTTGGGAGGCTGAGGCAGGTGGATCACGAGGTCAGGAGATCGAGACCATCCTGGCTAACATGGTGAAACAAAGTCTCTACTAAAAATACAAAAAATTAGCCAGGCATGGTGGCAGGTGACTGTAGTCCCAGCTACTTGGGAGGCTGAGGCAGGAGAATGGCGTGAACCCAGGAGGTGGAGCTGGCAGTGTGCCGAGATAGTGCCACTGCACTCCAGCCTGGGCGACAGAGCGAGACTCCGTCTCAAAAAAAAAAAAAAAAAGAAAAAGAAAATGACATATTCAAGTCAGAAGTGGGGAAGTGAGCCGAGGGCATTCTAGGCAGAGAGAATAGCAAGAACAAAGGCATGGAGGCAAAGCCCCAAGCTTGGAGTGTGCAGGAAATAAAGCATACCTTTTCTTTATTTGGGGCAGAGAATGAAAGAAAATGGTGAGGTGTAAAGTGGATAAGGTCCACTGAGGCCAGAGGAGGGAGTCTTTTTCTGCCTTATGGAAGACCTTTGACTCTATGCTAAAGACCGTGGGGAACCACTGAAAAGGGTGAGTGGGAGCAAACGTGACCAACTTTGCATTTTAGAAGAGTCTCTCTAACTAGATGGTTTTGAGGCTAACAAACCAGAGACAAGAAGGGAAACATGAAGCCATGTGTGGCTGGACCAAGCCGGTAGTGGCAGAGTTGGAGGGGAGAGAATTCACAATACACTTAGAAAGTAAAGTTGGCCCATCTGGGGATGGTGGTTCTACAGGGGTCTGAGGGAGAAAGGGGTCACACATGATCATCAAAGAGAAGCTAAGATGTAGGAGAGAGAATTACTGAGGGAGCAAATTCCAAAGTAGACTGGATGAGCTGACTCAGGACCAAGGCAAGGAGGTTTGCCTTGCACCAAGAGTCAGTACAGCCTTCAGGAGCTAGCCTTTCCCTTTCTCTGTCCTGGGCTTTGGTCTTTAGATATTAGGTGGGCTCTGACCTCTAACTCTGCTTGCCCACAGAAGCCCACAAATTCTCTACTCTTGGTAAACTCTGATCTGCTTTCTTATAACCACATTTTAGTTGTTCTGTTTGACTTCAGAGTACAGAAGGGGGAGATGTGAGTCAAAGTTTCTAGGGGGTTTTAATGTTAGTTCTCTATGATTCTGGCTTCTTGGAGGGAGACCTGGTCAGGGCAGGATGAGGAGGAATTGGCAGAAGATGGGGGAACCTCTTGCCTATAGTCTTGTAGCTATGTGGAGCCAGAGAGCAGGTAACAAATTATGTCACTGAGCACGTGCTGAGTGATGTATGGGAGAAGTAGGTCTAAATAGTCATCAGAGCAAACTGGGCCTGAAGTGGGTATGGGGACTTGTGGTGCTGGGTCTGGGGCTCAGAAAACTAGGGAAGACATGGACCCCTAGCCCAGAATAGGTATGTTGAAGTGGGCAAATATAGGATGCCATAGGCCGGTGGAAGGCTTTGCTATGTCCCTGCAATGTAATGCGTAGATAGCGAAGATGTTTTGCTAGGTCTAAGATAGCAAGAACACATAGGAAACTTTCACGAATTCGGAATTTTCCAGGGATAGTGTGAATGGCCAGTGAGTGTGTCATCACTGGAATTCTTCAGCACAGTCTGGATGATCTTCTACTGGGGGTTATTGAAGAGGGCTCCAGGCAACAAGGAGGATGGTGAGACTAGGTGACATTTGAGTCTTCACCACTCAGAGGTGCTCTTATTCTGTGATGCTCTAGGCATAGCTCAGGGTGTGGCCCTAGCAGGATCCCTGACTGCTGTTTGACTCAAATTAGGGTTGTCACATGAGACTGGCAATAGAGATGTGGACTTGGTTTTTTCTTATAATTTGGTAGAAGGAATTACATTGACTGAACTAAACTTAAGCTCCCTTTAATCGATATTAGTCTAAGAGGGAAATAAAATGTTTTAGGTTTGGAGTTACACATTCTGAAAGGGCTCTTTTAACATTTTCTAGAAATAAAGATTTTTCAGCCCTTCTGCTGTGGAGGAATTTCTTGAACAGCATTTACCAGAAGTGCAGATTGTAGTAAATGCCTATGTTTAAGGAATATTAGTGGGCTTTATTGCAATTTCATAAAGTTAATGAGTTCATTGTATAGGTAGTTAGAGGATTTAAGTTTTTCAAAATGTCTCTGAGCTCCTGGGAAATTGCTCAGCTAACTTATTGGTTGCATGAGGTTGCTTAAGCATTAATCTCCTTAGTCATTTGTGTGTGTGCATGTGTGTGTGAACAAGAAAATCTTTAGAGACTCACCTTATCCCATTAATTGAGATAGTCTGACAAATGTGAATAATACATTGAACTACTTGTAATGAGACTGGTAGTTAATCTAGAAGAATTATACATATGGTAATACTTAGAAAAAAGAAACAAACACAAAATATGCCCTTTGCTTAAAGGCAACAAAAGAAGCGTTAGCAAAGTGTACTGAAAACTGTAGAGTCCAATACTTATTTGGGAAATGAATGTTTTATAGCTAAGCTTAGGACACATTTTCCTTTTGGTTAACTTGGCACAGAACAGTCCTACCTCCAAGTGTTATTTAGTGTGTGTTCTTTCAAGATGTCACCATATTCAGCAAGATGAACATATTACAATTTTATATTGGCTTTAGTTCCTGTCCTCAAGATATAGTATTTTCTTACTAGACCGATGGGACTGCCATTGTTGTACTCAGAGTGTTTGGCAGAGATGTAGAGATCTGTGCTTTCCAGTGAATTTGCATAATAAAACTCTCATTGAATTATGGTTCAATGAAGGGGAAAGTACAAGCCTAATTTGATTTGACATTTATATACTGAACCTTTCTGAAATACGTCTCGTCTGTATTGCCAATTCCTATTTTCACACAAATGTGGTCTGACCTATTCCTGAGTACAGAAGTGGAGTTGGGACATACTTTTCTTTAAAATAAAACAAGAAAAAAAGAGTTTTTCCCCCATAAGCTTAACAATTGTGTACTTTTGAGCTACTCTTTACATCTTCTGTTTTGGATTGTCAGAACTAGTCGCTATTGTTAGATGTTAGGTTGGTTGTCATTGAAAAGAAAGGACTTTCATCTTTCTGTGGACCCACCTACAAACAGGAGTTCTGCTTCTTTAGGGTGTACAGGTGCAATTATGCAGCAATCTGAATGCTTACCCTCAGCTTACACATCATTTTTCTCCATATACTTGAGCTGGCTAGAATAAGCAAATATCTGTCATTCATCGAAGACCCTGTTATAATTTGAATGTGTCTCCTTGAAAATTCAGATGTCGAAACTTAATGGCCAGTGTGATAATACTAAGAGGTGGGGCCTTTAAGTGGTGATTAGGCCATGTGGGTTCCTTCTTTTAATGGGATTAAGCCCTTATAAAAGAGGCTTCACAGTGTTCAGCTCTTTCACTCTTCTACCTTCTACTGTGTGATGACACAGCATTCAACCCCTCAGGAGGATGCTGCAACGAGACATCTTGGAGGCAGAGAGCAGGGACTGAGAAACACTTGCGAAGTTAACAGTCTAGAGACAGAGGCTCAGTGAAAGACTATACTTTACCACCACATTGTTAAAGGGCTATTTACGGCAATTTCTTTTACCCATGACATCATGTCCAGCTATCAAAGAGGACAAAGGTAACTAAAAGGCAAAAAACACAAATAAGAGACAGAGTAAGAACCAGTCATGGCAGGGATGTTGGAATTATCAGACCAGGAGTTTAAGATAACTATAAATAATATGCTAAGAGCTTGGATGAATAAAGTAGACACCATGCAAGGACAGATGGGCAATGTGACCAGAGAGATGATCATCCTAAGAAAGAACAAAAAATAAATGCTAGAGATCAAAAACATCATAACAGAAATAAAGAATGTCTTTGATGGGCTTATTGGTAAACTGGACACAGCTGAGGAGAGAACTTCTAAGCTTAAGGATATCTCAGTAGAAACCCCCTACACTGAAAAAGAGAAAAAAGACTAAGAAAACAAACAAACAAACAAAACAGAACAGTACATCCAAGGACTATGGGACAACTACAAAAGGTGTAAATGCATGTAATGGGAACACCAGAAGGAGAACAGAGAGAGAAAGGAAGGGAAGAAATATTTGAAATAATAATGATGAGGAATTTCTCCAAATTGATGTAAGACACCAAACCAAAAATCCAGGAAGGTTAGAAAACACCAAGCAGGACAAATGAAAACAAAAATAAAAACAAATTGTATGTAAGCATATGATATTCAAACTTCAGAAAACCAAAGATTTAAAAAAAATCCTGAAAGAAGCTAAAGGGAAAAAAAATCTTACCTATAGAGGAGAAAACATAAGGATTATGTTTGACTTCTCAGAAACCATACAAACAAGAGAGTGAAGTGAAACGTTTAAAGTGTTGAGAGAAAGAAAACCACCAATCTAGAATTCTATACTCTCTAAAATTATCCTTCAAAGTGAAGAAGCAATAAAGACTTTCTCAGACAAAAATTGAGGAAGTTTGTTTTCAGTAAACTTACCTTGTCAGAAACGTTAAAAGAAATTTTTTAGAGAGAAGAAAAATAATATAGGTTAGAAACACAGATTTTCATAAAGAGCATTGAAGAAGGAATGAGTGAAGGTAAAATAAAAACTTACCTTATTATTTTCCCTAATTTAAGCGGTCTCACAGATCAAAGTAATAGCAACAATGTAATCAATTGTGTATTTTTATGTATACATCCTATATGTGTACATATGTTTATATATAAGCAAAATGAGTGAGAGCAATGATACAAAAATAGGAAGGAGGAATTAGAATTATTTTGTTATTATAAGGTACTACTACTACCTGTAAAGTGATATAGTGTTAAATAAAAGTAGATTTTGATTAGTAGTAAATGTATACTTCTTAACTCCTGTTTTTAGTGGTTGCTCTAAAAAAAAGAGATGTAATTGATACGCTAAGAAAGGAGAGAAAATGGACTCATATTAAATGCCCAATTAAAACTACATAAGACAGAAATAGAATGAAAAACAATAGGAACAAAGAATAAGAGCAACCAATAGGAAACAGTAAGAAATATGGGACATATTAATCCAACTATGTTAATAGTCATTTTGAGCATGGATGATCTAAATGTATCAATAAAAAGACACATTGTCAAAGTGAATAAAAAACAAGACAAGAATATTTTGTCTAAAAGAAATCCGTATAAATATAAAGACATATAAATATAAAGACACGTAAAGA